>NC_000019.10:51615874-52240874 GCF_000001405.40 Homo sapiens | reverse complement strand
AGACGGGTTTTCACTATGTTGGCCAAGCTGGTCTTGAACTCCTGACCTCGTGATCCGCCTGCCTCAGCCTCCCAAAGTGCTGGGATTACAGGGTGAGCCACTGTGCCCGGCAACAGAGTGAGACTCTGTCTCAAAAAAAAAAAAAAGTTAAACTCCAAGACACATATGCATCAGTTTCTTCAACCCAGGAACAAAAGAATAACTGAAAATTGCCCTGCAAAAAAGGCAAATCAGTTTTATCCTCAGACAATATCTAAATTCATGTAGTATTAGAGCTTTCTACATGAACTCTAGAGTCGCTGAAACTCAAGCTAGTAAGACATTCATTGGCTGAATCCCAAGGAAGAAACTAGGGTTTCCACAAGCACTGCTAAGATAGAGGAGAGTCAATAGAGGAAGAAACCCACTACAGCATTTTCTCCTACCTTGAACAGAGGCAGTTATGAGTCCTACATCCAAATAGCCACCTCTGAGACCCTTCTCTTCCCTATAGGTTCTCCCCCTCTTCCTGTAATGTCAACCCGAGACTTCACTGGAGACTGAAATTGCAAAGACTAGTTTAGAAATAGAAATTTAAAAAATAGAAGTGGGCTGGGTGTGGTGGCTCACGCCTGTAATCCCAGCACTTTGGGAGGCCGAGGCGGGCAGATCACCTGAGGTCAGGAGTTCAAGACCAGCCTGGCCAAAGTGGTGAAACCCCGTCTCTCCTAAAAATACAAAAATTAGCTGGGCATGGTGGCAGGCACCTGTAATCGGGAGGCTGAGGCAGGAGAATCGCTTGAACCCGGGAGGCGGAGGTTGCAGTGAACCGAGATCACACCATTGCACTCCAGCCTGGGGAACAAGAGCAAGACTTCATCTAAAAAAAAAAAAAAAAAAAGACTAGAAGTGAAGTTGTTTTGAAAAAAAATCCCCAGGATTTCTCTTTCTTTTTGTGACAAACTCTGTTTTAATTCCATTTCTTTAGATTCTGTATTTGTCTGTTTGGCACCTGTCCATCACAGGGCCAATTATATTTATTATATTTCCTTATTTTCTGTGTTCTTTGGTGCTGTGACTGTGTCTTCCCTGACTGGGTAGAGACTGCCCATCTTGGGGCTAGCACATTCTTAGATGTAGAAGTGGGTTTCCTGGAGCCAGCCTTTCCTATTAAAATTTACCCACCCAGAGCCCATGCCCCAACCCTCTCCATGTCAAACTCTCACACACCAAGCCAATATTCTGCTCTCCTAAGTCAACACAAAGCCAGGTACCAGACAACTAGGAACAGCCCCTTTCCCCAAGGCCCTCAGGAATGCCTCAATCTGGCCAATCCTGAACTGTGCACCCTGCTCTGCCCTGCCTTTCCTTTAAAAATCCCATTGGCCTCTCTGTGTCATCACTCAGTTACTTTTCTAAATTAAGACCCATGCACTGAATAATGTCAGAGCTAGAAGATAGAAGTCTGCTTCTGATGTGGTGAAAATTAAGAACAAAGGGATTTTACAGAAGGTTGAGAAAAATGCCCTCTTTGGTTAAATCCTGTAATTTTAGATTCTGTGAGCATCAGAAATCAGGAAGCAAGATCCAAAACATCTATGACTATAATATGAAGCCTCACACATGTGCAGTGATTTATATTTACCACCTCCTTTCACGTGCAGAATGCCCTGTGAGACTCACAATATCCCTGCGAGGAATGCTGGCAACTGCTATATCACTGGAGGATTCAGACTTAGAAAAGTTAACGATTTGTCCAAAGACAGCAACAGGAAGTTCTGCGTCTAAAACCAATCAGTACTCTTCACACTACATCTCAGCAGTTTCCCTCTAATGGAGAAGACCCCTTGGTGACTTTGTTATCCTTTAATTCCTGAAAATGGGCAAACAATAATAATGGGAGATGTACGCCCAGATTCTGCTTTCTTTATACCTCCCTGTGAAACCTCTCCTTTCTGAGAGGCTCAAGCTGTAAGAACTGACATCCTCAGAGACTGGCAACCTGGAACTCATGAGGAGAGATTATTAGAAACTCATAGAGGTGTCAGCATTGAAATGGGAGATTCTGCTGGGTGCATTGGCTCACACCTGTAATCCCAGGACTTCAGGAGGCTGAGGCAGGTGGATCACTTGAGGTCAGGGGTTCGAGACCAGCCTCAGCAACATGGCAAAGCCCTGTCTCTATTAAAAATACAAATAGCCAGGTGTGGTGGCGGGTGCCTGTAATCCCAGCTACTCGGGAGGCTGACGCAGGACAATCACTTGAACCCAGGAGGCAGAGGTTGCAGTGAGCCGAGATTGTGCCACTGTACTCCAGCCTGGGTGACACAGCGAGAGTCTGTCTCAAAAAAAAAAAAAAAGAAAGAAAGAAAGAAAGAAAAGGCAGATTCTTGCCTTGTGTGTTAATCTGCTCAGGCTGCCATAACAAAATGCCATTGACTAGGTAGCACAAACAACAGATATTAATTTTCTTAGTGTTGTGGAGACTGGAAGTTCAAGATTGAGGTGAAGGCAGGCTTGCTGTTTTCTCCTTGGCATGCAGATGGTCGCCATTATGAAGTGTCCTCAAAGTCTTTATGTGCACGACACTCTGGTGTCTCTCTCTGTGTCCATATTTTCCCTTTCTATAAGAACATCAGTCAGATTGATTGGACCCCACTCTAACACCCTCATTTTAATTTAATCGCCCTTAAAGGGTTCTATCTCAAAACACATTCTAAGGTACTGGAGATTCGGGGCACTTCAACATTTAGATTTGGGTAGCAGCACAAAATTTTTCACATAACACCTTTCAGTGATCCACCCTTTGGCCCCTTTTGGCTGAGCAAAGTGGCTTATGCCTGTAATCTGAGCACTTCAGGAGGCTGAGGTGGAAAAAATCCCTTGAGCCGAGTTCAAGGCTGCAGTGAGCCATGATCGCCACTGGGTGGCAGAGCAAGATCCCATTTACTGAAGCAAAAAATGAACTAATCAGGGAATTTAGGATACCCATCACATTAAATGCTTATCATTTCTTTGCGTTGAGAACATTTTAGATCGTCTCTTAGCTATTTTGAAATGTACAATAAATTATTGTTAACAATAATCTCTACTGTGCTAACAGTAGAGCTTATTCATTCTAACCATATCGTTGTACTAATTAATCAAAATTTCTTCACCACCAGCACCCCAACTTTTTGCTGTACAGAAGTTTTGGATATAATCCCAATTGTCTATTTTTGCTTTCATTGACTGTGCTTTTGGGGTCATATCCAAAAATCATTGCTTGGACAAATATGATGTAGCTCTTCTCCTATGAATTATTCTAGTAGTTTTATAGTTTCAGACCTTATGTTTAAGTTGTTAACGCATTTTGAGGCAATATTTGAATAAAAATCGGATTAGAAAACCCCAATTTTATTGTTTTTCTATGTAGATATCCAAATGCATCCTTCCACATCATGTGTTCTTGGCACTATTGTTGAAGTCAGCTGACCATGAATGCATGGGCTTATTGCTGAGCTCTCTATTCCATCCCATTGGTCCATCTGTCTGTTTTCATGCCAGTGTCATATGTTTTGATTAGTATAGCTTCATAGTAGATGTTGAAATCAGGTAGTGTTATACCTCCAGCTTTGTTTCCTTTACCCAAGATTACTTTGGAAAATTTGGGGGGTTTTGGGTTTCATATGAATTTCAAGATTGTTTTTTCTATTACTGTGAATAATGCCATTAGAATTTTGATAGGGGTTGCACTGAATCTGCAGATTGCTTTGGTTAGTACGGACATTTTAACACTATTAATGCTTCCAATTCCCAACCACGACATATCTTTTCATTTTTTTTGTATATTCTTCAGTGTTTTATCAACATTTTATAATTTTCTGTTTACAGGTTATTCACCTCTTCAGACAAAATCACTTCTATGTATTTTATTGTTTTGCTGGTTATTGAAAAAAGATTGTTTTGATTTCTTTTGCAGAGAGTTAATTGTTAGTATATAAAAATGCAACTAATTTTGCTCACCAATTTCTTATCTTCAAACTTTTTAAAGTTCATTTATTATCACATTATTTCTAACAGTATTTTTGTTTAGTCTTGAGTTTTCTGTGTATAAGATCATTACTAAACAAGCATAATTTCACTTTTCTTTTTTATTTGAATGCTTTATATTACTTTTTCTTGCCTGATTGCTCTGGCAAGAACGTTCACCACTATGTTAAATATAAGTGGTGAGAGTGTGCTTCCTTGTCTTGTTCCTGATCATAGAGGCAAGGCTTTCAACTGTTCATCTTTGGGCATAGTATTAGCTGTGGGTTGGTCATATGTGGCGTTTGTTGTGCTGAGGTACATTCCTTCTATACCTAATTTGATGAGAGTTTTTATCATGGAAGAATGTTGAATTTTGTCCAATGCATTCAGTGAATCTGTTGAGATGCTCATATGGATTATGTTTTCATTCTTTGTATGTGGTGCATCACATTCACCGATTTGCATAGGTTGACCCATCCTTCATCCAGGGATAACCTACCACTTCATTATGGTAAATAATCCTTTAATGTGTTGCTTTTTTTTTTTTTTTTGAGATGGAGTCTCACTCTGCCACCCAGGCTTCACCTCCTGGGTTCAAGTGATTCTCCTGCCTCAGCCTCCTGAGTAGCTGGGAATACAGGCACCTGCCACCATGCCCAGCTAATTTTTGTATTTTTAGTAGAGACACGGTTTCACCATGTTGGCCAGGCTGGTCTCGAACTCCTGACTTCAGGTAATCCACCCACTTCAGCCTCCCAAAATGCTGGGATTACAGGCATGAAGCCACCGTGCAGGCCAATTTTTTTTTTTTTTTTTTGCTAGTATTCTGTTGAGGATTTTTGTATCTAAGTTCATAGGGAATGTTGACCTGTAGCTTTTTCTTGTATTATCCTTGTGTGTAGCTTTGGCATCAGGGTAATGCTGGCCTCAAAAAAGAGAATGGAAATGTTTTCTACTCTTAAATATTTTGAAGGAATTTGAGAATGATTGGCATTACTCTTTTCTTAATGTTTGGTAGAATGCTGCAAAGAACACATCATGTCCTGGGCTTTACTTTGATGCAAGTGTTTTATTACTGATTGAATCTCGTTTCTCATTCTTGGTCAGTTCAGATTTTTAATTCGTTTTCGTTTTTCTTAATTTTATTTATTTGAGATAAAAGTCTCCCTCTGTTGCCCAAGCTGAAGTACAGTGGTGCGATCTAGGCTCACTGCAACCTCCACCTCCCCGGTTAAAGTGATTCTTGTGCCTCAGCCTCTCAAGTAGCTGGGATTACAAGCATGCACCACCACACCCAGCTAATTTTTGTATTTTTAGTAAAGACACGGTTTCGCCATGTTGGCCAGGTTGGTCTCAAAACTCCTCACCTCAAGTGATCTGCCTGCCTCAGCCTCCCAAGGTGGTGGGATTACAGGGGTGAGCCACTGGCACCTGGCCTAATTTGTTTTCCTCAATTCTGCATTAATGAAAGATACTTTCTATTTCCTCATGATTCAGTCTTAGCAGGTTTTATCTTTCTAGGAATTTCTCTACTTCTTTTAGATTGTCTAACTTGTGGGCATATAGTTGTGGATAATGTTGTCTTATGACCTTTTGTATTTCTGTGGTATTAAGTGTAATGTCTCATCTTCCATGTCTGATTGACTCTTCTTTTTTCTTGGTTTGTTTGGCTAAAGGTTTGTGATTTATCTTTTCAGAAAAGCAAACTTAGTTTCAAGGATCTTCTCAATTGTGTTTTTCTGCTCTCTCATTTTTTTCTGATTACACTGGATCTTTATTACTTCCTTCTTTTTACTGACTTTGAGTTTAGTTTGCTTGTCTTTTTCTAGTTCCTTAGGGTGTAATGTTAGGTTTCAGAGACCTTTGTTGTTGTTGTAGGCATTTATTGCTCTGATCTTCCCCCTTAGAACTGCTCTTGCTGCTTTCCACAAGATTTAGTATGTTGTGTTTCTATTTCTGTTTGTCTCAAGATACTTTAAAATCTCTCTTGTGATTTCTTTTTTGACCCATTGTTTGGGAGCATGTGGTTTAATTTTCCCATATCCCTCCATCTTGAAATTCCCCGTTATTGATTTCTAATTTTGTCCCATTGTAGTAGGAACTAATACTTGATATAATTTCAATTAAATTTGATAAGATTTGCTTTGTCTTATCTATATGATCTGTCCGGAGAATGTTCCATATGCCTGAGAAGAATGATACTCTACTACTGTTTCATGGAATGTTCTGTGTATGTCTGTTAGGGTACATTTGGTCTAAAGTGCAGTTTGCATCCAACGATTCCTTATTGATTTTCTGTCTGAATGATCTGTCCACTATGGAAAGTAAGATATTTAAGCTCCCTACTAGTATTGTATTGCAATCTGTCTCTCCCTTCAGATTAATATTTGCTTTATATATTAAGGTTCTCTGATGGTGCACATATCTACATTTACAATTCTTATATCCTCTGGATGAATTCACCTCTTTATCATTGTATAATGACAATTTTTGTACTATTATAGTTTTTCCTTAATGTTTATTCAACCTCTACTCTGTTTTGGTTTCTATTTGCATAGAATATCTTTTTCTAGTTCTTCACTTTCTGTGTTCTTAATGGTTAAGTTAGTCTCTTCTCACAGCATATACTTGGGTCTTTTAAAAAATTATTATGATATTCTGTGTCTTTAAATAACTTAATCCATTTACATTCAAGGTATTTATTTATTTGATGGAGTTTTGCTCTTGCAACCTCCGCCTCCTGGGTTCAAGCGATTATGCTGCCTCACCCTCCCAAGTAGCTGGGATTACAAGTGCCCGCCACCATGCCCAGCTAATTTTTTTTATTTTTAGTAGAGACAGGGTCTCACCATGTTGGCCAGGCTCATCTCGAACTCCTGACCTCAGGTGATCCACCCGCCTTGGCCTCCCAAAGTGCTCAGATTACAGGCTTGAGCCACAGCGCCTGGCCTCATTCAAGGTAATTATTGATAGTTAAGAACTTACTCCTGGCGGGGCGCAGTGGCTCATGCCTGTAATCTCATCACTTTGGGAGGCCAAGGCAGGCAGATCACAAGGTCAGGAGTTCGAGACCAGCCTGGCCAATATGGTGAAACACCGTCTCTACTAAAAATACAAAAAAATTAGCTGGGTGTGGTGGCAGGCACCTGTAGTCCCAGCTACTCAGGAGGCTGAGGCAGAATTGCTTGAACTGGGGAAGTGGAGGTTACAGTGAGCTGAGATTGCACCACTGCACTCCAGCCTGGGTGACAGAGTGAAACTCTGTATCAAAAAAAAAAAACAAAAAAAACCTTACTCTTCATTTTATTATTTCCTCATTGTTTTCTAGATTCTTTGTTTCTTCCTACTCACTTGCTGTCTTTGTTATTAGATGCATTTATGAACTGGTATGTTTAGGTTTCTTGCTTTTTATCTTTTGAATACTTACTATAGGTTTTTTGCTTCATGATTAGCATGAGTCTTGCATATAACATATTTTACTTATAAATGGCTATTTTAACCTGATAAAGTTAACTTCTATCACATAGAAAACACTACACTTTTATTCTTCCACCCACATTTTATATTTTTGATGTTAGACTTCTTTTATATTGTATATCCCTAAACAAGTTAATATGCCTATTATGTTTAACAGTTTTGCCTTTTAGACTTTATACTCAATATATAAGTGATTATCATACTTCCATTACAGTGTTAGAGTATCCTGAAATTTGATTCTGCATTTACTTTTATCAGAGAGTTCTATCCTTTCACGTTTCCACGTTACTACTTAATGTCCTTTTTTTCATATTAAAAAAAAACTCCCTTTATCGTTTTCGTAAGACAGGCCTAGAAGTGATATACTTGCTTAGCTTTTGTTTGTATGGGAAAGTCCTTATACAACGTCCTTCATTTGTAAAGGACAGATTGCTAAGTAAATTATTCTTAGCTTCCAGGGTTTTTTTCTGCTGTAATGTAATAATATCAACCTACTGTCCTCCTGGCCTCTAAGAGTTTTTACTGAGAAGTCTGCTGATAGCTTTATAGAGTTCCATTGTAAATGATGAGTCTCTCTTCTTTTGTGCCTTTAAAACTCTGTCTTTGGGCCGAGTGCGGTGGCTCATGCCTGTAATCCCAGCACTTTGGGAGGCCAAGGCAGGCAGATCACTTGAGGCTAGGAGTTCAAGACCAGCCTGGCCAACATGGTGAAACCCTGTCTCTACTAAAAAATATAAAAATTGGCCAGGTGCGGTGGTGCACACCTGTAGTCCCAGCTACTTGGGAGCCTGAGGCACGAGACTCGCTTGAACCCAGGAGGCAAAGGTTGCAATGAGCCAAGATGGTGCCACTGCACTCCAGTCTGGGTAACAGAGCAAGACTCTGGCTCAAAACAACAAAAAACAAAAACCCCTGTGCTTTTGTCTTTGATTTTTGACAGTTTATTACAACACGTCTTGCTGAAGTTTTATTTGAATTAAAACTAATTGGAGACCTTTAAGCTTCCTACACCTAGACATTTATCTCTTTTCCCAGGTATAGACATTTTTGGCTACTATTTCTTTAAATAAGCTTTCTATAGCCTTCTTTCTCCTTTCTTTCTTGAAATCCTGTAATGTGAACTTGGCTCTTTTGATGCTGTCCTGTACATCCTGATGACTTTATTTTTTTATATTCTTTTTTCTTTCTTCTCCTCTGAGCATGTATTTTCAAATAACTTATCTTCAAGTTCACAAATTCTTCCTTCTTCTTGTTCAATACTGTTGTTACCTCTCTATTGCTTTTCTCATTTCACACTCCACAATTTCTGGTTTTGATTAGGTCAGAGTATACATAGATATCTAAGAGATGAGGCAGTACAGCTGATATTTGGGTTACATACAGAATAGCAGGGGAGTTATTAGTGTATATAAAGTATGATGAGAGAATGAAGGTGGGAAGTAAGGAGGCCCAAAAGATCAAGTGGGGTCAGCACAGGTGGTAGTGAACCCATGCCCAAAGAGTTAAATAAACCAGTAACTAACAAAGATTATGAATTTACAGAACAGCAGATAAGAAATAACTTTCTGAAATGCTCAAACTCCCTCTACAAAACTGGCCAAAATTGGTTGAAACCAATATGGCCAAATGGAGTTTGCACAGACCAAGCATGCTGATGTCACAGCCTGAATTTCCTCACCATGTTTCAAACTCCCACTAAATGTGCGCATGATGCATGAGGAGACATGAAGAGAACTGTGCATGCCTGAAGACTTTCCAGACCTCTCCTTTCCTTCTACCTATCACCTGAGAACCCCAGAATCCACCTCCTAAACGTTTTATAATTAAATTACTGCCTTAAAACCAGCACAGGGAGACAGATTTGAGCTTGACTCATCTTGTGAGTCAACTTACAATAAAAAACTTTTCTTTCTCAAAAACCTGGTGTCAAAATATTGGCTTCCAGTGCCTCAGGGAGAGAGCTCCTTTTGCTTGACAACAGTAGTATCAATTAGACCAGATGGTATAACAGGGACTGCAGGTTCATCTTTTCTTAGTGCCTTTCCCCACCCTTAAGAATCTTTTGGGACTGTTCCATTGCTGTGTGATGCAGGCACAGAACTCAAGAGTGAACATGCTGAGAATTCTCGATGCCAGGCTGCCCAAGGCCACAGTGAGCATCAGATAAGGGAGAACTATTCCTTTGTTCTGAAGACTTCATGACTCAGGGCTGAGCTCAATCTAAATGACATGCAGCATTATTTTCTACTTACTATGTAGTCTAGGGTTCCTCCTGTTTCTCTGCCACCTAGAGATCAATTCATTTTTATCAATATTTGGGAAAATCAGTGACATAAATCAGGTAAGAGGACCCTAGATCCAGCCTCCAGGATCCTGCCCTTTGCCTGTTGATCCTGCCCTTTGCCTTTGCACTTTTCTAAATAAATTACACTAGCACAGACACACTGACATGCAGACTCTTGGGAGATACCAGCACATAAGCACTTCAGAGCAGTTTGGGGATGACAGGTATCAGAGTGAGGGCTAGGCTGGGGCTTCTATCTGAAGTTCATAATCTATCTGTGTGTGTCGGCTAGCTCCTGGGAAAATCCCAGGGTATTTCTGTGGCCATGGGGGAGATTATTGAGACAGGGCAGGATCCCTGCAGAAGTGTCTCCCAGACACTTATTATTTCCCTTTTCATATGAAGATCTCTGGACCAAGCCTCCATGATAGGGCTGATCTGGAGACCACTGCGGATGCTGTGAAAGCCTCTGATCACATAGGAGAGTAAGCTCTGGCCTCAGAAAGCAGGATCCTATCCAAGAGAGCTCCATGCTCCTGGAGGTGAGATTCTGTATGCTCCTTCAGTAGAAGGCCACAGACTGAATAATCAATTGAGAATCGCATATCTTTTAGTTTCCCAAAAAAGAAAAATTTTTAAAGTATTTTTATCCATGTTAAGAGTAACAGCTACTCAGGAGGCTGAGGCAGGAGAATCGCTTCAACCCAGGAGGTGGAGGTTACAGTGAGTGGAGATTGCACCACTGCCCTCCAGCCTGGGCAACAGAGCGAGACTCCATCTCAAAAAGTAAACAAAAATGGCTGGGTGCGGTGGCTCACCCCTGTAATCCCAGCATTTTGGGAGGCTGAGGCGGGCGGATGATCTGAGGTCGGGAGTTTGAGACCAGCATGACCAACACGGAGAAACCCCGTCTCTACTAAAAATAGAAAATTAGGCGGGCGTGGTGGCGCATGCCTGTAATCCCAGCTACTTGTGAGGCTGAGGCAGGAGAATCGCTTGAACCTGGGAGGTGGAGTGCCAGTGCACTCCAGCCTGGGCAACAAGAGCAAAACTCCGTCTCAAAAAATAAAATAAAATAAAAGCTTAGTATCTGTACAAAATATACGAAAAAAGAGGAGTAACAGCAAAGGAACACAGACCTGAATTAACTCAACAGTATTCATGAATAATAAACATCTGCCATTTGCCTAGAGAGTGAGATTGGAGTTCTAGCCCCTCATTCTTATTTTCAGCATCAGGGAAGGCCCATTCTCCCTACTGCTCTAGAATATGCACAGGGTACAGGAACAGCAGGGTGGGGACTGAGCCTAAGCCCAAGCTAAGGGGTGGGTGGAAGCAGATTCCCGCTACTCAGCTTCTGTCAGGAAAGGCATGTGCTCTTGGGGACAGAGAGCAGTGATTCCCCATGAAGAGTTGGGGCCTCAGGTTTCCCTTCCCTCCTCCGAAGTCTGGGAAGGACCCAATCAGCCAACCCAAACTTCGAGCTACTAGTCTCTTACCCTTCCTGGAGGCCGACTGGGAAAAATCCAGCCCTACAAAGCCTGTAACCCCCCACCACCTTGCAGCTCTGTATGGCAAGACATCGAGAGAGCGGGGAAGGCCTGCTGGAGTCAAGGCCTGGCACTAAATCTTTATTGGATTTTCTCTTTTTGACAAGTTCCTGAATTATTATTTTTTTTCATATGGGGTCTTGCTCTGTCACCCTGGCTGGAGTGCAATGGCCCAATCTAGGCTCACTGCAACCTCTGCCTCCCAGGTTCAAGCAATCCTCCCGCCTCAGCCTCCTGAGTAGCTGGGATTACAGGCGCCCTCCACCACGCCCAGCTAATTTTTTCATATTTTTAGTAAAGACAGGGTTTCACTGAATTGGTCAGGATGGTCTCGAACTCCCGGCCTCAGGTGATCCGCCCACCTCGGCCTCCCAAAGCGCTGGGATTACAGGTGCGAGCCACTGTGCCCACACCAATTTTTTTAAATTTATGCCTCATGCCACCAGCTTGGGTAGATGAACCTGGCCTCCTTCCCTCCAGCCCTGATGGCCACAGGCAGAATCTTGTCGGTGCCCTGCAGTTCACTCCTCGGGGCTGAGGCACCACCTCGTCATCTTCATCTGCCCGGGGGAGCCATGGTAATTCTCCTCTAGCGACAACCACAGCTCAAGCACCATAGGCAGATTCTGCACCCTGAGTCAAGGGCATGGTGATTCTAGAGCTCTACTCGTGCCCCTATGCATTAGCCAAAGGCAACAAGTGACTCGACCTCATCCACATCCAGATGTCTGGGTCAATGCAGTGGAAGGAAGGGGTCAGTGAAGAGGCTGTTGGCAAAAACAGCCAAAGAAGTGCAGTCATCACAAAAGGAGACAAAATTTGTGTGTGGGCTCTGAAGAACAGTGCTGTGGAAGGAACCATTAGAGATGGCCAGTGTGACTGCTGGGATTTAGGCCTAGAGAGCGGGAGAAACAGGCCAGGGTCATGAGTCCTGGCTCCACACAGTCTCTCCACCCTGACCCAGCTCCAGCATCAAACTTCAGCTGCTACAGAGAAGGCCAGGTGTATGGAGCAAACAAAGCCTGCAGCCTGGGAGATTAGGAACCACTCCTAACAATGGACTTAATAACATCACATTCATCACCTGATTGGATTCTTCCAACATGAAGCTCACAGAAGGTGAGTTACCTCAGTCCGTTCTCCTGAGAGCACTCCCTCAGTAACACACTTGAACGAGTCTCCACTCGGGCTCTGCTTCTAGAGCACATGACCCAAGACACCAGGCAACTCCTGGTTAACTCAGGACTCTGCCAGCGTTCAATAACTCAAGCTATCCTTCACCCTCGTCTCTCATACTCACTCCTGTGGTCGCTGAGTATCACCTCATTACCCAGCACATCCTGGGTATCCATCGCACCTCCACCTCCTGTAATAATCCCATTCCATCACTTGCCCAATCTAGCAGCCTCAACATATCCCTGAGCCTTGTCTACATACACATGTCCAATTGTAGACCCCACCTCTGAGCCATAGCACATCCTCAGCCCTAGACCCACGTAGCATTAACCTCACTCTCAAGAGAGAAAAACTGGGTTAGTATTTAAGGCAGGACTTCTCTAACTTCAGTGTGCAGATGAACCTGGGCATCTTGTTAAAATGAAGGCTCTGCCTGAGCAGGTCGGGGCAGGGACGAGAGGCTCTGCATTTCTAACAAGCTCCTGAGAATGCAAAGGCTGCTGGTCCACTGCACTCTTGTTACAATGGACCAGCAGCGTTAACCATGGGGAAAGTCAAAGTTTAATGTCAGACTTTGACGTTTGGTTACACGTGTGTTCACATTTCTAGAGCAGTAGTTCTCAACTGGGAGAGAGTTTATCGCCCAGGGCATAAATGGAAATTTCTAAAGATGCTTTTTGGTCTCCTTCAGCCTCATCCCCTAGGGCACAATAAAGTCTAACAAAGGGTAGGGATGTGGTAATATGAAGGCTGAGCTGGTGAAATCACCTTGTCACTCAAAGCCACATTTCCCTTCCACCACCTGGGTCAAAATGTGCTCAAGCATCATTTCCTCTGTGAAACCCTTCCATGCAGACACCACCAGCCATACGTCCCTTGCTCCTTTCTCCAGGGTGCTCTGGGCCCCTCCCTCCATCAGTTAGAATTCCGGTCACCTTCAAGTGATGAAACCCTAAACGAACAGGCACTTGACCAGTTTAATTCTCCCAGGTGACAGTACTGGCATGGCTCTTCACAGCCTCGGGGAGGCAGGCTCCTTCTCTCTTGTCCTGCCTTACTTGACCTTCACGCCTAAGATCATTTTCTGGCCCCAGGTGGCAGCTCCTACTCCAGCCATCTGGTCCACATTCCAGAGTGCAGGAAGGAGGAAAGGTGGGGGATGACGCCTTCCCCCTTAAGAACACTTCCTAGAAGCTGCATATACCACTTCTGTTCAACATCTTTTTGGCTAGAATTTGGTCACAATACCACACCTAATTTCAAGAGACACTAGGAAAATACCTTGAATCCATGTAGTCATCTGCCCAGTTAAAAATCAGAGCTTCTACATTAGGAAGGGGAGAATAGATACCGAGATAACTGATCTATCTTGCCACAGTTCTCTCCCTAGTACCGTCCTGATTACTCTGAGACCTCCTGGGGACAGGGTCCAAGCCCAAGTCTTCTTCAAGAACACAGGAAATGGCCCACAGGGGGTTCTCTGGCAATGTACAGCTAACTCTGCTTCTCATGTTGTGTACTTCTCATGTTGAAACTGTTACACACTTTCCAGGTACTAATTCACTTGGTCCTCGCCACCCACCCTGCAATCTAGGTATTACTGTAACTCTCATTTTACACAATACAAAACTGAGCTCATAAAGACTTAACAAGCTACTCCTAGTCACACGTCTATTAACTGAAGGAGCCACAATTTGGACCCAGGCAGTCTGGTTCCAAGGCACCTGCTCTTAACCCCCCAAATACTCGGCCGACATCTATGAATCTGAACTGCACTACAGGACACCACCCAGAGCACCTCATGGACCCTCTACCCCAAAGGCCAGCAGCACTCCTGGGGGGATCCCCAGAGTATTCTTTCGGGACATAGGGGTATAATGGGTCCTGTAACAAGATCTTCTCCAGAGAAAAGCGCAGATGTTGTGGCTCTGGGGTGGTGCCCCCTCCTCCAAGCTGATGACTAAGGCCAGAGGACCAACTACTTCTAGACCTTTATTTCTCTGTGAAAAGGGGGAAAATAAAAGGAATAAAATAAAAACGGCACAGTTGACACACAAAAAAAAACCAATGATGGGGAGGACGGGAGGTGGAGAAGTAAATGGGGGAGGGGTTCCCATTACAGCAGCAGGATCCAGTGACCCGGGATGCTCACATCTCTCCCTGACGTGGGCGGAGTAGCCCCTTCCTCCCAAGGTCACTGTCCTGTCCAACCCCGTGCTCCCCTAGCCCGTTGGGAGGTGGACAGTGAGACATCTTCCCAGGCTGGGGAGAGGAGGAACCGTGCTGGGGGAAGGGGCCTGGGGTCAGACCATGCACAGGGAGTGACAGCCAAAGGCCCCCCAGTGTCTCCCCAAAGAGGGACTTGTGGGGGTTGGAGGGTGGACACCAGAGGCCAGTGTTTGCTCCTCTTCCAGCATCAGGCGAGAGACAGAACTAGGAAAACAGGAACAGGCAAGAATCAGAACCAGAGCCCTCTCTCTGCCCACAATGCCAAGGTACCTCCCCCTCCCAGAAGCTGCTGCCCACAGGCCCAGTGCCTGTCCTCAAAGTCCACCCTCCTGCTAGGGCTCCGTGCTTTCTAGGTCTTACCAGTCAGAGCCTCCTGGGCAAAGTATTTGACGTCCACATCCTGGTCCTGGGTCAGCTTCTCTAGGATGGGCTTGACTTCACTCTGCAAGGTGCTGGAAAGCGAAAGGAGACAGGGAGAGAGAGGGTGAGCCAGGATGGACTGGGGCAACAGGTGGGCACAGGGCTCTTGGGCAAGAGAGTGTACACAGACACGGATACACCAAACCCAAGGTGGGAGGAGTCTCAAGAATCCAGGGCACACACAGGAATTAGAAATCTCTGATCACTGCACAGGCGGGTGACCATAGTTAATAATAACATTTTGCATATTTCAAAACAGCTATAAGAGAAGATTTTGAATGTTCTCATCACAAAGAAACAGTAAACATTTAAGGTGATAGATATGCTAATTATCCTAATTTGATCATTACACATTTGCACACATTATTGAAACACTACTATACCCCCATAAATATATAAAATTATGAGTCAATTAAAAGTAAAATCAGGCCGGACGTGGTGGCTCACATCTGTAATCCCAGCATTTTGGGAGGCCAAGGTGGGTGGATCATCTGAGGTTGGGAGTTTGAGACCAGCCTGGCCAAACCAACATGGAGAAACCCTGTCCCTACTAAAAACACAAAATTAGCAGGGCGTGGTGGTGCACGCCTGTGATCCCAGCTACTTGGGAGGCTGAGGCAGGAGAATTGCTGGAACCTGGGAGGCGGAGGTTGTGGTGAGCCAAGATTGCATCATTGCACTCCAGCCTGGGCAACAAGAGCGAAACTCCGTCTCAAAAAAAAAAAAAAAAAAAAAAAGGTAAACTCAAGGCCGAGCACGGGGGCTCAAGCCTGTAATCCTAGCACTTTGGGACGCCAAGGTGGGCAGACCACTTGAGGCCAGGAGTTCAAGACCAGCCTGGACAACATGGGAAAACCCCCATCTCTACTCAAAGTACAAAAATTAGCCAAGCATGGTGGTGCACACTTGTAATCCCAGCTACTTGAAAGGCTGAGGCACAAGAACTGCCTGAACCCAGGAGGCAGAGGTTGCAGTGAGCCGAGATCGCACCACTGTACTCCAGTCTGGGCGACAGAGCGAGATTCTGCCTCAAAGGAAAACCAAACAAACTGCAAAAAACCAACCAACCAACCAATTACTTAAAGGTCAGAAGTATGATAAACAAGGACTGGGGCCCCAAACAGGGAGATCAGAGCAGGCTGGGAAAGTGGAACAGAATCTCAGAACCCCCAAGTCTCTGAGGCCCAGCAAATGGGTATCTTTCATTGATTTCACACATATTCACTGAGGCCTACAATGTATTAGGAGTGAATACAGAGCTAAATCACTCTTGATTTCTGCCATGAGGCACCCGGGCCAGGAGGAAGAGACCAAACTGGTACGTAAGAGGGGAGTGGTAAGTGGCCCCAAGGGGAAGTTCCTGGTCCTCCAGGAGCCCAGAGGAGGCATCCACTCTCATCTATGGGGCCCAGGGAAATCCGCCTGCACCAAGAGTCAATTGTTTTGGAAAACGGAGGGGGACTTCGGAGAGAAACTAAAGCTGAGGTTGTGTCCTGGAACAGACAGAAAGAGAAATCTGCAGTTGTGGGTCCCACACTTTCAGTTGACAGTTCCCTGTTCTCCCCAAATAACCACTATTCTTACTTCCATCATCTCGATTCCTTCATTCTGCCTGTTTCTGAACTTGACATAAATGGTGTGTTTTCTTGATTTTGGCTCCTCACTCAACATGGTATCTGTGAGAGTCACCTGTTGCTGCTTATAGCAGGCATTTGTTTCGTCACTGCTGAATAGTTTTCCACTGTTTGAATGAACTAAAATTTATCTACTCTACTGTGGACAGACATGGAGGTTGTTTCCATTTTTACGGCTACTATGAATAAAGCTACCATGAACATTCTTCTGACAGAAACAGCACTCATTTCTCCTGGATAGAGACCCAGGAGTGGAAGGGCTGTTTCACAGGCTGTTTGTATAACAAGCTTCACCAAATTCCACTCCAGATCCACTCCCGTTTTCAGAGTGATCAAACCCTAAATGTACAGCCCCACGTGCAATGGATGAGAGTTCCAGCTCTTCTATGTCTTCACCATTTGCACCACTGAGTCTTTTTTAATGTTGGCTGTTCTGGGAGGCGTGTAGTCATATGTCACTGAGATTTAATTTGCATTTTCCTGAAGGCTAATGATGCTGAACACCCTTGTCATATGCTTACTGGCTATTTGGAGATCCTTTTTCAAGTGCCTATTCAAGTCTTTTTCCCCATCTCTTTCTTGTCTTGCCTGATTTGTAGACAGGTATTGTGGATGAGTCCTTTCTCAGAAACATATATTAAAACATCTTCCTCCAGTCAGTGGCTTGCATTTTACTCTCAAAATGCTGTCTTTTGAGAAACAGCGTTACATTTTACAGAAGGTCAACTTACCCATCACTTCCTCTGGTTTGCTGTTTAACAAATCTGTGCCTACGCTAACTCAAGAAGATATTTTCCTACATTTTCTTCTAGGTCCTTTATTTTTAAAATCTTTCTGGTTCTGGTCTGTCATCTCAAATTAATTTGTTTATGCATTGAGGCGAGCCTTCTTTTATTCCTAAATGGATATCAAATTGACTCAGCTATGTTTTTTAAAAAACATACATTTCTCCACTGAACTGCAGAGATGCCTACTGTTAAACACATGTGGGACTGTTTCTGTACCCTTGATTCCATTCTATTGGGCGATTTAAATATGCTTGTGTTCACATCTATTTTAATTATTGTGGTGTCATAAGTCTTCGTCTCTGGTAGTGTAAATCAGACAACTTTGTTCATTAGAAGTGTCAATTTTCCACTAAAGAACCTGTTAAGATTATTGGGCTTATACTGAATCTAAAGATGAGTTCAGGGAACTGTCCCATCCGTGAATATTATGTAGGTCTGCTTTAATTTTTTTTGAGACAGTCTCGCTCTATCGCCCAGGCTGGAGTGCAGTGGCATGATCTCAGCTCACTGCAACCTCCACCTCCTGGATTCAAGCAATTCTCTTGCCTTCAGCCTCCCAAATAGCTAGGATTACAGGTGAGTGCTACCGCACCGGCTAATTTTTTGTATTTTTACTAGAGACGGGGTTTCGCCATGTTGGCCAGGCTGGTCGTGAACTCCTGACCTCAACTGATCCGCCCACCTTGGTCAGGTCTGCTTTAATTTCTCACATTAGTGTTTTACAGTTTACATTAGAGGTGTTACATACACATCTTTCATTGAATTTATTCCTGGCTATTTGATATTTTTGGTGCAATTATAAATTATACACATACTTACATATAAAACATAAGGTGATTTCATTTTCTAATGACTTGTTGCTAGTATACAGGACTGCCAACCCATCACCCCCTCTTTCTATTTCATGCTGTGATGTTCATTTTACAGTTGAGAAAACACACCTTGAGAAGGGAAGGGAGCCAAGGTCACACAGCAAGCAAGGAGCGCTGCCAGGCCTCTGACCCTGGGCTCTACCTTCAAAGGTCAAAGATTAAGGTGCCCACAAGAAGCCCCTGCCAGTGTGTGGGGGAGTATCCAGACCTCACCTGTTGTCCAGGATGGGCCCTATCTTCTGCAGAGACTTGGCCACATTGAAGCGGACATTGGCAACCGGGTCCCCAGCCATGCGCAGAACCGTGGGTAGCATGTGCTTGGTGGTGATGTCCTGCCCACAGACCTCAGACAGCACCTGGGGGCCAGTGAGTGGCAGGGGTGAGTATGCAAAGCTCCTGGCTAACTCTCATTTCCTGCTGCCTCTGACCAGGCCACTCTGGTGATCATCAGGCCCCACAGAGGCTGAGCAATACGGGTGACTCAGTTAGTGGAGTGAATCTCCCAACTCCACTAACACCATCCTAACACCATGTCCCAGTTTCTCTGTCCTCAGGCTTCCCTTAATTATTCTGGAGATCGACCTTAATTACCAAGCCCTAGGATCCCTCCTTAAAGCAATGCTCTCCAGAGAGTGGCGTGGGAAGAAATGATCAGAACACTTAGTTATATTTATTTTTAAATCCCTTCCTTTCTAGCCCTGTGTATGGTTTACACATAAATAAGTAGTACATGAGATAATTATAATCGTAGGAAAAGCAAATAGACAGGAGCACTTCCTACCTGTAGCATAACTGTTCTAAGCCCTGTGCGTGTATAACCTGATTAATCTTCACGCTCACCAGGCTGTGATTACCAGTATGAATTCTTTACAGTATGAATTATTTACAAATGAGAAGACCAAAGCATCGGTTAGGTAACTATCCAAGGTCCATAGCTAATATATGGCAGTACCAGAATTTAAAACTAGGTCTGACCTAGAGCCCATACACTCACCCAACGCACCACAGATAGAGACACACATTTCTCAGGGAAGGAGAGGGGTGCTCATAAAGCTTGAGATCGCTGCTCCAACAGGTCAAGTCTCCCAGGCCCTGGGTCCCTCACCATCCAAGTCCCCAGTCCCAGAGGCCCTATGACCCTGACCCTGGGAGCCCCACCCCCTTGCCTGCAGTTCCCCAAGGACTCATCTCTGGATAGAAGATGCACTCCATGTCTCCATTCCCAAGCCAGGTGTCTCCCTTGGGGAACCCTCTAGCATCCCTCCTCTCCCACGCGCTCCAGTTCCCTAGGGATGGGCCAGCAGGCAGGTGGAAGGCTCACATTGATGCAGAAGAGCGTAGTCATGCGGTGCAGGTAGTTGGGGTCTCCGGACATGGCCAAGACCTTGGGGATGATTGTGGCATGGGCCCACTCCTTCCCAAACTTTTCCACTAGCTTCTTCAGGTTGCTGGTGGCTGCCTCGCGGATGGCATATACTGCAGAAGGGTGAGGGTGAGAGAGACAGGGATTTGGAGGTGAAGAACTGATGTGGGCAAAATGTAGGTCACACTCACCATGGCTTACAAAGCAGCCCCTAGGTGCCAGGCTGCATGTGAGCCAAAGAGAGAAAAAAGGACTTACTATGTGCTATATCTAGTAACTGTTTTTTTTTATACAGTATCTTTTCAACCACTCCAAGAGGTAGGTTCCACTACTGGCTTCATTTTACAGATGGGCAAACTAAGGCTCTAAGAAGTGATTTGCCTAAATTATGTGGCACTTATTACTTCAAACAGGGCTTCACAGAGATAAATATTACCTTTTATTTTTTACCTCTCTTAGTGTAAACAATGAGCCATTCTCATAATGGCCCCAAGGCACCAGAATAAGAAGTTTCAAAGAATGAGTGTGGGGCTCATTCAAAGACAGCAGGTGACTTGTTTTAGATCTGACAGCCCCAAGGGCAGGATTCAAAACCCTGGTCTGGCTGCTCAGTGGCCCTCTGGCTCTCCACTATACCAGGCAACCCCTGGGTGATCTGTTTCGTCCTCCTCCCACTCAACACTTCTCTAGGACTCTAACAAGCATGCGAGCTGGTCCATACGAGCATCCAGCGGCGTGGGGAGTGACTCTAGCCTCCTCCACTGCCCGCCACAGCCCCAGCCAATCCATCCTGCCTTTCTGGAGCTCCCATCTCCTCTTGCTGCTCCTGTGAAGGTACTCACCATGATCCACAAGCCAGGCCATGCACAAGGAGTTAAGTTTCTCATCAAAGAACTCCACTCCCTACAGGAGAAACCAAGGGTTCCAAGGTAAGCGTTCCAGGAGAGCAAACAGGGGGAGCTGCTAGCCACATCCCATGGAACCTACACCCACCCTAGAAAGACCGGACACTTCTCAACTTTGTCTGAGGTGCTCCTTTCCCTCCTCTCTCTTATTGAATCCAATGCATCTTTTAAGGCCCTATTTCCTGGGTCCCTTCCTTCGACTCCCCAGGCAGTTGTCACAGCCTCCACTAAGCCTTCAAAGCCCCGTTTCCCCATCACAGCCCTGGACATACTGCACCTCCCCTGAGGCAGCACTGCCTGGCCCCCAGGCCTCCTCACTCACCAGCTGTCCAGCCAGGAGGGGCATGTACTCAATGATGGCCAGCCGCACCCGCCACTTGGCGTCCTCAGCCAGCTCCACAATGGCAGGGAGCAGGGACTGGGACAGCTGCCGGATGCCAATCACCTCGTTCACACAGTCCAGGTTAGAGATGATGTTCAGCCGTACCTCAGGGCACTGAGGAGAGGAAAGAAGGATTCTGAGAGAATGCAATGCACACAGCAACCCAGGACAGGATGGAAAGAGCTCAGCTGCATCAACTTTTATGGACATCTCCCGAGGGACTACTCCTGTCCAAGCCCAGCTCCCCGTTCTGGGAACACATTAACGGCACACAAAAAGCAAGCAGCATGGATCACTAACTTAAGCAGATTTTTAAACCTTACAATAGTATCACAAGAAATGTTTATCCATTTTGAAAAGACTTTAAGAATCACAGTAGGAAAATACAGCACCCTGGAAAAAACAGGCAGACATGATTCTTCTAATCCTAGCTCCGCTGCTTGCTAACAAGGGTTCCTTTCTGGGTATCAATCCACAACATGGGAGAAGGGAAGGAAGAAAACTATTTCCTTATTAAAACTATTTTAGTCTAAAAAAATAAATAAATAAAGGAGCACTGAAATGAATCAATAACCAAGTGAACAAGCCTGGCAGGCTTGGGCTGTTGAAACCCTGCACATTCCGAGGATAGGACTGGCCCTTGCCCAGCTCCAGCCCTTGCTGTGTGAGCCTCAAGCTGCTGAACATGTGCATGAGAAGAGAAGGCTCAGAGACTATACCTCACCCATTTAAAAAGACTTATTTTTGGTGCACCAGTAAAAAGGTAGCCTTTTTCATTTAGACAAGTTTATAAATTCTGGTGAGAGTCAAAATGTAAAATATAAAGTTTATAAATCTAAAATGGAAATCTCAAATATAAGTCAGATGAATTCCTCACACCAAGAAAACCATGCTGGTTCTTTTCTTCTAAGAGAAGCTGCCCTGAGACAGGCTGGCTGCCAGCACACGATTACCATATAGCGCTTGCTGAAGGTGAAACTGGAGCAAAAAATGCTCCAGTCCTAGCGCACTTGCAGCACGTATGGGCTTGCCTTCAAACTGGGCTGAGCCTGGATCCTTCCCTCATGCCAGAGGCAAAATGATCCCCAAAACGCTGGAGAGGTGTGAAATGACATAGCAGACAACTTGAGGGGCTCTCACCTGCCAAATTATGCCCATTAAAGCATCAAAAACAAATATAAATTGTATTAATATCTATAAAATTATAAAAACTATGTGCATGTGAAGCATAACTCAGATAAATTACTTAAGTCATAAAATTTGTCATGAACACTAATGAAGATTCAGACTTTTAGCAACTGACGTAATTAACTGATTAAAACCAGTACAGTTAATCACCCACTAATAGGGAAAAACAAAAAGAACAAAAAAATATTAAAAATAGCGCACTCTTTTCAATGTATTAAAAAATTCACTGTAATTCTGGGGCTAAGAGATTACTCCACTGTAACAGAATTGAATAACGTAACTTTTAGGGGCATGGAGGACTGAAATGTGATGCAGTACTTTCTGTTACAGTATTTCCTCCAACTTTCTAGCAGACTGTGTGGGCGCCTGTGTATAAAAAAGAAAGAAGGGGATGGGGAAGAAAGACTGAGGCTTTTGGGAAGCCTCACACACTTCCCATCTTTTGGGAAAGATGTCACACACCAGCACACAATTGCACCATCTGCCCAGTTTTTCACCACCAAGGCAAAAACCACCACGTGGTCCCTTCTGCCTCCTGAACAATCTTGAATCCTTCCGTATCAATGCAGCCTCATCTCTACATACCACTTAGTCTAGCCTCAGCCTTCCAGACTCCCACAGCCTCCGGTTTGGTCTGCCTACACTGCTGCTGGCCACCTCACTTCAATCCTTCCTTCACATAAGCCTCAGGGTGCCTTCTAACACCAACTCTATTCTGGCTCTTCCGCTTGCCCACAGTCAAGTCCAAACTCCTTCCCCAGTGGTCACCCTGATGATCTCTCCAGTCATCACCCAGCACCGCCTCTCATCCTTTGTAATACAGGCAACCTGAACTGCTGGGTGTGGTCACGTGACCCTCCTGGCCAATGGGTGTATGGGGTGCAAGCACATGTGAGGAATCTCGTCCTAGACTGTTATGAGAGAGAGAAAAAAAATCCACCACCGAATTTAAGCCAGAATGTATTCTGGGGTCTATATTAGAGCACCTTAGCCTAAACCCTAAAAAACATGAACTCATCCTTAACAGCACCTGTAACACCTTAATGGCATCATGGGACTGCCTGTCTCTCTCCACTGCCAGTCTCTGAAGGCTTTTGGGGATCAAAACTCTTATTCTAGGCTGGGGGCAGCGGCTCACGCCTATAATCCCAGGCCTTTGGAGGCCAAGGCAAAAGGACTGCTTGAGATCAGGAGTTCAAGACCAACCTGGGCAACATAATATCTTGTCTCTATGGAAAATGTTTTTTAAAATTATCTAGATGTGGTGGCTCTTGCCTGTAGTCCCAGCTACTTGGGAGGCTAAGGTGGGAGGATCACTTGAGCCTGGAAGGTGGAGGCTGCAGTAGACCATGATCACATCACTGCACTGCAGTGTGGGCAATAGAGCAAGACCCTATCTCAAAACATAAATAAATAATTTTTTTTTTGAGACAGAGTCTTGCTCTGTTGTCCAGGCTGGAGTGCAGTGGTGCAATCTTGGCTCATTGCAACCTCTGCCTCCTGAGTTCAAGTGATACTCCTGCCTTAGCTGCCCGAGTAGCTGAGATTACAGGCACTCGCCACCATGCCTGGCTAATTTTTGCATTTTTAGCAGACACGAGGTTTCATCATGTTGGCCAGGCTGGTCTCGAACTCCTGACCTCAGGTGATCCACCCGCCTCAGCCTCCCAAAGTGCTGGGATTACAGGCGTGAGCCACCGCGCCTGGCCATAAATAAAAACTTTAAATTTCTATTTTTCATATCCTCCATGTCCAGGAAAGGCCTCATGAAGAGTGCCTGGAGGAATGAACGCATGAACACACAGCTATGCCCACAAACATGCAACTCAGCAAAGATCTGGATGTCTGTTGAGATATCAGCAGATTCCTGGTCAATCTAGGTAAACCCTAGCAATCTAGGAAGACCCGCCTGTCCCCTCCACAAACCCAGAGCTGAGATCCTGGTGCCCTTACCTCATCCTTCAGCTGAGCCAGGAAGAGGGGCAAGAGGTGCTCGATGGTGTTGTCTTTGCCCAAGATGGGAGAGAGACCCATGATGACTGAGGCCAGGGCAGACTTGACATGTTGGTTGGCATCGGACACCAGCTCCTGGGAGAGAGAAGAGGCAGGCACAGGGGTCAGTGCAACCCCTGCAGCAGCAAGTGGCTAAGCAGATGCCAACTCCTAAGAGACAATAACCTGCTTCTGCCCCTCTCATTCATAGAGCAGGGGATGGCTTAGGGTACAGGGGAAATCACTATTCCTTATGAGTACCACCTACTTAAGAGTTCAATGACCCCTGCTCTCAGCAGCCCCCACTCCAACCCCAAAACCCTGTGAATGACAGGACTCAGTGACATCTGAGGTTCTAGAAAGTACTTCCACCTTTAAGGTCAGCCTCAAGCTGCAGTCAGGACCCCTAACTGCTTGAAACCCAAGAGCTGCCTGGTCCCAGAGGGCTGGGAACCTAGTTTGCAGCTGACTATCCCCAAAGCCTTGTCTCCAGCCCCTCTTTTTGGCAGGCTCGGATCCACTTGGTTCCTCCCATCAAACTCTCTGTTACCTTGATGCAGGGCAAGATCTGGGACATGATCACATTCTCCCGACAGTCAGCTGAGAGGTTTTCACAGAACTCTGTGGGCAGGGAGAGGGAGGCAAAGGGAAGTGAGACCTGATGTGCTAGTTCCACCTCCAGCCCCTTGGATACCCACCCCACTTGCTGTGTTCCGGCTGCCAGCACCAACCTTTGACCTTGTGGGAGGCTGCGGCCCTCACCTCGGCCTCACAGTCTTTCATCAGGTTCTGGAAGGCAGGGACCAGGTCTGTCTTGGTGATCTCAGGCCCCACTGCTTTCTGGAGCTGCAGACAGGAAGGAGGAGGGGGAGAGTGAGAGGGGCTGGCAGTTTACTCTGGGCTAAGGAAGCCAAAATCAAAGTGAAGGCACCAGAATTAGGGGACAGAGCGTGGGCCTTGGAAGCAGTGCTAAAATCTAATTCGAGTGCCAAGACTGGCCCCGGGGCAAGGCTCTTCACCTCGCTGAGCCTCTTTTGCTTCCAAAGAAAAATGAGGACTGCGAGGGCACCTACCTCACGGTGTTGTCAGCATTAAAAATAACACATTTCCATATTATTCAGGCTACTGAGGTTAAGTTTTCTGTTACCTGATTCAAAAACATTCAAATGATATAGTGACTGCAACTTTTTGATTTATATATGGCTGTATTTCTTAAAGATCTGTTACCAGAAGCACGAATTACTTTTGTAATGAAAATAAAACAATAGGCCAAGTGCGATGGCTCATGCCTATAATCCCAGCACTTTGGGAAGCTGAGGTGGACAGATCGCTTGAGTCCCAGAGAACAAGACCAGCCCGGGCAACACAGTGAAACCCTGACTCTACAAAAAAAACAAAACAATTAGCCGGGTGTGGGGGCAGGCACCTATCGTCCTAGCTACTCAGAAGGCTGAAGTGGGAGGATCACCTGAGCCCAGGAGGTCAAGGCTGCAGTGAGCCGTGACTGTGCCACTGCACTCCAGCCTGGGTGATGGTGTGAGACCCTGTCTCAAAATAAAAATAAAACAATAAAGATTGACAGAAAGGAAGGCACTCTAGGGCTGGGCGTAGTGGCTTACACCTGTAATCCCAGCGCTTTGGGAGACAGAGGTGGGTGGATCACTTGAGGCCAGGAATTCGAGACCAGCCTGGCCAACATGGTGAAACCCCATCTCTACTAAAAATACAAAATTAGCTGGGTGTGGTGGTGCACACCTGTAATTCCAGCTACTCAGGAGGCTAAGGCACGAGAATCACTTGAGTCTGGGAGGTGGAGGTTGCAGTCAGCTGAGCTTGTGCCACCGTACTCCAGCCTGGGCAAAAGACTGAGACTCTGTCTTAAAAAAAAAAAAAAAGGGAGGCACGCTTGGCCCTGCCTGTTTCATGGCACCAGGCATGGAAAGACGCACGGCTCCTGCTGCAAAGCTGGTTCCTGAAGACCTGGTAGGAAGCAGGACAGTTCATTATGAAGACGGGAATGAACAAGTAAAAATCTTGAAGGACCTCATGATATCTTGGGAAAATACTGCCTTTTATTCATCTTGCAAATATTTACTGAATGTCTACTATGTGCCAAGAACTGGTTTAACAGCCTAAAATTCCTGCCCTCATGGAATTTTTATTCTAAGACCCAGTGTGACACAGTTTATGCAGCTCAGGAGACAAGGATGGGAAGAACCTTCCCTAACTGTGGTGATGGTACGCTATTCTGAAGCTCTGAGTCCTTCCCGCAAATGCCAGTGGGAACCAGCATAATTAAAGGCAAAGGGCGCCTCAGGGTGGAGTGGCACTCAAGGCCTCTCTGATCCCACCCTGCCCTCTCTCCGATCCCACCCTGCCCTCTCTCCTGCTTTCTCTCAGGCTGGGCCATCAAGATCAGGCCTGAATGTTCCTGCTTGCACTTGCTCTCACCTCCCAGGGTTCTTTGTCCTCTGGCTGGAACAAAGTTCCTATCTTAGCTCTTACCCACTCATCTTCTAGAACCAGCTGTAACACCACCTCCCCTCCTCAATGCTTCCAAGGCCCCACATCTGTCTGTCTGTCCCACACCTGTGACACTTTATAATCAAATTTCCCCTAAGTCAGTCTTCCCCTTCAGACTGCCTAGCTCCATGAAGGCCAGGAATGATCCGAATTCACTGGCCCAGCAAATAGCTGGTGCTCAGCAAACATGTTTGTGGGATGAGGCAATCTGGATCCCTGTGGAAGGAGCACTGTCCTGAGAGTCACAGACCTGGAGTCTTGTCCCCTTTCTGCCTGGCTGGTAGTGTCACTCTGATCAGTTAATTAAACTTTCCGGGGCTGGGCGCGGTGGCTAACACCTGTAATCCCAGCACTTTGGGAGATGAAGGCAGGCGGATCGCTTGAGGTCAGGAGTTCGAGACTAGCCTGGCTAACAACATGGTGAAACCCCGTCTCTAATAAAAATACAAAAACTAGCCGGGTGTCGTGGTGGGCATCTGTAATCCCAGTCCCTCAGGAGGCTGAGGCAGGAGAAATGCCTGCACCCGGGAGGGACAGGCTGCAGTGAGCCAAGATTGCGCCACCACACTCCAGCTGGGTAACAAGACTCTAGCCTGGGCGACAGACTCCATCTTAAAAAAAAAAAAAAAAAAAAAAAAAAAAAACACCAAAAAACCCCACCTTTTTGGGCTGTCTTCCCCTTTGTGAAAGGACAGCTTGATTATGTCAGGAACACCCCACATGTGCTACCCTTCTCTGCTCCTGTGGCACTTTCCTCCACGTAGCCTTAACTTTGCCTCAGAATCTTTCTCAAGGCAGCACTTTAAGATGCCATGTCAATCAACCAGGATTGGCACACGAAGCGAGACGCAGTTAGATGATCATAGAGATCTTATTGCTCAAACGCCCAATGGTTCCATCGGCCTAATGGAAACCTCAGCTCCTATATGCTTCCCTTCTGAGAGTGTCAGTGTCCCCACCAGTGGGACAATGTCAACGGTCGCTCATCTACCTCTGTGAACTTGTCAGCCACCATGTAGCGGACGCGCCAGGACTTGTCTTCAGCGGCCTGGCGCAGAGTGGGCATCACCAGGGCCTCCAGATCCTCCTGGGGCAGAAGCTGGGCGATGTTCACGCACGCCTCCACCGCCAGCAGCCGCACCGAGTCCTAGGGAGAGGAGAGGAACAGTGGGAGGGCAGCAGAGGCCTTGCTGAGCTCTGGGATTCTCTTTCATGGGCAGGAACCACCAGAAGGACGGGAGAGCAGAGGGCCAGGAAGCAAAACTCACCTGCTCGTCAGAGGCCAGGTTGGAGAACATGGGGATGATCTCACTCTTGACGTTGTCCAGCTCCAGCACCTTGGCAAACTCCCCCAGCTTGGAGGCTGCGGCCCGCCGCACCATGGGGGTGTCATCTGAGCACAGGTTCCGGAAGTACCTGGGAGTCGGGGACGGGGATCCTGAGGCAGCAGGCAGTATGGCAGAGAGGAGCAAGCACAGACTCTGCAGTTGTGTGGGTCCAGGTTTTAGCTGAATGACCTTGGGCAAGTGATGACCCCCTCTCTGTCTTCCCAGCCCTATGAAACGGAGCTGATAGTAACAGTACCTACCCCACAGGTCCGCATGAGGTTTAAATGAAAATAGTGTGTGTGAGACACTTCGCAGATTGCGCATAATAAATCTAGTCAATGCTAAGTGCTGACGATTACATCATTCCCATAAAAATTGCTTAACCAACGAGCCAGGCACAGTGGCTCATACCTGTAATCTGAACACTTTGGAAGACCAAGGCAGGAGGATTGCTTGAGCCCAGGAGTTCAAGACCAGCCTGAGCAACATAGTGAGACCCCATCTCTGCCAAAAATAAAAAATGAGCCCAGCGTGGTGTTGCACACCTGTGGTCCCAGCTATTTGAGAGGCTAAGGCAGGAGGAATGCTTGAGCCCAGGAGGTTGAGGCTGCAGTGGGCTATGACTGCACCAGTGCACTTCAGCCTGGATGACAGAGCGAGATCCTATCTCAAAAAACAAACAAACAAAAAACTGCTTAACTAAGAGGCAGGTCTAGAGCCACAGAAAGGCTTTATTTTTCAGCAGCAATTGCTTCGATCAAAGGCGGTGGGGGCCAGTGTAAGTATCTAAGCAAGTGTACAGCCATAAACCAGAGTTCTGGAGTGAGTCAGGCTCAAACCCGGGCTTGACGGTCAATCGTTTGCAAAGTAGACGAGCAGGAGGCTGAAAACTGAGGTGGTTTATCTGCCAAAGGCACTGGACCTGGGACAGGCTGGAGATACCATCAGATGTAAGTTGCTGAAAGTTTTTATGTTCCAGATTTTGCTCTAAGCACTTTATGTGTGATAATTCTTTTAAATCCTCACATTAACCAGTGGGAAGGAGGACCTGTCATCATCTCAATTCCTAAGTGAGCAAGGGGGCAGAGGTGGGTAAACTGACACGTGGCCGTGTCCAGAGACCAACTCTCGAGGATGTGGCCTATCAGGTGGTAAGCAGGAGTGGGAGTGGAGAGAGTTCAGGGGCATTTGGGCCCCAGCTAGACCAAAAGGAGTCTGAGGCTTTAGAGAAGGTTGGAGCTGAGATGGGAGCTTGGAGCTTCCAAGGAGGCAGAGACTCACTGTCGAAGTTCCGCCTTCACAGCACTGGACACTCGGGGGTAGCAGACGGAGAAGAGGCCGCAGGCCGAGGTGCGGGAGGTGAACCAGTCGCCGCCCGCCAGCCGCTTCACTAGCGGCACAAAGTGCGCCTCCAGGTCAGAGGGCGAGTGCTCGTGTGAGATGGCCCGTAAGGACTCCACTGCCTTGTCCCGCACCACTGTCTCCTCCACTGTGGCCAGCGACTCCAGCGGTGGCTGTGGTGAGAACACAAAGTCACTGGACAGCTCCCTCTCCACCATCCGCAGCCCTGGAGCCCCATCCTGCACCCCATCATGGGCTCATCTCCTCAGAGAAAACTTCCCTATTACCCATCCCGACCTTCATTAAAATAGCCTTTAAAAATGGTTGCAATGAATGACTCAAAGGAAAAACGTAATATTATGCCAGCCAGCAGAAGGTCTCTGTCAGCGTGCCTTCCACAAAGGTTCTTATTTAGGGGTCCTTGAAGGAGTTTCACTGGGGTCCATAAACCTTAAAATTACACACGTTGCTTTCTGAGGAGAAAGTTCTTAGCCTCTCAAAGTGCAATGATCATCACTGACACTGTGTAGAACATCTACTCACTGTGTGTACTAGGCAGGACCTCCGTGTTGTACCAGGGGTGCTTGTTCTTCCTCACTGAATTCTATAAAGCAAGTCCTGATTTTAAAGAAGAGAAAACGGGCCGGGCGCAGTGGCTCACGCCTGTAATCCCAGCACTATGGGAGGCTGAAGCGGGTGGATCACGAGGTCAGGAGTTCAAGACCAGCCTGGCCAATATGGTGAAACCCCGTTTCTACTAAAAATACAAAAAAATTAGCTGGGTGTGGTGGTGCGCACCTGTAATCCCAGCTACTCGGGAGGCTGAGGCAGAAGAATCCTTGAACCCGGGAGGCAGAGGCTGCAGTAAGCCGAGATCGCACCACTGCACTCCAGCCTGGGCAACACAGCGAGACTCCGTCTCAAAAAGAAAAAAAAAAAAAAAAAAAAGAAGAGAAAACTGAGGTACAGCCTGGCTTGCCCAAGCTAGTAATAGCTACAGGTCAGGATCGAAAACCTGACCTAAGCTTCCCATGAACAGTTACACACAGCTCTGGTGACTGAATTGGGATCTCATGTTTCTGGGGGACTATGGGGCTCGGGACTGCTCGCTGGTTGTTACTGTGGGCCTAGAATGACTGTGCTCCTTCAGATACATACGACTGGCTCTCCACTGTATCCCCAGAGCCCAGCAGCACTCTTAGCACAAGACAGGAACTCTTAATTAGTGACCTACTGAAGGGAGACTCAACTTATCCCAATATGTTCAAATAAAGGTGTGGAGGTCTCTGATCTGAAATTCAACTTGGGCTGACAGGTATTTAAAGCAGGAAAAAAAAAATCATAAATGGAAATGCCTCCAGGGCTCAGTCAAGTAACAGAATGATGCCATCAGCCAAGGTGACAGGCAGGGGTGGCAGGAGGCATGAATAGGAAGAGGCAGGCACTGTGGCACCCTGGAGGGCATGTAGCCCAGGGAGGGCAGGTGCTCCCCAGCTCCAAGGACTGTCACTATGGGAGAATGCAGCTGGCAATAAGCAAATCTGGTTTTCCAAATGCAGCCCTCAAAAAAACTCAAGAATCTTGTATGTGAGAAGTCTCATGTAACACATGCTACAACATGGATGAACCTTGAAGATGTTATGCCAAGGGAAATTAGCTAATAGTCATAAAGACAAATATTTTCTGATTCCACTTATATGAGGAATCTAGAACAGTCAAACTCCTACGGTGGCTGCCAGGGGCTGGGGGAGAGGGAAGGGGGAGCTCATGTCCAATGGGTTTGGAATTTCAGTTTGAGGAGGTGAAAAATTCTGGAGATGGAGGGTGATAATGGCTGCACAATGTGAATAAACCTACCGCCACAGAGCTACACACTTTAAAATAATTAAAATAGCACATTCTATGTATATTTTTACAGTAAAACTAAGAATAAAAACAAATGTTTAAAAATAGCATTTAAAAATAGTTGCAATGAATGATTCAAAGGAAAAATGTAATACTAAGCAAGCCAGCATAATGTCACTGTCACAGGTCCTCATGCTATCGTGACGTCTCAAGTTCAGGACAGTATCATGGGAGTGTGACCATAGGTGCGGTGTGACTGGGATACTGCAGGGACAGAGTTCCTCTTGTTCACCTCAGTTCTCCCACCACCTGGGCTGGCACAGAGAAGGTACTCAATCAACACTTGCCAAGTGACTACCGGTGGAACTTACGGCAATCTGTTATAAGGAGGCCTGGGACAGAGGCTGAGCAGTAATTATGTAAGCCAAGGTTCTCTTCTCCTGTAGGTTACTGCAGGAAGTAGTTCTCAAAGGATGATCCCTGACCACCCTGCAGCAGAATCACCCGGAGGCCTATCCCAGCATGGACCAAAACAATCAGAATATCTGGAGGCAGGGCCCAGGAAGGTACACATTTAAGAAACTGCAATTGATGCCTTTGCACAGTGAAGACTCACTACTGTGAAGCCTCTCTGTGAAGTCTGGGGGCAAGGGTTCTCAAACCTGGAGACCACACAGGGTAGGGAAGAGTGTGAACCGCCTAAAATCCTGTGTACTTTTATAAGAAGAGGGTCCAGAATTTAACAGATTCTCAAAGGGATCCATAATTCCAAAAGAGTTAGGAACTGCTGGCCGGATGCGGTGGCTCACGCCTGTAATCCCAGAACTTTGGGAGGCCAAGGCAGGTGATCATTTGAGGCCAGGAGTTCTAGACCAGCCTGGCCAACATGGTGAAACCCTGTCTCTACAAAAAATACAAAAATTAGCCAGGCATGGTGATGGGTGCCTGTAATCCCAGCTACTTGGGAGGCTGAGGCTTGAGAATCACTTGAACCCGGGAGGCAGAGGCTGCAGTGAGCTGAGATTACAACACTGCACTCCAGCCTGGGTGACAGAGCGAGACTCTGTCTCAAAGAAAAATAAAAATAAAAAGAGCTGCTGACACAGAAACAACCCTCACACCCAGGCACGGTGGCTCACACCTGTAATCCTAGCACTTTGGGAGGCCGGGGTGGGTGGATCACCTGAGGTCAGGATTCCGAGACTAATCTGACCAACAAAGTGAAACCCCGTCTCTACTAAAAATGCAAAAATTAGCTGGGTGCGGTGGCACACGCCTGTAATCTCAGCTACTCGTGAGGCTGAGGCAGGAGAATCACCTGAACCTGGGAGGCAGAGGTTGCAGTGAGCCGAGATCCCGCCACTGCACTCCAGCCTGTGCAGCAAGAGTGAAACTCCATCTCGGGAAAAAAACAAAACAAACAAAAAAACAATCCTTACACTGCAGCTACAGGAGTCTCTGTAATTAATTCCATTTCACCACTGCTGAGAGCAAGGGCCGGGAGTGGGTCTGACACATCTCTGGGTTTCCATAGCCTAGAGACCTTGCTCAATGTTTGTGGAATGAAGAAACTACACAAAGCCATTTTCTATTTCTTATAACCTGTCAAAATCCAGGTTAACAGCCACCTCCTCCAGGAAGCCTTCCCTGACAACTTCCCATCCCACCTAAGCAGGTTAGGCGCCTTCCCTGGGTTTAAGGACCCCCCTGCCTCCCTTGTTTACAGCTCTGAAAGCAACCAGGAGCCCTCTGAGGATAGCACATAGGAGTGGCTAAGAATTAGGGGCCTGGGATCGAATCTGGACTCTGCCTCTTCCCAGCTCGGACAATTCACTTAAATCTGCCTGTGCCTCAGTTTCCTCATCTGGGCAATACAGCTAACATCAGTATACAACTGTGTAAGGCTCTTGGGATGTGCACTGCAGGCAACGAGCAAGCACAAGCTATTCTGATCTAACTCTTCTCTGGTTTCCAGCACTGCCTGGCCCAGACAGCCCCAGGATGTGTCTGCTGGCTGACATGAACGTCAGGCACATCGGTCACAGGGAACTGCTTCCCAAAAGGAAGCGTGGCTTGACTGGGACTTTCCTCACTGAGAATGTTCTGTTGGGAGACCCTGGCCAGGTAGGAGAAGGATCCCTGGGTCCCAGCCCAGCTCCACAGCAAGCCTGAGTCCCAACCTCAGTTGCAGACCCTGGGGGCCCTTGTTGAAGCCTTGCGGTTTCATAAAAATAATGTCTTCTGCTCCTAAGTCCTCTGAGAAGCTACTGAAAGCTATGAATTCACTGCTCAGAAGTTCCACCTGACAAATACCAGGCAGGGGCTACAGATAATTTTGTGAAATTCAAGGAACCCCTTCTAGGCTGGCCCCCAAACCTCATCATGCTCATGTTAAGCCCTGTTTTGTGTAAAATGTATGAAACGATCTATTTGTATACAATTTTCTGTGTGTCCATACGCACAAATTATACACATATGCCCAGATGAAGGCTGAGATATCCGAATTTAATGGTAACTATCAAGTTTCTTTACATAATGCTATTTGGGAAGAAACAAATTGTTATATTTACTCAAATCCCAAGATCCCAACAATGATAAGCACCATTCTTTATACACCACTAGAGCTAGGAGAAAGGCTGCTGCTAACTAATACACCATCAACTGCCGGTGCCACATTGTATCTCTAGCGACAGTGAAATACACAATCACTGGGGGAGTGGGGCAGAGGCAGAGGCAGCAGCAGTGGCCCAGCACTCTGAGAACAGTGAAAACCAGGGGACTAGGTAACCTGTACGGTCTGCCTTCCCAGATCATCTTCTCTCAAACAACGCTGCTTGTTGGGATCTGGCCCATCTTTGTGTCCTTGGCCATCACCTAGCACGGGACACACAGGCAGGCAGTGGGGTGGGGACCTGGCAGACAGTCAAATGGACAGACCAAGAATCCCAGCTCTGCCATCTACTAGTCATACAATCTGAAGAGACGCTTAACCTCTCAGTGCTCCAGGTGGCTCACCCATAAACAGGGAATCCCTCCTACCCCAAAGGCTGGATATGATGTCACAGCAACAATAATGACAATTGCAGTTAACATCGGTTAGTACCTACTAAGTGCCAAGTACTGTGCTAGGGCTCTTCAAGGTAATTTAAAAAGGTTTTCATAACCCCATTGTGCAGATGAGAAAGGTACAGCACAGAGAGGGTAAGTAATTCTCTTACAAGTCACACAGCAAATAAGCAGTAGAACCCAACCTGACTCTAAACCCACAGCCCTATGTAGAATCCCAGGTAAGGCCTGGCACTGGGCACCTACCTGACCACTAAACAGAAAGGATGATAACTGCACCCTGAGTTCACGATATTAAAAGCCACTCCTGACTTGTTGGATTAAAGCGGATGTCCATGGCCCGGCTGTTCTGACGTGATCCCCACGCTCTCTGACACGCTCCCCTCCCTGCCCTAGGCCGGCAGGACCATGGGCCGACCCTAAGGGGTGGGCAAGAGGACTTCCTGCCTTCCACTCACCAGCAGGCAGTGCACGTACTCTGGGCCTCCCACCAGGGTAGTGAAGGTTCCCAGCTGTTCTGCCAGGGCCAGGAGGACCTCATCTTCATCATAGATGGTATCTGTGGAACCAAGACAGACTTCGTGACTATCCCATCTCAACTCTGACCCCAGCCCAAGCTCAGAACACATGGACTCCATTCTGCTTCCTCAGGCTGTCAGCACTCAGTTCTTCCATCCGCCCACTTGCTCCCCCACTCTCCACCTGGGCTGCCACAGATATTAAGGTACAGGCTTGGCTGGGATAAGAGAGCCCTAAGTCCTGCTTCTGCCCTCTAGCGGGTGTGAAATACTGACTGAGTGATTCCACCTCTCTGAGTCCCAGCTTCTGCGTCTGTAAAATGGTGTTCACCATCCCTCCCTCGTAGCAACGGTTACAGTGAGGAGCAAATATGACTAGGTGTATAAAGCGCAGAGCATGGTCAACGAGAGCTTTTTTGGGGTCCAGCTTCTCCCCTCAGCACTGTTCCCTCTGCCAGAAATTTATTTTTATCCTTGGAGATTCAGTTTAGCCGCCCCTTCTTGGAAGATTTCTAGGATGTCCGCTACACCTTCTCTGGGCTCAGTCTCTCTCTCCTTCCATGCCACCTTTACCACATCCTTAACATAGGCTATAATCAGCGAGCCCAGGACTGGCTCCTCTCTGTGCCCCAGTTCCTGCCAGAGCTGAGCACAGACAGACAGCAATTCAGGTTTGCTGAAAGAATGAATATGTGAAGGGAAAATCCGTTCTGTCCCTAATGCCCACATCCAAAGGCCTCTCTCTTAAGCTCCATCCTCTCATCCCTGAGGCAGTGGGAACTGCTGATCTCTGCACAGCACAAGCTGCTAATATCCCTGGCATCTATTGGCACTTAAACCTCCTGCATTTAAGTTGGGTGTATGGCAATCCAGCAGCCGACTGCATTTCCCAGACGCCCTTGCAGTTGGCAAGGCCACGTAACCTTGCTCTGGCCAAAGGGGTGTGAGTGTAAGTGGTGGGTTCAACTTCTGCATCACCTCCTTACCACAACCCTCTCATTTAAGGAGTCATTATCATCATCTCCATTTTATGGTAGGTTCAAATCTTGCTTTACTGTTGGCTGCTTATACAGCAGCTCACTTCATCTCTCTGAGCCTTTGTCATCCCCTAAATCACCACAGGGCTGTTCTCACTTCATAGGGTTGTTCGGAGACTAAAGGGAAATAAATGCTTTCATTGAAGAGCTCAGCACAGGGCCCAGTAGGAGGGTTAGTATCTCTGCCTCTTCCTTCAATAAATAAATTCTCGCCAATGTGACTCCAGCTACACTGTTCTTAGGCTCGTTCCCAGCCTCAGTTTCCCTGGCTCCCTCTGCACACAGTTAAAACCACCCTCCCTGTTTTCTTTGTCTCCTGAAGACCTTATGCGTATCCACGGACTCAATTCTTATTCATCTTTATCTCCAGTCTAGACCTTATAGCCAAGCAATGCTGCTGAAGGCCAAACACCTGGGAACTGCCAGCACCTTGTCTTTCCACCAATCCACAGAGAACTATCCTTCTTGGAAGGGTTGGCAGCTCCTTCTGAGCCAAGCCTGTCAACCCTCCCAAACTAAGGTCACTCTGATCATCACTAGCTGTCGCCTGGGAGACTGCAACAGCTTCTTACCTGGTTTTCCTGCTTCCACCTTTGCCCCTACACCATCTGATCTCCCAGACCCCAGAGTGACTCTTTCAGGTGTAAAAGAAATCCCGACACTCTTTCATTTCAATCTGCCAATAGTTTCAAAGAAACCTGATCTCACATACTGTGGTCACTGTTCTTCTCCAACCTCATGTCCTAGTCTCACTCTCCCTTAACAATCTTGCTCAACCCATGGCTACCTCACTGCTATTCTTCCAACACACTGAGCTTACATCTGCCTCTCCCCACAGCCTGAAATGCTCTTCCCACAGAGTTCCACATGGCTGGTGCCTCCGTTCCACTCAGGACCCTCTGCCATTAAGCTTCCATAAAAACCCAGAGGGTTCAGAGAGCTTCCAGATGGTGAAACACATAGAGGTTCTTGAGGGTGGTGGGCTCAGGGAGGGCACGGAAGCTCCAGGCCCTTTCCCCCACACCTCATTCTCTGTATCTCTTCATCTGTATCCTTTGCAAAATCCTTTATAATAAACCAGTAAACATAAGTGTTTCCCTGAGTTCTATGAGCCTAATCAAACCCAAAGAGGGGGTCGTGGGAATCCCAACTTGAAGCTGATCAATCAGAAGTTCCACAGGACCAGCGACTGGTGGTCAGGGCTGGGGACAGTCCTGGGGACTGAGCTATCAATCTGTGGGATCTGAACCTGTCTCTGGGCAGACGTGTCAGAACTGAATTAGAGGACAACCAGCTGCTGTCCACTGCTTAGTTTGGGGAAAAAAACCCAGACATATGGTCACAGAAGTCATGTTCTGTGTTATGATTGCTGTGGTGTGAAAGTAGAGGAAAGTCACAGAGTTTTCCCTACACACCCCGAGTGTTAGGTACTCCTCTTATTAGACTCCTTTACAGACAAGGGAAATGAGGCTAAGAGAGGTGGAGTGACCTACTCAGGTTTTCCTAGCAAGTCAGTGGCAGAGCTGCTTATTGCAAACCCAGGTCCAACATTTTTCCTCTACAACTTCTTCACCACTTTATTATCCTGCCATGCTTCAGCATTCTAAAGCTTTCAAGTCTCCCCAACAGTTCACCAATAGAAGCCACCTGGTTTGGGGCCATTTGTTCAGTGTCATACGAGCAGACACCTACTCTTCATGCACCATCCAGTCAGACACACCTGCACCCCTCAGTCACTAGCTGTGCCACTGTAGGCGAGTCACTGCACCTCTTTAGGCTCCAATACCCCATCTGTCCAGTGTGGGGAGGGGTAACAATCTCAAGCTCCTTCCTCCCCAGGATCATCACTAGGTCCAAGTAAGATGTTCCCATACACAAGAGTTTAGTGACAAAGCACTCTGAACCTTCAGCTGTGATTTCAGCTGGTAATAAGTATAAAATATGAAGTAGTAATGGGAATAATGATAACAGAGAATTTACTATTAATTGTGGTCCAGTCTGTGTCAGACAGTGTATTAAATGCTTTACCTACATCCTCACAAACAGCAGTGCTTAGTAACAGCCTGGCAGCTATCGCTTAGGCGGCACGTACTATACAGTGTTATAAGCACTTTACAGTATCTTATTTAGTCTTCATGTTAGGTTACATAATTATGCCCATTTCACCTGTGAAGAATCTGAAGCAGGCAGATGTAAAATATCTTGCCCAAAGTCACACACCTAGAAAGTGGTAGAGCTCAGATTTGAAATCAGTCATTAACCAATGCTGTCAAGTTAAAGGCCAGAATGACTAGATAAATATCCCTTCTCAGTTACCTCCTCACTGCATGACCTTGGGCAAATGAATCACTTCACCTCTCTACACCTTGGTTTCTTCATCTATAACATGGGGACAGCAGTATTACCTGCTTAAAGCACTGCTGTGAGATCAACTGGGTGAAATGATAGTGATGTATGTTTACTGAGTACAGGCAGCTTTCTAAACACTTTATATGAACTCAATCCTCACAAGATACGGTGTAGAACACCACCTGGCATACAGTAAGCATATCATAAGTATTAGCAATTGTTATTAACATTGAATGCTCAGATCAACACTTTGGCACATGGATGATTATCCCAATCTACAGATGAAAAATATAAGAAACAGGTAAACTAACTTGTCTAAAGTCACCAGCTTCCAACTGTTGGAGCTGCAACTCAAACCTCGTTCTACCTGCTTCTAGATCCCTTTCACCATCTGTCTCCATCATTCCAGACCATTCTTTTAGAGCAAGACTGCACTTCTCTGAATCCCTTTTCCCACTCCATAGTGTCTAACACAGGGCAGATATTCACAAACAATATGTTAAATCCACAAGTCTTCTCTTATATAGTGAAAACCACCTCCCAAGAGTCCCCACATCTGGGCCCCAGGGGTCCCCTTTGTTACCTGTAAGGAAAGGCAGAAGCTCACTTCGGGTCCTTTCAACCCCAAGGGCCAAGGCGATGGTGGACAGCTTCTTGATGCTGTTGAGGCGAAGCTAATGAGAGAACAAGAAGAGGAGGGGAGAATGTTAGAAATCCCAGACACGCGTGAGTTCTGACAGCTCTCAACCCAGTCAGCCCCTGGAAGCCTTGCTTGGTTACATGTGAAGATGCTCAAGAGTAATTTGGCAAACACCCACCAAGAGACCCTGTGACCTCGAGGGAATCATTAAATAACAACAATAGTAGTGGCAGCAGCAACAAATGCAAAAGCATCCCTTGGGTCTTATGAAGGTGACACCTACTCAGTTGCACTTTCCAGGACCACTCTGTTGAAAACTGTACTCCCTCTCCTCCTCTCTCTTCATCACTTTCTCCTATACACAGTATCATGTAACATGCCAATGCACTGTACTTTAACAGCAGCAGCCACGTTTATAACACGCTTCCTCTGTGCCCGGTCCTCGGCTAAACACATCCACACACCTGCACCCATGTCACTAGCTGGAGTCCCATTTTACAGACAGGGAAACAGGCTCGGGGAACAAAAGCCCCTCTCAGGGTCAGACAGCTAAGATCACATGGAGCAGGATTTAAAGCCAGGATTGCTGGCTAAGTGATTGTAAAAGAACAAACAACACTCCAGCCTGGGCAACAGAGTGAGACTCTTTGTCTCAAAGAGAAAAAAAAATTATTGTAATAAAATGACTACAAAAACAAGAGTAGCATTAGCAGTAGTAATAATACCACCAGTACAGGAGGCTGAATAGCAGCCTCAAAAAGTTATGTCCCAGTGACGTGCACGTCAAAACAGTCTTTGCAGGCGTAGTTAAGTGTGTCCAGATAATATCATCCTAAACGGAGGGTTAGCCTTGAATCCAGTGACGTGCACGTCAAAACGGTCTTTGCAGACGTAGTTAAGTGTGTCCAGATAATATCATCCTAAACGGAGGGTTAGCCTTGAATCCAGTGACGTGCACATCAAAACAGTCTTTGCAGACGTAGTTAAGTGTGTCCAGATAATATCACCCTAAACGGAGGGTTAGCCTTGAATCCAGTGACGTGCACGTCAAAACAGTCTTTGCAGACGTAGTTAAGTGTGTCCAGATAATATCATCCTAAACGGAGGGTTAGCCTTGAATCCAGTGACAGTGTCCTTCTAAGAGACAGAAAGGAAGACAGATACAGAGGGGAAGGCACGCATGTGAAGATGGGTGGAGAGACCAGGAGATGCATCCACAAGCCCAGGAACACAAGGAATTGCTGGAGCCACCAGAAGTCCTAACTTCCAGAGAGGCATGGAATGGGTCTCCCTCAGAGCCTCCAAAAGGAACCAACCCTGCCGAGACCTTGATTTCAGACTTCCGGCCTCCAGAACTGTGAGAGAATAAATTCGTTGTGTTAAGCTACCCAGTTCATGGTGATTTGCTGTGGCAGTCCTAGAGAACTATTATATTTGGCTAACACACATAATAGATCTCACAACAAGCATTTACATGTTGGGACCTCATTTGATCCTCCAGATCCTAAAAGAAAAGCATGGCTAATATCCTCTTTTCACCACTTTGGAAAGTGACGATCAGAGAGGTAAAGACACCTACCAAAGCAAGCACCGAGGGAGTGTGGGATCCAAAGCCAGCTGCTCTGATGGCAGGACAGACTGTGAAACTCTCCCCTCATTTCTTCATCACCACGAGGCCTCTCCTATTATTAATAGCTCCCAGCACTGTCACAAGAATGGAATGAGCTCATGAGTGTGAGAGTGGGAGGAAATGCTTTCATGAGGGGGAGAGTGACTAATGGTCCCACGGGGGACCTTTCTTCCTGGATAGAGGCAGAACAGGTAGGGACAGGGCGAGGTTGAGGAGCAGGAGCTCCCTTAGCCTGTTCTGTTCTGAGGCCCTACATAACTGAGACGAGGTCTACAAGTGACTAAGATCTTGCGTGAGTTGGGTTCTCCGGTCCAGGAGTTGAAGAATATCTCTGCGATCACAGACGATGAGCATCTGATGAAGTGTTGTGATGGTCTCTCCTCAGAAAAATGCACACAGTAAATCTTTCATACAGGTAGTCCAAAAACTCACCATTCTGGCATTAAACGGACCTCAGGATAAAGTACTACAAAACCTGCAACTGATTTTCAGCTAAAAAATAAAACGTATATAGAGACAGACCTATAGAAAGATAAAAAACTAATATAGCAAACACTAACAATCACTGACCTGGGGTGTAAGTATAGAGGTGCTCACTGCACTATGCTAGAAGTCAGCAAAACTTATTCTATACATTGCCAGACAGTAATTATTTTCAGCTTTGCAAACCTAACTACTGAACTCTGCTTGCGTGGCACTGAAAACAACCATAGAACCAGAACTAGAGAAGCAAACAGGCATAGCTGTGTTCCAATAACTTTACTTGCAAAAGCAGACAGTGGGCTGAATTGGACCCATGGACTGTAGTCTGCTGACCCTTGTGTTAGTCTTCCAAAGTTATGCATGTCTGAAAACTTTCATAATAAAATACTGTGGGGAGGCCAGGCGCAGTGGCTCATGCCTGTAATCCCAGCACCTTGGGAGGCCGAGGCAGGCGGATCATGAGGTTAGGAGATCGAGACCATCCTGGCTAACACGGTGAAACCCCGTCTCTACCATAAATACAAAAAGAAATTAGCCGGGCGTGGTGGCGGGCGCCTATAGTCCCAGCTACTCGGGAGGCTGAGGCAGGAGAATGGCGTGAACCTGGGAGGTGGAGCTTGCAGTGAGCCGAGATGGTGCCACTGCACTCCAGCCTGGGTGACAGAGTGAGACTCTGTCTCAAATAAATAAATAAATAAAATAAAATAACATAAAATACTGTGGGGAGTATTGACCTAGTTGCCTATTTCTTTCCTCTTTGTTTTCTCCAAGTTGATCTGTGTGTTCTTCTCTCAGCCTGAGCTATGGGGAAATATACACATGGGCTAGGGCCATACTAGGTGAGCAACAGCCCTGAGGACAATGAGATGGTACAGGGAATAATTACAATTAATAATCATAATCATAAATGCCAGAACAATAGCAACAAACATTTATTGTTTGCTACGTGCTTGGCAGCAATCCAAGTGATTGACATGGATGATTAACACACTGAATCCTCATAACTGCTCTGAGGTATGTATTGTTAGCAGCGTCCCCACTTCACTGATGCACAGAGGCGAGTGAGGACACTGATGCACAGAGGTGAGGCTGTCACTTACTGGAAAGCAATGAAGCCAGGCAGCCTGACTCAATTTCAATATCATACTGTCATTTAGGCAAAAATGTTTGTATCATGAAGCTTCCATAAAAACCAAAGAGGAAAGGATTCAGAGAGCTTCCTGATAGCAGAACATGCACATTCTTGGAGGGTGGCATCCCCAGGGATGGCACGAAAGCTCCCCGCCCCTTCCTCCATAGCTCACCCTATGCACCTCTTCATCTGTATCCTTTGGAATATCCTTTATAATAAACCGGTAAACCTAAGTGTTTCCTGGAGTTCTGTGAGCCGCTCCAGCAAATTAATCAAACCCAAAGAGGGGGTCGTGGGAACCCCAACTTGAAGCTGGGGATGCCCAAGAGGTGGGCCCATGACAATCAGGCTGCTTTCCCATCCAGAGAGCTCCCTTCCTTCCACTGCTGTTCTTTGGGATTCTGCTTTTGGTTTCATTAAAAGTGTTTCTTCAGGCAGACAGCATCATCAATGCTTGAGAAAGATGGCCTAGGGTGGTACTACAGAGCTGCACTGTCCAGGTTCAAGGCTAAACTGCTTACATATTAGCTGTGGAATCTTGGGCAATCCTTGTACCTTTCTGAGCCTCAATTTTCTCATCTGTGAAGTGGGGATGATGAGAATACCTACCCTCAGAGGGTTGTCTTGAGTACAAAATGACATTCTACAGGGACACCCTAGCACCAGGGGAAGATTAATAATGGCAGCCGTGGCAACCACGCCTCACTGACAGCATCCTGATTTTGTTCAGATTATTAAGAAGGACATCGTGGCAGCTGGTCCACTGATGTTTCTTTTCCCTTTTTTCACCATGACAGAATAATAACAGTAAATATTTCCTTAGTCTCTACTATGCCCCAGGCTTTAATGTTTTAATTCATTTGACCCTCACAATCCCATGAGGGAAATACAGAATCCCCCGTCTTGAGGCAGAGAACACAAAGGCACAGGGAGCTTAACTGCATACAGCTTACTGGTAGTAAAGCCAGGATTTGAATCCCAGCCACCAGGTTCTTAACCAGTACTATGGATTCATATTTGCTCTGTTTTTTCTTTTTTGTTGTGCTTGTTGTTGTTTTGAGGCAGGGTCTCACTCTGTTACCCAGGCTGGAGTGCAGTGGCACAATCGTAGCTCACTGTAGCCTTGACCTCCCGGGCTCAAGTGATTCTCCCGCCTCAGCTACCCAAGTAGACGGGTCTACAGGCAGGTGTCACCAAGCCCAGCTAGTTTTTTAACTTTTTGTAGGGATGAGGCCTCACTATGTTGCCCAAGCTGCCCTCAAACTCCTGAGCTCAAGCAATCCTCCCACCTCGACCTCCCAAAATGCTAGGATTATAGGCATGAGCCACTGCACCCGGCTTTTTTTGGTTTTTCTCTTGTAGAGGGGTGGGGTGGTGCCATGAATCCCCTTAGCAGGTCTAATAATGAACGCAATTTTGAAAGAGGTGAACATAAACAACACTAGAAGATATGTATAATAGCAGAAATGACATGTGAACACAACTCCTGATTTCCACTGGTAAGTCACAGGTTTTGCTAACGCTACCTATGATATACTATAGTGATATTATAATCTATAACAGAAGGGAAGTTAAATGTAAGTTAAAGGTTAATGAAAATAAAGATGTTATTTTTGCCATCCAAATTCATGGACCTGCCTGGGAATTGCAGATGATCCCCAAGTTAGGAGCTCCTGCATGGGGCTATACTGCTGTTCATAATCCTTGGTTTTCAGCTGTACACATGACCCCTGGAAAAGACATTTCTGAATTGCCTTTGCATCTGAATGTGACTATAAAACTAACATCTGGCCAATAAAATCCAAGTGGAAATGTTTTGTGCAACTTATAGGGATGGGGGTCACACTTATCTTCCCTCCTTCCTGTCTGGAATGGAGCTATAATGGTTGGGGCTTCGGCAGCCAACTTGGGGACCTGAGGTAACCTGGGGGACACGGAGGGTAGAATGGAGGATACAACCAGCGCATAATGGTAAGAGCCTGGGACCCTGACACCATGAAGTGCCACAGCAGCCTGGATTGCCACCAGACATTTTGGTCATCAGTCAGATAGAAACTTCAAGCTCATTTAAGCCCCTGTTATTTAGAGTTTTTCTACTACTTACAGCCAAACTTAACTTCAACTAACTCTGCATATGACCTAGTTCTTGGCAAAGAGATATACAAGCAAGTCTGCTGAGGAGATTCAGGAGAGATTTTCCTCCTTCATAAAAGGGAGGAGGGAAAGAACCTCTGTGTCCTAAGCTGGCCTCTGCTAAACTGCACTAAAAAGTGCAGTTCCACTAGGACAGCAGATGCTGCTGGAATCTTATAACCAAAACAGGCCAGTCAAAAAAACCGCATTTCTGTGATATCTTTGAGCTGACCCAATTCTGTGATAGCTTTGAGCTGCTGAACTTGCTATATGAGAAATAAAGAGAACTCTTACTTGTTTAAACAACTCTAGGTTGGGGTCTCCGTCACATTCCTGATAGAAAATCTATTAATATCATTTCAGAAACCTTGACTGGCCATTGATCATGTCATATCCTGAGAATTCCCTGTGCACTGACTATCTCCCAAGTGTGTCCCCACCAAGCACCTGCTACAGTTGTGATACTGTGAGATACAGATTTGGGCTTCATCCCCATTTCCTTGCATACAACTCCTCAAATCTTTGGAATCTCCAAGGCGCTTTTTGTATGCTAATGTTGACTGATACCTTCAGGATGGGGTCCATGGTCACTGGAAAGATAGTCATGGAAAACAGAGAGGCATGATTAGAGGGTTGGGATTTTCAGTCCCACCCCACAACCTCCAGGGATCGGAGAGGGGCTGAAGGTCAAGGTGATCACCAGGTTTAATCAATCCTGCCTACCTAACAATGCCTTTATAAAAACCCAAAAGGACAGGGCCTGGGAACTTCAACATAGCCGAACACACAGAGGTTCCTGGAGGGTGGTGCACCCAAGAAGGGCATGGAAGCTCCACACCCCTTCCCCCATAGCTCACCCTATGCCTCTCTTCATCTGTATTCTTTATACTATCCTTTATAATGAACTGATAAACTTACATGTTTCCCTGAGTTCTGAGAGCTGCTCTAGCATATTAATCAAACCCAAAGGCAGGGTGGTCATGGGAACTCCAACTTGAAGCAGGTAGATCAGAAGTTCTGACGACCCAGAATGGCAACTGAAGGCGAGGGCCAAGGGGCAGTTTTGAGGCCTGAGCCCTCAACCTGTTGGATCCAACACTGTCTCCAGGTCGTGTCTGAACTGAATTGGAGGACATCCAGTTGGCGTGTGCTGCAGAACTGAATGCTTGCTTAGTGGTGGTGAAGAATCCCTCCCCACCCCAACACACATTTAGTCACGGAAGTCTTCTTCTGTGTTGTTGATTGTTGTGTTAAGTGAGAGAATAGGAATTGGGATTTTCCAAAGAGTCCACCCATATGGTTCCATGACAGCACTTACCACCCTAGACTGGGACTCTCTGTGTCCCAGCAGGCCTCGGCACAGAGCCTGCTCTGTGGTGAGTTAATAAATAAAATCCGCCTTCCCACTATATGCACCTGTGGAAAGGGGACCCACTTTTGAAGATCCACCCTGCATTCAACCCATGGAGCCTTCCATAATATGAATGTATATGGTATAATCCCACATGTAGTATGTTTTCCCTGCACATTCAGAATAAAAGCTAAGGCCTTACTCTGGCCTACAAGGCCCAACACAATCTGACCCTAGTCTACTGATCCATTCTCACTGGGCCTGGCTTGTCACAACTGCTTCCTTGATAGTAACCAAAAAAACAAACAGCCCAGTGTATTCCCAACCCAGGCTTTAGCACTTGCTGACTTGGTCCCACACGGTTCCCCAGATGCCCCATTTCCTCAGGTCTGCTCAATCCCCACCATATGACTACCGCAGAACAATGAGCAAGCCAATTTCACTGCATCTTCACAACCAGGCACACGCTGATTCTTCATCATTATCCCCATTTTGCAGATGAGGAATCTGGGTCCAAAGAGGGGAAAGTACTGCTCCAGGGGCACACAGAGAGCACAACTGGCAGAGCGGGGGTTCAAACTTCAGTCACCCTCAACTCTTCCCTCTACATTACCCACCAGCAAATCCCATCAGCCCCCCTCAACATGTCCTGACTGTAACCATACTTCCCCCCTGCATGCTAACACTGGTCCTGGGTGCTTTGTAATGGCACCTCAACAGGGCCCAACCCCTATGACAGCCAGAGGAAGGATCCTTTAAAATTATACCAGAACCCATAATTACTACTGAAAGCCTTGCAATTCCTCCTCCTCCCTCCCATCTTCAAGGCCTTCACCTTGGCCCACAGGCCTCACTTGATCTAGTCCTGGTCTAGTCCTCACCTCCCACCACTTTGCCATTCTCTCTGCCTCAGTCACACTGGCCTTTTTGCTGTGCTTTGAACGCATCAAGCATCCTCCCACTCCTGGCCTTTGTACCAACTATTCCCTCTGCCCAGACTGCTCTTCCACGACCTGTTCATTTCATTCAAATCCTTGTTCAACATCACTTCCTCAGAGCAGCTTTCTCTAACCTCCCTATCTAACAAAGCAGCCCCAGGTGCTTGCTCTATTCCCTGTACCTGTCTTATTTTGTTCTTTTTTTTTTTTTTTTTTTTTTTTGGAGACAGGGTCTTGCTGTCGCCCAGGCTCTCACCGCAGCCTCGATCTCCCTGGTTCAAGCAATCCTCCGACCTCAGTCTCCTGAGCAGCTGGGACCAAGGCCTGTGTCATCACACCAGCTAATTTTTTTTTTTTTTTTGGTAGAGACAGGGTCTCACTTTGTTGCCCAGGCTGGTCTTAAACTCCTGGGCTCAAGCGATCCTTTCACCTTGGCCTTCCAAAGTGCTAGAATTGGCCAGGGGTGGTGGCTCATGCCTGTAATCCCAGCACTTTGGGAGGCAGAGGCGGGCAGGGAGTTTGAGACCAGCCTGGCCAACATGGTGAAACCCACTCTCTACTAAAAATACAAAAATTAGCTGGATGTGGTGGTGGGCGCCTCTAATCCTAGCCACTCAGGAGGCTGAGGCAGGAGAATCACTTGAACCCGGGAGGCGGAGGTTGCAATGAGCAGAGACGGCCTGGACGACAGAGTGAGACTCTGTCTCAAAAAAAATAAAATAAAATAAAACCAAAGTGTTACAATTAGGCTTGAGCCACCACGTCCAGCAATTTTTCTTCTTAGCAATTACTGCCACTGACATCCCACTACAGATCTACTATCTGTCTCCCAAACCAGAATGTAAACCCCACAAGGGCAGCTTTGCTGTTTTGTTCCCTACTGTATGTCTAGTATCTAAAACAGAGTCTGGCACACAGGAGGTGCTGATAAATATTTGCTGAACAAATAAATCAAGACTACAGGATTTCATGTCCCATGTTCCTTCTAGTATCCTGAACTGTCTCAGACACAATTAAAATGTCTGGCATATGAATATAATCAGCAACCGTGTGTCCCACCCCAGATTCTATTCCACCCTTAGGTCCTACTTCCTTTCCTGGCTCCTTCATTTCTCAGCTGCACAGCTTTGGCCATGTTATTTATGGTGCTTCAGTTTCCTCATCTGGAAAATGTGGACAAGGACAGGACCTACTTCAAAGAGTGATTGTGAGAATTCAGTAAGATCGTCAGTGATATTCCTCTGTACTGTACCTAACATAGAGCAAGCACCCAATAATTTGTTACGCAGATGGTTTAAGTCAGAGGTCAGCAATTTTTTCCCTGCAAAGGGTTAGACAGCAAATATTTGAAGCTTTGCGGCCATCTCTGTTACAACCATGCAACTCTGGGCTGTAGCACAAAAGCAGCCATAGGAGCTTCCAGACAGATGAACACCTCGCGGTTCCTGGGGGGTGGAATGCCTAGGGAGGGCATGGAAGCTCCACACAACTTCCCCCACACCTCACCCTGCATGTGTCTTCATCTGTATCCTTTGCAATATTCTTTAGAATAAACCGGTAAGCTGCCTAGCTCTGATCCTGGCACAAAGACATCTCCCTACAAATGTCTGCTGGTTAGTGGATGGATGGATGAATGAAAAGATGGGAGGATAGATAGCTGAAGGAAGTGATCCTGGAGTTAAAAAAAACAAAAAACTGGCCGGGCATAGTGGCTCACGCCTGTAATTCCAGCACTTTCGGAGGCCGAGGCAGGAGGATCACCTGAGATCAGGAGTCTGAGACCAGCCTGGCCAACACCGGGAAACCCAGTCTCTTCTAAAAACACACACACAAAAATCAGCCAGGCGTGGTGGCCTGCGTCTGTAGTCCCAGCTACTCAAGAGGCTGAGGCAGGAGAATTGCTTGAACCCGGGAGGTGGAGGTTGCAGTGAGCAAAGATCGCGTCAGTGCACTCCAGCCTGGGAAACAGAGCAACAAGACTCCGTCTCAAAAAAAGAAGAAAAAAAAAAAAAGGCCATTACATATCTGTTCCCTCTTCCTGGGAGGCTCTCCCCCACCTTCTTTCAATCTCTTCTCAAACTCTGCATCCTCAGAGGGGCCTTGCCTGATTGGCCTTCTTAAAATGGATCTGCCCCACCCCACTTTGTACTTGCTGTGCCCTCTGCTTTCAGGCGTGTTCTCAAACAGGATCTCAACAAGGCCTCCCCTGACCACACTTTAAAACTGCATGCCCTATATATACCCCATCTCTCTTATTTTTATTTGTCTCCCTAATGCTTATCCCCAGTATACTCTGTTTATTGTCTGTCTCTCCTCACTACAAAATAAACTCCCCAAGGCCTAGAGTTTTTTCTGTCTTGTTCCTGCTATATACCAGTGCTTAGAACAGCGCCCTGCACAGAATAGAGGCCCAATTCAATATGGATTCGCTACCACTACATCCTATTTGTTTCCTTCCCATCACTTTTCAAACACTCATCTATTCAGCTCTGCTGACCTGTTTCACATCTGGATCCTGTATAGCAACTGGTGTCTCCACTATATCCCCAGCATCATATCTCATACATGGCATATATTTACTGAACAAAAGAATTCATACAACCGCCCTATGAACTAGGTAATTAACCCCATTAAAGAGAAGAGGAAACAGGCCTAGAGAGATTAACTAACTTGCCCTTGTCAATCAGTAACAAGTGGAAGGGCCGGGAATACAACCACAACCTGTATGCCACCAGAAACAGTGATATACCAGGAACCTAGGAGGCGAGACCCACGTTTGGCAGGTTACCCAGTGCACCTTGTCCAATTTTATAAATGGGAAAACAGACCTAAAGGGAGGATGGGACCTCTTTAATCACCACTCCCAATAATTACAGCTAATATTTATCGAGCCCTTACAACAGGCCTGACACCATTCTACTTTTTATTTGTGTCATAATTCGTTCAGTCCCTCACAAGTCCCTCCAGCAAGACCAGGACTACAATTAGCCCATATTTTATGGAACACAGAGACCCAAAGCGGTGAAGTAATTTGCACAAGGTCACACAGCAGGTGGGAGGTGGACTTGCAGTTCTAACTGTTCTCAATCCCACACCAGCCCGGCTCAGAGCCTTGGGTCACCTCATCCCATAACCAGGAATGTTCATCCGGGCTGGGCGCGGTGGCTCACGCCTGTAATTCCAACACTTTGGGAGGCCGAGGCGGGTGGATCGCTTGAGGTCAAGAGTTCCCGACCAAGCCTGGCCAACATGGTGAAACCCCGTCTCTGCTAAAAATACAAAAATTAGTCGGGCGTGGTGGCTCGCGCCGGTAATCGCAGCTAATTAGGGAGCTGAGGGGCGAGGATGGTTTGAACCCGGTATGCAGAGGTTGCACTGAGCCGAGATCGCGCCACTGCTCCCCAGCCCCAGCCTGGGCGACACAGAGACTGTCTCAAAAAAAAGAAATAAATAAATGTTCATCTGCTTAGCAAATCCCTCAACCCCTATCCTGGTCAATGGGAGGATCCGGGGAGATGGGGAGGCGGGTTTCTACAACCTAATTCGCTCCTAAACTTGGCTAGTCCCCACCTTTGGTGGGGGGGTGTTTTTGCGTCCCCGTCCTCTTAGGACACCTAAACCAAAATGAGAGGCGGAGGAAGAGCAGGAATTAGGATGGCAGGCCTTCGCCTCTCGGTCCCCACTTGGCCCAGCAGTCGAAACCCAGAAAACAAAAAAACCTTCCCAGGTCCCGACCCACCCGGCGGCCCTCCCCTACTTGGAGCAAGTCATGCGCGCCCCACATCCCCAAGAGGCCATTCAGAGGCCGCCGCCAATCACGGAGTCCTCCTCTCTCCCAGACCCAGTCCGCAGACCCCAGCCCTGGCCACAACCTCCCAGGACCGCGGACCGCCGCGCGCACAGGGCAGGCCCGGGACCCTCGAGGCTAGCGCTGGCCCCCGCCCTCCACTGGGCCGACACCCAATCGGGAGCGCCGTCTCAAGGAGTCCGGGCAACCGGGGAGATAAGAGACGCACGCTGATTGGCCGTCGCCCCCTTCCGCCACTCCCAGCGAACGCTGAGTCTTCTCCGCGAGGGCCGCCCGTGCCCCCAGGTACCCCTCCGCGTCTTCCCCAAGTCCCCCGTAGCCTCCGGACCTGAACGTCCTCATTGCGGAGTTCGTCTATGAGCACCGCGATGGGGTACAGCGAGTCGTCGCCGTCGGCCGCCGCCATCTTGGCTCCGTCCCTTTCCTGTCAGACTGCGGCCAGCGCTGTGCTGAAACGTGGGGGGGGCAATGCTGGGAGAAGAAGGAAGGGCGGGCGTGGGGGCGCCCGAGCCAGTTTACAGGGGCTGCTCCACGGCCATTGGCCGCGCTACCCAGGGCTAAGCTCGCGTTTCTTTGGTCCGGACTTGTGAAGTCCCGCCCACTTCCGATTTGCCATTGGTCGAGTGAACAAGATTTGACTAGTTTGAGCCTAGGAGAGGGGGAAGAAAGCGGAAGTTAGCCGTGTCCTAGCGACCAAGATTGTACCCGCCCTGGTCGCTGCTAACAACGACCGAGACGAGCAGTAGTTTCTAGCCAATGAGGGGCGACATGGGGAGGAGGCTAAGCCTGCCCTTTCTTGAGTCCCCGGGAAGGCTTCTGCGCGTGCGTCGGTGGTAATACGTGACGTCCTGTGGGGAGCTGGAGGGTGTGCAGGTTTTGGGTTACCAGGCCGTGGTTCCGCTGGCTGGCTGGCTGGCTCTCCGCGCCGTTGCGCGGCAGGAGGAGGGAGTGAGACTTTGATTTGTGCTTGATTTATGCCAAGGCCCAGAGAAGGGAGCGACTTGCCCTTCTCTCTTTTTTCTTTTTCTTTCTTTTTTTTTTTTTTTTTTTTTTACTTTTTTAAAGACAGGGTCTCGCTCTGTTGCCCAGACTGTAGTGCAGTGGCAGGATCTTGGCTCACTGCCGCCTGGACCTCCCCGAGCTCAAATGATCCTCTCGCCTCAGCCTGCAGAAATAGCTGGGACTATCGGCGCGCGCCGCTAGGCCCGGCCAATTTTTAAAAAAATGTTTGTGGAGACCGAGTCTCACTGTGTTGAGCTCAGTTGCCTTGCTGTTTGGATGAAACCCAAGCCCCTCGGGCTGGTATTCAATACCCTGTCTAGGCGCGTCTCCCATCTGTTTTTTACCTTTTATCTGATGTCCTGGAGAATTACAGCTGCCTGAGCACTTCTTGCGTTTTCATGCCAGCAAGCCTCCTTGCCCAAGCTGTGCGTTCTGCTAGGGGTGCCTTTCATATTCACTTCTGAGATCTCTGCATAAATGCCTCCCCTTTACTCCCTTTCCTCTCTGTCTTCAGGCTCTGTTCTCTAGGCTTCCAGAGCCACAGAACCCCTCTCTCTGTCTCTCCAGTCCCATCTATCTCTCTGTCTCTCCAATCCCATCTCTCTCTCTCTCTCTCTCCAATCCAATCTCTCTCTCTGTCTCTCAATCCCAGAGCCTGGGCTGTGACTATGTATTCGAATTTGTTTCCTCCATAGAGTGGGAGCAGGATTGGATCTGACTAATCTCTGTTTTTAACCTCTTCAACACAGCCCTACCCCCCCACCGCAATCTTAGGACCACTCTAACTGAGGGAGTTGAATGGGGATGGGAAGGCCTGGGATGCTCTTTCCTCCTTTATTCTGCTACTTGAAGGGCTAGGCTGAGCTAGCACTCTGACAGATCTGAATACCCACAGCATCTATTTCTTTTTTCTTCTTTTTCTTTTTCTTTTTTTTTTTTTGAGACGGAGTCTCGCTCTGTTGCCCAGGCTAGAATGCAGGGGCCCGATCTCGGCATACTACAGCCTCTGTCTCCTGGGTTCAAACAATTATCCTGTCTCAGCCTCCAGAGTACCTGGGATTACAGGCGCCTACCACAACGCCCGGTTAATTTTTGTATTTTTAGTAGAGACGGGGTTTCACCACTTTGGGCCAGGCTGGTCTCAAACTCCTGACCTCAGGGTGATCTGCCTGCCTTGGCTTCCCAAAGTGCTGGGATTACAGGTGTGAGCCACCGCACCCGGCCTTTTTTTTGAGGCGGAGTTTCGCTCTTGTTGCCCCGGCTGAAGTGCAGTGGCTCAATCTCTGCTCACTGCAACCTCCACCTCTCGGGTTCAAGCGATTCTTCTGCCTCAGCCTCCGGAGTAGCTGGAATTTACAGGCATGAGCCACCACGCCCGGCTAATTTTGTATTTTTAGTAGAGACGGGGTTTCACCGTGTTGGCTGTCTTTGGTCTCGAACTCCTGACCTCAGGTGATCCGCCCACTTGGACTTCCCAGAGCGCTGGGATTACAGGTGTGAGCCACCGTGCCCGGCCCAGCATCTATTTCAAATACCCTTACCCACTGCAGTTAGGAAACTGCTGCTCATAAAAGTGGGGATGGGGTTGAATATTTCAGTCCCAGCCCTCCCTATTCCCAGGACTCCTCTCAGCCCCAAGGTCTCTGAGGCTAGGGATCTTTTTAGCTATGCGTGCCTGTCTTGGTGTCAGGCTGCTTGGGATGTTGGGCTGGTGGCCTTTGAAGTGCTTAGGGCCTAGGAATTTTCAGAGGCTTAAATGAGGCATTATAAATCTCAGAAACAAAATAAAAACAAATTATGGATTCCAAAATGCAAAACAAAACTGCAAACTTTAATAAGTATTTAACAAATACCTATACAAATCAATACCTATACAGATCAATACCTATACAGATCAATACCTATACAGATCAATACCTATACAAATCAATACCTATACAGATCAATGCCAGTGATAATAGCTACAGTAAAGTGTATTCAGTAAATTAATTCATTTAACCCTGACAATAACTCTATGATATATGTAAAGTAGCAGCATCATCCTAATTTAATGGATGAGGAAACCGAGGCATAGAGAACTTTAGGAATTTGTCCAAGTTCTCATAGATGGTAATAGTGGTGCTGGAATTTGTTTGTTTGTTTGAGACAGGGTCTTGCCTTGTTGCCTAGGCTGGGAGTGTAGGGACGCAATCTGTTCTGTGCTCAGTGCAGTCTTGATCTCCCAGGCTCAAGTGGTCCTCTCACCTCGGCCCCCCCAATGCCCGGTAGCTAAGACTAAAGGCATGTGTGACCATGCCCGGGTAATTTTTTAATTTTTGTAGAGACCCCTGGGGTCTCACTGTGTTGCCCAGGCTCGTCTCAAACTCCTGGGTTCAAATGATCCACCTGCCTTGGCTTCCCAAAGTGCTGGGGTTACAAACAGGAGCCACCCCACTCATCGGGTGCTGGAATTTGAACCTGGGCAGTCTGACTCCAAAGGCTTGCTTGACTAAAACTCAGCTTTAATATAATGATACAATCCAGGTGTGGTGGTGGCTCATGCTTGTAATCTGAACACTTTGAGAGTCCAAGGAGGAAGGATTGCTTGAAGCCAGGAGGTAAAGACCAGCCTGGGTAACATAGCAAGACCCCTGTCACTGCAAAAAAGAAAGAAAGTTTAGCCGGGAGTGGTGGCACATGCCTGTAGTACATCAGGTATATCCCTGTAGTACTCAGGAGGCAGAGGCAAGAGGATCACTTGAGCCCAAGAGATCGAGGCTGCAGTGAGCCATGATCACACCACTACACTCTAGCCTGGGCAACAGCCAAGACCCTGTCTCAAAAAAAATTAAAATAAAATAGAAATACATATATATGTGTATGTATATATATATATATATATATATATATATATATATATATATATACATACACACACACACACATATATATGTGTATATATATATATATACACACACATATATATGTATATATATAAAATATTTGATGGGGGATTTTGGATTATTTTACTATGCCTGAGTTCATAGTGGGGTGGGGTGTACAAATGCAAGAGATTCTGGGACTAGGAGACATTCCTGATGTTGGGTCTTGGGCTTTCCTAATCCTCAGTTTCCTTTTTTTTTTTTGAGATGGAGCTTCACTCTTGTTGCCCAGGCTGGAGTGCAATGGCGCGATCTCAGCTCACCGCAACCTCTGCCTCCCAGGTTCAAGCGATTCTCGTGCCTCAACTTCCCCAGTAGCTGTGATTACAGGCATGCGCCACCATGCCCAGCTAATTTTTGTATTATCAGTAGACATGGGGTTTCTCCATGTTGGTCAGGCTGGTCTCAAACTCCTGACCTCAGGTGATCCGTGCGCCTTGGCCTCCCAAAGTGCTGGGATTACAGGCGTGAGCCATCACACCTGGCCTTTTTTTTTTTTAATTTTAAAAATGTACAGACGGGGGTCTCACTATGTTGCCTAGGCTGGTCTCGAACTCCTGGGCTCAAGTGATCCGCCTTGGCCTCCCAAAGTGCTGGGATTACAGGTGTGAGCCACTGTGCCCGGCCCTGATCCTCAGTTTCTACATATGTAAAATAGGAAAGTCCACTATTTGATAGATTATTGCATAAAATATCGGACATACCAACTATGGATTATTAAAGAACTTTCATAAAAACCACTTAGATCTGTATGTATGGAGTAAGAGAAATGGGGACGATATATGTTGAATGGAAAGTGGAAGTTGCAACGTGTCTTAGTTCAGGCTGCTGTAACAAAATACCATAAACTGGGTAGCTTATAAACAACAGAAACTTATTTCTCACAGTTTGGGAGGCCAGGAAGTCTGAGATCAAGGCACCAGCAATTTAGCGTCTGGTGAGGGTCCACTTTCTGATTCGTAGATGGTGCCATCTAGCTGTGTCCTTCTCACATGGTGGAAGGGAGAAGCAAGTTCTATCAAGACTCTTATTTTATTTTTTATTTTCTTCTTTTTAAAATTTGAAACATCCAGCTACTGCACAATACTGGAATTTTTTTTAACAATTTTTTTTTTTTGGAGGAAAAAATGGTGAGATCCTGCCATAGGGTCTCACTATGTCACCCAGGCTGGAGTGCAGTGGCATGACCACAGCTCACTGCGGCCTCAAACTCCTGGGCTCAAGCAATCCTCCCACCTCAGCCTCCTGAGTAGCTGGGACTACAGGCATTCGCCGCCATGCCTAGCTAATTATTTACTTTTACTTTTTTGTGGAGACAGGGTCTCAAACTCCTGGCCCCAACTGATCCTCCCTCCTTGATCTCCCAAAGTCATGGGCTTACAGGTGTGAGCCACTGTGTCTGACAGAATTCTTATAAGGACACTAATCCCATTCATGAGGGCTCCACCATCATGACCTAATGACCTTCCCAAGGCCTTACTACTGAAAATACAGCTGTTGGAGAGGTTGAGACAGGAAAATCAGTTCAATCTGGGAGGCGGAGGTTGCAGTGAGCCAAGATGGCACCATTGCACTCCAGCCTCGGTGACAAGAGCAAAACTCCATCTCAAAAAAAAAAGCAATTTCAGCATCATTTTTTTTTTTTTTTTTTTGAGATGGAGTCTCACTCTGTCGTCCAGGCTGGAGTGCAGTGGTGCAATCTCAGCTCACTGCAGTCTCCACCTCCTGGGTTCAAGTGATTCTCCTGCCTCAGCCTCCCGAGTAGCTGTGACTACAGGCACGTGCCACCATGCCCAGCTAATTTTTGTATTTTTAGTAGAGACGGGGTTTCACCATGTTGGCCAGGATGGTTTCGATCTCTTGACTTCGTGATCCGCTTGCCTCGGCCTTCCAAAATGCTGGGGTTACAGTTTTTTTTTTTTAATCTTTGGAAATTAACTAAGAGTTTGCAGCAATCTAGGGATGATATTCATCGCTTTCAAGGAAAACAGCTGAATCTTGGGAAGAATAGCAAGCTTTGTGGGTTTTTTTTTAACTTGCCCTATTTCATTGTCCCTCCACTGATCCACGGTAGACTTGAAAGCCAGCAGTCTCCGTCAGAGAGGAACAGCAACCTGGCAACCATTGGCAGGAGGAGAACAGGGCTGGAGTCCCTTCAAAGTCCCAGTCCCAGGAAATTGTCATTATTTGCCTTGTCAAGTGACCCCCCTGTAAAACCCTACTTGCAATGCTCTTTTTATTTGTCCTGTCTAGAAGCTCACTCAGCCTGAGTAGTTCTCTCTACCCTACCCAGGATGGTCTCAAACTCCCGGACTCAAGCAATCTGCCTGTCTCAGCCTCCCAAAGTGCTGAGATGACAGGCATGAGCCACCGTGCCCAGCCAGGGGATCTTTTTGTTCAGAAGATTGACTATTCCCGTGTATTAAAGGGAAATGTACACTATGTTGGTAGATAATTCTCCCAGGGCATCTCACATATCTTCACATTTTTTAAAGCTTTTGTTCCAGACTATCTTATCAAGAATGTTTTTGGGTTTTTTTTGTTTGTTTGTTTTTTGAGATGGAGTCTTGCTCTGTCATCCAGGCTGGAGTGCAGTGGCTCAATCTTGGCCCACTGCAACCTCCCCCTCCCGAGTTCAAGCAATTCTCCTGCCCGAGCTTCCCGAATAGCTGGGATTACAGGCACGTGCCACCATGCCTGGCTAATTTTTTGTATTTTTTTAGTAGAGACGGAGTTTCACCATGCTGGCCAGGCTGGTCTCAAACTCCTGACCTCATGATCTGCCCATCTCGGCCTCCCAATGTGCTGGGATTACAGGCATGAGCCACCGCGCCCGGCCTGTTTGTGTTTTTTCGTTTGTTTGTTTGTTTGAGACGGAGTTTCGCTCTTGTCGCCCAGGCTGGAGTGCAATGGCACAATCTCGGCTCACTGCAACCTCCACCTCCTGGGTTCAAGCAATTCTCCTGCCTCAGCCTCCCAAGGAGCTAGGATTACAGGCGTCCGCCACCATGCCCAGCTAATTTTTGTATTTTTAGTAGAGACGGGGGTTTTACCATGTTGGCCAGGCTGGTTTCGAACTCCTGATCTCAGGTGATCCACCAGCCTCAGCCTCCCAAAGTGCTGGGATTACAGGCATGAGCCACAGCGCCCGGCCAAGAATGTTTGTATAGCAAACGGTTTAGGAAGATAGCAACAGCGAGTCCCCATGGCCAGAGGCAGATTTGTTGCCTAACCACTGTAAAAAATATATATAATGATGCATATGTCAGAAGCAAAGGTTGGGGAGGTCTTCCTGTGGCCCTCTTAAAAGATTGCTTTATAAGCTCAGGATTCTTCATTCTGGCACACACTCACTGCATTACACACTCACTGTATGCAAAGCATCTGTCCAGACCCTTTCTCATCAGTCCTGTTGGACTTGAAGTGCAAGGGGATTGACGTGAGTATCAAGTTTTTGCTTCTTTGCTGTGTTGTCAGTAATAAAGTCTGTTGGACCTGACACCGGAGTCTTATATCTTCTTCAAGCAACCTTGAATTTTTTATTTTTTTTTTTTTTTATTTTTATTTTTGAGACAGAGTCTCTCTGTTGCCCAGGCTGGAGTGCAGTGGCACAATCTCGACTCACTGCAGCCTCCATCTCCTGGGATTAAGGGATTCTTGTGCCTCAGCCTCCCGAGTAGCTGGGATTACAGGCATGTGCACCACTAAAAATACAAAAATTAGCCAGGCATGGTGGTGGGCTCCTGTAATCCCAGCTACTCAGGAAGCTGAGGCAGGAGAATCGCTTGAACCCAGGAGGTGGAGGTCGCAGTGAGCTGAGATCACACATCACTGCACACCAGCCTGGGCAATAGAGCGGGACTCCGTCTCAAAATATAGAAATAGCCGGGCGCGGTGGCTCACTCCTGTAATCCCAGCACTTTGGGAGGCCGAGGTGGCGGATCATCTGAGGTTGGGCGTTCGAGACGAGCCTGACCAACATGGAAAAACCCCGTCTATACTAAAAATACAAAATTAGCCAGGTGTGGGGGCACATGCCTGTAATCCCAGCTACTCAGGAAGGCTGAGGCAGAAGAATCGCTTGAACCCGGGAGGCGGAGGTTGCAGTGAGCCGAGATCACGCCACTGCACTCCAGCCTGGGCAACAAGAGCAGAACTCCATCTCAAACATAAATAAATAAATAAGCTGGGTATAGTGGCATCTGCCTGCGGTCCCAGCTACTGTACTTGGGAGGCTGAGGTGGGAGGATTGGTTCGGTCCAGGAGATTGAGGTGAGGCTACAGTGAGCCATGAATGTGCCGCTGCACTCCAGCCTGTATGACAGAGCAAGACTCTGCCTCAAAAAAACAAAAGAAAACAGCCGGGCATGGTGGCTCATGCCTGTAGTCCCAGCTACTCAGGAGGCTGAGGCAGGAGAATCGCTTAAACCCTGGAGGTGGAGGTTGCAGTGAGTCGAGATTGTGCCACTACACTCCAGCCTGGGCGACAGAGCGAGACTGTCTCAAAAACAAAATAATATTAACGGGAAATAGTATTGGCAAGGATGTGGAGAAAGGGAACCCTTGTACACCATTGGTGGGAATGTAAATTGGTAGAAAACATTATGGAGGTTCCTCAAAAAATTAAAAATAGAACTACCAGGTGATTCAGCAATCCCCCTTCATGGTATATATCCAAAGGAATGAAATCAATATCTTGGAGAGAGATCTGCACTCCTATGTTTATTGCCACAATAACCAAGATGTGGAAAAAACCTAAATGTTCACTGATAAATGGATAAACACACACACACACACACACACACACTATTCAGCCTTTAAAAAAATGGAAATCTAGGCCAGGCGTGGTGGCTCACGCCCGTAATCCCAGCACTTTGGGAGGCCGAGGCTGGTGGATCACCTGAGGTCAGGAGTTCAAAACCAGCCTGGCCAACATAGTGAAACCCCCGTCTCTACTAAAAATACAAAAAACTAGCCGGGCATGTTGGTGGGTGCCTCTAATCCCAGCTACTCGGCAGACTGAGGGAGGAGAATCGCTTGAACCCAGGAGTTGGAGGTTGCAGTGAGCCGAGATAGGGACATTGCACTCCAGCCTGGGTGACAATAGTGAAACTCCGTCTCAAAAAAAACAGGCCAGGCACAGTGGCTCACGCCTGTAATCCAAGCACATTGGGAGGCCAAGGCGGGCAGAACATGAGGTCAGGAGTTCGAGAGCAGCCTGGCCAGCATGGTGAAACCGCATCTCTACTAAAAAAATACAAAAAAATTAGCTGGGCATGGTGGTGCACACCTGTAATCCCAGCTACTCGGGAGGCTGAGGCAGAAGAGTTGCTTGAACCCAGGAGGTCGAAGTTGCAGTGGACCAAGATCGCACCACTACGCTCCAGCCTGGGCGACAGAGTGAAACTGCGTCTCAAATAAAAAGGAAAAAAACGGAAATCTTGTCATTTGTGATGACTTGGACGAACCTAAGGGACATTATGCAAAGTAAAATAAGACAGACACAGAAAGACAAATAACATATGATCTCGTATGTTTTTTTTTTTTGAGACAGAGTGTCGCTCTGTCACCCAGGCTGGAGTGCAGTGGCACGATCTCAGCTCACTGCAAGCTCTGCTTTCTGGGTTCACGCCATTCTCCTGCCCTCCTGAGTAGCTGGGACTACAGGCGCCCACCCCCATGCCCGGCTAATTTTGTTTTTTTATTTTTAGTAGAGACTGGGTTTCACTATGTTGGCCAGGCTGGTTTTGAACCCCTGAGCTTGTGATCTGCCTGCCTCGGCCTCCCAAAGTGCTTGGATTAGGAGCGTGAGCCACCGCGCCCGGCCGTATGACCTCATTTATATGTGGAATCCAAAATAGTCAAACACACAGAAGCAGAAAGCAGAATAGTGGTTGCAAGAGGCTGAGAGGTGGGAGGAAATGAAAAGGTGTTGGTCAAAGTGTGCAAAGTTTCTCATGAAGAGAAACTTTTTTTTTTTAATTTCATGGGGAAATTAAAAAAGCAAAAAGCAAAAAAACAAAAACAAAAAGGAAAGTGTACAAAGTTTCAGTCCTGCAAGATAAACAAGTTCTGGAGGCCTACCGTACAACATAGGGCACATGATTAACAAATACGGCGTTGTACATTTAAAACTTTGCTGAAAGGGTAGGTCTTATATAAGATCTTATGTTATCACAAAAGGACAAACAAAACCAAAGCGGAGTGAAGAAATGAACTGGAAGGGAATTTTTGGAGGCAATTGATAAGTTTATGGCATTAGTTGTGATAATAGTTTCAAGGATGTATACTTATTTCCAAACACGTGAAGTTGTATACATTAAATATCTACAGTTTTTTATATGTCAATCATACCTCAATAAAGTAGTTTTTCTTTCTTTCTGTCTTTCTCTTTTGAGGTGGAGTTTTGCTCTTGTTGCCCAGGCTGGAGAGCAATGCATGATCTCAGCTCACTACAACCTCCACCTCATGGGTTCAAGCAATTCTCCTGCCAAGTAGCTGGGATTACAGGCATGTGCCACCACGTCTGGCTGATTTTGTATTTTTAGTAGAGATGGGGTTTCACTGTGTTGGTCAGGCTGGTCTCGAACTCCCAACGTCAGGTGATCCAGCCACCTAGGCCTCCCAAAATGCTGGTATTACAGGCATGAGCCACCAGACCTAGCCTAATAAAGCATTTTTTTTTTTTTTTTGAGACGGAGTCTCGCTCTGTCGCTCAGGCTGGAGTGCAGTGGCATGATCTCAGCTCACTGCAAGCTCTGCCTCCCGGGTTCACACCATTCTCCTACCTCAGCCTCTGGAGTAGCTGGGACTACAGGCGCCCACCACCACACCTGGCTAATTTTTTGTATTTTTAGTAGAGACGGGGTTTCACCATGTTAGCTAGGATGGTCTCGATCTCCTGACCTCGTGATCCACCCGCCTCGGCCTCCCGAAGTGCTGGGATTACAGGCATGAGCCACCGTGCCCGGCCATAAAGTAGTTTTTAAAAGCTCAAAGAACCCTGCAGAGCTAAGATTCCTAGGAAAAAAAAAAAAAAAACTTAAAGCAACAAAATAATGTTGCCATTTAAAACTAACTGCTCTCATAAGGGACACAATTATGTTAAAGGGAAGACTCACATTCTCCAAATCAAAATGAGTTTAAGTGTACAAATTGGAGAATAGATTTGGGAGAAAATTGACCTATATAGATGGAGAACATAAAATGTTGAGGGAGAGAGGAACCAGGACAGAGAAGAGCAGGACAGCAGGGTAAGGGGCTGCACAGGTAGAAGGGAAGAGCTTCAAGCCCCCAATGCAAGAGCAGCCCAGAAGGGACTGGAAGAAAAATAATTACAATAAGGTTACGAAACTGTTTCCCATGGAGCTGGATGGCATCTCTTTCCTTGTGTGTCAGCCATGCAGTGTCTTTAATAAAGGCCAGGGTTGGGCACGGTGGCTCACACCTGTAATCCCAACTGTTTGAGAGTCCAAGGCAGGAGGATCACTTGTGGCCAGAAGTTTGAGGCCAACCTGGACAACATAGTAAGACCCCATCTCTCTCTTAAAAAAAAGGCCCAATATGGTGGCTCATGCCTGTAATCCCAACATTTTGAGAGGCCAAGGCAGGAGGATCACTTGACCCTGGGGTTTGAGAACAGCCTGGGCAACATGGTGAGACTTCGTCTCCACAAAAAAATTCAAAAATTAGCCAGGCATGGTGGTGTGTGCCTGTGTTCCCAGCTACTCAGGAGGCTGAGACAGGAGTGTCACTTGAGCCCAGGAGGTTGAGCTATGATCCCACCATTGTAATCCAGCCTGGGTGACAGAGCGAGACCCTGTCTCCAAAAACAAAACAAAACAAAAAACAAAAAAACTAGCTGGGTGTCAAGGGCGTCCGTGTGAAGAGACCACCAACAGGCTTTGTGTGAGCAATAAAGCTTTTTGCTGGGCGTAGTGGCTCACGCCTGTAATCCCAGCACTTTGGGAGGCCAAAGCGGGTGGATCACAAGGTCAGAAGATCGAGACCATCCTGGCTAACATGGTGAAACCCCTAAATACAAAATACAAAAAATTAGCCGGACGTGATGGCGGGTACCTGTAATCCCAGCTACTCGGGAGGCTGAAGCAGGAGAATGGCTTGAACCCGGGAGGCGGAGGTTGCAGTGAGCCGAGATCACGCCACTGCTCTCCAGCCTAGGTGACAGAGCAAGACTCCATCTCGGGGAAAAAAAAATAATAATAAGTAAAGATGTTTAATCACATGGGTACAGGTGGGCTGAGTCCGAAAAGAGAGTCAGAGAAGGGAGATGGGGTGGGGCAGTCTTATAGGATTTGGGTAGGTAGTGGAAAATTACAGTCAAAGGGGGTTGTTCTCTTGTGGGCAGGGGCGGGGGTCACAAGACGCTCAGTCGGGGAGCTTCTGAGCCAGGAGAAGGAGTTTCGCAAGGTAATGTCATCAGTTAAGGCAGGAGCTAGCCATTTTTACTTCTTTTGTGATTCTTCAGTTGCTTCAGGCCATCTGGATGTATACATGCAGGCTTGGGCTCAGAGGCCTGACACTGGGCCTGGTGGCATACATCTGTAATCCTACCTACTCAGAAGGCTAAGGTAGGAGGATCCCTTGAGCCCAGGAGTTTGAGGCTATAGTGAGCTATGATCCACCCCTGCACCACAGCCTGGGTGACAGAGTGAGACTCTGTCTCAAAATAAAAATGAATAAAAAAAGGCCAAATGGCTAAGTGAGGCTTTTCTGTGAATGTGGTTTTTTGGGGGCTACTAGAAAGAAAAGCTGTGTTAATTTAAAGCAAAGACAAGTTTTACAAGAAAGCTTGAATAGAGGACATAGTAGATCCTGAGAGTATAAATCCCTGGGAATTAGCAAACATTTGTGGGAAAACGATGGACTTTCAGGATGATAGATTAATGAGGTTAAAGTCTAGCTCTCTAAGAGTGATGCTAGACTCATATGAGATCTCAGTTACATGTGGAATAAATAAAGTTTTACCAAGGTATATGTTTTTTATATTTATTTATTTATTTATTTAAGACAGAGTCTTGCTCTGTTGCCCAAGTGGAGTGCAGTGGGGCAATCTCAGCTCACTGCAACCTCTGTCTCCCAGGTTCAAGTGATTCTCCTGCCTCAGTCTCCTGAGTAGCTGGGACTACAGGTGTGCACCACCACACCCAGCTAATTTTTGTATTTTTAGTAGAGATGGGGTTTCACCATGTTGCCCAGGATGGTCTCGAACTCCTGACCTCAAGTGATCTGCCCATCTTCAGCCTCCCAAAGTACTGGGATTACAGGTGTGAGCCACCGTGCCCGGCCCAAAGGGTATGTTTGATATGATGAGGGGATGGAAATGGAATAGATGGAGGCTTAGAGAAGAGTGAAGGGACCACATGCAAGTGGCTCACGCCTATAATCCCAGCAGTTTAGGAAACAGAGGCGGAAGGATCCCTTGAACCCAGGTGTTTGAGACCAGCCTAGGCAACATAGTGGAACCTCATCTCCACAGGAAAAAAAAAAAATTAACTAGGTGTGTGTAGCCGGCACGGACCTAGGGGGACTGAACAAAGGAGGGTGAACGAGGGAATAAAAGACAAAGACAAGAGAGTATATTTGGAAGAAGGGGTCAGGGGGCACTTGCCTCTAGTGGACAAGGACCCTGAGCTTTACACAGTCCTCCTACACAGCCCTCCGTATTTATTAGGCAAAAGAGATAGCAAGAGCGGTGGGGGGTTGTCGGTCAGCAGTTTGATTGACAGCAGGCTTGCAAGACTGCATTCTTCGAACAATAGGTGCTAGATTTCTCAATAGATAACTTCAAGGAGCCCGGTGCCAGGGAGTGAGGCCCTCAGCAAACCTTTTGGTGGCAGGGCAGTGTGAGTGTGCCCACATCCTGCATTCATGATAAACAGTTTGCAGTTTGATAATATAGTCTCCAGCGGAACGCTGAGTTGGTCATGATCCCTTTGGCCTTTTCGGCTCCCAACAGGTGTGGCGGCGCATGCCTGTAGTCCCAACTACTGGGAGGCTGAAGTGGGAGGATCGCCTGAGGCCGGGATGTCAATGCTGTGGTGATCATACCACTGCACTCCAGCCTGGGTGACAGAGCAAGACCCTGTCTAAAAAAGAAAGGAAAGAGAAAAAGCTAAAAGATATAATATTTTTTAGAGTTTAAAAAAAGAACAGTGGGCTGGGCATGGTGGTTCACACCTATAAATCCCAGCACTTTTCGAGGCTGAGGTGGCTAGATAGCTTGAGCCCTGGAGTTTGAAACCAGCCTGGGAAACATAGTAAGACCGTCTCTATAAAAAATCAAAAATTAGCTGGGCGTGGTGTTGTGCACCTGTAGTCCCAGAGTCCCAGCTACTTGGCAGGCTAAGGTGGGAGGATCACTTGAGCCTGGAGGTGTTGAGGCTGCAGTGAGCCGTGATCGTGCCACAGCACTCTAGCCTGGGCGTGCCACAGCATTCTAGCCTGGGCAACAGAGTAAACCCCTGTCTCAAAAGAAAAAGGAAAAAGAACAGTGAAGGGATTGGGTTGGTTTCAGACATTTGCTGGGGTTGGCTAGACTGGATGGTGGGAGGAGGGTCAGGGCTCACCTTCTCCTTTTTATCTCTTCTCCGCACTAAAGAACCTTTGTGCTGTTCCGTCGCTCTGTGATGCAGGCCTAGAACTCTGGTCTGAGATGCACGCTCTCAGTGTCCAGTAGCTCCAGGCAGCAGTGCCAACAAGAGTGCCCTTCAAATAATAGAGAGCCATTTCTTTGTGGGAGGACACTCAGTGCCTATGGCTGAACTCAAACTGGACTCCACGTGGCATAGATTCTACTTTCTACCTCCTGTGTGGGCTGGAGCTCCTCTTGTTTTTCTGCCATCTAGAGGAGAATCAATTTTTATCATTATTTGAGTAAATCAGAGACCCAAGTCAAGTAAGAGATCACTAGATCCCATCACCAGCATAAACTGATATTTGCCTATTTGTTTTCCTTGCTAAATCAATAACATCAGTGCAAAGAGACACCTAAGATCTGTCTCCTCAGAGAATATCATCCTTCTAGAGATACAGGTTGGGCGGGGCTCAGAGTGATACACAGAGGTTTTTTGTTGTTGTTGTTTTTTTTTCTGATACAGAGTCTCACTCTGTCACCCAAGCTGGAGTGCAGTGGCACAATCTTGGCTCACTGCCACCTCTGCCTCCTGGGTTCAGGAGAATCTCCTGCCTCAGCCTCCCGAGTAGCTGGGATTACAGGTATGCACCACCACGCCTGGCTAATTTTTGTATTTTTTTATTTAGTAGAGACGGAGTTTCACCATGTTGGCCAGGCTGGTCTTGAACTCCTGACCTCAAGGGATCCGCCTGCCTCGGCCTCCCAAACTGCTGGGATTACAGGCATGAGCCATCGAGCTCGGCCTAAACAGAGCTTTTATCCAAAAATTCCAATCTATGTATGTGTGGGAGACAGATCTAGGAAAAATTCTAGCGTCTTTCAGTGGCCCTGGAGGAAATTATTAAGGGGCAGCAAGATCCCTGCAAGAGAGCCGAGTGCAACAGTATTTGTTCATAAGATACCTTCCCACGTCAGCTGTCTCTAGGCTAAACTTGTGTAATGGTGTTGATCCGAAAAGTAATGCAGAGCCTCTAAAAGCCTCTGATCATATGCAAAAGATGAAGTTCTGGTCTCAGGGAGAAGAATCCATCCATAGAATGTCACACTCCTGTGGGTCACAGCAAAGGACCACTGACTGAAAAGTCAATTGCGGATCACATACAGATCAGCCTTCTTTGAGTTTCTCGAGGAAGGAAAAATAGTATTTATTTATTGAGACGAAGTATTGCTCTGTCGCCCAGGCTGGAGTGCAATGGTGCCATCTCAGCTCACTGCAACCTTCCTGTCCTGGGTTCAAGAGATTCTCCTGCCTCAGTCTGAGTAGATGGGATTACAGGCGCCCACCACCATGCCGGGCTGATTTTTGTATTTTTGGTAGACACTGGGTTTCACCATGTTGGACAGTCTGGTCTTGAACTCCTGACCTCAGGTGATCTACCCACCTCAGCCTCCCAGAGTGCTGGGATTACAGGCGTGAGCCACCATGCCCAGCCCTTTTTTAAGATTTATATTTCTTTCTTACTTAATTACCTACTCATCTGAAGGAAATTTTTTTTTTTAAGACGGAGTATCACTCTGTCCCCAGGCTGGAGTGCAGTGGCGCGATCTCGGCTCACTGCAACCTCCACCTCCCAGGTTCAAGCGATTCCCCTGCCTCAGCCTCCCAAGTAGCTGGGTCTACAGGTGCGTGCCACCACGCCTGGCTAATTTTTTGTATTTTTAGTAGAGACGGGGTTTCACCATGTTAGCCAGGATGGTCTCGATCTCCTGACCTCGTGATCAGCCCCCGTCAGTCTCCCAAAGTGCTGGGATTACAGGTGTGAGCCACAGCCCCCGGCCTTGGAAAAATATACATTTTTTAAATTTTATCTACTTTACAGTTTGGGCGGCCAAGGCAGGAGGCTCACTTGAGCCCAGGAGTTCAAGACCAGCATGGACAACAACGTGAAACCCTATCTCTACAAAAAATTTGAAAATTAGTCAGGTGTGGTGGCACATGCCTGTAGTGCCAGTGTATTAGTTTGTTCTCACATTGCTATAAAGAAATACCTGAGATTGGGTAATTTATAAAGAAAAGAGGTTTAATTGGCTCATGGCTCTGCAGGCTGTACAGGAAGCATGATGCTGGCATCTGCTTGGCTTCTGGAGAGGCCTCAGAAAACTTACAATTATGGCAGAAGGTGAAGGGGAGGCAAGTACTTCACATGCCCAGACAGGAGGAAGACAGAGAATGGGGAGGTGCCACACACTGTTTTTTTTGAGCCTAGGTTGGAGGGCAGTGGCACGATCTTGGCTCACTGCAACCTCCGCCTCCCGGGTTCAAGCGATTCTCCTGCCTCAGCCTCCCAAGTAGCTGAGATTACAGGTGCGTGACACCACACCCGGCTAATTTTTCTTTTTTTTTTTTTAAGAGACAGAGTCTCACCCTGTCACCCAGGCTGGAGTGCAGTGGCGCGATCTCGGCTCACTGCAAGCTCTGCCTCCCAGATTCAAGCAATTCTCCTGCCTCAGCCTCCCGAGTAGCTGGCACTAAAGGCATGCGCCACCACACCTGGCTAATTTTTGTATTTTCAGTAGAGATGGGGTTTCACCATGTTGGCCAGGCTGGTCTCAAACTTCTGAGCTCAAGTGATCCATCCACCTTGACCTCCCAAAGTGCTGGGATTACAGGCATGAAGCACTGCTTCCAGCCAAATTTCCTCTTATCAAAACATCAGTCAGATTGCATCAGAGCCCATTCTAACAAGCTTAGTTTAACTTAATAGCCTCTAAATGCCCTATTTCAAAATACAGTCATATTCTGAGGTACTGGGTGTTAGAACTTAAAGACAATGATTTATTTTATTTTATTTATTTATTTATTTTTTGAGACAGAGTCTCGCTTTGCCGCCCAGGCTGGAGTGCAGTGGCTGGATCTCGGCTCACTGCAAGCTCCGCCTCCTGGGTTCACGCCATTCTCCTGCCTCTGCCTCCGGAGCAGCTGGGACCACACGCACCCGCCACCACGCCCGGCTAATTTTTTGCATTTTTAGTAGAGACAGGGTTTCACCGTGTTAACCAGGATGGTCTCGATCTCATGACCTTGTGATCCGCCCGCCGCGGCCTCCCAAAGTGCTGGGATTATAGGCATGAGCCACCGCGCTTGGCCAACAATGATTTTTTAGGGACGTGATTCAGCTCATAACATTCTGTACTCTGGACTCCCAAAATTCATGTCCTTCTCACATGCAAGATCCCTTCACCCCCATCCTAACATCTCAAAAGTCTTATTATTATTATTTTTTGAGACAGAGTCTCACTCTGTTGCCCTGGCAGCAGTTCAGTGGTGCAAAGACAACTCATTGCAGCCTTGATCCCCTGGGCTCAAGAGATCCTCCCACCTCAGCCTCCCAAATAGCTGTGACTATAGGCGTGAGCCACCATGCCTGGCTAATTTTTGTATTTTTTGTAGAGACAAGGGTCTTACTATGTTGCCCCAGGTTGGTCTTGAATTCTTGAGCTCAAGCAATCCTTCCACCTTGGCCTCCCAAAGAGCTGGGATTACAGGCCAGAGCCACTGCTCCTGGCCCATTTCAAAAGTCTTAATCCATTTCAGTATCAAACTCTAAGGCCCAAATATTACCCAAATATTATCTGAATCACATATGGGTGAGACTCAAAGTGTGGTTCATCCTGAGGCAAAATTTCTGTCCAGCTGTGAAACTGTGAAGCCAAAGAAGCTATTTGCTTCCAAAATACAATGGTGGGACAGGCACAGGATAGACCGTCAGCCCTGGAAACCACCCTTCTACTCTGTTACTGTAATTTTGATGTTTGTAGATTGCACATGTAAGTAAGCACATGCAGGATTTGTCTTTCTGTGTCTAGCACATTTCGCTTAGCATAATGTCTTCAGGGTTCCTGGATCCAGCCACGGCTGCACATCAGATCTTCACGGAGATCCTAGTTCCCTGACTACTGAGTAACTTCAGCCTTAACTGGCTTCAGCCTCACTGGCAAGACCCGATGGAGTCCACCAGGCTCGCAAAAATCGATTTTGACTTAAATCAGTTCAACTTGACAAGAAGAAAACATCTTAGTTTCCAACAGAAGTGGACCACAACTTTAAGCTTTGACCTTAAAGTCTAAAACATTAACTTAAAATAGGCAGGAAGCAACGCTGCTTCACAGGACAAGAAATAGTCACAAATACTCCTAAATCGGGAGAACAAAGACTTGCTGGGTGGAAGGCAGAGCGAATAACAGGCCCCGCCCACCAAACAGGTCCCGCCCACACCGCCCGTCCCGCTTAGCCCACCTGGCCCCGCCCACTACCGCATCAGCCTTGCCCCACCCTTTCAGGGTTCCCAAATCTGGCCAGTCTTTCTGCCCTTTCCCTTGCGGGTCGCACCCCGCCCAGGCCCCTCTCCCGCCCCAGGTCTCTCAGTCTTTTTTCTCAGGGCGTGTAGCTTCCTGCACACCCGGAAGCAGATCGCGCGGGGAAAAGATCACAGCGCTGCGCGTCAGTTTCCGTCTACCTGGACTAAACATTTGCTTCGCCCCGTCTGCCTGAATCGAACGTGCACTTGGCAGTCTTCCCTTGTCCATACCCGTTTCCTGGGGATCGCTACGGACCTTAAAATACCAGCAACAGCCCCTTCGCCCCAAGTAAGTCTGATAATTGCTTCCCTTTCGGTTTAAAAATCTCTCTGAGGCTGTTCCTTGCTCCCTGCCTTTCTGCCTTAGGACCATGTAGACAACCCCACTCAGGTCGTGTTCCTGCTTAAAACCCTTACTGACCTCTGCTTCGGCCCTGCGCCAAGTCGAGTCCTCACTCGGGAGGTGGATTCCCGCCCGTTGCGACCCCGGAGCTTCTCCGTCGTCAGCCCCTGGAGGGGAGCGCCCGCCGTCCGGCTCCTGAAGGAGTCGCTTCTCCTCCCAGGTCCTGGGATTCTGCAGACCCTCCCTGTCCTGAGACACCGTACCCCCTGCCACCTTGTGTCCTCCTCACGCCGGGTCCTTTCGCTCCCCAGGCTTCCCCTTCACAGCCACTGCTTTTCTCGATCCCCCCCTTGGGGGAGGTCACCTGAGTCTTGTGACACCCAGTGTTCTTCCTTCCCAAATTTTACTCCACTGGAAAATATGCTTTTCCGGGAGGTGGGCATCCTATTCCTCCCCTTTCTTACTGAATGTGTGGGTGAGAGGGATCAGGAGAGGAAAAGAAGGGGAGCGACGGAGCAAAAGGAAAGACCGAATAGAAGAGAATGAGGGAGACCCATAAATACACGGCAAAATGGATGATAATTTAGGGATTTGCAAAGAGACAGCAAGAGTGAAAGAGAACGAATGGAGAAAGAAGCAGGGGGAGGAAAGCACACAGAGAAATTTAGAAAAAAAGGGGGACCTTCAGAGAGATGAAAGGCAGCAAAATAGAGTGGGGCGGCAAAGGAGGAGGCACTGCAGACAGACAGTGGGGAGAAGGTGAAAGAGTTGGAGCCGCAGCCGACAGAGCTACGTGGTGCTGGGACTGAAAGAGAGGGAGAGAGGGCAGTGGGTGACAAGCAGAGTAGAGGGAGAACCACAGCAGGGAGGAAGCCTAGGGAGTTGGGGGTGCTAGAGAGTGGGAACAAAGGAGGTGTAACAGGTAAGAGGGAATTTTAACAAGGAGAGCAGAGAGGGAGCTCAGATGGGGAAAAAGAGGCGGAAATACGTGGAGATTGGGGACAATCAGAAAGATTGGGGAGAAAGAGCTACGAGAGGTGAAGTAAGTTGCAGAGCATCGGGCAGAACAGACATAAAGAGGAGAAAAACAGAAAAGGGGAGGAAAGGTGCAGAATGAGAGAGGGACACACACAATAGTGAAGAAAGTGGGAGAGGACCCCATCCAGATGAGCGATGAGTTGATTGGATATGGATGGTGGTTGTAATATTCTAATTTGTGACTTTATACTCTAATTTAAAATTCATTTCTTTAAATTGTACTCGTGAGGATGAAAATTACCACTCTTTTCTGTAAGGCTTGTGCATTTTGTATTTATTTGTATCAAAAGATATTTGGAATTTCTGTTTAGCCAGAGAGCATTTAAATTAAGTCATTCGTGGTAACTCTTTTCTTCCCTGGGATGGGGTAGAGGATAGAGTAACTGAGAAATGGGGCGATAAATGACTGTCACTGTCACTACAAGGTATGTCTTTTTTTTTTTTTTTTCTTTTTTGAGACAGGGTCTTGCTCTGTCAGACTAGAGTACAGTGCCATGATCTCCGCTCACTGCAGCCTCAACCTCCTGGGCTCAAGCAGTCTTTCTGCCTCAGAGTGCTGGGATTACAGACGGGAGCCACCACGCCAGGCCTACGAGGTATATCTTTGTATGAGTATTCAGAGTCTTATTTTTTTTTGGTAATGGATTTGCTTTTTTCTTTTTTTGGGACGGAGTTTCGCTCATGTTGCCCAGGCTGGAGTGCAATGGTGCCATCTCGGCTCACTGCAATCTCCGCCTCCCAGGTTCAAGTGATTCTCTTGCCTCAGCCTCACGAGTACCTGGGATTACAGGCATGTGCCACCACGCCTGGCTGATTTTGTATTTTTAGTAGAGACAGAGTTTCTCCATGTTGGTCAGGCTGGTCTTGAACTCCCAACCTCAGGTGATCTGCCGGCCTCGGCCTCCTAAAGTACTGGGATTACAGGTGTGAGCTACTGCGCCTGGCCTACTTTTTTCTTTGTAGTTCCACTTAATTCATCGTTATTTTGGAAGCTTGAGATAAGTGTTAGTTTATTCAATATCTGCCTTTCTATAAATAATTACTGACTTCTGAAATAAGATTTGGTGGCATCCTATAATCAGCTGACGTCATTCATTTCTAAATGTTAAGTATTGTCATTTTTTTAAACTTTCACCCTATAACTCATTAAATTTTTCAAAAACTTTCCAAACTGTTAAAGTGTCCAATACAGTATAGACACCACGGTGTACGTTAGATTCCCCTGAACTTCTTCATTTTATAACTGAAAGTTTATACGCTTTGGCCAACATTTTTCCATTCTCCCCACCACCAGCCCCTGGCAACAACTGTTCTACCCTGTTCCTATGAATTGGATACTTTAAAATTCTGCTTGTGAGGTCATACAGTAATTGTCTTTTAGTGTCTGTCTTATTTCACCTAGCGTAATGTCTTCCAGGTTCATCCATGTTGTTGCAAATAGCAGGAGAATCGCTTGAACCTGGGAGGCGGAGATTGCATGGTTCATCCATGTTGTTGCAAATAGCAGGATTTTCTTCTTTTTGATGGTTGAATAAGTCCATTATACATATGTACGCATACTATATATATCTATATAAATACACGTACACATAAAGATATGTATACAGACACATCATACATTTTCTTTTTTATTTTTATTGATTGATTTATTTATTTGAGATGGAGTCTTGCTGTGTCACCCAGGCTGGAGCACAGTGGCATGATCTCGGCTCACTGCAACCTCTGCCTCCCAGGTTCAAGCAATTCTCCTGCCTCAGCCTCCTGAGTAGCTGGGACTACAGGTGCATGCCACCACACCCGGCTAATTTTTGTATTTTTAGTAGAGACAGGGTTTCACTGTGTTGGCCAGGATGCTCTCAAACTCCTGACTTCAGTTGATCTGCCCGCCTCTGCCTCCTAAGGTGCTGGGATTACAGGCGTGAGCCACCATGCCAGGACACTTGGTCTTTGTTTAGGAATTTATTATCCTTGCATCCCCCTGGTGCAGTGGGCTGTCTCTCCACATGCTGAGGTCTTCCCTGTGGGCATGGTTGTAGCGCAGAAAGGAATGTGTTGTTTCCAAGCATTAAACAACAGATTTTTCACTTTCAGATTTGACTTGTAAAGAATTAATTATATTGACTGAGAGAGAAGCCCAGAAGAGGAAGAAGAGGAAAGAAAAGGAGTCAGGGATGGCTCTTACACAGGTAAAATGATATTCTTAGTGGATCATTCTGTCTCCTTCCTTTTTGAAATGCGACACATTGGAGTTGCGAATCTCCTCTGAGTCTGAAGCATCCTGCCTGACACGTTTGCTGCCATTCACCCATGCCTTCCCTCAGTTTCTCTCATCTCATTTAGCTTCTATCTCACTGCGACCCAGTGACATTAACTTGGGAAGAGGCTCCACTGGGCATGGTCCTGGGAGAGACTCACACCCAGACACGGATGGAGACGGGGTATGGGCCCCACAATGTCAGAGCTGTTGGCAGCAGAGATTGTTTAGAGGCAAAATCAGGATGCAGTCAGCTCTCTGTAGACCAGAAGTAGAGAAGCTGCACACGGAAGTCACATATTAATGTGCACGATACCTCATAAATTCTGGAAAAGAGACCTATGAGGGGAGATCTTTTCTGCCTAATTTTATACTACATTTGAAGGTGTATGAATTAATCACTGTTTCTAACTTCAAAATCTTAATGACTGGGAATGGAATGGACAATTAGATACACACGTCAGTGATAGAGGGTGTTTATTTTATCATTGATTTTTTTTTTTTTTTTTTTTTTTTTGAGACGGAGTTTCGTTCTTGTTGCCCAGGCTGGAGGGCAATGGTGTGATCTCGGCTCACTGCAACCTCCACCTCCCTGGTTCAAGTGATTCTCATGTCTCAGCCTCCTGAGTAGCTGGGATTACAGGCATGCGCCACCACGCCCGGCTGATTTTTGTATTTTTAGTAGAGATGGGGTTTCACCATGTTGGTCAGGCTGGTCTAGAACTCCCAACCTCAGGTGATCCTCCCGCCTCGGCCTCCCAAAATGCAGGGATTACAGGTGTGACCCACCGTGCCTGGCCCATCATTGATTTTAAAATATAAAATCAACCTGAATGTCAGATTCTTTTAGCCATTGTCACTGTATCCGTCCCACAGAGACTGCGGTGTTCATGCTGGGACTCTTCGCAGTTGTTTTATGTAAAAAGGTTATAATTTTGCTCAGATGTAGGAGCAGAACTCCTTTGTTATTAGAGAAGATGGAGCCAAATTCTCTCATTCCACCAGTTATTACTGAACATCATATTTCTTTTATTTTAAACATCACATAATATATTTGTTTGCAGTAAAAGTCCAAGCAGAGATGCAGTTGAGGCATTAAGAAGTTGGTACAGGCCGGGCGCGGTGGCTCACGCCTGTAATCCCAGCACTTTGGGAGGCCGAGGCGGGCGGATCACGAGGTCAGGAGATCGAGACCATCCTGGCTAACAAGGTGAAACCCCGTCTCTACTAAAAAATAAAAAAAAAAAAATTAGCTGGGCGTGGTGGCGGGGGCCTGTAGTCCCAGCTACTTGGGAGGCTGAAGCAGGAGAATGGCATGAACCCAGGAGGTGGAGCTTGCAGTGAGCCGAGATCGTGCCACTGCACTCCAGCCTGGGCGACAGAGCGAGACTCCGTCTCAAAAAAAAAAAAAAAAGAAGTTGGTACAACATGAAGATGATAGGAAAATAATATTTTATTATATATGAAATTCATGCTATGTTAGATTTTAGCTGTTCCTGTCAAAAAAAAAGGTACCTCTGAGATGATGGATATGTTAATTTGTTAAACCATAGTGACTTTTTTTACTATCTATACTGTAATATCATGTTGTATACCTTATATATACCATAAAATTTATAAGCAAACATAAAACATGGGGCATCAAGGAAACATTTCAGTTTTATGCTAAAAAAAAATTTATAATCTTAAAAAAGGACATTGGCCAGGCGCAGTGGCTCATGCCTGCAATCCCAGCACTTTTGAAGGCTGAGGCAGGCGGATCACCAGGTCAGGAGTTAGAGACCAGCCTGGCCAACATAGTGAAACCCCACCTCTACTAAAAATACAAAAATTAGCCTGGCGTGGTGGCGCATGCCTGTAGTTCCAGCTACTCGGGAGGCTGAGGTAGGAGAATCCCTTGAACCCAGGAGGCAGAGGTTGCAGTGAGCTGAGATTGCACCATTGCACTCCAGCCTGGGTGACAGAGCTAGACTCTGTCTCCAAAAATAAAAATAAAAATAAAAAAAGGACATTAAGGCATATATATTCTGAAAATTTAACTACAGAATATGAAATGGCTGCTAGAATGCAGTAAAAAAAAATTGAGCAAAGAATGAAGATTATTTTATTTTGATTTCTACAAATTAATGAAATGGAAAATGGAAATGCAAAGAGTTATCATTTTCCCCAGATCTTCAACATCTAAAAGAAACATAGTAGTAGGTTTTGTTCAAATGAGTGAGAAATCTCGTGTGATGTTGGTGGGAGAGGGCTGCTTTGCAGCTCAGGGTAGTGGAGAATCTTGCCAGATCTAGCAAAGCAGGAAATGCACCATCCTAGAGGAAGCGATCACTCTTTCAAGTGCCCAACCTGGGGGAACCCAGGTTCCTTTCCCTATCACATCATCCACCATCCCTCATGTTTCTGTGGGGAGCTACTGTTGCAAGTTCTGTGGCAAGAGTCAGTGAGAGGTGTCAAGTTGCATTTACACGTCATTATGAGATTTCAGAAAACAATTCTTCAGTGAATGTTCTGCTGTGAAGTTTTGTTTTGCAAGTTTTTGAAGTGTACATATTTTTATGTTAATAAACACTAATAGTTTGTTTTGCATCCTCTTTGGAGCAGTGCCTAAATGAAGACGTATGGGTCTTTTACTGTTTTTTGCTGTTACAAAGAATGTCACCGTGGCTGCCTGTATGCATGCTATCTTTACCACAGATGTCTGAAGTTTCCTCCAGGTTGGGCAGTTTAAAGAGTGAGTGCCTCTTTTAGGATGGCATACCACAAAAGCAAAAATAAATAAATGTTTTCCTTTATCTTTTTCTGGAAGGCCTGGCTCACAGAGTGATCATAAAATACTATGTTTCTTTTAGATCTAAGGTTTTCTTGCTTACGTTTTCTTTGCATGCATCTTTCTTTTGGTGATGGAATCTGGCTCTGTTGCCCAGGCTGGAGTGCAGTGGCATGATCTGGGCCAACTGCAACCTCCGCCTCCCAGGTTTAAGGGATCCTCCTGCCACAGCTTCCTGAGCAGCTGGGACTATTGGCACTCACCACCATACCCAGCTAATTTTTTTGTATTTTTCAGAGAGAGGGGGTTTCACCATGTTGACCAAGCTGGTCTCAAACTCCTGAACTCAAGTCATCCGCTTGCCTTAGCCTCCAGAAGTGCTGGGATTACAGGCATGAGCCATTGAACCCAGCCTTTGATTATATTATGCCTTTCAGTAAAGCTTGTTTGTTTACTTACAGTTAAGTAATGTTATATATATTCACATTATTTATTGGACTTCCAGAATACATATGTTCTTGGTGCTTGATTGTTTGCCATGAGCCCCTCATGCTCTCTTCATTTTTCTCTGTTTTTTATAGTTTTTGTTTCTCTCCCTGTCAAAATCCCCTTTGAGTTCACTGATTCCTTCTTCTGTCTGATTAAGTCAGCTGTTGAACTCATCTAGTGACTATTTCAACTCAGTTATTTTATTTTTAGCTCTAGTCTTTCTTTCTTTCTCTCTTTTTCTTTCTCTTTCTTTCCTTCCTTCCTTCCTTCCTTCCTTCCTTTTCTCTCTCTCTCTCTCTCCCTCCCTCCTTTCTCTTTCTTTCTCTTTTTTTTTTTTGAGACAGAGTTTCACTCCTGTTGCCCGGGCTGGAGTGCGATGGTGCGATCTCAGCTCACTGCAACCTCTGCCTCCTGGGTTCAAGCAATTCTCCTACCTTAACCTCCTGAGTAGCTGGGATTACAAGCACGCACCACCAAGCCTGGCTAATTTTTTATATTTTTAGTAGAAACGGGATTTCACCATGTTAGCCATGCTGGTCTCAAACTCCTGACCTCAGGTGATTTGCCCTCCTTGGCTCCCCAAAGTGCTGGGATTACAGGTCGTGAGCCACTGCACCCGGCCATTACTCTCTTTCTTTCTCACTTTTTCTTTCCTTCTTTCTTGTTCTTCCCTCCCTCCCTCCCTTCCTTCCTTCCTTCTTTTTCTTTTCCTTCTTTTGTGGCAGGGTTTCACTCTATTGCCCAGGCTGGAGTTCAGTAGAACGATCCATCTAAAACAACAACAACACACACACAATTATAATTTTCTGACTGGGGATTGTGTCCTCTCTGAGCCTTTGCTTGTCATCTCCTAATTGAAGAGGTTTGCTGGTTTCTACTCAGAAGCTCCCCTGTTACCTGTCTGCGCTATTGAAGACTCTGGTGCTGCAGTCACCTATGGTACTAGATCTTACCTAGTGTCTTTCCGTGTTACTGCACACACTGGTTTATGTCAATCTTCTTTTTTCTCAGTGGCCCCTAACCTTTCATCCTGTTCCTTTCAGTGATTATATTCAGGCAAGACAGAAACCAGTTGATAGGCTTTGGTTGTGTCTCCACCCAAATCTCATCTTGAATTTTCAGTAGAGACGGGGTTTCACCATGTTGGCCAGGATGGTTTCGATCTCTTGACCTTGTGATCCGCCCACCTCGGCCTCCCAAAGTGCTGGGATTACAGGCGTGAGCCACCGCACCCGGGCTGTGGAAAGCAGAATTTAAGAGTGATGAACTAAGATGTTTGTTAGAAACACTCTCAAAGCAAATTGTTCAGGTTGCTGCATGGCTTCTCTGACCTGTTTATAGTAAAACAGGAGAAGAGAGAAATGAGTTAAAAACAGTTTGTTTTCAAAGCCCAGTGTAAAGATTTGGAAAATTCTCAGCCTGGCCATGTAAAGAATTAAAAGTGTATTTAGGAGAGAAAACCAAGAGGGGTGTAGCCAAGTGGCCTCTGACAAGGAGATTAGTATGGATAGAAGTAAGCCAGGACCTGATTATTGAGACAATCAGAGAATCATCCCAAAGGCATTTTAGAGATCTTTGAGACTGCTGTGCCCATTGTAGGTCCAGAGTGCCAGGGCCTTGAGGGCAGAATAGTTTCAAGGGAGTGGCCCAGGGTGCCCTTCGGACCTCGGAACTCTGATACCTCAGGTCTGTGATCTCTGTATTTCAGAGCAGAGGTCCTTGGCTACCCCACCTATGACTGAAGTGGGGCCAGGTGCGGACCAGCCACCACTCCAGAGGGCACACACTGTTGGGAGCTAAAAAGGCCAAAGGGATCGTGATCAACTTAGCATTCCACTGGAGGCTATATGATCAAACAGCAAACTGTTTACCATGAATGCAGGATGTGGGCAAACTCACGACTGCGCCTGCCGCCAGAAGGTTTGCTGAGGGCCGTCACTCCCTGGCGCCGGGCTCCTTGAAGTTATCTACTGGGAAATCTAGAGCTTATTGTTGGAAGGATGCAGTCTTGCAAGCCTGCTGTGATCCAAACGGCCGACTGAGTTACCAACAATCACCCCCACTTCTGGTTATCTCTTTTACCTAATAAATTTGGAGGGCTGAAAAAGCTCAGGGCCCTTGTCCACTAGAGGCAAGATGCCCCCTGGCCCCTTCTTCCAAATATACTCTCTTGTCTTTTTCTTTTATTCCCGCGTTCACCCGCTTTGTTCAGTCCACCAGGGATTGAGGTCGGTTACAACACACAAACTGTAAACCTTGGCAACATCAACACAGTGCTAACTAAAAGTGTGCAGAGGGCATGAGATGTGGACTCACGGTTACTTCCATCTAGATTTCAAAGAATGCCTCAGAGATCCTTGGAGCCTAGGCATAAAAATGCCATAGGAGTGAGGCTGTCCCTGGAAGTCCCCACTAAGGCAATGCTCAGTCTAGCTGTGGAGGTGGGGCCAACTTCAGAGAGTCCCTGTTAGGATAAGGTCCAGTAAAGCCCTGGGAGCAGGGCCACCTTTGAGACCCCAAAACTGTAGAGTCACCGGTATGTGATTCCAGCTCGGGAGAGCTGCAGGCACTGTGAGAACTTCCATGTGGGGTGATCCCAACAAAACCACTAGGGCAGGGATCCCCAGGATGTTGGGACCCAACCTCTACTCCAGGATGTCTAGAAGGTGGGACACGGAGTCAAAGATTATTGTCAAGCCTTAGTGTTTAATGTGTATGCCCTGTTGGGTTTCAGCCTTACATGGGAACAGCTACCCCTTCTTTCCTGTTTCTCCCTTTTGGAATTGAAATATTTAACCTGTGTCTGCCCCACCATTGTATTTTGGAAGCACATAACTCGTTTGCTTTCATAGGTTCACAACTAGAAAGCAGTTTGCCTTTGGATGAAATGCATGTTTGAGTCTCACCCATATCTGATTTAGATTATAGTTAGATACAACTCTAGACTATAGGCTTTTGAATTGGTTGTAGAAATAAAGCTTTGGGAGCCATTAGGATAGAATGTATTTTGTTTGTGAGAAGTATATCAATTTTGGGGGCCAGGGGTGGAATGTTACAGTCTGAGTTTTTTTTTTTTTTCTCCTCCACAATTCATGTTGAAACTTAATCCCCAGTGCCTAATCTTTAAATGTTATGAGTCGTGGCCTTTAGGAGGAGATTGGATCATGAGAAGTCTGCCTTTATCAGTGGGTATGGTGTTCTCGTCAATGAGATATCAAAAGGCTTATTCTACGGAGTTCACTGCTTTTTGCCCTTTCTGTCCCTTCTGCCATGTGGGGACAACAGCATTCGTCCCCTGTGCAGCAACAAGACCATCTTGGAAGCGAGGATCATCTCTCACCAGACATCAGTCCTGCTGGCACCTTGATCTTGGATTTCCCCAGCCAGCAGAATCATGAGAAATACATTTCTATTGTTCATAAATTACCCAGTCTGTTTTACTTGGTACAGCAGCACAGAGAGACTAAGACATACCGTAACCATAATTTAACCATTTGTTTCTTTTGATTCAAGACTGATTCTCAGACATCTGGATTTAGATGCCTGCTCTGCCATTTTCAGGTTGTTGACCTAGGTGACTTTTTAGCGTTTTCTGTGACATAGTTGTCTCCTAGTAACATGGGAACAAATCTCTCTATCTCTCTATCTATTATGTTATTATTTGAATTAGAACATGTAAAGCATTTGGAGTAATGCCCAGCACATGGGGAGTGTTCCAAAACTTCAGTCATTGCTGTTGCTGTGGTCATCACAGTTTTTAGTTTCTGACCTTTCTTTAAAGCTTCTATGGACATTGTCATCTCCAAGACACCACTTGTATACTAGCTCATCTGGACACTCAGTTGATATATTGAACATAATATCTAATACTTATACAGATAACCACGTGTTCATTTCTTTGTATATTTCTTGCATTGTACACAAAAATGAGAAGCCTACACTGATTTACGGGATATCATAATCTTCTATTGAATTTTAAAACAAACTTAAATTAGGGACACATAACCTTCTCACAGATGCCTTGCATGGATATGTGAAAACACACAATCAAATTGATGTGACAGTTCTCTCCTCTTCTCATTTTATGTATAGATAAGAGCTCTCCCATTGCTCATGTTGAAATGTGTTTTTCATTTCAGGGACCTTTGACATTCAGGGATGTAGCCATAGAATTCTCTCAGGAGGAGTGGAAATCCCTGGACCCTGTGCAGAAAGCTTTGTACTGGGATGTGATGTTGGAGAACTACAGGAACCTGGTCTTCCTGGGTAAGGATAATTTTGCTCTAGAAGTTAAGATCTGCCCTCGTGTATTTTTGTATTTTCTCTGTTGTCTTTCTTGGGAGCCCTTCCATTATTTGACTGAGACTGAAGCCTTGTTGACTCACAAATAAAAAGCTTCATAATGCTGCATCTGGCCTTTCATTTCCCATATCATCACACTATCCCCTTTTTGAATGTCTTCCCTTGTTGTCCTGTGCCCTTAGTAGAATTCCCATATTTAAGTATTAGTCAGTATAATGGTACTTTTTTTTTTTTTTTTTTTTAATGGAGACAGAGTCTAGCTTTGTCTCCCAGGCTGGAGTGCAGTGGCGTGAACCCAACTCACTGCAACCTCCGCCTTCTGAGTTCAAGCAATTCTCCTACCTCAGCCTCCTGAGTAGCTGGGACTACAGGCTCACACCACCACTCCCGGCTAATTTTTTGTATTTTAGTAGTGACGGAGTTTCACCATGTTGCCCAGGCTGGTCTCAAACTCCTGAGCTCGGCAGTCTGCCCGCCTTGGCCTCCCGAAGTGCTAGGATTACAGGCGTGAGTCACCACGCTACTTCTAAATTAGTATCTCTCTTTTCTTCCAAAGTCAGGATTTTAACTATTCTTTGGGCAATTATATACCCACAGCTCTGCAAGCACAAACGCTGCTGCCCCATGCTTATAACTCTTTGCCCTCCCCTCTTGCCCTTCCTCCTCCCTGCCTCTTCCAAACATATTACTTTGGTCCAGATGGACTACCCAGTTACTTACTAGCATATTAATTTTACACTCCCATTATTGCAGTACTCCCTCACCTTCCATGTTACACTCAGTGTAACTCATTCACTTGACAACTTTCTGAGAACACTGTCTATGTCAATATGTGCAGGGGATGATGGCTCAGATACTGTTATTCATGAAGGGTGACTGAATAATGTTTTGGCAACACACATTGGCTCTTGAAGTATTTCTTTCCACACTCTTGGTATTTGGAGTGACCAGTTATCTGCACTGACTGTTTGGCCAGTTTTATTTAAAAACATGTTTGATCCCGGAAACCCAGGTTCATGTCTTACTTTCTTCGTAATTTGGGTGTAGATACATAAATCCTGTGGGCAGTCTTACTGTCCTTATTTGTAAAATAGTGATAATTTATCTTAAGATTTTTTAAAACAAGTTAGTGCTGTTTGCTAGCTTAGAATATTGCATGTTTTATAGTAAAGACTCACAAATTTCTTTGTTTAATAAGGTATATCAACATTATTTCATGTTTATAATGAGATGGCATATTAGCTTTAACTTAATGTGGTTAGGTATAGCAGATACCATAGATAGGGTCGTTTAAACAACAGGAAGTCACTTTTCACAGATCTGGGTGATGAGCAGTCCACATGTCAGAGCCAGTCACCTTGGTTCTTGGTGTGGGCCATTTTCCTGGTGTATCATGACTAACTCTTTCTGTGTCCTCACATGGCAGAAGGATTGCCGTGCAAAAAGCAAAAGCTTTTTCACATCTACTCAAATTCCTATTCCGTTCCTGAAATTCTATCTACCATGGTGACCTAATTGCCTCCCAAAGTTCACACCTCCAAGTAATATTACATTGAGGATTAGGACCCCAACATACGAGTTTTGGCAGACATAAGTCAATATAGCTGACTTGCACTGCTTGTTAGTGTTGCAAATGTCTATTTTTTATGGAAATAGATAGTTTTTTGTTTGTTTGTTTGTTTTTCCGAGACAGAGTCTTGCTCTGTCACCCAGACTGGAGTGCTGTGGCGCGATCTCAGCTCACTACAACCTCTGCCTCCTGGGTTCAAGCAATTCTCCTACCTCAGCATCCCAAGTAGCTGGGATTACAGGTGCACACCACCATGCCTGGCTAATTTTTGTATTTTTAGTAGAGACGGGGTTTCATCATGTTGGCCAGGCTAGTCTCGAACTCCTGACCTCATGATCCACCCACCTCAGCCTCCCAAAGTGCTGGGATTACAGGTGTGAGCCACTGCGCCCGGCCAGAAATAGGTAGTTTTAGAACAGGTTTAATACTTATATAATAAGTATTCAGAAAAATAACTTAGTGTTATAACTTCAAAAAATTCTTTCTCATTTTCCCAGTACTATTTTTGATTTATAATTCTAGCTTGCCATTTATATAGAACATTAATTAGTTGAACTTGTTGATATTTAGCTGTAATTTGACATTTATTCATGCACAATAAATATGAAGTAAATATATATGTATATAACTATTTTCTCTTCTGAGAGAGCCATATGTTTGCTGCCAGTTGATGTATGATTTGGGGGCATGGTGGAAAAATACTTGTTTTAGTGCTAATATATGTTTGCACAACATGAGTCTTTCAGTCATTGAATGTTTGAAACTAGGTTTCCTTAAAATTAATTTGAATTACATGTGATTACTCTTTCTTTACTGAAGAATTCTACTCCTTTTTTATTTGTAAAAATAGAAGATCATTGTGGTAAAGTTTGGTAACTGTCTAGTATAAACGTTACTTTTAGTGTAGTATGTTTTCAATATAAAATATTTATGAATAGTAGTTATTTAAAAAAAAACAAATAATACTAGTTATTTTTAAAATCTATGTTCGGCCAGGCGCAGTGGCTCACACCTGTAATCCCAGCACTTTGTGGGGCCGAGGTGGGCGGATCACGAGGTCAGGAGTTCGAGACCAGCCTGGCCAATATGGGGAAACCCTGTCTCTACTAAAAATATAAAAATTAGCCAGGTGTGGTGATGTGTGCCTGTAGTCCCAGCTACTCAGGAGGCTGAGGCAGAAGAATAGCTCGAACCCAGGAGGTGGAGGTCACAGTGAGCTGAGATTGTGCCACTCCACTCCAGCCTGGGCAACAGAGCAAGACTCTGTCTCAAAAAAAAAAACCAACGAAAAAACTCCCATGTTCATTATATTTTGTAGGTATCCTTCCTAAATGTATGACCAAGGAATTACCACCAATAGGGAACAGTAATACAGGAGAAAAATGCCAAACAGTGACGCTGGAAAGACATGAATGTTATGATGTTGAAAATTTTTACTTAAGGGAAATCCAGAAAAATCTACAGGACCTTGAGTTTCAATGGAAAGATGGTGAAATAAATTATAAAGAAGTGCCAATGACCTATAAAAACAATCTTAATGGTAAAAGAGGTCAACATAGTCAAGAGGATGTAGAAAACAAATGTATTGAAAATCAGCTTACATTAAGCTTTCAGTCACGTCTGACTGAACTGCAGAAATTTCAAACTGAAGGGAAAATTTATGAGTGTAACCAATCTGAGAAGACAGTTAATAACAGTTCCCTAGTTTCACCACTTCAAAGAATTCTTCCTAGTGTCCAAACCAACATTTCTAAAAAATATGAGAATGAGTTTTTGCAGCTGTCATTACCCACCCAACTTGAGAAAACACACATTAGGGAAAAACCTTATATGTGTAAAGGGTGTGGCAAAGCCTTTAGAGTGTCTTCAAGTCTTATTAACCATCAGATGGTACATACTACAGAGAAACCTTACAAATGCAATGAATGTGGCAAAGCCTTTCATCGGGGCTCACTACTAACTATACATCAGATAGTCCATACAAGGGGGAAGCCATATCAATGTGGTGTATGTGGCAAGATCTTCAGACAAAATTCAGATCTTGTAAATCACCGGAGAAGTCACACTGGAGAGAAACCGTACAAATGTAATGAATGTGGCAAGTCCTTTAGTCAAAGTTATAACCTTGCAATACATCAGAGAATTCACACTGGAGAGAAACCTTACAAATGTAATGAGTGTGGGAAAACCTTCAAACAAGGCTCATGCCTCACTACACATCAGATAATCCATACAGGAGAGAAACCATATCAATGTGATATATGTGGCAAGGTCTTCAGGCAGAATTCTAATCTTGTAAATCACCAGAGAATCCACACTGGAGAGAAACCATACAAATGCAACATATGTGGAAAGTCCTTTAGTCAAAGTTCCAACCTGGCAACTCATCAGACAGTTCATAGTGGAAACAAACCTTACAAATGTGATGAGTGTGGCAAAACCTTTAAACGGAGCTCCAGCCTCACTACACATCAGATAATCCATACAGGAGAGAAACCATATACATGTGATGTATGCGACAAGGTCTTCAGTCAACGTTCACAACTTGCAAGGCACCAGAGAAGTCATACTGGAGAGAAACCTTACAAATGCAATGAATGTGGCAAGGTCTTCAGTCAGACTTCACATCTTGTGGGGCATCGGAGAATTCATACTGGAGAGAAACCTTACAAATGTGATAAATGTGGTAAAGCCTTTAAACAGGGCTCATTACTCACTCGACATAAGATAATTCATACCAGAGAGAAACGTTACCAATGCGGTGAATGTGGAAAGGTCTTTAGTGAAAATTCATGCCTTGTAAGACATTTAAGAATTCATACTGGGGAGCAACCTTACAAATGTAATGTGTGTGGCAAGGTCTTCAATTACAGTGGAAACCTTTCAATTCATAAGAGAATACATACGGGAGAGAAACCTTTCCAATGTAATGAATGTGGCACAGTCTTCAGGAACTACTCATGCCTAGCACGTCATCTAAGAATTCATACTGGGCAGAAACCTTACAAATGTAATGTGTGTGGCAAGGTCTTCAATGACAGTGGAAACCTTTCAAATCATAAGAGAATTCATACTGGAGAGAAGCCGTTTCAATGTAACGAATGCGGCAAGGTTTTCAGTTACTACTCATGCCTAGCACGTCATCGGAAAATTCATACCGGAGAGAAACCTTACAAATGTAATGATTGTGGCAAAGCCTATACTCAGCGTTCAAGCCTCACTAAACATCTGATAATTCATACTGGAGAGAAACCTTACAATTGTAATGAGTTTGGAGGGGCATTTATCCAAAGTTCAAAACTTGCAAGATATCACAGAAATCCTACTGGGGAGAAACCACACAAATGTAGCCATTGTGGTAGAACTTTTAGTCATATAACAGGCCTGACGTACCATCAGAGAAGGCATACTGGAGAGATGCCATACAAATGTATTGAATGTGGCCAGGTCTTTAATTCCACTTCGAACCTTGCAAGGCATCGGAGAATTCACACTGGAGAGAAACCTTACAAATGTAATGAATGTGGCAAGGTCTTTCGTCATCAATCAACACTAGCACGTCATCGGAGTATTCATACTGGAGAGAAACCTTACGTGTGTAATGAGTGTGGCAAAGCCTTTAGAGTGCGTTCAATTCTGGTTAATCATCAGAAAATGCATACTGGGGACAAACCTTACAAATGTAATGAATGTGGTAAAGCTTTTATTGAAAGGTCAAAGCTGGTGTACCATCAAAGAAATCACACTGGAGAGAAGCCATACAAATGTATTGAATGTGGCAAGGCCTTTGGGCGGTTTTCTTGCCTCAACAAACACCAAATGATTCATTCTGGAGAAAAACCTTATAAATGTAATGAGTGTGGCAAATCTTTCATTAGTCGCTCAGGCCTCACTAAACATCAGACAAAACATACTGCAGAGAGTCTTAAAACAAAATTCAATGTGGAAAAGCCTTTAGATGTTCTCCTAACTTCTGGGTTCAAATAATTCATACTTATTGATATAGCTTGTATATTTGTCACTTCCGTCTGAAATCTCATGTGGAATTTTAATCCCCTTTATTGGAGGTGGGGCCTGGTGGGAGATGATTGGATCACAGGGGTGGATTTCTCAAGAATGGTTTAGCACCACCCGCTTTTTGCTCTTCTTGGGATAGTGAGTTCTGGTGAGATCTTGTTTTTTTGTTTGTTTTGCTTTTTTGAGACGGAGTCTCTCTCTGTCGCCAGGCTGGAATGCAGTGGCGTGATCTAGGCTCACTGCAACCTCTGCCTCCCAGGTTCAAGTGATTCTCCTGCCTCAGTCTCCCTGAGTAGCTGGGACTACAGGTGCACACCACCATGCCTGGCTAATTTTTGTATTTTTAGTAGACATGGAGTTTCACCATGTTGGCCAGGATGGTCTCAATTTCTTGACCTAGTGATCTGCCTGCCTCGGCCTCCCAAAGTGCTGGGATTATAGGTGTGAGCCACTGCGCCTGGCTGAGATCTTGTTGGTTAAAAGTGTATGGCACGTTAGGCATGGTGGGTCATGCCTGTAATCCCAGCATTTAGGGAGGTTGGAGCAGGCAGATCACTTGTGGCCAGGTGTTCAAAACCAGGCTGGTCAACGTGGTGAACAGTTGTCTCTACTAAAATATAAACATTAGCCAGGCATGGTGATGCATGCCTGTAATCCCAGCTACTCAGGAGGCTGAAGCATGAGGATCACTTGAACCCAGGAGACAGAGGTTGCAGTGAGCCAAGATCGTGCCAGTGCACTCCAGCCTGGGTGACAGCGAGACCCTGTCTCCAGAAAAAAAAAAAAAAAAAAAAAAAAGTGTATGGAACTTTCCTCTCTCTTGCTCCTATTCTTGCCATGTGACATGCCCACTCCCCTTTTTCCTTCCACCATGATTTTAACATTCCTGAGGCTTCCTCGGAAGGTGAGCAGATGCCAGCACCATGTTTCCTGTAAAGCCTGCAGAACTGTGAGTCAATTAAACTTCTTTATAAATTACCCAGCCTCGGATAGTTCTTTATAGCAATTCAAATATGGCCCAATACATTTACACATGCAGTAAATGTAGCTAAGTTTTAAGGTATTGTTCACTACTCACTTGGCATAAGAATGTACATACTAGAAGGCCGGGTGTGGTGGCTCACACTTGTAATCCTAGCACTTTGGGAGGCTGAGGTGGGCAGATTGCCTGAGCTCAGGAGTTTGACACCAGCCTGGGCAACAGAATGAAACCCCGTCTCTACTAAAATACAAAAAATTAGCCAGGTATGGTGGCATGTGCCCATAGTCCCAGCTACTTTGGAGGCTGAGGGAGGAGAATTGCCTAAACCCGGGAGGTGGAGGTTGCAGTGAGCCAAAATCACACCACTGCACTCCAGCCTGAGCGACAGAGCAAGACTTTGTCTCCAAAAAAAAAAAAAAAAAAAAAAAGAATATACATATTGGAGAGAAATTACTGAAATGCAGTATGTGTGGCAAGAATTCTATTCAAAGATCAAAACTTGTGGATCTATAGATAATTCATAGTGCAGAGATGCTTTACAAATGAAAAGAGTGTGGCAAAACCTTTACCAGAGTTCAATCCCTACTGGACAGAAGGGAGTTTATACTGATAGGAAATCTACACGTATGTGCCAGAGACTTTCCCCAGGCATCGGAACTCACGAGACATCAAAATATACAACTTTGAGAGGAACCACACAAACGTAATATGTGTGGTAAGGCTTTTACCTGAACATCAAAATGGAAACCAGAGTATTCATACTGAAGAGCTACCTTACAAATGTAACAAATGTAGTAAGACTTTTTAAAAAATCAAATGTTCGGCCAGGTGCGGTGTCTCACGCCTGTAATCCCAGCACTTTGGGAGGCCGAGGCAGGTGGATCATGAGGTCAGGAGATCGAGACCATCCTGGCTAACATGGTGAAACCCCGTCTCTACTAAAAATACGAAAAATTAGCTGGGCGAGGTGGTGGGCGCTTGTAGTCCCAGCTACTTGGGAGGCTGAGGCAGGAGAATGGCATGAATCCAGGAGGTGGAGCTTGCAGTGAGCCAAGATCGTGCCTCCAGACTGGGCGACAGAGCGAGACTCTGTCTCAAAAAAAAGAAAAAAAAAATCAAATGTTCATGCTTTTGGAGTGAGAGAATTTATATAGGAGAAAAATCCTATGAATGTGCTGAACATGAAAGGGACTTTAAGCAGTAGTGTGTTTTCAGTCTTTACCAAATTCATACTGGAGAGAAACCTTACAAATGTAATCAGTGTGGTAAAATTTAAAACCAGTTCTCACAACAGACTACACATCCTTGAAATCATACTAGGGATAACCAAGCCTGCTTCTCCAAGATTGGCCTGGAATATTACATACTACACAATAACTACAAGACAAAATTTGTTAAAACTCAGGACGTTATGTATGTCAAAGGAGCCAGAACATATGTGGAAAAGGCCAATTCAGTTTATAAAATATTGTATTCAATTTGAGGTTTTTGTTTTGTTTTGAGAGAGTCTTTGGTCTTTCCTCCAGGCTAGTGTGCAGTGGCGTTATCTCAGCTCACTGCAACCTCCACCTCCCAGGACTTCTCACATTCCCCCACCCCTGGTTTTTTTTAATGATGATTTTAACTCTCCCATCTAATGCCTTTTTCTTTTTAAAAATTTTTCAGAGAAATCATTTTAGAAGAACATGAGTCTCTGTTCTTAGTTTTCCTCTGATCCCTCATGGCTAGGACAGTTTATTCCTAGAGAGGGAGGTCCCATATTATTAGGAAAGCTCACATTTTGCACGTTGTGAAGTCTCATGTCCTGCGGAGAGAAAATGGGGGGAGAAAGGGAGAGAAACAACAAACAGAAAAATAACAATTTCGGAAAATTGACATGGGCCATATTACTCTGAAGTTCATACATCAGTAGCCAGGTATGAAAGTGCCTTATATATGTAAATAGGCTGTTACTATCTTCTTCTGACATTTAAGTTGTCTAGCTTCGGTTCTCAGGGCTTTAAGAAAGCACAGCTTAGTTTTTAGTGATTTGAAATTAGAAAAATCGGGGAAGAAGGAGGGAAAAAATTAAAAACATTATTTTGGAGATGTGTAGCCCAGAAAAGTTAGAATTCAGTCCAAACTTTAGAAAATAATAAAAATTGAAAAACAATAGGCGAGACTAGAGTCTAACAACAGATGTACTGTAGTTTTTGAAACATAATTTTTCTCACTCCAGTTTCCTGTTTTTACTAAAGACCAATCATGGTATGACTGATTTGCTTTATTATTCTTGGCCTGTTTATACGTATAAGTGCAGCAAGAATCATTATTTTTCACACAGACTCTTTATATTGGCTTTGATGGAAGTTTGTTCCACAAAAGGAATATCAGGTAAGACTTTTTAAAAGCCAAGCCCAGCCATTGCCATGTATCACCAAATACCTATGAGTTGGGTAAATTCCTCTCCTCTTGAGGTCCCAAGATAACTTGGAGTTCCTGGGCCTATCAGAAAGGGACATTCTTTACTTAACACAGGTCAGAAACCCTGTATAGGGATGCTGTAGGCAGGGTATGAGACTAGTTTTCCAAGGGGCTTTAATGGGCTCTATGAATCAAGTTTGATTCCTTAAAGGAAAGCACACCATTTCAGTCAAAGCCTTGGTAAAATAGCCATTTTCTCTGATGGTATTCTGTTGCAAAAGAAAACTTTTTTTTTTTTTCCAAGACAGGGTTTCACTCTATTAACCAGGCTGGAGTGTAATGGTGTGATCTTGGCTCACTGCAACATCCACTTCCCAGGTTCAAGCAATTCTTGTGCCTCAGCCTCCCAAATAGCTGGGATTATATGCATGCACCACCACACCTGGCTGATTTTCATATTTTTTGTAGAGATGGGGATTTTCCATGTTGGCCAGGCTGGACTTGAACTCCTGGGCTCAAATGATCCGCCTATGTCAGCCTCCCAACGTGCTGGGATTACAGGCTTGAGCCACCATGACCAGCTAAAAAAAAATCTTATTGCACTTATGCAAATAACTGTATTGCCATAAGTTATGAATACTCACAAATAGTTTCCAAATTCCAGATAATTCAAAAGCAGAGAGACAAATATGCACCAAAATTTGTTTACAGGAGTATACTTTCCTCAGTTGTTAACAGCTGCCAACAGCTCATAAGAAAAGTTTTCTTGTCTCTGAAAACAAAACAAAGGATCAGCAACAATTTTTTTTTTTTTTTTTTTTTTTTTGGGATGGAGTCTCGCTCTGTCGCTCAGACTGGAGTGCAGTGGCATTATCTCGGCTCACTGCAACCTCTCCCTCCTGGGTTCAAGTGATTCTTTTGCCTCAGCCTCCTGAGTAGCTGGGATTACAGGCGTGTGCCACCTCCATGCCCAGCTAATTTTTGTATTTTTAGTAGAGACGAGGTTTCACCCTGTTGGTCAGGCTGGTCTTGAACTGCTGACCTCGTGATCCACCCACCTCGGCCTCCCAAAGTGCTGGGATTACAAGTGTGAGCCACCACGCCCAGCCTTTTTTTTTTTTTTTTTGAGATGGAGTTTTGCTCTTGTGGCCCCGGCTGGAGTGCAGTGGCATGATTTTGGCTCACTGCAACCTCTGCCTCTTGGGTTCAAGCAATTCTCCTGCCTCAGCCTCCTGAATAGCTGGGTTACAGACACATGCCACCAAGCCCAGCTAATTTTTGTATTTCTAGTAGTAGGGAGGGGGTGTCACCATGTTGGCCAGGCTGGTCTTGAACTCCTTACCTCAAGTGATCTGCTCACCTAAGCCTCTCAGAGTGCTAGGATTACAGGCATGAGCCACTGCACCCGGCCAAATCACCTTGTGAAGAGGATCAAAATAAGACAACAATTGTCCATAAATGACAAAAAAGTCTTAGGACAGCCACTATTAAAGCACAATTGACTAGAACTTTTGGTTACTTCTGTGGCATACAATAATTTTACATAATAATTACAATTATTAATAACATACATGAAGTCATATCACAGTTACAAGAGTTTCTCATAATTTTGGAACACATGCCAATAACATATTTATACAAATACAGCCCAAAGAAAGCCAAACACCATTTCCTATTTGACAATGCTTTCTGTTTGATTTTTATACCAAATAAACTTAATGTGCCTCTTTCGGACTTCAGGGAACTAATATGAAAAGATTAATGAGGACCCAATTTAAAGTTTGACAAAAAATATTTGACAAACTTTAAAGTGCTTGACATCACAAAATAGGATCAGAGGCCATTGTAAAATAAGTCCTTCATTTAACCAAAGTGATACCACAAAGATTTCATAAAAAGGTGCAAACCATTATTTTTTGAGAGAGGACACTTAATTTCTCAAACAATAATCCCTAATAAAGAGAGCATGAGGCTAATTAAATTTGTTATTCAAAATTTTGTAAACAATCTAAAATTTTAATCATCTTGCCCATAAGATATGATTTCCAGAAGCCTTTTTACTACCATTGTAATCTTTATTATGGAGTGGGTCAATGCTCCAAGAAAACCTTGTTAATCTGACAAAGAGGCTCATATGCTGGTCTTGCATCAGTGTGCCTTTGACATCAATGGTTAATTTATAGAGAAACTGAACTTATTTTATCTCTCCAGGTAAGCTCTTGCAATTTCATGTGCCCACCTCTTCTGTAATAGCCCCTGGGCCTTGAGGAGTTGAATAGTTTTACTTTCTTGTCCTGCGTCTCAAGAACACAGTTTATTTTGATTGGCATCTTCTATTAGGTCTGAAAATGAGGCTTTAACTGCTGTCAGTGTTTAAGATTTAGCAGGACTTGGTGTCCTTTTTAGACCCAGACGTCAAAGCTCTGTAACTTAGTGACACAAGGACTTTAAAAGCACATACAGGCCAGGCATGGTGGCTCACACCTGTAATCCCAGCACTTTGGCAGGCCAAGGTGGCAGATCACTTGAGGTGAGGAGTTTGACACCAGGCTGGCTAACATGGCGAAACCTCATCTTTACTAAAAATACAAAAAAATTATCCGGGCATGGTGGTGTGTGCCTGTAATCCCAGCTACTCGGGAGGCTGAGGCACAAGAATCCCTTGAACCTGGAGACAAGGTTGCAGTGAGCCAAGATGATGCCACTGCACTCCAGCCTGAGTGACAAAGTGAGACTCTCTTTAAAAAAAAAAAAAAGCACATACAGAAAATACATGGATGTGATAACCTTAATTAAAAAAAAATTTTTTAATTTCAGTTTTTTTCTAACCAAACCAAACTTAGTAATAATGACATAGGAATTATTTTGATAAAGTGTAAGATCTGTTTATTAGGCCAGTTATCTAAAGGCAAAAGAAAAGACCTCCTCCAGTGCAACTGCTGTTTCCTATGGGGAATATTACATTGAAAGGAAACATTTCCTTTAGACCTCTAGGATAAAACATTTTGTTGATGTTGGCATGAGGCCACAACAGTTAGAAACTAAAAGAGAAAAACTTACAGGAGCTGAAAATTAGTTGAAGGATAGAGTTATTATTTCAGGCCTTTTAAAAGAGGAGAGAAAGCTGAAAACAGCAAGACACAATAAAAGTTGAACTTTGTGTAAAAAAATTATAGTGTCTTGTAATAATATATTAAGAGTAAAGCAATACCTTAGGAAAATTTTGTATTTTGATCCAATTATTTAGTCTATAAGTGGTTTTTTTAAGGATCAAAACCCAGTCACTAGAAAGACCATTATAATTTCTGTTTAATTTATATACAACTTGAAATATAAAAGGTTTTTTTTTTTTCATAAATCCTCTTATTAATGACTTACACAGACCATTCATGACAGGCTTGGGCACCCACCTCTTCACCTTTCTTCTGCTCCTACTCATTCCACCCTTTATCCAAACTCCAATTCCCTCTGCTATTTTCCTGCCTCAATAGTATTTGGCAGGGATAACTATGAAATTGCTTGATCAATAAATGCAAACAAAAATGTATGCTGGCAATTCTTAAGACATTTCTAATATTATTTTACCAATACTTTTTTTTTTTTTTTTTTGAAACAGAGTCTTGCCCTTTTGCCCAGGCTGGAGTGCAGTAGTGTGATCTTGGCTCACCACAACCTCTGCCCCCTGGGTTCAAGAGATTCTCCCACCTCAGCCTCCCGAGTAGCTGGGGTTACAGGTGCCCAACACCATGCCTGGCTAATTTTTGTAGTTTTAGTAGAGATGGGGTTTCACCATGTTGACCAGGCTGGTCTTGAACTCCTGACCTCAGGTGATCCACCTGCCTCAGCCTCCCAAAGTGCTGGGATTACAGGCATGAGCCACCATGCCTGGCCTATTTTACCAATACTTTTAAAGCTAACTTATTAAAGATTTTACTTAAGTCATGTGAACTTGAGAAACATTTTGGCTTATTATTTAATTTACGAGGACTCTTTAAGCCAATTTAGCGCCTTGTGTCCAAAACACAACAAAATACGTATACAAACACATTAGCACACACATACATTCTCATATAACCAAAGATCATGTAGCTTTTACTTCAGAACTTTAATCATGAGGTATTAGTAGAAACTCATTGGTTTTCAAAAAGAAATTGCAAACAGTGGATTTTATCTCATTAGAAAAGTAGCAGTGGACTTCAAGCAGGCAGAAAAGAAAGCAGAGAGAGAACTTGGGAACTTTACAGTTGCAGGCTGACCTTTGGGCTCTGAATTTTCCTTCATGTACTTCTGCACAAAAAGACCATATAAGTTCATGTCACACAAACACTTGCAAGAAGAGGTGCCATAAAACCAAAGGAGTGCCTGAAAGGGGCGTCATTCTTCTGGTTTTCTCCTCGTTCTTAGATTATTTGGTTCCCACTTTTTTTGTTTGTTTGTTTCCTTAAAAGGAGAAAAGGAGATGTGGCCTAGGGTTTTGTGGAGTAGGTCAAAGTATGTGCTGCTTGCAAAAGAGACTCCGCAGTGTGTTACCACTGAGTCACTGCCGCCCTCCTATGTGTCTCAGTTTCTCCTCCGGAGGTCTAAGCACCTCCAGGAGGGCTCAAAGCACAAGTTACTAGCACCCATATGCACCTCCTGGATTAGTCTTTTTAAAACTAATTTTGTGGGGGTTCTCTGTAGAGCCACTACACATCACGGTGGGTCAACTTCCCAGATACTCCCATGAGGCCCCCGGTCACCTAGGGGTGCCTATCAGCTGCAAGGAGCAAAATGCTCTTTCTGTTCGAAGCTGAGGATACTCAGTCACTCATTTACCTATGAAAACAACAATTTGGATCCTCATGTAAATGTGAACAGACAGGCCAAACTGAAATTGATTTTGAGAGAAAAAGCAGTAGAGAAGACCCCTTTAAAATGCATCTGTGTACTAGAAGAAGGATTCTTTTTTTTTTTTTTGAGACAGAGTCTCTCTCTGTTGCCCAGGCTGGAGTGCAGTGGCACAATGTCAGTTCACTGCAACCTCGGCCTCCTAGGTTCAAGCAATTCTCTGTCTCAGCCTCCTGAGTAGCTGGGATTACAGGTGCCCGCCACCATGCCCGGCTACTTTTTGTATTTTTAATAGAGACAGAGTTCACCATCTTGGCCAGGCTGGTCTTGAACTCCTGATCTTGTGATCCACCTGCCTCAGCCTCCCAGTGTGCTGGGATTACGGGCTTCAGCCACCAGCCAGGCCACTAGTCTTTTTTAAACAGGTAGGTCTTGAGTGTACTAAGACTAAGAACTCACTCATTATCATGGAGAAAGCACCAAGCCATTCAGAAGAGACCCAACCCCATTACCCAAGCACCTTTCACTCGGCCCACCTTCAACAATTTGGGTCATATTTCAACATGAGATTTGGAGGAAACACATATCACTGTTCCTTACCACCAGATACCAGCAACACCACCAATTGTGACAATCAAAAATGTCTCCAGACATGTGCAAACGTTTCCTGGAGAGGGGGCATCATTCTTGGAAATACCACCTGCCAGTATAGAGATCAAGAAAGCAGAAGGTGCTTGGGCCGGGTGTGGTGGCTCACGCCTGTAATCCCAGCACTTTGGGAGTCTGAGGTGGGTGAATCACGAGGTCAGGAGTTCAATACCAACCTGGCCAAGATGGTGAAACCCTGTCTCTACTAAAAATACAAAAAAATTAGCCAGGCGTGGTGGCAGGCACCTGCAATCCCAGCTATTCAGGAAGCTGAGGCAGAGAATTGCTTGAAACCAAGAGGTGGAGGTTGCAGTGAGCTGAGATCATGCCACTGCACTCCAGCCTGGGTGACAGAGTGAGACTTCATCTCAAAACAAAACAAAACAAACAAAAAGAAAGCAGAAGGTGCTAATGTGCCATATGGCTTTCAACTGCACTTGACACAATATTTTGTAAATTCTTCAAAAATGAGTTAGCTGATTTTCAAGCAATGTTTAAGTCTGCAGCAGTAGCTCATCTGCAACTGATAAAACTCACATTTGAGAAGTGGTTTGAGGGGCAACAGCAAGTTAAAATTATAACAAAGTCCAAGTCAAGGCCATAGCCCTAACGTTCTTTGAAATAACCTGCCAGTTGATTAAGGTAACTCTTGTGAAATTGTTTTTTGAGAGTGGATGAAATGGCAAGTGTAGTAAATAGAAACTAGACTGTGGCCCAAGAAGTTCAAAAGCACTGGAATAAAATTCTGAAACTAAGGAAGGGTTCCTAAAACTCGTGGGTATAGCTAAAGTCATGGGTTTAGCTTTGAAAATGTCTCTATTTTGAAATGGCATCAGATAAAATGCTATCTTTTGTTATACTTTTCATAATGTTATACTTTTGAGACTTCTATCAGTCCATAGTATTTTATAAAAACAAAATTAAATTTAGACTTATAATAGTCTTTGGGATGGTACATTGAAGTGGAAAAGAAGTAGCTGGGGAAAGATGCTTACTGCAGAAGGAGGGCATACTTTCTGATACTGCATGAGGGATGTCATCGGGTGAAGTTAAGAACGACAAAATATAGTGGACTGGAAACCTATTCTCAGGAGAACTGTAGCCATGAAAAGTACTGTTATTCATTCCTGACCTCCTGGAACCAGGCCCTAACTCATCTTCTCAGCAAAATTGCACATTTGCTATGGACCTACTGGGTAGTACCTTCTTTGTTTCCCTTTTCTGAATGTGAGGGTTAATTCAGGTTTTATTTTTCTGTTCCACCATGAAATGTCGTGAGTGACGAGGACTCTATTGGGCTCTCAGTGAACAGAAGTGTCATGAGACTGTCATGAGATCCTTGCTTGCAACTGAAAGTTATGTTTGGGCTTTTTTTTTTAAAAAAAAATGTTAGAGGAAGTGGAGGTGAATATTTTGTGTGGGCAAAAGAGGAACAAATTATTTCTGATGGAAGCTGCGCTGTCACATATTGTAATATTTCGAGACAGGGTCTCGCTCAGTCACCCAGGCTGGAGTGCAGTGGTGCGATCTCAGCTCACTGCAACCTCCACCTCCTGGACTCAGGTGATCCTCTTCTCTCAGCCTCCCAAGTAGCTGGGACTACAGGTGCACACCAGCATACCTAGCTAATTTTTGGATTTTTTTGTAGAGATGGGGTTTCGCCATGTTGCCCAGACTGGGAGAAACATATTTTAAGGTATAATTAGCATGTTGTGTTGTTAAAATCTCAGTGATAAACTTGCATATTAGCAACAGAGCTCTTGTTTCCACATTATACAATTTCAGTTTATTTTCTTGTATCATTCCAATGCTTTCCCTGAACTTAAAATAAAAGGGATCCTCCACATATTGGTGGAACACATTCTTTGCATCTGTTATTTTTCTATTCTTTTTTTGCCACACAAATCTGAGAATGTCACCTCGATTTTTGGATCCTTCAAGTTCTTCAATGGAAGAAATGTAAGTCCATAAATTGGGTTAAATGGTTTCTAGTGGAGTGTGTAATGATAAAAAATTATTTTTAAAATGTAGTTTTGGCTGGGCTCTGTGGCTCATGCCTGTATTCCTAGCACTTTGGGAGGCTGAGGTGGACAGATTGAGCCCAGAAGTTTGAGACCGGCCTAGGCAACATTATAAAACCCCATCTCTACTAAAAACACAAAAACTGAGGTGAGAGGATCACTTGAGCCTGGGGAGGTGGAGGCTGCATGAGCCGTGATTGCACCACCACACTGCAGCCTGGGCAAGAGAGCAAGATCCCATCTCAAAAAAAATTATATTACAGTTGAAAAATCATAGAATACAATGTTTAATATGATAACTCAAATATGCATTGTTAGAGCCTTTGAAAAATGCAATTTTATTAAATTATTTAATATTTATTGTCTGATAAATTTAATTTTTATAGTGCATGTGTAAAAATATTATAGACAATTTGAACAGTATTTCAGAAGCACTTTCAACAATTATATTGTGTAAAGTGTCCTATGTATGCATGAATAAAGGACATGTATAAAGTATTTAGCATGAGGAAAATTGAGTCTTTCTCAACCTAGGCATCATAAGTTTCAGGAGTAAACATTCAGTATTTTTTTTTGTATTTTTTAAAACCAGAACATTTATTGCATGACTAATCATAGACATTCTTAAGATGAACTGGATGCTGCAACAGCTGCCCTCTTGGGTTTAAGTATTGTTCCTTCATAGAATCCATGCCTGAATCTGTGGTATACAATTTTTAGGTGCCTCATTCCACCAGTTCCGGTGGTATTTTGTCTTTTAGCCTTGGCACTCCAGTTATACTTTCTCTTGCGCTTGGCAGCGTAGCCACATTTGCCACAGGTCGACTTCTGAAGGTGGTAGGCCTTAGAGCCACGGCGGCAACACAACGTGTGCGTCTTATTGCGACGCTTTCCAAACAATGACGTTCCCTTCGTCATCTGGCTTCTGCGGCCAAGACCAGAGAGACCGGAAGAGAAGGCACTTCCGCTATATCACGCTCAGAAGCTCAACATTCCGTGTTGAATTAGAGTCTGAGCCGAGATGGCATTACTGCACTACTGCTTGGGTGACCGGAGCCAGACACTGCCTCAAAAAAAAAAATTCTCCCAGGCTCAAGCAATTTCCAACCTCAGCCTTCCAACTAGCTTGGACTACTGGTGCACACCATTACCCTTGGCTAATTTTTGTATTTTTTGTAGAGATAGAGTTTTGTAATGTTGCCCAGGTTGCTCTTGAACTCCTGGGTTCAAGCAATCTGCCCACCTCAGCCTCTCTCAATGTGCTGGGATTACAGGCGTGAGCCACTGCACCCTGCCTTGTTCCTTTACTTGCTTAGTAAACTTGCTTTCACTTTACAGTGTGAACTCACCCCTAATTCTTTCTTGCATGAGATCCAAGAACCCTCCCTTTTGGTTGTAACTGCCCAACAGGTTCTCCTTCCCTGCTGCCTAGACAGAGCTGATTCATCAAGACAGGGGAATTGCAAGAGAGAGTTTAATTCATGTGGAGCTGGCTGTACAGGAACCTGAAATTTTTTTATTACTCACATGAGTCTCCCTGAAAACTCGGGGATCAGGGTTTTTAAGGATAATTTGATAGGTAGGTGTCAGTGAGTCGGGAGTGCTGATTGGTTGGGTAGGAGACGAAATCATAGAGATCTGAAGCTGTCATTTTGCACTGAGTCAGTTCCTGGGTGGGGTCACAAGACCAGATGAGCCAGTTTATGGATCTGGGTTGGTGTCAGGTGATCCATCAAGTGCAGGGAATGCAAAATATCTCAAGCACTGATCTTAGGTTTTATAATAGTAATGTTATCCCCAGGAACAATCTGGGAAGGGTGAGAATCTTGTAGCCTCCAGCTACATGACTCCTAAACCATCATCTCTCACCTTGTGCCTAATTTGTTAGTCTTACAAAGGCAGTCTAGTCCCCAAGCAGGAAGGGGGTTTGTTTTGGGAAAGGGCTGTTAATGTCTTTGTTTCAAACTATAAACTAAGTTCCTTCCAAAGTTAGTTCAGCCTATGCCCAGGAATGAACAAGAGCAGCTTGGAGGTTAAAAGCAAGATGGAGTTGATTAGGTCAGATCTCTTTCACTGTAATAATTTTCTCAGTTATAATTGTGCAATGGAAGTTTCAGGTTCTGGATCAGGACCCCTTTCTGGTAACACAAGGATGGTTATGAATGCATCCAGATATCCAAAAAGTTATCTCTGAAAGCCAGAGATTTCCTTTCCCTATGGGTTCTTCCCTTGCATGTCAACCCAAGGATTCACTGGGGACCTAGAATTGTGCAGGGCAGTTAGGAAGAGAGAGACAAAAGAGAGAAGAGGTGAAGTAGTTTTGAAGAAGAGAAAGAAGGTCCCATGCAGCCTCAGTTTTTTTTCCAACAAACTTTTCATGCTGGGAAATAGGATCCTGGTTTATTTGTGGGAGGGATTTTATAGGAGGGTGAGAAAAAAATGCCCTTTGAGGGTAGAGTCTGTGGAGCCCTAATTGGGGAAAAGGAGTCAGCCTGAAAGGACCAGGAGAAAGCAAAGAGATAAAGCAAATAAGCTATAAATCTTTCTTCATGGTCCAGAACATATAAAAAAAAATAGAGGAAGCAGATAAGCTGTAGGTCTCTTTTTCTTTATGGCCAAGGACATATGGCCTTTCTGTGGAAAGAACGTAAATAAGTCACAAACTTTCTGCTTTCATTTATCATCAAACGCCTCAGCTAACAGAAGAATGCAAGTTAGCTCCCTGCTACCTTGGCCTCCCAAAGTGTGGGGATTATAGGCGTTAGCCACTGCACCCAACCAAATCTCCTCTTCTCATGGCTCACTGCAGCCTTCACCTCCTGGGCTCAAATGATCCTCCTTCCTTACCCTTCCGAGTTGCTGGGCCCACACGTGCAGGCCACCATGTCCAGATAATTTAATTTTTTGTAGAGAGGTCTGGCTATGTTGCCCAGGATGATCTCAAATCCCTGGCCTCAAGCAATTCTGACACCTCAGCTTCCCAAGTAGCTGGGACTACAAGAGTGCATTACCAAGCCTGGCTACTTTTTGTATTTCTTGTAGAGATGGGGGTCTCACGATGCTGTCCAGGCTGGTTTTGAACTCTTGAGCTCAAGTGACCTGCCCACCTGGGCCTCCAAAACTGCTGGCCCATCTCAAAAGACTTAATCCATTTCAGTATCAACTCTCAAAAGTCTTAATCCATTCCTGTATCAGCTCTTAGGGCAGAATACCCCCTAAATATTATCTGAACCACACATGGGTGAGAATCAAGGTGTGATTCATCCTGAGGCAAAATTTCTGCCCAGCTGTGAATCTGTGAGGCCAGAGAAGTTATCTGCTTCCAAAATATAATGGTGATAAAGGCATAGGATACATCCCCCAGCCCTGGTAACCACCCTTCTAATCTGTTACTGTAAATTTGACGTTTGTACTTTGCACGTGTAAAAGCACAGGCAGTATTTGTCTTTCTGTGTCTAGCATATTTCGCTTGGCATAATGTCTTCCGGGTTCCTGGATCCAGCCACGGCTCCACATCAAATCCCCAGCGAGATCCTAGTTCCCTGACTATTGAGTAGCTTCAGCATCATCGGCAAGAGTGGATGGAGTCCACCAAGCTTGTAAAAATCGGTTTTGACTTAGTTCAACTTGTTAAGAAATCATCTTAGTTTCTAATATAAGTGGACCACAACTTTAAGCTTTAACCTTAAATTTTGAAACATTAACTTAAAATAGGCAGGCAGCAACGCTGCTTCACAGGACAAGAAGTAGTCAGAAAACCAAAGACATGCTGCCTGTGAACCAGAGTAAATAACAGGCTCTATTTCGGCCCCGCTTACCCCATGAAACCCCGCCCCATCCTCCGCCGCGGCTCCGTCCCGCCCCACCTAGCCACGCCCACTGCCGCTCCGGCCCGGCTCCACCCTCTCAGGGTCCCTCCCCGAGTCAGGCCCCTCTTTCCGACCCGCCCCTTGCTGGTCGCGGCTCGCCCAGGCCCCGCCCCCTGGCCTCCCAGTTTTTTCTCTCCGCTAGCAGTTTCCGTCACTCCCGGAAGCAGATTGCGCCAGGGAAAGGCCTTATCGCTGTGTGTGTGTTTCAGTCTACGTGGATTAAACATTACTTCGCTCCGTCTGCCTGGATTAAACGTGCACTTTGCAGTCCTCACTTCTCCGTACCAGTGATCTGGGGATCGCTACGGACCTTAAAATACCCATAGCCCCTTCGCCCCTGCAACAGGCACTTCTCCCCACGTAAGTCCGAGAATTGCTTCCCTGTCGGTTTAAAATCTCTCTCAGGCTGTTCCTTGCCCCCTGCCTTTCTGCCATGTAGATAACCATGTCGATAACCCCATTCAGGTCGTGTTCCTGCTTAAAACTCTCATTGACCCCTGCTTCGGCCCCGGGCGAAGTCAAGTCCTCCCTCGCGAGGTGGATTCCCACCAGTCGAGACCCCCGAGCTTCGCCCTTGTCGACGCCTGGAGGGGAGCGCCCGCTGCCCAGCTCCTGAAGGAGCCGCTTCTTCTCCCAGGTCCTGGGATTCTGCAGACCCTCCCTGTCCTGAGACACCGTCCCCCGCGCCACCTAGTGTCCTCCGCGCGCCACCTAGTGTCCTCCTCACGCCGGGTCCTTCCCCTCCCCAGGCTGCCCCTTCACAGCCACTGCTTTTCCTGACTCCGCGTTGCAGGAGGTCACCCGAGTCTGTCTTGTGACACCCACTGTCGTTCCTTCCCAAATTTTTACTCCACTGGAAAATGTGCTCTTCCGGGAGGTGGGCATCGTATTCCTCCCCTTTCCTCCTGAATGTGTGGGTGAGAGGGATCAGGAGAGGAAAAGAGGGGGAGCGACGGGACAGAAAGAAAAACTGGGGAGAAAAGAATGAGTACACGGCAAAATGGATGATAATTTAGGTACTGGCAAAGAGAGCAAGAGTGCAAGAGGACGCATGGAGAAAGTAGCACGGGGAGAAAAGCACATAAAGAAATTAGGGAAAAGGGAGAGCTTCAGGGAGCTGAAGGGCAGCAAAATAGAGAGGGGCGGCAAAGGAGGAGGCACTGCAGTCAGACGCGGGGGGCGGAAAAGGTAAGAGTCGGAGCCGCGGCTGACAGAGCCACGTGGTGCTGGGACTGAAGGAGAGGGGAGTGGGTAACAAAGGAGAGTAGAGGGAGAACCACAGCAAGGAGGAAGCCTAGGAAGTTGGGGGTGCTAGAGAGTGGGAACAAAGGAGATGTAACAGGGAAAAGGGAATTTAACAGGGAAGAGGGATTTTAACAGGGAGAGCAGACAGGGAGCTCAGATGGGGGAAAAGAGGCAGGAATACGTGGCGGCTGGGGACAATGGGAAAGTTTGGGGAGAAAGAGCAACAAGAGGTGAAATAAATTTCGAAGCATTGGGCAGAATAGACATAAAAGAGGGAATAAAGAAAGGGGAGAAAAACAGCAAAGGGAAAAAAGACGTGCAGAATGAGAGCGGGAAACACATAGTAGTGAAGAGAGTGGGCGAGGACCCCACCCAGATGAGCTGTGAGTTGATTGGATATGGATGGTGGTTTTAATGTATTGATTTGTGACTTTATACTCTAATTTAAAATTTGTTTCTTTAAATTGTACTCATGAGGATGAAAATTACCACTCTTTTCTACAAGGCTTGTGCATTTTGTATTTGTTTATATCAAAAGATATTTGGAATCCCTATTTAGCCACAGGGCAGTGACTTGATTCAGTCATTTTGTAACTCTTCTTTCCAGGGAGGGAGTAGAGGATGGAGGAGGAGAGAAATAGGCAAGAAATGACTGACTGTCACTACAAGATGTATCTTTGGTTTTTTGTTTGTTTTTTCTCTTTTTGAGACAGGGTCTCTGTCGCCCAGGCTGGAGTGCGGTAAAATTATATCGGCTCACTGCAGCCTCTCAGCTGCACTCCATCCTCCTCAGCCCCTGAAGGTGCTGGGATTACATGTGTGAACCACCTCTACAGGCCTACAATGTATGTCTTTGAAGGAGAGTTGAGAGTGTTGGTTTTTTGTTTTGTTAATGGATTTACTTTTTTCCTTGTAGTTGCTTTACAGTTAATTCATTGTTATTTTGGAAGCTTGATTTAAATTTTAGTTTATTCAGTTTCTTCTATAATTACTAACTTCTGAAATAAGATTTGATGTCATCCTGTAATCAGCTGATGTCATTAATTTCTCAATATTGCCTTTTTTTAACTTTTACCCCATAATTTATTAGATTTTTCAAAAACTTTCCAAACTGTTAAAGCGTCCAGTGCGGTAAACTCACCACGAAGTACATTAGATTCCTCAGAACTTCTTCATTTTATAACTGAGAATTTGTACCCTTTGACCAACATTTCTCCACTTTCCCCACCCAGCATCCTGTGGTAACAACTGTTCCGCCTTATTACTATGAATTGGACTTTTTTAGATTCTACTTGTGAGAACATACAGTAGTTGTCTTTGTGTGTCAGTCTTATATCGCCCAGCATAATGTCCTCCAGATTCATCCATGTTGTTGGAAATAGCAGGATTTTATTTATTTTTATTTTTATTTTTTATTTTTGAGACAGAGTCTCGCTCGCTCTGTCGCCCAGGCTAGAGTGCAGTGGTGTGATCTCGGCTCACTGCAAGCTCCGCCTCCCGGGTTCACACCATTCTCCTGCCTCAGCCTCTTGAGTAGCTGGGACTATAGGCACCCGCCACCACGCCCGGCTAATTTTTTGTATTTTTTTTTTAGTACAGACGGGGTTTCACTGTGTTAGCCAGGATGGTCTCAATCTCCTGACCTCATGATCCACCCGCCTCGGCCTCCCAAAGTGCTGGGATTACAGGCGTGAGCCACTGTGCCCGGCAGGATTTTCTTTTTTATGGTTGAATAATATTCCATTATATAAATATACACACACACACTCTGTATATATATATATATATATATACACATACATAAATATATATACACACACATTTTCTTTACATATTCATTCCTGGATGGGCACTTTGGTTGTTTCTATATCTTGGCCGTTGTGAATAATACTGCAGTGATCATGAGGGGGCAGAAGTTCCTAAGTTTTTTGTTTTTTGTTTTTTTAAGTAGAGACATGGTCCCGCTGTTTTGTCCAAGCTGGTCTCTAACTCCTGGTCTCAAGCGATCTTCCCATCTCAGCTTCTCAGAGTGCTGGGATTATAGGCATGAACTACCACACCTGGCCTAGATGTCTCTTAAACATACTGATTGGATTGCCTTTGGATTTATACCCAGAAATGAGATTGCTGGATTGCATTGTTGTTCTATTTTGAATATTTTGAAGAACATCCATAGTGTTTTTCATAATGGCTGTACTGATGTGCACTCCCAGCAGCAGTGTACAAGGGCTCATTTTTCTCCATATCATTGCTAACACCTCTCTTGCCTATTTGATAATAGCCTTCCTAAGAGGTATGAGGTGACAGCTTATGGTGGTTTTGATTTGTATATCCCTGATGATTAGCGATCTTGAGTACCTTTTCATATACCTGTTGGTCATTTGTATGTTTTTTTTTGAGACAGAGTCTCACTCTTGTTGCCCAGGCTGGAGTGCAATGGCGTGATCTCAGCTCACTGCGACCTCATCCTCCGAAGCACCTGAGATTACAGGCACCTGCCACTATGCCTGGCTAATTTTTGTATTTTAGTAGAGACGGGGGTTTCACCATGTTGGTCAGGCTGGTCTTGAACTCCTGACCACAGGTGATCTGCCCGCCTCGGCTTCCCAAAGTGCTAGGATTACAAGCGTGAGCCACCGTGCCTGGCATTTGTATGTCTTATTTGCAAAATGTTCAGGTCCTTTGCCCCCTGTCCCCCCCCCGCTTTTTTTTTTTTTGAGACAAAGTCTTACTCTGCTGCCTAGACTGGAGTGCAGGGGCGCCATCTCGGCTCACTACAACATCTGCCTCCTGGGTTCTAGCGAGTCTCATGCCTCAGCCTCACAAGTAGCTGAGATTACAGGCATGTCCCACCATGCCCAGCTAATTTTTTGTGTTTTTAGTAGAGATGGGGTTTCACTGTGTTGGCCAGGCTGATCTTGAACTCCTGGCCTCAAGAGATCTGCCTGCCTCGGCCTCTCAACATGCTAGGATTACAGGCATGAGCCACTGTGCCCGGCCCAACATCAAAGAACTTTAAAAGGCATTCCCTTCCTGACTTAAGGAACAACTTCTCATTGTCCAGGCCTTCTTGTTGTACAGCCAACAAAATACTGCAAATCTCCAAAATATTCTTCAGGATGTTTATTGAGGAAAATTTTATTGAAAGGAGCCACACAATCCAAAGCTGTATTGTTCAAGGGTCAGCTGAATTGAGGAGCAAGTCCTAAGCTGAGCCCACGGGGAGAGTGGGCAGCTGGAGTGGTGGTGCATTGGTCCTGAGGGCATGGAACCCAGAGCTGCAGCACAGCAGGCACTCTCCATAGTGACTTCTGTGGGGTCCATCACTTTGGGGGCTACATTTGTTATTTTGGAGTATTTTGGGCGGCAAGTTAAGATGGTTATAGATGCATTTTGGACTATCTAAATGTCAATATGGAGAGTTTCCTTGGAAGATGTTGGGTCTCACTGGGGTATGTGCATCATTGGAGACATCTGTTTTAGTAGATGGTGGTGCCAGTGTTCAAGGGTGGGGTCATTATGAATGGAATCGAGTGTCTTGGGTCATTGAGTCCTCAGGTATCTTTGTGTGTATTAGGTCAGCAGGAGTTTATGAGTTGTTGGGGCATGTGGGATTTCGTAGCACGATATGGGGAGCACTATGGAGTATCTGGGAAGGGTGTGGACCCCAAGGAAGTTTGTAAACCTGTCTCAGTTTAGGAGGGGAACGTTAGGGCCTCAAACTCTAGTGACAAAAGGCTTTCGTTAGGGAGGGTTTTCTGTGGTGGGTCTATGGCAGGATGGTGGCTTAGGGAAGATTTTTCAAAGAATCAGAGAATATGATATCACAACGACCTGCAGCACAAAGATTTCAACTGGGACTGTCCTCGGAAGATACAGCTGTTACTTTCTCGCTGCCAGGACAGTGGTGATTACTTTCCCCCCACCTCTGTCTGCTGCAACAATCACAGGGAGCTACGAGGCAAAATGCTTTAAACTCAGTGTGGAACAGGGATATTTTCTCCAGGCAAGAGGGTCCACTAGGTGCTGGGGAGGCAGTTTGGGGAGAGGATGGGTAATGCTCTTTGGAGAATGACAGGCCTAGTAATTGCAGGGTGTAAAGGAAAAAACAAATTTTTTCCTTTCTACTCTCACACTTAACACAGAACTCTTCTGTGGCCAGTGTTGGGGAGTTTTCTCCTACACACTAAAAAATTCTCCAGCAGACAACAGCTAGATTGCCTTAGAATTCAATTTAATTCTGGCACTGTCTACCTGGAGTTAGAGTCATCTCCCACAGGTTGCCCACAGGTAAAGGGCTCAGTCTCACAAGACCTCCCCGGCTCACTTCAGCTACCATTTCGAAAGTAGTAGGTTGTCACCTATACTTCTGACCTACTGACTCCAAATTGGCATTCCTACTACCCCAGCCAAAGGTTTGATTAATTTGCTAGGATGGCTCACCGAACTTAGAGAAACACATTTACCAGTTTCTTATTGTTGAAGGACAAAATCACAACAAATTCGATCCTTTTGTAGTTAATAAATGTGATGATTGGGTTTTCACACTCATGTGAGATGTGCTTCCCTCAAACCTTGTTACGATGTCGTGATAAGGAGGGAAATTATTACAAATTCATTTTTTAACTCCTGTTCTTGTTTTCTTTTTTGGAATTTTCTTTTTTCCTAAACGTGACTTATTTCAAGGGTCAGTTTGCTAATGTGGCGTTTAGCATGAGAGACTTCATTCTGGCTTGGTCTGGTAGTGCGGGAGGCTCGTACAAAACAACGGCCTTTCCATAAAAATGAACAAAATAATGCGCTTGGCCAGGACATGGGTGGAGCTGGAGGCGATTATCCTTGGCAAACTAACACAGGGACAGAAAACCAAATACTGCGTATTCTCACTCATAAGTGGGAGGTAAATGATGAGAAAACATGGATACGTAGAGGGCAACAACACACACTGGGGCCTACCTCAGGGTGGAGGGTGGGAGGAGGGAGAGGATCAGGAAAAATAACTAATAGACATTAGGCTTAATACCCGGGTGATGGGGCCAGACGTGGTGGCTCACACCTGTAATCCTAGCACTTTGAGAGGCCGAGGCGGGCGGATCACCTGAGGTCTGGAGTTCGCAACCAGCCTGACCAATACAGTGAAACCCCGGCTCTTCTAAAAATACAAAATGAGCCAGGTGTGGTGGCACATGCCTGTAGTCCCAGCAGGAGGCTGAGGCAGGAGAATTGCTTGAACCCGGGAGGCGGAGGTTGCAGTGAGCCGAGATCGTGCCATTGCACTCCAGCCTAGGCGACAGAGCGAGACTCTGTCTCACACACACACACAAAAACCCAGGTGATGAAATAATGTATACAACAAACCCCCATGACCCGTTTACCTGTGAACCAGGCTGCACCTCCTGCACGTGTACCCCTGAACTTAAAATATAAGTTAAAAAGAGAAAAAAAATTGGCCTATTATAAAGTGTAACAACTGCAACGTCTATTTTTACCTCTAGGGAATTATTTTAAACATTGTTTACTGATGGTGGTATTGCCCATTAAATGCATGCACACACACAGACCCTAAAGCTTATCGTTTCCTTCCACTCTGCCCTAATTGAAACAAAACATACTACTAACTACATTTCTGCCCGTATGAGTACCCCTCTTCTGTGCTGAAATCTTATTTATACTCTCCGTCTTCACTTCTTGCCTCCCATTCCCTCTTGAATGCATCCAGTCAAACTTGCATATCCACCATTCCACTGATAACTTTATTTTTCAGAGTCACCAGTGACCTCCCCATTTCTAAATCCAATGTATTTCTTTTCCTGCTTTAGTCTTTCTTTTCCTGTCAGGAGCTTTCTGTTTAATTTTCTTGTCACCTCCCTGACCATTTTCCTCTGCTGCTGTGTCCGGACTTCGAATGTTTCTCAATGTGGGAAAGACTCATGGCTTAGTCCTTGAACCTCTTCTTATCTCTGTCCACACCTACTGTCTTTCCTCATCATCTCATCTCATGGCTTTAAACCCCACTGTATTAGTCCATTCTGGAATTGCTACAACAAAATTCCAGAGACCGAGTAATTTATAAAGAAAACAGGTTTAATTGGCTCACAGTTCTGCAGGCTGCACAGGAAGCATGGCAACATCTGCTTCTGGGGAGCCTGTAGGAAGATTCCAAACATGGTAGCAGGCGAAGTAGGAACAGGCGTCTCACGTGGCGGGAGCAGGAGCAAGAGAGAGTGAGGGGGGAGGCGCTACACACTTCTAAACAACCAGATGTCGTGAGAACTCACTGTGATAAAGAACAGCACCAAGGGGTGGTGCGAAACCATTCATCACAAATCCACCCCCATGATCCATCCACCTCCCACCAGGCCCCACCAGTAACGGTGGGGATTACAATTCAGTGTGAGATTTGGGCCAGGGACACAGAGCTGATCCATATCACCCACCTACTCACCTACACGTCTCCATGTCCCCTGCAGGCCTGTCCCCTGAACTCTAGAATTCTGTGTCCTGTTGTCTCCTCTGTTGTCTGTTCAGCCGTCTAAGAGACGTCTCCACCTTTATGTGTCTAAAGTGACTTCCTAAACTCCCTAAGTACATTCCCCTGCGCTCCTGCACATCTCAGATGACGGTGGCCCTATACTTCCTGGCTCTAGCTTTACATGTCAGGATATATTTGAAATAGAGAAGATATGACATTATATAGAAGGGTTTTAATTCAAATGATAAAGAAAAGTTACATTTACCTAAAATGGTAGGGAAATGCATAGTTTCTAAAAGTGCTGTGAGCTGTGGGAGAAAAATGTTTGAAGACCTCGTCCCTACCTGATCTGCTGCCTCGGGACCTCTCTGACCTCATTTCCTACCTGTGTCCTCCTCACTCCCTCTGCTCCAGCCACACAGGCCTCTTTCCTATTCCTGGAGCCGAGGGTGTCTACCTGGGCTGTCCCTGTGCCTAGAACTCTCTGGCCCCTCAGTTGCAGGTAATCTGGCAAGATTTCCCCCATCCCGAGCTGCAAAGGTGCCCTCTCCCACCAGCATCACATGAGACTTCCCACTCATTTAAACAAAACTTACTACTATGTTGTTTTTACATTTTGAGGATCTGGGGAAAATGGCAACCCAAAGAAAAGTAACTTTGAAACAACCAACATGCTTTTAGTTTCCTGATTTTGCTCCATTCAGCCCCTTTCAGCTTATGAAGCCAACCTCCTCCCCTTAGCTCACAGAACACTCCTTTCATTTTAAGAATGAGGTGTTGTCTGATTCTAGGATTGCAAATAAAAGCCAATAAAGGCAGGTCCATATTTTCTGCTCTGTGTGTTTCTTTCTGGCCCTTTGCCTTCCACTTTCTACAGACTGGTGACAGCAAGGCCCCAAGGGGAGGTCAGAGCTGGGAGACTGGGGCTGTGGTAGTCTTGCCCCCTTTGAGACTACTCAACCCTCGCTTCACACTAGAGTGCCAAGGCATTTGTAACACATGGTTCATTCCCCCTTATAGAGATTCTCCTTCCAGTAGTTAGGGTGGGGCCCAGCCTCCGTAATGTTTTAGGTACCCAAGTTGATTTTTTTTTTTTTTTTTTTTTTTTTTGGTGACAGAGTCTCTGTCGCCCAGGCTGGAGTGCAGTGGCTTGATCTTGGCTCACTGCAACCTCCGCCTCCCAGGTTCAAGTGATTCTCCTGCCTCAGCCTCCCAAGTAACTGGGATTTAAGGGGTGTGCCACCATGCCTGGCTAATTTTTGTGTTTTTGGTAGAGAGGGTGTTTCACCATGTTGGCCAGGCTGGTCTCGAATTCCTGACCTCAGGTATCCACCCGCCTCGACCTCCCAAAGTGCTGGGATTACAGGCATGAGCCACCGCTCCCAGCCCCAAGTTGATTCTCATTTGTATCCAGCATTGAGCTTCCAGCCTCTGTGTCCCCCATTTCCGAGGGCAGAGCTCAGCCTGTGACCCACAGAGGTGACGGGGGGCTGTGCGCTGCATGGGGTTTGATCAGGGATAGGTCCGTGCCCTGAATGGGAGCTCAGTCCAGCCTAGCTACACACTGCTGCAGCCTGTGTGTGGGCTTCTCCCAGAGGGGAGCTAATGCTGAAGAAAACGGTGAAAGATTCACTTGGTCTTTGTGTAGGAATTTATTATTCTTGCATCCCCCCTGGTGCAGTGGGCTGTCTCTCCACAGGCTGAGTTCTTCCCTGTGTGCATGGTTGTGACACAGAAAGGAATGTGTTGTTTCCAAGCATTAAACAACAGATTTTTTAACTTTCAGGTTTGATGTGTGAATAATTACATTGACTGAGAAAGAAACCCAGAAGAGGAAGAAGAGGAAGGAAAAGGAGTCAGTGATGGCTACTCAGGTAGAGTGATACTTTACTCAAGTGAAGTGATATTCTTGGTGGGTCATTCTGTCTCCTTCCTTTGTGAAGTACAGGGCGTCGGAGTTGCAAATCTTCTCTGAGTCTGAAGTGTCCTTCCTGACACATTTGCTCATGCTCATCCATGCTTTTCCTCAGTTCCTCTCATCTTATTTAGATTCCATCTCACCATGATCCAGTGACATGAACTTGGGAAGAGGCTGCACTGGGCATGGTCCTGGGAAGGGCTCACACCCAGACATGGATGGAGATGGGGTGAGGGTCCCGTGGTATCAGAGCTGTTGGGCAGCAGGGATTGTTTAGGGGCCACATCTGGATGCACTGTCAGCTTTCTGTAGACCAGGAATAGAGAAGCTGCATGTGGAAGTCACATATTAATGTGCATAAATACCTAGTAAATTATCGAAAGGGGCCAGGCGCCGTGTCTCATGCCTGTAATCTCAGCACTTTAGGAGGCTGAGGTGGGCGGATCACTTGAGCTCAGGAGTTTGAGCCAACATGGTGAAACCTCGTCTTTACTGAAAATACAAAAATTAGCCAGTCATGGTGGCAGGGGCCTGTAATCCCAGCTACTCAGGAGGCTGAGGCGGGAGAATAGCTTGAACCCGGAGGTGGAGGTTGCAGTGAGCCAAGATGGTGCCACTGCACCCCAGCCTGGGTGACAGAGCAAGACTTCATCCTCAAAAAAAAAAAAAATATGGAAAAGGAGGCGTGTAAGGGGAGATCTTTCTGCCTGATTTTATACTACATTTGAAGCTGTATGAATGAGTCACTATTTCTAACTGCCTTAATGACAGGGAATTGAATGGAAAACTAGATACAGACATTAGAGCGTGTTTTATTCCATCATTGATTTAAAAATATGAAATCAACCTGAATGTCAGATTCTAGCCATGGTCAGAATATCCATCTCACAGAGACTGCGGTGTTCCTGCGGGGACTCTTACCAGCAGTTGTTTTAAGTTTTAAGGTTATAATTTTGCTCAGATGTAAGAGCTGAACATTTGTTATCAGAGAAGATGGAGCCAAATTCTCTCACTGCACCAATTATTATTAAATATTATATTTATTTTAAACATCACATGATGTATATATTTGTTTTTTTGGTAAAATTTCAAGCAGAGATGCAGTTTAGGCATTAAGAAGTTAATACAACACGAGGATGATAGGAAATAATTTTGTTTTGTTTTTTGCTTTTTGTTTTGTACGGAGTCTCGCTCTTGTCACCCAGGCCGGACTACAATGGCGTGATCTCGACTCACTGCAACCTCTGTCTCCCGGGTTCAACCGATTTTCTCTTGCCTCAGCCTCCCAATAGCTGGGATTACAGGCGTGCACCACCACGCCTGGCTCATTTTTGTATTTTTAGTGGAGATGGTGGGGGGTTTCATCATGTTGGCCAGGCTGGTCTCGAACTCCTGATCTCAGATGATCCGCCTGCCTCAGCCTCCCAAAGTGCTGGGATTACAGTGTGAACCACCACACCCAGCCTGTAAATAATGTTTTATTATATATGAAATTCATGCTAAATGAGATTTTAGCTGTTCTGGCCAAAACAGAGGGAAAAAAAAAAAAAGTAACTGTGAGATGATGGGTGTGTTAATTTGTTAAACTCTAATGACTTTTTTTTTTACTATCCATACCATAATACCATGTTGTATACCTTAAATATACACAATGTAATTTATCAGCAAACAAAAATGGGCATCAAGGAAACATTTTAGCTTTTTTTTTTTTTTTTGAGACGGAGTTTCGTCTTGTTGCCCAGGCTGGAGTGCAATGGCGCAATCTTGGCTCACTGCAGCCTCCGCCTCCCAGGTTCAAGCGATTCTTCTGCCTAAGCCTCTTGAGTAGCTGGGACCACAGGCATGCACCACCGTGCCTGGCTAATTTTGTATTTTTAGTAGAGACAGAGTTTCTCTATGTTGGTCAGGCTGGTCTCAAACTTCCGGCCTCAGGTGATCCACCCGCTTTGGCCTCCCAAAATGCTGGGATTACAGGCATGAGCCACCGTGCCCAGCTTTAGTTTTACACAGAAAGAAATTTATAACCTAAGAAAAGGACATCAAGGCATATATATTTTAAAAATTTAACTACAGAATATGAAATGGCTCCTAGAATGCAGTAAAGGAAAACTGAGCAAAGAATGAAAATTATTTTGGTTTGATTTCCACAAAATAATGAAACCTCCTCACAGTCCAAGGAATTGGAAAATGGAAATACGAAGGGTTTTCATTTTCCCCATAGCCTCAAAATGTAAACAGAACATAGTAGTAAGTTTTTTTTTTTTTTTTTTATTGGGTGGGAAATCCACCCAATATGTGTCGTTGGTGTATGAGGACACCATTGCACCTTAGGGTAGTGGGAAATCTTGCCAGATCCAGGAAAATAGGAAATGCACCATCCTAAAGAGGCAATCACTCTTTCAGTTACCCAACCTGGAGGAACCCGGGTTTCTTTTCCCTGTCACTTTCTCCATCATCCCTCATGTTTCCGTGGGGAGCTACAGTTGTAAGTTCTGTGGCAAGAGTCAGTGAGAGGTGTCAAGATGCATTTACGTGTCATTATGAGATTTTAGAAAACAATTCTTCAGTACATGTTCTGTTGTGAAATTTCATTGTGCCAGTTTTTCAAAGATACATCTTTTTTTGTTAATAAGCAGTAATAGCTTGTTTTGCATCCTCTTTGGAACAATCTCTAAATGAAGACATATGGATCTTTTATAATTTTTCACCATGGCTGCCACAATGCTCTCTTCACCACAGGTGTTTGAGGGTTCCTTCAGGTTGGACAGTTTAAAGAGTGGTTGCTTCTGTTAGGACGCTATACCACAAAAGCAAAAATAAATAACTGATCTTTCTTTGGAAGGCCTGGCTCGCTGTGTGATTATAAAATACTGTGTTTTTTTAAGATCTAATATTTTGTTGCTTACATTTTATTTGCTTGAATCTTTAATTTGAATTTTTCTGTATATCTTGTTGTAGATTATATTTGATTATAAAGTTTTAGATTATAAATAACATAATAGGTTCACAAGTAGATTGGCAAACCCCTCCATTTTCTTTCCAAAATTATTATGGTTCTCCTTTTACACAACACAGCCACATATTATTTAAATTCCACATATTGGCCGGGTGTGGTGGCTCACACCTGTAATCCAGGCACTTTGGGAGGCCAAGGTGGGTGGATCACCTGAGGTCAGGAGTTCAAGACCAGCCTGGCCAACATGGTGAAACCCTGTCTCTACTGAAAATACAAATATTAGCCGGACATGATGGTGCACGTCTTTAATCTTAGCTACCTGGGAGGCCGAGGCAGGAGAATCCCTTGAACTTGGGAGGTGGAGGTTGCAGTGAGCTGAGATCGTGCCACTGCACTCCTGCCTGGGTGACAGTGAGACTCTGTCTTCTAAAAAAAAAAAAAATTCCCACATATTTTGTTTGTGTTTTCATGGCTCTGAATTTTTTCAGTTGCAGGCCTTTATGTCACCATGTCTTCCAAAAAGAATCGAGTTTGTCAGTCTTTGATAATATCTTTATTATGTCTTTCATTAAAGCTTGTTTGCTTATGTAAAGTTCAGTAATGTTAGATATATTCACATTATTTGTTGGACTCCCAGAATGCATATGTTCTTGGTGCTTGATGGTTTTTCATGGGCCCATTAGACTCTCTTCATTTTCTTTATTTTATTTAATTATTTATTATTTATTTTTTGAGATGGAGTCTCGCTCTGTCGCCCAGGCTGGAGTGCAGTGGCATGATCTCGACTCACTGCAACCTCTGCCTCCTGGGTTCGGGCAATTGTCCTGCCTCAGTCTCCCTGAGTAGCTGGGACTACAGGCACGTGCCACCACACCTGGCTAATTTTTGTATTTTTAGTAGAGACGGGGTTTCACCGTGTTGGCCAGGCTGGTCTTAAACTCCTGACCTCAGGTGATCTGCCTACCTTCGCATTTTCTTTATTTTTGGAGACAGAGTCACACTCTATTGCCGAGGCTGGAGTGCAGGGGTGGGATCTCAGCTCACTGCAACCTCTGCCTCCTGTTCAAGCAATTCTCATGCCTCAGCCTCAGATTACAGGCATGTGCCACCATGCCTGGCTAATTTTTGTATTTTTAGTAGAGATGGGGTTTCATAATGTTGGCCAGGCTGGTCTCGAATTCCTGCTCTGAAGTGATCTTCCTGCCTGGCGTTCTGAAAGTCCTGGGATTACAGTTGTGAGCAATCATGCCCGGCCCACATTTCTTTTTAATTCTTCAAAGCCAAGATGTAAATTGCCATTTCTTTCATGTAGGTTTGTACAGATTCAGTTGGTTTCTTTTTGTAGACCGTATTTCCCTGTTTCTTTGTATGTTTTATTGTCTTCTTTTGTGACTTCAGCATTTGAAAAAATCAGCTGCCTGCCCAGATTTGGTGGCTGCTTTGTTCAGGGAGGACATTCCAATCAACTACCCTAGATTCTGGAGACTTCCCATGCTTTTTCTCTGGGCCTTTGCTTGTCATCTCCCTATTGAAGAGGTTTGCTGCTTTCTACTCAGAAGCTCCCCTATTTTCTGTACTATTGTGGATAGACTCTGGTACTGCAGATATCTGTGGTACTAGATCTTCACCCTCATGTCTTTCTGTGTTATTGCAGACACCGGTTTACGTCAGTTATCTTTTTGCTCAGTGGCCCCTAACCTTTCATCCTGTTCCTTTCAGTGCTACCACAGGAGGTCACCACTAAGGCAATTCTCAGCCTAGCCATGGAGGCAGGGACACCTTAGAGAGTGCTTATTAGGGCAAGGTCAAGGGGAGCCCTGGAAGCAGGACCACGCCTGAGACCCCAGAACTGTAGAGTCACCAGTATGTGATCCCAGCTCGGGAAACCACAGCCTGTGAGAAGTTCCATGTGGGTGATCCCAACAAAACTAATGGGGCAGGGATCCCCAGGACACTGGGGACCTAACTCCTACTCCAGGATGTCTAGAAGGTGGGACATAGAGTCAAAGAAGATTATTGTCAAGCCTTAAGATTTAATATGTGTGCCCTATTTGAGTTTCAGACTTAACATGGGAGTGGCTACCTCTTCTTTCCTGTTTCTGCATTTTGGAGTTGAAATATTTAGCCTGTGTCTACGCCACCGTTGGATGTTGGAAGCACTTAAGTCGTTTGATTTCACACGTTCACAGCTGGAGAGCAGTTTGCCTCAGGATGAAACACATTTTTGAGTCTCACCCATATCTGATTTAGATTATAGTTAGATGCAGCTGTAGACTATAGACTTTTGAATTGGTAGTAGAAAAAGTTAAGACTTTGGGGGGCCATTGGGATGGAATGCATTTTATATGTGAGGAGTACATGAATTTTGGTGGGGCAAGATGGAATGCTGTGGTCTGAGTGTTTTTCTCTCCTCCACAATTCATTTGAAACTTAATCTCCAATGCCCAATCTCCAAGTATTATGAGGTTTGGGTTTTAGTAGGTGATTGGATCCTGAGGGGTCTGCCCTTATCAATGGGATATGGTGTTCTGGTCAGTGAGATATCAAAACGCTTATCCTACGGAGTTCACTGCTTTTTGGCCCTTCTGTTCCTTCTGCCACGTGGGGACACAGCATTCCTCCCCTCCAGAAAATGCAACAAGACACCATCTTGGAAGCAGGGATCATCCCTCAGCAGACATCAGTCCTTCTGGCACCTTGATCTTGGATTTCCCAGCCTGCAGAATTATGAGAAATATATTTTTATTGTTCATAAATTACCCAGTCTGTCTTATTTGGTTATAGCAGCACAGACAGACTAGGATATTCTGTAACCATAATGTAACTGTTTGATTGTTTTGATTCAACTCTAATTCTCAGACATCTGGGTTCAGATGCTTGCTCTGCCATTTTCAGGTTGTTGACCTAGGCAAGTTTGTTAGCGTGTCTGTGACACAGTAACATGGAACAAGTCTCTCTCTCATAGGCTATCATGTTGTTATTTGAATTAGAACATGTAAAGCATTTGGAATAATGCCCAGCACGTGGGGAGTGTTCCAAAACTTCAGTCATTGCTGTTGCTCTGGTCATCACAGTTTTTAGTTTCTGACCTTTAAAGCCGCTGTAGACATTGTCATCTCTGAAAACACCACTCATATACTAGCTCACCTAGACACAGTTGATGTATGGAGCATAATATCTAACACTTTTTAAGGGATAACCATGTGTTTTTCTTATTTGTGTATTTCTTGTATTGTCCACAAAAATAGAACTATACACTGATGTAGAGAATATAATAGTCTCCTATTGTATTTTATAACAAACTAAAATTAGGGACCAATAACTTTCTCACAGATGCCATATAGATATGTCAAAACACACACTTCAAAGTGATGTGATAGTTCTCTCCTCATTTTGTGTAAACAGAAGAGCTCTCATATTGCTTCTTTTTGAAATGTGTTTTTCATTTCAGGGGCATTTGACATTCAAGGATGTAGCCATAGAATTCTCTCAGGAGGAGTGGAAATGCCTGGAGCCTGTGCAGAAAGCTTTGTACAAGGATGTGATGTTGGAGAACTATAGGAACCTGGTCTTCCTAGGTGAGTATAATTTCCTTCTAGAAGTTCAGATTCGCCCTTGTGCATTTTTGTATTTCCTCTGTTGTCTTTCTTGGGAACCCCTCCGTTATTTGAGACTGAAGCCTTATTGGTTCAAAAATAAAAAGCTTCACAATGCTGCATCTGGCCTTTCACTGTCACCTTTGTATATATATTCTGCTGCCTTCTTTGTACATCAGTGGTGGTTCCAGAGCTGAAGTTCGCAGAGAACTTTATGGCAGAGTTAAAATATCCAATTCCCTGTTTTCTGTCCATGTGCTTTTTTGTTTGTTTAAAACAGGTTCTTGCTCTGTTGCCCAGGCTGGAGTGCAGTGGTGTGATCACAGCTCACTGCAATCTCTGTCTCCTGGGCTCAAGCAATCCTCCACCCTCAGCCTCCCAAGTAGCTGGAATTATGCGTGCGTGCCACCATGCCCGTGTAGAGACAGGGTTTTACTATGTCACTCAGGCTGCTCTTGAACTCATGGGCTCAAGGAATTCTCTGGTCTTGGCACCCCAGAGTGCTGATATTATAGGCTTGAGCCAGTACGCTTGGCCTATCCCTGACCCTGTGATCCACCCGCCTCAGCCTCCCAAAGTGCTGGGATTACAGGTGTGAGCCACCACGCCCGGCCAAAGCTTATATTTTTTAAGTCCACATAATTTGTTTTAAGTGACCGCTACTTTAATCTGGTGCATTTTCATGTATTGTAAATGAACTTTGTTTTTATTTATTTAATAATCAGTTCCATATTTTTGAGGATACTCAGTTTTCTTTGTTTTATGTTTCTTTTTGAGGTAGTGTTGTATTGGGGAATGTATATCATTTTATATATTTTACAAGATTTCTTTCTTTAGTACAGATGGTATAGCTCAGGAGCAGTTTCTCTAAAACTTACACAAACTCAATAGTGTTGTAATAAGACAGTTTCAGTTATTTCTTTTACTCCCATTTCTCCTGACTTAATTCCTACTATTAAATTTGTTAATGAGACCGGGCACGGTGGCTCACGCCTATAATCCCAGCACTTTGGGAGGCCGAGGCGGGTGGATCACGAGGTCAGGAGATCGAGACCATCCTGGCTAACACGGTGAAAACCCGTCTCTACTAAAAATACAAAAAATTAGCAGGGTGTGGCGGTGGGCGCCTGTAGTCCCAGCTACTCAGGAGGCAGAGGCAGGAGAATGGCATGAACCCGGGAGGCGGAGCTTGCAGTGAGCAGAGATTGCGCCACTGCACTCCAGCCTGGTGACAGAGCGAGACTCCATCTCAAAAAAAAAAAAAAAATTGTTAATGGAATTGATTACAGTTCTTCTCATTGGAAATTTTTTAATACCTTGAATATATTTTTTTAATATAGTTACTATCTTCATTGTAGAAATACCATGAAAGAGATTGGTCATACTTTGTTTTTGTTTGTTTGTTTTGTTCTGTTTTTTGAGACGGATTTTCATTCTTGTTGCCCAGGCTGGAGAATAATGGCGCGATCTCACCTCACTGCAACCTCCGTCTCCCAGGTTCAAGCGATTCTCCTGCCTCAGCCTCCTGAGTAGCTGGGATTACAGGCATGTGCCACCACACCTGGCTAATTTTGTATTTTTAGTAGAGATGGGGTTTCTCCATATTGGTCAGGCTGATCTTGAACTCCCGACCTCAGGTGATCTGCCAGTCTCGGCCTCCCAAAGTGCTGGGATTACAGACGTGAGCCACTGCGCCCGGCCTGGTCATACTTGTTATATCAGACACATTGCTTTTCTGTAGTAAGTTTCAGTTTCCTAAATATAACTTGCTGGATTTTCTTTAAATCACACTTTTTTTTTTTTTTGGAACAAGTGCTATATTATAATAATTATTCTCCTGTCTGCTTTCAAGTCCATCATGTTATACTGAATTATTATTTTCAAATCTTACTTTATTATACATGTAGCCCATTTCTTGCACTTCAAGGACTTCTCAACTGATGTTTATAAAACCTATATATTTTTTCCCGTCATGCTTAGGGAATGAGGAATAAATTTTTTTTAAAAAATTATATTTTATCCAGAAGTGTTTTTCCTAAGTTTTCTTCTAGGATTTTTGTAGCCTGAGGTCTTACATTTAAGTCTATATCCATCTTGAATTAATTTTTGTATATGATGAGAGATAGGGGTCCAGTTTCATTCTTCTATATATGGCTAGCCAGTTTTTCCAGCACCCTTTATTGAATAGAATGTCTTATCTCAATTGTTTTTGTTGACTTTGTCAAAGATCAGTTGGTTGTAGGTATGTGGCTGTGTTTCTGGGTTTCCTATTCCATTCCATTGGAGATCTGTGGCTGTATTTCTGGGTTCCCTATTCTGTTCTATTGGAGATCTTCTATTTTAACAGAAGCATTTATATCTAACAGTTTTCTATCTTAGCACTGTTTTCTGTGCATACATAAGTTTTGGCATGTTCTATTTTCATTTTCCTTTGTTTTGAGATATTTTATCATTTCCCTTGAGATTTCCAATTTGACATATTGGCTGTTTAGGAATATGTTGTTTCCACATATTTTTTGATATTCTAATTTTTTTTCTGCTGTTGATCTCTAGTTTTATTTTATTATGAAGGGATAAGTTACACTTTATGATTTCAGTCTTTAAAATGTGTTAAACGAGGTCAGGAGTTTGAGACCAGCCTGGCCAACATGGCGAAACCGCGTCGCTACTAAAAATACAAAAATTAGCTGGGCGTGGTGGCGTGCGCCTGTAGTCCCAGCTACTCGGGAGGCTGAGTCAGGAGAATCGCTTGAACCTGGGAGGCGGAGGTTGCAGTGAACCAAGATCACGCCACTGCCTTCCAGCTTGGGTAACAGAGCGAGACTCAGCCTCAACAAAAAAGAAGTGTTAAAAAGTTTTACTTTTAAATATTTCTTTTGAAGAATGTTCTGTGTGAAGTTCTGAAAAAATTCTTTCGTGCTGTTTTTGGGAGATGCGTTGTGCATATGTAGGTTAGGTCCAATTTAACGTATAGTTTAGGTTGCCTATTTACTTACTTTTTTTCTGTCTGTCCTATTTATAAAAGTGGTCCGTTGAAGTCTTTTATTATTACTGTGGAACTTTTCTCCCTTTAGTTATGTTTCTCTTGCTTCATATATTAAGGATCTCTAATATTAGGTGCATATATAACTATAATTGGTATATCTTCTAGTGAATTAACCCTTTAATTATTAGATAATGCTCTTCTTTGTCTCTTGTACCAGTTTTGACATAAAGTCTGTTTTGACTGATACCAGTTTAGCCACCTCCGATGTCTTTCTATTACCATTTATAAGGGATATCTTTTTTCACCCTTTCAATTCAGCCTGCGTGTGTCCTTCAAATAAAAATGAATCTTTTGTGGATAGTATGTAGTTGGAGCCTGTTTTTAAAATTCATTCAGCCAGTCTCTATCTTCTGATTGTGGAGTTTAAGCCACTTACACTTAATGTAATTACTGATAGAGAAGGACTCACTCTTGCTGTTTTGCTGAATGTTTCCTATATCTCTTAGATTTTTTTGTTCTTCATATCCGTTACTGCCTTTGTGTTTATTTAGTTGATTCTTTTGTCTTGACATACTTTTATTTCCATTGTGTGTGTCTTCTATACATTCTTTGTGGTTACCATTGCAATTACAGAAAACACTTTAGATTTATAACATCCTGTTTTAAACTGGTAACAGTTTGACTTCAGTCACATAGAAAAATGACTCCTTTACAGGTCTGCTCCCATGTTATGTTTTTGATATCCCAGATTACTTCCATATATACTGTGTCTCCATGAACGTGTATTTAAACCTTGACAACAATTTCCTGCTTTCTTAGTTTTTTCAGATTAATATTTGCCCATTTTGCCAGCGTGTCTTCTTCTGCATCCCAAGTCTCCTTAACATTGTTGTACTATCAATAAGGTTTTATGTTGTCTTTTTGTGTGTGTACAAAATAAATTCATCCATCTCCTCTTCATGGCTGTTATCAAATTTTTTCTTCAGGATTATATTGTAGGAACATTTTTTCGCATATCTCTTGATATGTAGGGTTGTTGAGCATATGCCTGGAAATATAACTCATGGGACATTCAATTTGATAAAATTCATAGCATATATTATAAAGACATAAGTCTGCTTTCTTCCCATATCCTCACACTGCCTCCTTTTTAACTGTTTTCCCTTGTCCTGTGCCCATAGTATAATTCACGTATTTAAATATTGGCCAGTATAATGCTACTTCTAAATTAGTTTCTTTTTTTGTCCAAAGTCAGGATTTTAACTGTTCCTGGTGAAATTATATACCTACAGCTCTGCAAGCACAAACCCTGCTGCCCCATGCACATTACTCCTTGCCCTTTCCTCTTGCCTTTTCTCTTCCCTGGCCTTTCCTAAAATAGTACTTTGTTCCAGACGGAATACCTGGCTACTTACTAGCATATAAGTTTTACACTCCCATTATTGCATAACTCCTTCATCTCCCACACTACTCTCACTCTGTAAGGGATGACCGTACTCATTCACTTGATCACTTCCTTTTTTTCTTTTTTCTTTTTTTTTTTCATATGGAGTCTTGCTTTGTCGCTCAGGCTGGAGTGCAGTGGTGTGATCTCGGCTCACTGTAACCTCCACCTCCCGGGTTCAAGCAATTCCCTGCCTCAGCCTCCCACGTAGCTGGGATTACAGACACCTGCCCCCACACCCAGCTAATTTTTGTATTTTTAGTAGAGGTGGGGTTTCATCATCTTGGCCGGGCTGGTCTTGAACTCCTGACCTTGTGATCCACCTGCCTTGGCCTGATCACTTTCTGAGAACACTGTCTAAATCATTATGTGCAGGGAATGATGACTCAGATACTGTTATTCATGGGGATGGCTGAATAATGCTTTTGGCAACACAGCATGGCTCTTGAAGTATTTCTTTATACACTCTTAGTATTTGGGGTGACCTGTTACCTGCAGTACCTGCTTGGGCAGTTTTTGAAAAAAACATAATGTTTGATCCTGCAAACGTAGGTGCATATCTTACTTTCTTTGTAAATTGGATGTAGATACATGAATCCCGTGGGCATACTAACTGCTTGTGTGTTAAATAGTGGTAATTTACCTCAAGACTTTTTAAACAAGTTAGTGCTGTTAGCTAGTCTAGAATATTGTTTTTTAGTAAAGACTCACAGATTTCTTTGTTAAATAAAGCATATCAACATTGTTTTATGTTTATAATGAGATAGCATATTGGCTTTACCCTAGTCAGCATGGCTACCTATAGTAGATATTGTAGATTGGGTGGTTGAAACAACAGAAATTCCCTTTTCACAGATCTGGGTGGTGAGAAGTCTAACATGTCAGAACCAGCCATTTTGGTTCTTGGCATGGCATGGGCCCTTTTTCCGGTTTACCATGGCTTTCTCTTTCTGTGTCCTGACATGGCAGAGGACCGAATTGCCTCCCAAAGACCACACCTCCAAATACTATCACATTGAGGATTGGGTCCTCAACATAGGAATTTTGGCAGACATTAAGTCTTTATATCAAAGCAGCCTTCATTGTATCTGTAAGTTTTCATTTTGTAGTTTCTTCCAAACAGTGTTTGTTGTCTTTTATCTTAGTTCATATGCTTTTCAAGTAGAAATCTCTTGATGATATATATTTTGTGGCCAGTTAACTAGGTAATTAGAGGCAATGAATAGGACCAGGTGTGGTGACTCATGCCTGTATATAATCCCGGCACTTTGGGAGGCTGCAGCAGGCAGGTTGCTTGACCTCAGGAGTTCGAGATCAGCCTGAGCAACATAGGAAAACTCTGTCTCTACCAAAACTACAAAAAAATTAGGTGGGCGTGGTGGTGAACATCTTTGGTCTCAGCCATTTGAGAGGCTGAGGTGGGAGGATCGCTTGAGTCTTAGGAGTGGAGGTTGCAGTGAGGCAAGATTATGCCACTTTACTCCAGCCTAGGTGACAGAGTGAGACTCTGTCTCAAGAAAAAATGACAATAGATAGGGAGTTGCTCTATTGATTGTTACATAGGTGTAGGCATGAAATCATAGTCAGTATTTTTCCTTCCCCACTTTTTATTCTGTATTATGTTGTGTATTTACCTTTCTCCCATCCAAGTAGTAACCAGATCTGACACTGTTTAGCTTCTGAGATCAGCTGTGTTCCAGGTGGTATGGCCATAGACATATTTATCTTTCTTTTATCTTTAAAAGTCAGTGATCTCAACATATTTTCTAGTTATCATATGCTGTCTCTAGAATATATGTTCTTGCTTATTATAAAGGGAGATTTGTTTAGAATTCCATACTATAAATTTGTGTATTTGCATATGATGCAAACTTGTATATGCAATATACAAATTTATAGTATGGAATTCTAAGTATATTGTATATTGTATTTTACTTACCTGCTGGTTTTATCATGGGTTAATAGAGTGTTTTATTTATTAATTTATATGATGATTATTAATTAGTTTATCTTGTGAATATTTACCATTACACTATATCTTGCTGTGGTTTGGCATTTGTTTGTACACAGTAAATATGAAGTAAATATATATAACTTTTATTCTCTTATGAGAGAGCCACATTTTCTGCCAATCGGTTCGTAATTTGGTGTCATTGGTTGCAAAATACTTGTTTTAGTGCCAATATATGTTTGCACAACATAAGTCTTTTGGTCATAGGATGTTTGAAACTAGGCTTTCCTAAACTTAATTTGAATTACATGTAGTCACCCTTTCTTTACTATAGACTTCTATTCATTTTGTATTTCTAAAAATAAAAGATCATGGTGGAGAACTCTCACACCTGTCTAGTATAAAGATTATGTTTAGTGTAGGTATGTTTCCAATATAAAATGTTTGTTTATCAATAGTAGTAGTTTAAAAAAAAACTCATGTTCATTATATTTTGCAGGTATCTCTCCTAAATGTGTGATCAAGGAATTACCACCAACAGAGAACAGTAATACAGGAGAAAGGTTCCAAACAGTGGCACTGGAAAGACATCAAAGCTATGATATTGAAAATTTATACTTCAGGGAAATACAGAAACATCTACATGACCTTGAATTTCAATGGAAAGATGGTGAAACAAATGATAAAGAAGTGCCAGTGCCCCATGAAAACAATCTTACTGGTAAAAGAGATCAACATAGTCAAGGGGATGTAGAAAACAATCATATTGAAAACCAGCTTACATCAAACTTTGAGTCACGTCTGGCTGAACTGCAGAAAGTTCAAACTGAAGGGAGACTTTATGAATGTAATGAAACGGAGAAGACAGGTAATAATGGTTGTTTAGTTTCTCCACACATTAGGGAAAAAACGTATGTATGTAATGAATGTGGCAAAGCCTTTAAAGCGTCTTCCAGCCTTATTAATCATCAGAGGATACATACTACAGAGAAACCTTACAAATGCAATGAGTGTGGCAAAGCCTTTCATCGGGCCTCACTACTAACTGTACACAAGGTAGTCCATACAAGAGGGAAATCATATCAATGTGATGTATGTGGCAAGATCTTCAGAAAAAATTCATATTTTGTAAGACACCAAAGGAGTCACACTGGACAGAAACCCTACATATGTAATGAATGTGGCAAGTCCTTTAGTAAAAGTTCCCACCTTGCAGTTCATCAGAGAATTCATACCGGTGAAAAACCTTACAAATGTAATCTGTGTGGGAAATCCTTTAGTCAGCGTGTCCATCTTAGACTTCATCAGACAGTTCATACTGGAGAGAGACCCTTCAAATGTAATGAGTGTGGCAAAACCTTTAAACGGAGCTCAAACCTCACTGTACATCAGGTAATCCATGCAGGAAAGAAACCATATAAATGTGATGTATGTGGCAAGGCATTCAGACATAGATCAAATCTTGTATGTCACCGGAGAATCCACAGTGGAGAGAAACAATACAAATGCAATGAATGTGGCAAGGTCTTCAGTAAACGTTCAAGTCTTGCAGTGCATCGACGAATTCACACTGTAGAGAAACCTTGCAAATGCAATGAATGTGGCAAGGTCTTCAGTAAACGTTCAAGTCTTGCAGTGCATCAGAGAATTCATACTGGACAGAAAACTTACAAATGCAATAAATGTGGCAAGGTGTACAGTAAGCATTCACATCTTGCAGTGCATTGGAGAATTCATACCGGCGAGAAAGCTTATAAATGCAATGAATGTGGCAAAGTTTTCAGCATACATTCACGACTTGCAGCTCATCAGAGAATTCATACTGGAGAGAAACCTTACAAATGCAATGAATGTGGCAAGGTCTTCAGTCAACATTCACGTCTTGCAGTGCATCGGAGAATTCATACTGGAGAGAAACCTTACAAATGCAAAGAATGTGGCAAGGTCTTCAGTGACCGTTCAGCTTTTGCAAGGCATCGGAGAATTCATACTGGAGAGAAGCCTTACAAATGCAAAGAATGTGGCAAGGTCTTCAGTCAATGTTCACGTCTTACAGTGCATCGGAGAATTCATAGTGGAGAGAAACCTTACAAATGCAATGAATGCGGCAAGGTCTACAGTCAGTATTCACATCTTGTAGGGCATCGAAGAGTTCATACTGGAGAGAAACCATACAAATGTCATGAATGTGGCAAAGCCTTTAATCAGGGCTCCACACTCAATAGACATCAGAGAATTCATACCGGAGAGAAACCTTACAAATGCAATCAGTGTGGGAATTCCTTTAGTCAGCGTGTCCATCTTAGACTTCATCAGACTGTTCATACTGGAGACAGACCTTACAAATGTAATGAGTGTGGCAAAACCTTTAAACGGAGCTCAAACCTCACTGCACATCAGATAATTCATGCAGGAAAGAAACCATATAAATGTGATGAATGTGGCAAGGTATTCAGGCATAGTTCACATCTTGTAAGTCACCAGAGAATCCACACTGGAGAGAAAAGATACAAATGTATTGAATGTGGCAAAGCCTTTGGGCGGTTGTTTTCCCTCAGCAAACACCAAAGAATTCATTCTGGCAAAAAACCTTATAAATGTAATGAGTGTGGGAAATCTTTTATTTGTCGCTCAGGCCTCACTAAACATCGAATAAGACATACTGGAGAGAGCCTTACAACTAAACTCAATGTGACAAGGCCTTAGACGTTGTCCTAGTTTCTGGAATCACCGAATAATTCCTACTTACTGATATACCTTGTATATTTACCCCTTCTCTTGAAATCCCTGTGGAATTGTAATCTCCAGTATTGGAGGTGGGGCCCATTGGGAGGTGATTGAATCATGGAAGTGGATTTCTCAAACTGAGAAAGATGTAGCGTCATCCCCTTGGTGCTGTCCTGGCAATAGTGACTTCTCTTGAGGTCTGGCTGTTTAGAAGTGCATAGCACTTCCCTGTCGCTTGCCCTCATTCTCACCATGTGAAATACCGACACCCGCTTTGCCTTCCACCATGATTTTAACCTTCCTGAGGCTTCCCTAGAGGGTGATCAGATGCCAGCACCATGTTTTCATTTAAGCCTTCAGAAATATGAGCCAATTAAACTCTTTTCTTTATACATTAGCCAGCCTCAGGTTTTTTTTTGTAGCAATGCAGTTATGACCTAATACATTTACACATGCAGTAAATATACCTAAGTTTTAAGCTAGTATTCACTACTCACTAGGTGTAAGAATTTGTATATATATTCCAGGATGTATACATCCTGGAGAAAAATCACAGAAGTGTAATACGTGTGGCAAGAATTCTACTCAAAAGCCAGAACTTGTAAATCTAGGTAATTAAAAGGGCATAGATGTATGAAATGAAATGAGGGTGGCAAAACCTTTACTAGAGTTCAATCACTACTTGTCATAAGAGAGTTTATACTGAAAGGAAATCATATAAATGTATGTGTCAGAGGCTTTCCCCAGGCATTGGAACTCACTAGGCATCAGAATATACATCTTTGAGAGGAACCACAGAAATGTAATGTGCATGCTAAGGTTTTTACCCGAACATCAAAATGGAAAGAGTATTCATACTAGAGACAACCTTCCAAATAAATGGTTTTAAAAAATGAAATGTTCAAAGACCTGGAATCAACCCAAATGCTTATCAGTGATAGACTGAATAAAGAAAATGTGGTACATATACACCATGGGATACTATGCAGCCATAGAAAGGAATGAGATCATGTCCATTGCAGCGATGTGGATGGAGCTGGAAGCCATTATCCTCAGGAAACTAACACAGGAACAGAAAATCAAACAGCACATGTTCTCACTTAAAAGTGGAAGCTGAACAATGAGAACACATATACCCAGGGAGGGGAGCAACACACACTGGGGCCTGCTGATGGGGGTGGGAAGGGCAGGGAAGTGGAGCATCAGGACAAATAGCTAATGCATTTTTGCCTTAATACCAGGTGATGGGTTGGTAGATGCAGCAAACCACCATGGCACACATTTTCCTATGTAACAAATTTGCAAATTGTGCACATGTACCCAGAACTTAAAGTGAGACAAAACCAATGTCCACGCCTTTGCAGTTTGATTGAACGTATAAAGGAGAAAAATCCTGTAAGTATGCTGAACATGAAAGGACCTGGAAGCAGTAGTGTGTCTTCAGCCTTTACCAAATTATCCCTACTTGAGAGAAAACTTGGAAATGTAATCAATGTGGCACAAATTTCAACCAGTTTTTTAAACAGACTACACATCTTTGAAATCATACTAGGGATAACCAAATCTGCTTCTCCAAGATTGGCCTGGAATATTATTACAGAATAACTACCAGACAACATTTGTTAAAACTCAGGACAGTATGTATTTTAAAGGAGCAAGTGCATGTGTGAAAATGGCTCATTCAGTTTATAAAATATTACATTAAATTTGAGGTTTCTGTTTTTTTTCTTTTGTGACAGTCTTGCTCTGTTCCCCATGCTGTAGTGCAGTGGCACCAGTTCACCTCACTGTAACTTCCACATCCTGGTTTCAAGCAATTTGTGCCTCAGCCTCCCAAGTAGCTGGGATTACAGTCATGCCACCATGTCCAGATAATTTTTATATTTTTTTGTAGAGATGGTGTTTTACCATGTTTGCCAGGCTGATCTCAAGCTCCTGGCCTCAAGTGATTTGCCACCTTGGCCTCACACGTTGCTGAGATTACAGGCATGAGCCACCACACCTGGCCAATGGGGCGTTTCTTAAAATAGCTACTAGACTATGACGTTTATCCTAAGGTTTGAAGTCTATCATCTTCCTTACATATCCTTCATTGTGGTATCTGGGAATGAATCAACAAGATGAGAGAGCCTCCTTCATTCAGTGTGGCTCCTTCATTTCCATGCTTCCTGAAGATTAAGGTCACTGAATTTTAAAATTCAATATTCTGTGAGTTACACACCATGGAGTAACTGGGAGAATAATGTAAGTTTATGATGTAAGTTGTGCTTGTGTTCCAGGTGTCCATGAACACGTAGAGTGCCACTTTGGGTTGTAGAAAATAATTGCACAACCAACTGACTGAAATACCAGTGAGGACATTGATGGAATATTAAGGGTATTCATGAGAGGCAAGTGATAGGTTACTAGGGATGGATTGTGTGGGAGAAATAATGCAGAGGAAATGATGATCATCTCCATTGAATGACAGCTGTTATATAGCAAAGATAAATGTAAAATTAGTCTTATTCTTGGAAGTGGAAGACAGCAGTTATCAGAGAGGAGAATTTAATCAAAAGAATCAGAATAGCATGGTCACAGGCCAGATTCACATTGAAGTATTTACTCTATATTTTACTGCTGTTACATTCAAAATGTATCAGAAGTCTCATGGTTCAATTAATAAAATGTTATTCGTTTTCGTAACTCAGTGACGTTCCTTTCACCAACACAGATTTATCCCACCTTAGTAAAGAACTTCTAACAGACACTGCATTACACTCTGCTGGTTAAAATAATGTGCGACAATTGTTTTCTATGGCGAAATCAAACAACATAGATTTTTGCCCATACCATAGTCCCCCTTTAACCCACAAGATGCCTTCCAAGTGTCCTCTAGTGGATACCTGAAAGTGGATAGTACCCAACCATAAATATATAGTTTCAGTCAAGTTTTGAGGTGTGACAGCAAAGCTAGTACTGATTATTTTTATTCACACTTGTACAGAAGATTTATGATAAATCTTAGCATCTTCATCTGTATTTTTTTCTTATTAAATCAATAACCTTTCACTTTTTAACTTAAAGGAGGCGCTTTACAGCTTTCTTGCTTTCTCTTTTTTTTTTTTTTTTTTTTTTTTTTTTGTTAGGGGGTTTTGCTATGTCACCCAGGCTGAGTGCAGTGGTTATTCACAGGTAAGATCTTAGCACACTGCAGCGTCAAAAAGTGGTCCTCCCACCTCAGCCTCCAGACTACCTGAGACTACAGGTACATGCTATTGTGTCTAGCTTACAGCTTCTCTGAGATATCCAAGTTGCAAGCCTCACTACTTTTGTGCTTTGGGGCCATAATTAAGTAAAATAGGAGATACTTGAACACAAACACGATGATACTCTAACAACGCTAACTGAGATGACTACTAAGTGACTGAGAGAGGGGTAGGTTATTCTGTGTGGCTACACCGTATAAAGGGATGATTTATGTCCTGGGTGGAACAATGTGAAATTTCATCACATTAGTGAGAACAGTGTACAGTTTAAAATTTCCGAGTTATTTATTTTGGGAATATTCCATTTAATGTTTTTGGGCCACAGTTGCCACTGGTAATTGAAATCATGGAAAGCAAAACAGCAGCTAATGTGGGATGACTGTACCAATGTCTTGGGGGGAGGGAGCCAGCTGATTGTGAGATGTAAGTTTGTGATTCTGAGATAGCAGCTTTGCAAAAAACTGCAATTTGTCAATTCACCAATATTGATAATGTGCAAGCTTGGTGAGCTGAGAATATTCCTGAAAACCTTTGTTCCCACTGCGAATTCCTGGGGACAGTTATGAGTTCCTAATGACGTCACCACAAAGACATTTTGGAGTGTTTGGTAAAGGCTGTTTCTTTTCAGTGATTGCTGGAAGCAGATGGGATCAAATAAAAATAGAACATTGTGGGCTCCCAAGGCTGAGGTGGAGCTGGAGGATGCCGGCCAGACTGCGGAGCAGCAGTCTTCCTTGTGCACATGCCTGAAGTCCGCGTGGGTGTTTGAGGAAGTGGGGATACAGCATTTAATGAAAAATTTATGCTTAAGAAGTAGAAAATGGCAGTCTTCCTAGATAATTTTCAATGGCCAGAATGTGAATGTATTGACGAGTGAGAGAAGAAATGTTGTGGCGTCTGTTGTGACAGGTATATTGTTTTTTACAGGCTGGTGGATAATGACGCAGCAGTGGTGTATTGTAGGCCAGAACAGTTGAACCATGCCTTTCACACATGTGGTGTATTTCCCACATTGGCTTTCTTCATGATAAATGCTGTATCCAATGCTCAGGTGAGAGGTGATAGCTATGAAAGTGGCTGTTTAGGAAGAACAGGTCCTTGAGTTTGGCTTTTCGTTGGTTTCATGTTGATGTTTGGGGTACTTATTGCTTCCATGTGGATTCTTTTTGGTGCATATGTTACCCAACCACTCTGATCTACAAATTTGGAAGAACTGAAGAGCTGTGGACCTGAGATCACTCCTTAAATCACATTTTCTTTGTGTTATATTCTGTTTGTAGATAAGTTTTTATCTTAGTACACGTTGCCAAATGGAGTAGCTTGTACATGAAATGTTTTCTTTACATTTTTATGTTGTGTTATTTTGTCTTTTTTGTTGTTGTTGTTGCTGTTGTTTTTGAGACAGAGTTTTGTTCTTGTTGCCCAGACTGGAGTGCAATGGCGCGATCTCGGCTCACCACAACCTCTGCCTCCTGGGTTCAAGCGATTCTTCTGCCTCAGCCTCCCAAGTGGCTGGGATTACAGGCATGCACCACCACACCCAGCTAATTTTGTATTTTTAGTAGAGATGGGGTTTCTCCCTGTTGGTCAGGCTGGTCTCAAACTCCCAACCTCAGATGATCTGCTCGCCTCGACCTCCCAAAGTGCTGGGATTACAGGCATGAGCTACCACACCCTGCCTATGTTGTGTGTTTTTAAAGTTTTATGAAATTTCTGTTCTTCATTTTTCATTGCATAGACTGTTAATATGTATATAGTACAAGACTATATGGCTTGGATAATGAGTATCTTTTATTCCTGAGATTTAGAACTTGATCTGTTCCCTAAGCCAGGGTTATATCATCATGTCATTTTAGAAGTAACCACTCTCTCTCTGGCCGGGTGCAGTGGCTCACGCCTGTAATCCCAGCACTTTGGGAGGCCGAGGTAGGTGGATCACCTGAGGTCAAGTTTGAGACCAGCCTGACCAATATGGTGAGACCACATCTTTACTAAAAATACAAAAATTAGCCGGGCATGGTGTCAGGTGCCTGTAATCCCAGCTACTTGGGAGGCTGAGGCAGGAGAATCATTTGAACGCTGTGGGTGGAGGTTGTAGTGAGCCGATATTGCGCCACTGCACTCTAACCTGGGAGACAGAGTGAAATTCCATCACCGCCCCCCTAAAAAAAGTAACCACTCTCTCTCAGTATCTCTAATTTCTGAAGATGTGCAAAAAATATAATTTTATATAGCTGGAATGAGCACTGAGCCATAAAAGGTATTTCAGCAAGTTGTAATTTATTTTGGCCTAAAAATGAGGTTTTTTTGTAAAGGAAAAATGTTTGTTCTTATGTATTGAAGAAGTGTACGTTTATATAATGATTTTTTAAATGCCCAAAGGACTAGTTTGAAAACCTCTTCCAAGAATTCCTCTAATATGACCTTATATGAAAAGGGATAATACATGATCAAATAAACTCAGTTTTTTTTATGGTTACTGTAAAAAGACTGTGTAAGGCAGCTTAGCACCAGGCTTCTCATAAAAGCAGCTTAAATTATCCACTGGGGTTATCTTTTGACAACCTGCTATTATCTGGTGTTACACAATTCAATAGCAAGCAAGTTTCAGACAACTGCAGTTCAAAAGCATGAACCATATAACAAAAAGTGGAATAATTAAAGATAAGGCACTTCTTCCCAAAGGGAATTATCACCTAGTGAAAAATTACGCATTTCATCTACTCAGTTACTGACTGCAAGCAAGTCTCTCTGCTCTAGCTCTCAAGCTTTGGGTGAATGTCCCTGCGAAATGTATCTTCAAGTTGAAAGTTCACACTCCAGTCAAAAACTCCTTTTACTGAGTTTGCAGTACTGTATTTGCATGTGTGTATTTCTCTGGACCTTTATTGCTACTTTTGCTTTCCTTTGTTACACAGACTTTGTGTTGCACTTTCTTCTCCAGAGGGGTGATATAGAGCCCTGGTTATATGAATAATACCAGTGATAGTGTCCACAGCTCAAATGCAAGCCCATTTGTCATCACTCCTTTCATCTCTCTGAGAGGATTTATTGTGTGCAGAGTATGAAGCAGTTGTGGAGCTCTGTGCCTTTGTCAAGATACCATCTTGTTTGATGACTTCTTTCTTTGTTGTTTTTCCTTGAAAATGTCAGTAAGCTCTGTTATGCTTCTAGCAAATTGTGAGACTGTTTGTTTCCACCCTCATAACCTGTTGCAATAAATATTATTTCTCACATATTTTAATATTATTAAGTTTGTTGGAGAAAACAAACCATAAAAATTCATTTGCTGTTCAGTTTTCAATTACAATAAAGAAATAGAACATTGTTAATTTCTGAGACTTGATGGACAGTAATATGGAAAATCTTTTCGTTTGCCTATTTGTGCATCTGCATCGGTGAAATTTCTCATATTTTTAACCTATTTTCTAATTCAATTTTTTTTCTATGATATACTTTACTTTGTAGAGCAATTTTTGGTTCCCAGCAAAATTCAGTGGAAGGTACAGAGATTTCTCATATAGCTCCTTCCCCCACATATGCATAGCCTTCCCCATTGTCAACATCCTCCACCAAAGTGGTAGATTATCATCCAACATCCCTAGTTTATAGTTGGCTCACACTTGTACATTGTGTGGGTTTGGACAACTGTAAAATGGCACATATTCACATATTATGGTAACATACAGAGTACTTTGACTACCCTAATAATCCTCTTTGCTCAGTCTAAATTTGTGTATTTCTTTCACTTCTGTCACTTATTGCTTCACGTTTTGCAGCTGTTTTTTAGTGCATACACACTGATGGTTCTGAAATCATCTTTGTAAGTTGACATTTTTATCATGTAATCTCCCTGTTTTTCCCTGTTATTTTTATTTTCTCTGAAGATTACTTCTTTTGTTCCAGTCAATTTTGCAAGTTTATTTGCCAAAGTTAAGGATGCTTGCCTGTGACACAGCCTCAAGAGGTCCTGGCCACATATACCCAAGGTGGTTGGGGCGCAGCTTGGTTTTATACACTTTTAGGAGATATCAGTTAATGTGTAAGATGCACATTGGTTTGGTTTGGAAAGGCAGGGTAAGTCCAAGCAGGGAGGGTGCTTCCAGGTCATCGGGTAGATAAAAGACAAAGGTTGCATTCTTTTGGGTTTCTGGTAAGCATTTTCAAAGGAAGCAATCACACACATTTATCTCAGTGAGCAGAGGGATGATTTGAATAGAATGGGAAGCATGTTTGCCCTAAGCAGTTCCCAGCTTGACTTTTCCCTTTGGCTTAGTGAGTGTTGGGTGCCAAGATTTATTTTCCTTTCACATTTCCCCTTTTCTCCTTTAAAAATCTTTGGGAGAGGCTGGGTGCGGTGGCTCACGCCTGTAATCTCAGCATTTTGGGAGGCCAAGGCGGGCGGATCACGAGGTCAAGAGATGGAGACCATCCTGGCCAACGTGGTGAAACCCCATCTCTACTAAAAATACAAAAATTAGCCAGGCGTAGTGGCACATGCCTGTAGTCCCAGCTACTCAGGAGGCTGAGGCAGGAGAATCACTTGAACCTGCAAGGCAGAGGTTGCAGTGAGCCCAGATTACGTTACTGCACTCCAGCCTGGGGACAGAACGAGACTCCGTCTCAAAAAAAAAAAAATCAGGTTTCATCTGATCCTTCATGGCTAGGACAGTTTATTTTCAGGTGGGCAAGTCCCATGTTATTTGGAAAGCTCATTTTTAGCAGTTTGTAAAGTGTCGTGTCCTATGAAGAGAAAATAGCAGGAGGAAGGAAGAAAAACAAAGAATAATCCTGGAAAATAGATACAGGCCATATTACTCTGAAGTCCATACATCAGTAGATAGGTATGAAAGTGGCTTATGTATGTGAATAGGTTGCTGTTATTTTCTTCTGAAGTTTAAGTTGTCTAGCTTCAGTTATCAGGGCTTCAAGAAAATACAGTTTAGTTTTCAGTGATTTCAAATTAGAAAATATGGGGGAAAAAAGAAAAGAAAGAAGAAAAAATTGAAAACATTATTTCAGAGACATGTAGCTGGAAAAAATTAGAATTCAGTCCAAACTGTGGAAAATCATAAAAATTGAAAAACGTAAGCTGGGCGCCATGGCTCACGCCTGTAATCCCAGCACTTTGGGAGGCTGAGGCAGGCAGATCACGAGGTCAAGAGATCAAGACCATCCTGGCCAACATGGTGAAACCCCGTCTCTACTAAAAATACAAAAATTAGCTGGGTGTGTTGGCACATGCCTGTAGTCCCAGCTACTCAGGAGGCTGAGGCAGGAGAATCGCTTGACCTCGGGAGGCAGAGGTTGCAGTGAGCCAAGATCGTGCCACTGCATTCCAGCCTGGCAACAGAGTGAGACTCCATCTCAAAAAAAAAAAAAAAAAAAAAAAAGAATACTCAGAAATAGTTTCCAAATTCTGGAGAAAGCAGGTAGAGAGAAACAAATATGTTCCAAATTTTCTTCACAGCAGTATACTTTCCTCAATTGTTAAATGCTGTCGGCTGGGCACGGTGGCTCATGCCTATAATCCCAGCACTTTGGGAGGCAAGGTGGGCGGATCACCTTAGGTCAGGAGTTCGAGATCAGCCTGGCCAACATGGTGAAACCCCGTCTCTACAAAAATTACCTGGGCATGATGGTGGGTGCCTGTAATCCCAGCTACTTGGGAGGCTGAGGCAGGAGAATCGCTTGAACCTGGGAGGCTGGGAGGCAGGGGCTGCAGTGAACCCAGATCATGCCATTGCACTCCAGCCTGGGCAACTGTCTCAAAAAAAAAAAAAATTGCTGTCAATAGCTCAAAAGAAAAGTTTCCTTGACTCTGCAAAACAAAACAAAGGATCAAAAGAAAAAATCAGAAAGATTACTTTAGACTCCTATTAGTTCAGTCCATGCAGTTAATGTGTGTTGTGTTTGATATTCATGAACATTTTAGTTATCCATGAAAGTTTTGAAAGTTCTTTCCTCTATTCCTCTATTCTAATGTCACATTTTCCAAAGTTATCAGAAACTTGCATTCCAGAGCACCTATCAAATTCCTGTAGCTGATTATAAACCAACTTTTGAAGAGGATCCAAACAAGACAACAATTGCCTGTGGCAACAAAATGTCTCAGGACAGCTGTTATTAAAACCACAATTGACTATAATGGAAATTTTGGTTACTTCTGTGACATACCACCATTTTACATAATAGTCAATAATAATAATAATTATTATTATTTTTTGAGACAGAGTTTTGCTCTTGTTGCCCAGGCTGGAGTGCAGTGGCACAATCTGGGCTCACCACAACCTCTCCTCTGGGGTTCAAGCGATTCTCCTGCCTCAGCCTTCTGAGTAGCTGGGACTACAGGCATGCGCCACTACACCCGACTAATTTTGTATTTTTAGTAGAGATGGGGTTTCTCCATGTTGGTCAGGCTGGTCTTGAACTCCTGACCTCAGGTGATCCGCCTGCCTTGGCCTCCCAAAGTTTTGGGATTATAGGTTTGAGCCACCATGCCCAGCCAACAATTATAATTATTAATAACATGTGGCTGGGCACAGTCACTCACATCTGTAATTGCAGCACTTTGTGAGGCTGAGGTGGGTTGAGGTCAGGAGTTCAAGACCAGCCTGACCAACATGGTGAAACCGCATCTCTACTAAAAATACAAACATTAACCAGGTGTGATGGTGCACACCTATAGTCTCAGGTACTTGCGAGGCTAATGCAGGGGAATTGCTTGAACCCAGGATGCAGAGGTTGCAGTGAGCCAAGATGGTGCCACTGCACTCCAGCCTGGGTGACAGAGTGAGATTCCATCTCAAAAAATAAAATAATAACATATAGTAAGTCATATCAGAATTATAAGAGTTTTCCATAATTTTGGAATACATGCCAATTTCATATTTATACAAGTACAGCCCACAGAAAGCCAAACACCATTTTGTATTTGACAATGCTTCCTGTATGATTTTTATACCAAATAAGCCAAATATGTCTCTTCTGGATTTCAGGGGATTAACAAAAGTTTAATGACGACGCAAGTTAAAATGTGACTTTGGAAAGCTTGTCAAATATAAAAAGTTTAAAACACTTGATATCATAAAATAGGATCACAGGCCATTATAAAATAAGTGATTCATTTAACCAAAGTGGTATCGCAAAGATTTCAAAAAAAGGTGGCAACCTTTATTTTTTGAGAGAAAAGACTTAATTTCCCAAACAATATTCCCTAGTAAAAATGGCACAAGGCCAATTAAATTGGTTTTTCAATATTTTATAAACAAACTATAAAATTTTAATCATCTTGCCTGTAAGTATAATTTCCATGAGCCTTTTTATACACTATATAATCTTTATTAAATAGTGGGCTAGGCTGGGCACGGTGGCTCATGCCTGTAATCCCAGCACTTTGGGATGCCGAGGTGGGTGAATCACCTGAGGTCAGGAGTTTGAGACCAGCCTAACCAACGTGGTAAATCCCCATCTCTGCTAAAAATACAAAATTAGCTGGGCATCATGGCACATGTCTGTTACCCCAGCTACTTGGGAGGCTGAGGCAGGAGAATCACTTGAACCCATGAGGTGGAGGTTGCAGTGAGCCCAGATCGCACTATTGCACTCCAGCCTCGGCAACAGAGTGAGACTCCATCTCCAGAATAAAAAAAAGGTGGGCTAATGCTCCAAGACAACCTTGTTAATCTGACGCAGGGGCTCATATGCTGGTCTTGCAACAATTTGCCTTTGAAATTGATAGTTAATTTCTAGAGAAACCAAACTTATTTCAGCTCTAAAAATTGACCCTGACAATCTCACATGTCCACTTCTTTCAGTATAACCACTGGTACTTGAGGAGTTGAATAGTTTTAATTTCTTGCCCTGTGTTTCACAAACACAGTTTATTTTGATTAGGAACTTCTACTGGGTCTGAAGATGAGGCTTGAACTGCTGTCAGTGTTTAAGATTTAGCAAGACTTGGTGTCCTTTTTAGACCCAGGAGTCAAAGCCCTTTAACTGAATGGAACAGGGACCTAAAAGCATATACGGAAAGTTATATGGACATAATAAACTTAATTTAAAAAAATTTAATTTAAATTTCCTTGTAACCAAACCAAACTTAGTAATACTGACACAGGAATTACTTTGATAAAGTGTGAGATCTGTTTAGTAGGCCAGTTTTCCAAAGGCAAAAGAAAAGCCCTTCTACAGTGTGACTGCTGTTCCCTATGGGAGATATTATGTTTGGAAAGAAACATTTCCTTTAGACCTCAAAAATAAAACATTTTATAGTGTCAGGCCACAACAGTTAGAACCCAAAGAAAAAAAGGCTACAGGAGCTGAAAATTAGGTGAAAAAGTTATGATTTCAGGCCTTTTAAGAGGGGAGAGAAAGCTGAAAACAGTGAGATTCCATAAAACTTGAACTTTACATTGAATAAATTATGTTTCATAATTTATTTAAAGCACCGCTTAACAAAATTTTGTAGTTTGAACCAATTCTTTAGTGTATAAGTGGTGTTTTTTAAAATCAAAACCCAATCTCTAGAAAGACCATTATAATTTCCCTTTAATTATAGTGAATTTGATCACATAAAACTTTTTTTCATCAATCTTATTATGACTTACACAGACCATTCATGACATGTGTGGGATTTCTTGTTTTTCCTGAACATTCATCTTTCTTATACAATCAGTCATTTTATTCCAGGACAAAATTTCTGATACAAGATTCTTTCTCATATAGAATTATTTTTCTTTAAGCTTTCCTACCAAAAATATTTATTTATTTATTTTTGAGACAGAGTCTCTCTCTGTGGCTCAGGCTGGAGTGCAATAGCTGAATCTTAGCTCACTGCAACCTCCATCTCCTGGGCTCAAGTGATTCTCCTGCCTCAGCCTTCAGAGTAGCTGGGATTACAGATGCACACTGTCATGCCTGGCTAATTTCTGTATTTTTAGTCGTGTTGTATTTTGAGACTTCTACCAGTCCATAGTATTTTCTAAAAACAAAACTAAATATAGATTTATAATAATCCTTTGGATGGTAAATTTTTGTGGGAATGAAGTAGCTGGGTACTCTGGAGGCTGAGGCAGGAGGATCACTTGAATCTGGGAGGTGAAGGTTGCAGTGAGCCGAGATAGTGCCACTGCACTCCAGCCTGGGCAACAGAGCCTGTCTTAAAAATAAATAAATAAATAAATAAATAAATAAATAAATAAATAAATAAATAGAAGTAGCTGGAGAAAGGTGCTTACTGCACAAGGAAGGCATACTTTCTGATACTGTATTAGGGATGTCATCAGGTGAAGTCAAGAACAACAAATCACAATGGACTGGAAACATTCTCAGGAGAACTGTAGCCATGAAAAGGACTGTTGTTCATTCTTGACCTTGTGGAATCAGTCCCTGACTCATCTTCTCAGCAACATTGCACATTTGCTGTGAAACAGAAACTACGGGGTACCTTCTTTATTTTCCTTTTCTGGATGGGAGGGTTTATTCAGGTTTCATTTTTCTGTTCCACAATGAAGTGTTGTGAGTGAGGAGAACTCTACTGGGCTCTCAATGAAAAGAAGTCTCATGAGACTGTCATGAGATCCTTGCTTGTGACTTGAAGTTACATTTTGGCTTATTCTTTTATATTTTTTAGAAGTGGGGGTGAATATTTGGTGTGAGCAAAAGAGGAACAGATTATTTCTGCTGGAAGCTGCACTGTCACATGTTATAATATTTTGAGACAGGATCTTGCTTTGTCACCCAGGTTGGAGTGCAGTGGCACAGTCTCAGCACACTGCAACCTCCACCTCCTGGGCTCAGGTAATTCTCCTACCTCAGCTTCCCAAGTAGCTGGGACTACAGGTGCATGCCACCAAATCCAGCTAATTTTTGTATTTTTTTGTAGAGATGGGGTTTCACCATGTTGATCAGGCTGGTCTCGAAATCCTGACTTCAAGTGATCCATCCACCTTGGCCTCGCAAAGTGTTGGGATTACAGGTATGAGCCACCGCACCCTGCCAAATTAGTATGTTGGGTTTTTAAAAATCCAACTGATACAGCTGTACATTAGCAACAGAGCTCTTGCTTTTACATTATACAATTTTAGTTCATTATCTTGTATCATTCCAGTTCTTTCACTGAACTTAAAATGTAAGGGACCCTCCATATATTGATAGAATACATCCTTTACATCTGTCAGGTCTCCGCATATTTTTTTGCCATACAAATCTGAAAATACCACCTTGATTTACTAATCCTATAAGTTTTTCACTGAAGTACAAGGAAAGAAATGTAAATCTTTAAATTGGATTAAATCGTTTCTAGGAAATTGTATAATGATTTTAAAAATTATTTTTAAAATTACATTTTGGCCAGGCACAGTGGTTCACGCCTGCAATGCCAGCACTTTAGAATGTGGGGGTGGGGAGATCGCTTGAACCTAGGAGTTTTAGACTAGTTTGGGCAACATGGTGAAACCCCATCTCTACTAAAAATACAAAAACTGAGGTTGGGGTATTGCCTGAGCCTGGGGAGGTGGAGGCTGCTGTGGGGTGTGATTACATCGCTGCACTGCAGCCTGGGCAACAGAGTGAGACCTCATCTCAAAAAAAAAAAGAAAAAAGTTTTGCTACAGCTGTGAAATCATTAGCCTTTGAAAAATAATTCTTCTATTAAATAATTTAATATTTATTGTCTGTTAGATATTAATTTTATAGTACAGGTGTAAAAATATAGGTAATTTGTCTAAACAGTATTTCAGAAACACTTCCAACAATTATATTGTGTGAAGGGTTCTATGTATGCATGAAGAAAGGACATGTATAAAGTTTTTAGCATGGGGAAAATTGAGTTTTTATCAACTTAAACGTCAGGAGTTTCAAAAGTAAACATTCAGTGTTGAAATAAAAACTGTCTGAATCTATCTATCTAATATATATGTTTTTTTTTTTTTTTTTTTTTTGAGAGAGAGTGGTTGTGTTGCCCAAGCAATAGTGCAGTGGTGTGATCTCAGGTCACTGCAACCTCCACCTCCCAGGCTTGAGCAATCTTCCCACCTCAGCCTCCCGAGTAGCAGAGACTACAGGTGCATGCCACCACCCTTGGCTAATTTTTTTTTTTTTTTGTAGAGATGGGGTTTTGCCATGTTGCCCAGGCTTGTCTCAAACTCCTGGGTTCAAGCAATTTTCACACCTCAGCCTCCCAAAGTGCTGGGATTACAGGTGTGAGCCAGTGCACCCTGCCTTATTCCTTTACTTTCTTAAAAAACTTGCTGTCACTTTACTCTCTGGACTCCCCCCTAATTCTTTCTTGCACAAGATCCAAGAACCCCTTCTTCTGGGTTTAACTGCCTAATAGGTTCTCTTTTTCTGCTGCCTAGACAGAGCCAATTCCTCAAGACAGGGAAATTGTAATAGAGAAAGAGTTTAATTCATGTGGAGCTGGCTGTACAGGAGACTGAAGTTTTATTATTACTCAAATGAGTCTCCCTGAAATCTTGGGGATCAGGGTTTTTAAGGATAATTTGATGGGTAGGGGCCAGTGAGTCCAGAGTGATGACTGGTTGTTCAGAGATGAAATCAGAGAGTTGACACTGTCCTTTTGCACTGAGTCAGTTCCTGGGTGGTGTCACAAGACCAGATGAGTCAGTTTATTGATCTGGGTGTCAGGTGATCCATCAAGTGCAGGGACTGCAAAATTTCTCAAACACTGATCTTAGGTTTTAAAATACTGATGTTATTCCCAGGAACAATTTGGGAAAGGTGACAATCTTGTAGCCTCTAGCTGCATGACTCCTAAACTATAGTTTCTAATCTTGTGACTAACTTGTTAATCCTATAAAGGCAGTCTAGTCCCAAGCAGAAAGGGCATTTGTTTTGGGAAAGGGCTATTAATGCCCTTATTTTAAAAGATAAACTAAGTTCCTCCCAAAGCTAGTTTGGCCTACACCCAGGAGTGGACAAAGGCAGCTTGGAGGTTAAAAGCAAGATGGAGTTGGTTAGGTCGGATCCCTTTCACTGTAATAATTCTCAGTTATAATTTGCAATGGCGGTTTCAGGATCTGGATCAGGACCCCTTTCTGGCAACACGAGGATGGTTATGAATGCATCCAGACATCCAAAAAGCCACCTCTGAGAGCTAGAGATTTCCCTTTCCTATAGGTTCTTCGTCCCTTGTATGTCAACCCAAGGATTCACTGGGGATCTAGAACTGCGCAGGCCAGTCTAGGAAGAGAGAGACAGGAAAGAGAAGAAGAGGAGGTGAATTAGTTTTGAAGAAAAGAAAGAAGGTCCCGTGCTACCTCTTTTTTTCTGACAAACTTTTCATACTGGGAAATAGAATCCTGGTTTATTTGTAGTAAAACTAGGAGTCCAGGGATTTTATAGGAGGGTGAGAAAAATGCACTTTTATGGTATAGTCTGTGGAGACCTAATTAGAGAAAAGGAGTCAGCCTGGCAGGACCAGGGGAAAGCAAAGAGATAAAGCAAATAAGCTATAAATCTGCCTTTCTAGGCCAGGTGCGGTGGCTCACGCCTGTAATCCTAGCACTCTGGGATGCCAAGGCGGTCAAATTGCCTGAGCTCAGGAGCTCCAGACCACCCTGGGCAACATGGTGAAACCCTGTCTCTACGAAAATACAAAAAAAAGAAAAAAATTAGTTGGGCGTGGTCGTGGGTGCTTGTAGTCCCTGCTACTCTGGAGCCTGAGGCTCGAGAATTGCTTGAACCCAGGAGGCGAAGGTTGCAGTGAGCTGAGATCATGCCACTGCATTCCAGCCTGGGTGACAGAGGGAGACTCTGCCTCAAAAAAACAAAACAAAACAAAATTTTAAAAAACTGCCTTTCTTCATGGTCCAGGACATATAAACAAAATACAGGAAGCAGATAAGCTGTAGGTCTGTTTTTCTTTCTGGCTTAGGCCATATAGCCCTTCTGCGCAGATAACATACATAGCTCATAAACTTTCTGCTTCAATTTTTCATCAAACACCTAACAGAAGAAGGCAAGTTAGCTCCCTGCTTCCTTGGCGTTATCTTTCATTTATGTATTTGTTTATTTATTGAGACAAGAGTCTCACTCTGACTTCCAGGCTGGAGTGCAGTGGTGTGATCTTGGCTCACTGCAACCTCTGCCTCCCAGGCTCAAGCAAATCTCCCACCTCAGCCTCCTCAGTAGCTGGGAGTACAGGTGTGGGTCACCATTGCCAGGTAATTTTTGTATTTTTAGTAGAAACAGGGTCTCACCATGTTGCCCAGGCTGGGCTGGAACTGCCCACCTCGGCCTCCTAAAATGTGGAGATTACAGGGGCAAGCCAGTTTGCCCAGCTGAATCTCCTCTTCTTATAAAGAAATCAGCCAGATTGGATCAGAACCCACTTTAACAAGCTTATTTTTACTTGATCACTCCTGTAGATGCCATATATCCAAATACAGTTATATTCTGAGGTACTGGGTATTAGGACTTCAAGATAGGGTTTTTTTTGTGTGTGGAAATTTTTCTGCTCATAACACACTGTGTTCTGGACTCCTAAACTTTATGTCCTTCTTACATGCAAGATCCCTTCACTCCCATCAGAACAAAAATCTTTTATTTATTTATTTGAGATGGGGTCTCTCTCTGTCACCCAGGCTGGAGTGCAGTGGCGTAATCATGACTTGTCACAGTCTCGACCTCCTGGGCTCAAGTGATCCTCCTGCCTCAGCCTCCCAATAGCTGGGACCACACATGCAGGCCACCATGCCTGGCTAATTTAATTTTTTGTAGAGATGGGGTCTGACTATGTTGCCCAGGCTGGTCTCAAATCCTTGGCCTTAAGTGATCCTGCCACTTCAGCCGCCCAAGTAGCTGGGACTACAGGAGTGTGCCACTAAGCATGGCTAATTTTTATATCTTCTGTAGAGACGGGGTTCTTGCTATGTGCCCAGGCTGGTCTTGAACTCCTGAGCTCAAGTAATCTGCCAGACTCGGCCTCCTGAATTGTTGGGGTTACAGGCCTAAGCTACCTTGCCTGGCCCATCTGAAAAGTCTTAATCCATTTCAGTATCAACTCTAAGGCCCAAATATCACCTAAATATTATCTGAATCACATATGGGTGAGACACAAGGTGTGGTTCATCCTGAGGCAAAGTTTCTGCCCAGCTGTGAATCTGTGAAGCCAGAGAAGTTATCTGCTTCCAAAATACAATGGTGGGACAGGCATAGGAAACACCCTCAGCCCTGGAAACCACCCTTCTACTTTGTTACTCTGAATTTGATGTTTGTACTTAGCACGTGTAAGTAAGTGCATGAAGTATGTTTCTTTGTGTGTGTTGGGAACGGGTGCTCAGTGTCGCAAAAATCAACACTGAGACAAAGGATCTCTCAGCAAGGCTAGTTTACTTTCTGCAGAAAGGGTGCTGCTCACTAGCAGTCTTGCCACGAGAGTACACATGAACAAAAGAGAAGGGTCATTTATAACCTGACGCATCTGGCCGGGCGCGGTGGCTCATGCCTGTAATCCCAGCACTTTGGGAGGCCGAGGTGGGCGGATCACGAGGTCAGGAGATCGAGACCATCCTGGCTAACGCAGTGAAACCCCGTCTCTACTAAAAATACAAAAAATTAGCTGGGCGCAGTGGCAGGTGCCTCTAGTCCCAGCTACTCGGGAGGCTGAGGCAGGAGAATGGCGTGAACCCAGGAGGCAGAGCTTGCAGTGAGCCGAGATAGCGCCACTGCACTCCGGCCTGGGCGAAAGAACGAGACTCCGTCTCAAAAAAAATAATAATAATAATAACCTGACGCGTCCACCCTACTGCTGTGTCTGGTTTCCATTGGCTGGAATCGGACCCAATTCTGTGCTTGACCTGATTGGCTAGCACCTTAGAACTTCCCAAAAGAGGCAAAGGCAGAGGAGAACAAAGGAAGAGAGGAAGTAACTTGTGGAAGGCTGAGAGAGGCAAAAACACTTCCAAATAAGGAAGAGGAATAGGCTGTGACCTAATGCTTGCTTGGAACAATTCAGGCATGCCAGGGCAAATATCTAGGCTAAAATGTGGGAGCTAAGAACACAGAGTATATTGATTTATCTATTATGGCTAGCAGATATTTAAGAATATTAGCACAGGTCTTTGAGTAAATTTTGCTTCTAAGAGAGGTTACTATCTATTCTCAATTAGACTGGGAGGAAAGTCCCTTTGAAGAGGAACCTCTACTTATTTCATTTTCTACACTGTGTCTAGCACATTTCGCTTGGCATAATGTCTTCTGGGTTCCTGGATCCAGTCACTGCTCCACATCCAATCCCCACCGAGATCCCAGTTCCCTGACTACTGAGTAGCTTCAGCTTTTCTGGTAAGACTGGATGGAGTCCACCAGGCTCGGAAAAATCGGTTTTGACTTAAATCAGTTCAACTTGTTAAGAATAAATCATCTTAGTTTCCAGTATAAGTGGACCACAACTTTAAGATTCAACCTTAAATTCTGAAACATTAATTTAAAATGGGCAAGGAGCAACGCTGCTTCACAGGACAAGAAATAGTCACAAATACTCCCAAACCTGGAAAACAAAATCCTGCTGGGTGAGAGGCGGAGTGGAGAACAGGCCCCGCCTCGGCCCCGCCCACCCCTGGAGGCCCCGCTTCATCCCAGTTTTCGGTCCAGCCAAGCCCCACCTAGTCACGCCCCCTACCGCCCTGGGCCTCCCACCACCCTTTCGGGCCACTCCCAAGTCAGGCCAGTCTTTCCGCCCAGCCCTTTCCTAGTCGCGCCCCGCCTAGGCCCCGCCCCCAGGCCGCCCAGTTTTTCTTTCCGCGCCCAGTTTCCTGCACACCCGGAAGCAGATCGCGCTGGGGAAAGGCCACGTCGCTATGAGTGTGTTTCAGTCTACCTGGATTAAACGTTTGCTTCTCTTCGTCTACCTTGATTAAACGTGCACTTCGCAGTCCTCGGTTCTCCATACCCGTGACCTGGGGATCGCTACGGACCTTAAAATACCCGCAACAGCCCCTTCGTCCCAAGTAAGTAGGAGAATTGCTTCCCTTTCGGTTTAAAATCTCTCTGAGGCCGTTCCTTGCTCTCTGCCTTTCTTCCTTAGGACCATGTAGACAACCCCATTCAGGTAGTGTTCCCGCTTAAAACCCTCTGCTTGGGCCCCGCGCCAAGTCGAGTCCTCATTCGGGATGTGGACTAGCGCCCTTCGCGATCCCCGAGCTCCTCCGTCGTCTGCCCCTGGAGGGGAGCGCCCACTGTCCGGCTCCTGAAGGAGCCGCTTCTCCTCCCACGTCCTGGGATTCTGCAGACCCTCCCTGTCGTGAGACATCGTTCTCCGCGCCACCTCGTGTCGTCCTCACGCCGGGTCCTTCCGCTCCCCAGGCTTCCCCTTCACAGCCACTGCTTTTCTTGACTCCCCGTTGGGACAGGTTACCTGAGTCTGTCTTGTGACACCCAGTGTTCTTCCTTCCCAAATTTTACTCCACTGGAAAATGTGCTCTTCCGGGAGGTGGGCATCCTATTCCTCCCCTTTCCTCCCGAATGTGTGGGTGAGAGGGATCAGGAGAGGAAAAGACGGGGAACGACGGAGCAAAAGGAAAAACTGAGGAGAAAAGAATGAGGGAGACCCATAAATACACGGCAAAATGGATGATACTTTAGGGACTTGCAAAGAGAGCAAGAGTGAAAGAGAACGGATGGAAAAAGTAGCAGGGGGAGAAAAGCACACAGAGAAATTTAGAAAAAAAGGGGACCTTCAGAGAGATGAAGGGCAGCAAAATAGAGTGGGGCGGCAAAGGAGGAGGCACTGCAGACAGACAGACAGTGGGGAGAAGGTGAAAGAGTTGGAGCCGCGGCTGACAGAGCTACGTGGTGCTGGGACTGAAAGAGAGGGAGAGAGGGCAGTGGGTGACAAGCAGAGTAGAGGGAGAACCACAGCAGGGAGTAAGCCTAGGAAATTGGGGGTGCTAGAGAGTGGGAACAAAGGAGATGTAACAGGGAAGAGGGAATTTAACAAGGAGAGCAGAGAGGGAGCTTAGATGGGGGAAAAGAGGCAGAAATACGTGGAGATTGGGGACAATCGGAAAGATTGGGGAGAAAGAGCTACGAGAGGTGAAGTAAGTTGCAGAGCATTGGGCAGAACAGACATAAAAGAGGGAATAAAGAAAGGGGTGCAAAACAGAAAAGGAGAAAAAAAAGACGCTCAGAATGAGAGAGGGAAACACATAGCCGTGAAGAAAGCGGGAGAGGACCCCATCCAGATGCGTGACAGTTGATTGGATATGGATGGTGGTTGTAATATATTGATTTGTGGCTTTATACTCTGATTTGAAATATGTTTAAGTTGTACTCATGAGGATGAAAATCACCAAAGTTTTTTCTATAAGCCTTGTGCATTTTGTATGTATTTGTATCAAAAGATATTTGGAATTCCTATTTAGCCAGAGGGCAGTGACTTGATCCAGTTATTTGTGGTAACTCTCTTCTTCCCAATGATGGAGTAGAGCATAAAGGAGGGGAGAAATGGGGCAAGAAATGACTGACTGTCACTACAAGATATGTCTTTGGTGTTTTTTTTGGCTTTGTTCTGTTTTGTTTTGGGGGGGGACATGGTCTCTCTCTGCCGCCTAGGCTGGAGAGCAGTGGCATGATCTCGGCTCACTGCAGCTTCTACTTCCTGGCCTCAAGCAGTCTTTCCACCTCAGCCTCTCAACGCACTGGAATTACAGATGTGAGCCACCACACTAGGCCTACAAGGTATGTCTTCGCAGAAGCATTGAAAGTCTTGTTTTTTTGTAATGAATTTACTTTTTTCTTTGTAGTTGCTTTACAGTTAATTAATTGTTATTTTGGAAGCTTGAGATACATTTTATTCAATTGCTTCTTTCCTATAGTTGCTAACTCCAGAAATAAGATTTGGTGGCATCCAATAATCAGCTGATCTCATTCATTTCTGAATATTAAGTGCCATCATTTTTTGAACTTTTACCCCATAATTTATTAGATTTTTCAAAAACTTTCCAAACTGTTAAAGTGTCCAATATAGTATAGTCACCATGGTGTACATTAGCTTCCTCAGAACTTCTTCATTTTATAACAGAAAATTTGTACCCTTTAACCAACATTTTCCATTTTCACCCCCCAGCAGCCTGTGGCAACAACTGTTCTACCCTGTTACTATCAATTGGACTTTTTTAGATTCCACTTGTGAGGTCATACAGTAATTGTCTTTTAGTGTCTGTCTTATTTCACCTAGCATAATGTCTTCCAGGTTCATCCATGTTGTTGCAAATAGCAGGATTTTCTTCTTTTTAGGGTTGGATAATATTCCATTATATATATGTACACATGAACACTCTGTATATGTCTATATACACACATATTTATTCATGGATGGGCACTTGGGTTGTTTCCATATCTTGGCTGTTATGAATAATACTGTAGTGATCATGGGGGACAGATATTTTGTAAGGTTTTCTTTTTTTTTGAGACAGAGCCTCACCCTGTTGTCCAGGCTGGAGTGCAATGGTGCAATCTCAGCTCACTACAACCTCCACTTCCTAGGTTCAAATGATTCTCCTGCCTCAGCCTCCCGAGTAGCTGATATTACAGGCACCCGCCACCACGCCCAGCTTTTTGTGTTTTTAGTAGAGACAGGGTTTCACCATGTTGGCCAGGCTGGTCTCGAACTCCTGACCTCGTGATCTGCCCGCCTTGGCCTCCCAAAGTGTTAGGATTACAGGCGTGAGCCGCCACACCCAGCCATTTTTTTGTTTTTGTCTGTGTTTTTTCAGCAGATACATGGTCTCTGCTATGTTGTCCAGCATGATCTCTAACTACTGGTGTCAAGTGATCTTGTCGCCTCAGCTTCTCAGAGTGCTGGGATTACAGCCATGAACTGCTATGCCTGGCCTAGATGTCTCTTAAAGATACTGGTTTCATTTATTTCCTTTGGATATATACCCAGAAATGGGATTGCTGGATTGCATTGTTGTTCTATTTTTAATATTTTGAAGAATGTCCATAGTGTTTTTCATAATGGCTGTACTGATGTACACTCCCAGCAACAGTGTACAAGGGCTCATTTTTCTCCATATCATGCTAACACCTGTTATCTCTTGCCTATTTAAAATAGCCTTCGTAAGAGGTATGAGGTGATAGCTTATGGTGGTTTTGATTAGCATTCCTCTGATGATTAGTGATCTTGAGCATCTTATTATATACCTGTTGGTCATTTGTATGTCTTATTTGGAAAATGTTCAGGTCCTTTGCCCATTTTTATTGAGATTATTTGGGGTATTTTGCTGTAGAATTGTAGGAGTTTTTATATATTTTGGATATTAACCACTTATTAAATATATGGTTTGCAGATACATACTTCCATCTTACAAATTGCTTTTTCATTTAGTTCATTGTTTCCTTTGGTGTGCAGGAGCTTTGCCCCTCCCCCACCCCACCCCCAAAATGGAGTCTCACTCTGTTGCCCAGGCTAGAGTGTGGTGGCTCAATCTCAGTTCACTGCAATGTGTGCCTTCCGAGTTCAAATGATTCTCCTGCCTCAGCCCCCGTAGTAGCTGGTATTACAGGTTGCACCACCACTCCCAGCTAATTTTTTAGTAGAGACAGGGTCTCACCATGTTGGCCAGGCTGGTCTCGAACTCCTGACCTCAAGTGCTCTGCCTGTCTTGGCGTCCCAAAGTGCTGGGATTACAGGCATGAGCCACTGCGCCTGGCCAAACTTTTTAGTTGGACATAGTCCCACTTTTTAGTTTGATGTAGTCCCACCATTTGTTGCCTGGGCTTTTGGTGTCATATCCAAAAAAATCATTGCCAAGATCAATGTCAAGGAGCTTTTTTTCTATTTTCTGGGGTTTTACGGTTTTAGATCATATATTTAAATCTTTAATCTATTTTGAGTTTATCTTTGCATATAGTGTGAGATAAGGGTCCAGTTTCATATTCTTTTGAATGTGAATATACAGTTTTCCCGACAGGATTTATTGATGAGACTGTCCTTTCCTCATTGTATATTCTTGGTGCCCTTGTCAAAGGCTAGTTGTATATGTGCATGTTTATTTCTGGGCTCTCTTGTGTTTGATTGTTCTCTGTGTGTTTTTATGCCAGTATTATACTGTTAGGATTGCTGTACCTTTATAATATAGTTTGAAATCAGAAAGTATGATGCCTCTAGCATGTTCTTTTTCAACACTGCTTTGGCTCTTTGGAGTTTTTTGTGGTTGTATAAAAGTTTTAGGGTTTTTTCTTTTTTTATCTGTGAAAAATAGCATTGGAGTGTTGATAGGGATTGTGCTGAATTTGCAGATCACTTTTGGTAGTATGGACATTTTAATCATTTTAAAATATTCTTACAATCTATGAACATGGGATAGCTTTCCATTTCTTTGTGTGTTCTTCAATGTTTTTTTTATCCTTTGTTGCAGCCCCAATGCCTGTGGACTGAACAAAGGGGGACGGACACAGGAATAAAGACAAAGACAAAAGAGTATATTTGGAAGAAGGGGTCAGGGGCTCCTTGCTTCTAGTGAGCAAGAGTCCTGAGCTTTTAGAGCCCTTCATATTTATTGAGTAAAGGAGATAGGGAGAAGCGGGTGGTTGTCAGTCAGCTGCTTGACTTGGTGCAGGCTTGCACGACTGCATTCTCTGAACAGTAGCCTCCAGATGTTTCAGTAGATAACCTCAAGGAGCATGGTGCCAGGGAGTAATTGCACTCAGCATACCTTCTGGCGGCAGGGCAGATGTGAGTTTGCCCACATCCTGCATTCATGATAAACAGTTTGCTGTTTAATCATATAGCCTTCAGTGGAATGCAGAGTTGGTCATGACCCTTTGGCTTTTGGCTCTCTACAGTCCTTTCTTTTTTCTTTCTTTCTTTCTCTTTCTTTCTTTCTTTCTTTCTTTCTTTCTTTCTTTCTTTCTTTCTTTCTTTCCTTCCTTCCTTCCTTCCTTCCTTCTTTCTTTCTTTCTTTCTTTTTTTAAGAGACCAGCCTCACATTGTTACTCAAGCTGGAGTGCTGGCATGCAGTGGGGCGATCATACCTCACTGCAGGTTTGAACTCCTGGGCTCAGGCAACCCTCCTGCCTCAGGCTCCCAGGTAGCTAAGACTATAGGTATGCACGACCATACCTGGGTGAAGGGCTAAGACTACAGGTATGCACCACCATACCTGGCTAATTTCTTTTCTTTGTAGAGAAAGAGTCTCACTATGTTGCCCAGGCTGGTCTCAAACTCCTGACCTCAAGCAATCCTCCCACCTCAGCCTCCCAAAGCACTGGGATTACAGGCATGAGCCACTTTCCTGGCCTCTTCAATATCTTTTATCAGTGTCTTAAGAGCTTTCAGTGTACAGATCTTTTACTTCACTGGTTAAATCTGTTCCTAAGTATTTTATTCCTTTTGATGCTATTACAAATAGGACTGTTTTCTTTATTTCTTTTTTCAGATATTTTGTCTTTAGTGTATAGAAAGATTTAGGGCCCCTCTTCTGAGACATCCTCACTGAACTTAATCTAGCCAATGCCCAGCTGCCTTTAAACTAGACTTAATATTGTCAGCACTTGCTGGCAAGTTTTCTCAGCAGGCCCAACTTTGTGGTCTTCATACTGAAGGCCCAGGGTCCTTCAGTTTGCAGTTTGTGTACACTCCTGCTGTGTTGCATGTGCCCAGAGATCCTGTACCTTTTAGCCTAGTTTGTTCATGCATGCATGGAGGAGAGGTAGAAAAATGGGGGAAAATGGAGGGGAGTCCATAGAAGGCTCCAGAAAGCAAGGGTGGGCCTTCAGATGAGCCATGGTATGGTGTGTGCACCTGTCCCAAGTGTGGTTATAAGAGCAAGGGGTATGTGGAACTCTTGGAAAGGAATTTCTTAGGTCTGGCAGAAGCACTTGGAAGTGGGATTATGAGTGGTTGTGCATGGATCATTTTGGAATGCCACAGTTTCTTTATTTTTTGCTCGGTTGCTCAGGCTGGAGTGCAGTGATGTGACCTCGGCTCACTGTAATGTCCGCCTCCCGGGCTGAAGGCATCCTCTCACCTCAGCCTCCCGAGTAGCTGAAACTACAAGCGTGTGTCACCATGTCCGGCTGTTTTTTTTTGTATTTTTTAGTAGACTCGGGGTTTTGCCATGTTGCCCAGTCTGGTCTGGAACTTCTGGGCTCTAGTGACCTGCCCACCTTGGCCTTCCACAGTGCTGGGATTACAGGGGTGAGCAATCATGCCTGGCTCATTAATGATTTTCTTCATAGCATTTGGGACCCCATCTACTGCCTCTTGGTTGGAGTGGCTGCTTCTGTTATCTTGACATTTTTTAAGCCAAACTTCTTAAATTATCAGTCCATATTTTGCTGGCATCAAACTCTCCAGCTTTAGATCCTTTACCTTCCTAAAGTTGTCATAAAATAACTTCCCTTTTTCTCAAATCATATTAGAGTCTACAGGTATGCCTTCATTATAGTGATTTTGCCCCTGTATAAAGCTGCATTTTCAATATGAGATAAAAAAGGTATTTAGCAAAAAGTACATTGTTTTCGTGCCTACTGGTGTAGCTGCAGTGACGGCTTCATGAATTTTCTCTTTTAACAGTGGTCCTTACACCAGATTAATTTATCTTGAAATGGCGGGCAACTGAATCGCACACCTCAATCTATGGTACGTATTAAGCAAGTCAACATGTTCTTATAATGTCATGGCTTTTCTCTACTTCTTGGGAGCACTTCCAGCATCACTAGTGGCACTTCAGATGGGTCCTGTGTTGTTATTCAGAGTTTATCGTATTGCACCAAACAATGAAAAATGTGCCAGAACCACAGAGATCAATTTTTACTGCGGTCTGCAATTTACTAGAGAGATTAACAGTTCACATGGAGATGATTAACATCACGGGGCACATTAAGCAGGTACCTGAGCTCACCACAATAGCAATGGGAGGTGGCTATGAAATTATTATAGAAGTTCAGTATGTAGTACAGTTCATTAATGCAGTTATGATTGAATACTGCGTCTTTACATTTTTTTACATTTATTTTGACTGTAGATGGAACCATATACAGTCTAGAGGTGTTTATATAAATTTGGTACATTTTAACTTAGAATAGATTTGTGTGTGTTTTATGGTACTAAGTGATAAAATAGACTAATAGTTACATATATTTTATGCATTTCTGGCATACCTTTTTCTTAATTAGGGTACATGGTTCATCTGTGAGTTTTTTCAAATTGTTGCAAGTCTTCAAAATATTTTTCAGATGTTTATTGAAGTAAATTCTTTTATAAATGGACCCATACAATCCAAACTCATATTGTTCTATCGTCAACTGAAGTGAGAAGCAAGGCCTAAGTGGAGTCCACAGGGAGGTTGGGCAGCTGGAGGGTTGGTTCGTTGGTCTTGAGAGCGTGGAACCCAGAACTGTACTGCCATAAGCACTTTTCATGGTGACTTCTGCGGGGTCTTTTGGGAGTGCAGGAATCATGCAACTTACCGAAGTATTATCTGGAAAATCACAGAGATCATTTAGGGGGGCTACCTTTGTTTTTTTTTTTTTTTTTGGAGTATTTTGGGCTGCACGTTAAGATGGTTATAGATGCATTTTGGATGCATTATCTAAATGTCAATATGGAGAGTTTCCTTGGAAGATGTTGGGGTCTCATTGGGGCATGTGTGCATCATTGAAGATATCTGTTTTAGTAGATAGTGGTGCCAGTATTCGGGGGTGGGGTCATTACAGGCATGGACCACCGTGCCCAGCTAATTTTTGTATTTTTAGTAGAGACGGGGTTTCACCACGTTGGCCAGGCTGGTCTCAATCTCCTGACCTCAGGTGATTTGCCCACCTCAGCCTCCCAAAGTGCTGGGATTACAAGTGTGAGCCACCGCGCCGGGCCTCTCTGTTTATTTTTTGGAGTTTTTTTTCCCCTAAACCTGGCCCATTTCAAGGTTCAGTTTGATAATGTGGCACTCAGCACAAGAGACTTCATTCTGGCTTGGTCTGGTAGTTCGGGAGGCTAGTCCAAAACAACAGCCTTCCCATAAAAAACAATGAGATCATGTCCTTTCCCAGGACATGGATGGAGCTGGAGGCCATTATCCTTAGCAAACTAACACGGGAACAGAAAACCAAATACTGCATGTTCTCACTTACAAGTGGGAGGTAAATGATGAGAATACTTGGACACATAGAGGGAAACAACACACACTGGGATCTACCTGAGAGTGGAAGGTGGGAGGAGGGAGATGATCAGGAAAAATAACTTATGAATACTAGGCTTAATACCCGGATGATGAAATAATGTGTACAACACATCCCCATGACCCATTTACCTATGTAACCAGCCTGCACGTCCTGCACATGTACCCCTGAACTTAAAATATAAGTTAAAAAGAAAACAACGAAAATACTTTGGGCTTCCATAAAATTTGTTTAACTGTGTCATTCATTTTTACTTCTACAGAATTACTTTAAACAGTGTTTACTGATGGTGGTGTATTGCCCATTAAATGCATGCACACACACAGACCCTAAAGCCTCTAGTTTCCTTCCACTGTGCCCTAATTAAAACAAAACATACCATTAACTGTGTTTCTGCCTGTAGTGAGTACCCCTCTTCTGTGCTTCATTTAAGACCATAATACAATACAATCTTGTTCAGAGTCTCTGTCTTCACTTGTTGCCTCCAATTGTGTCTTGAATGCATTGGATGAAACTTTCATATCCACCATTCCACTGATAACTTTATTTTTCAGAGTCACCAGTGACCTCCCCATTTCTAAATCCAATGTATTTCATTTCCTGCTTTACTCTTTCTTTGCCTGTCAGGAGCTATTTGATTTTCTTGTCACCTCCCTGACCATTTCACACTTTCCTCTGCTGCTGTGTCCTGACTCTGAATGTTTCCCAATGTGGGAATGACTCATGGCTTAGTCCTTGAACCTCTTCTTGTTTCTGTCCACACCCACTGTCTTTCCTCATCATCTCATCTTATGAATTTAAACCCCACTGTATTAGTCCATTCTTGAATTGCTATAATGAAATACTGGAGACTGGGTAATTTATAAAGAAAACAGGTTTAATTGGCTCACAGTTCTGCAGGCTGCACAGGAAGCATGGCGACATCTGCTTCTGGGGAGGCTGCAAGAAGATTCCAGTCATGGCAGGTGAAGGAGGAACAGGCGTCTCACATGGCGGGAGCAGGAGCAAGAGAGAGTGAGGGGGGAGGCGCTACACACTTCTAAACAACCAGATGTCGTGAGAACTCACTATGATAAGAACAGCACCAAGGGGTGGTGTGAAACCATTCATCACAAATCCACCCCCATGATCCATCCACCTCCCACCAGGCCCCACCAGTAACAGTGGGGATTACAATTCAGTGTGAGATTTGGGCCAGGGACACAGAGCTGATCCATATCACCCACCTACCCACCTACACGTCTCCATGTCCCCTGCAGACCTGTCCCCTGAACTCTAGAATTCTGTGTCCTTTTGTCCTCTCCTCTCTCTGCTTAGCCATCTAACAGGTATCTCCACCAAAAGTGATTGCCTGAACTCACCAAGTACATTCCCCTGCACTCCTGCACATCTCAGATGATGGTGACCCTGTACTTCCTGGCTTTAGCTTTACATGTCAGCATATATTTGAAACAGAGAAAACATGACATTAAAAAGAAGTGCTTTAATTCATGTGATAAAGAAAAGTTATGTTTACTTAAAAAGGGTGAGGAAATGCATAGTTTCTGAAATTACTGTGAGCTGTGGGAGAAAGATGTTTGAATACCTCATCTCTACCTAATCTGCTCCCCAGAACCTCTCTGACCTCATCTCCTCCCTGTGTCCTTCCTGCTCCCTCTGCTCCAGCCACACAGGCCTCTTTCCTGTTCCCTGGGCTGAGGTTGCTCCTGCCTCAGGGCCTCTACCTGGGCTGTCTGGCCCCTCAGCTGCAGGTGCAAACATCCTTCCTTCTTGAGGTCTTTGTTCTGATATCACCTTCTCCATTGGGACTTCTGTGCCTCACCCTCCTCTCACCATTTAACACTCCAGCCACACCCTCACCCCACCCCTGGTGCATATTATGTGTCTCTGTGTTTCTGGTCCATTGTGTTCTACTGTCTACAAACTGGTAACAGTGAAGCCCCAAGGGGACAGCAGAGCTGGGAGGATGGGGCTGTGCTAGTCTTGCCCCCTTTAAGATGTGTTCAACCCTGGCTTCACATTAGCGTGCTGAGGCAGTTTGCAAATACACGTTTTGTGCCCTTTTACCATAGATTCCACTTCCAGTAGGTAGGATGGACTCAACCTCCATATTGTTTAAAGTACCCAAATTGATTCTAATTTGTATCCAGCATTGAGCGTCCAGCCTTTGTGTCTTCTGTTTCTGAGAGCTGAGCTCAGCCTGTGATCCACAGGGAGGTGAGGGGGCTGTGCTCTGTATGGGGTTTGATCAGGGATGGGTCTGTGTCCTGAAGGGAAGCATAGTCCAGCCCAGCTCCCCACTGTTGCAGGGTGTGTGGGGGCTTCTCTGGGAGGGGAACAAGTTCTGAAGAAAAGGGTGAAAAACTTACTTGGTCTTTGTGTAGGAGTTTATTATGCTTGCATCCCCCTGGTGCACTGGGCTGTCTCTCCACATGCTGAGGCCTTCCCTGTGGGCATGGTTGTGGCACAGAAAGGAATGTGTTGTTTCCAAGGATTAAACAACATATTTTTGACTTTCAGATTTGACTTTTAAAGAATTAATTATATTGACTGAGAGAGAGGCCCAGGAGAGAAAGAAGAAAGAAAAGGAGCCAGGGATGGCTCTTCCTCAGGTAAAGTGATAATCTTGGTGGATTGTTCTGTCTCCTCCCTTTTTGAAATGCAGGGCATTGGAGCTGCAAATCTTCTCTGAGTCTGAAGTATCCTGCCTGACACATTTGCTCGCACTCACCCATGCCTTCCTTCAGTCCCTCTCTTCTGCACTTAGATTCCAGATCTCACAGTGACTCAGTGACATGAGCTTGGGAAGAGGCTCCACTGGGCATGGTCCTGGGAAGGGCTCACACCCAGACATGGATGGAGACAGGGTGTGAGTTCTGTGGTGTCAGCTTTTGGGCAGCAGAGATTGTTTAGGGGCAACATCTGAATGCACTGTCAGCTCTCAGTAGACCAGGAGTAGAGAAGCTGTATGTGGAAGTCACATGTTAATATGCAAAAATACCTCATAAATTCTTGAAAAGATGCCTCTAAGGGGAGATCTTTTCTGCCTGATTTTATACCACATTTGAAGCTATAATGAATCAGTCACTCTTTCTAACTCCACAATCTTAATGACCGGGAATGGAATGGAAAACTAGGTACAGACATCAGTGATAGAGGTTGTTTTATTCCATCATTGATTTTAAAATATGAAATCAACCTGAATGTCAGATTAATTTAGCCATTCTCAGCATATCCATCCCACAGAGAATGTGGTGTTCCTGCTGGGACTCTTACCGGCAGTTGTTTTTTGTAAAACGGTTATAATTTTGCTCAGATGTAAGAGCCAAACTTTTTTGATGTCAGAGAAGATGGAGCCAAATTCTGTCATTCCACCAATTATTATTAAATATTACATTTATTTTAAACATCACATGATATATATATTTGTTTTGTGGTAAAAGTCCAAGCAGAGATGGAATTTAGACATTAAGAAGGTGATGCAACATAAGGATGGTAGGGAATAACGTGTTATTATATGTGAAATTTATGCTAAATGAGATTTTAGCTGTTTTTGCCACAAAAGCAAAAAAAAAAAAAAGGTAACTATGAGATACGGATATACTAATTTGTTAAACTGTCGTGAGTTTTTTACTATCTATACCTTGCTATATTGTGTACCTTAAATATACACAATAAAATTTGTAAGCAAACAAGTAAAAAACAGGGCATCAAGAACACCCTTCATAACCTAAAAAAAGAACATCAAGGCATATATATTTAAAAACTTTTAACTACAGAACATGAAATAGCTCCTAGAATGCAGTAAAAGAAAATTGAGCATAAAATGAAAATTATTTTATTTTGATTTCCACAAAATAATGAAATGTCCTCACAGTCCAAGGAATTGGAAAATGGAAATACAAAGAATTTTTATTTTTTTTAGATCCTCAAAGAGAAAAAAGAACATAGTAGTATTTTTTTTTTTTTTTTTAAAGAGTGGGACATGTCATGTGTCATTGGTGGGAGGGGGCACCCTTGAACTTGGGGTAGTGGGGAATCTTGCCAGATTCACCAAAATAGGAAATGCACCATCCTAGAAGAGGCAATCACTCTTTCAATTACCCACCCAGAGGAACCCAGGTTCCTTTTCCCTGTCACATTCTCCACCATGCCTCATGTTTCATTGAGGAGCTACTATTGTAAGTTCTGTGGCAAGAGTCAGTGAGAGGTGTCAAGATGCATTTACACGTCATTATGAGATTTTAGAAAACAATTCTTAAGTGAATGTTCTGCTGTATTTTGCAAGTTTTTGAAATGTACATTTTTTTTTTTTTTTTGAGACGGAGTCTTGCTCTGTCGCCCAGGCTGGAGTGCAGTGACGCAATCTCAGCTCACTGCAAACTCCGCCTCCCGGGTTCACACCATTCTCCTGCCTCAGCCTCCTGAGTAGCTGGGACTACAGGCACCTACCACTGTGCCCAGTTAATTTTTTGTATTTTTAGTTGAGATGGGGTTTCACCGTGTTAACCAGGATGGTCTCGATCTCCTGACCTAGTGATCCGCCTGCCTCAGCCTCCCAAAGTGCTGGGATTACAGGTGTCAGCCACCGTGCCCAGCCTGAAATGTACATGTTTTTATGTTAATAAACACTAATAGCGTATTTTGCATCCTCTTTGGAGCAATTTCTAAATGAAGACATATGGATCTTTTACAATTTTTCATTTTTGCAAAGAATGTCACTGTGGCTTCCTCTGTGCATGCTGTCTTCACCACAAGTGTCTGAGGGTTACTTCAATGGCAGTTCAAAGAATGATTGCTTCTTTTAGGATGGTATACCACAAAAGCAAAAATAAGTAAATGTTTGTTTTATCTTCTGGAAGGCCTGGCTCACGGTGTGATTATAAAATATGAAGTTTCTTTAAAATCTCATGTTTCTTGCTTACATTTTCTTTGCATGAATTTTTTTGATTGAATCTTTAATTTGAATTTTTGTGTATATCTTTTTGTAGATTATATTTGATTGCTTTTAAAGTTTCAGATTATAAATGTCATAATAGGTTCATATGAAGATTGGCAAACCTCTCCATTTTCTTTCCAAAATTTTGTTGGTTCTTTTTTTATACAACAGTCACATTTTATTAAATTCCCACATATTTTGTTTGTGTTTGAATGGCCATGAATTTTTACAGTCGCAGGTCTTGTCACCATCACATCTTCCTATAAGAATTGAGTTTGTCAGTCAGTGATCATATCTTTATTATGTCTTTCAGTAAAGCTTGTTTGTTTGCTTACAGTTTAGTAATGTTAGGTATATTCACATTATTTATTGGGCTTTCAGGATACATACGTTCTTGATGCTTGATGGTTTCCCCATGAGCCCTTTAGACTCTCTTTATTTTTCTTTATTTTTTATAGTTTTTGTTTTCCTCCGTGTCAAAATCCCCTTTGAGTTCACTGATTCCTTCTTCTGCCTCATTAAGTCAGCTGTTGAATTCATCTAGCGAATTTTTCAACTCAGTTATTGTATTTTTAACTCGACTTTTTTTCTTTCTTTTGTTTTGTTTTCAGGCAGGGTTTCACTCTTTCCCAGGCTGGAGTGCAGTGGCACGATCTTGGATCACTGTATCCTCTGCCTCCCGGGTTCAAATGAACCTCCCACTTCAGCCTCCTGAGTAGCTGGGACTACAGGCATGCACCATCACACCTGCCTAATTTTTGTACTCTTTGTAGAGATGGGATTTTGCCATGTTGCCCTGGCTGGTCTCAGAACTCCTGGGCTTAAGCAATTACCCCATCTTGGGCTCCCAGAGTGTTGGAATTACAGGCGTGAGCCACGGTGCCCAGCCTTAGAATTTCTTTTTGATTTTTCTTTATAGCTTCTATTTCTGTTGATATTCTTCTTTGCATGCATAGTTCATATAGTTTTCCTGATTTCGTGAGCTTGTCTGTGTGTGCTATCTTTTAACTCATTGAGCATTCTTGTGGCTGCTATTTCAAATTCTTTGGTAATTCACATATAGTCAGCCCTCTGTATTCATGGCTCGTGCAGCCATAGATGGAGCCAACTATGAACTACAAATAGCCAGAAAAAAATGGATGGTTTCATCTGTGTTGAACACGTATGGTCCTTTTTTTCTTGTCATTATTTCCTAAACAATGCAGTATAACAACTACTTATGTAGCATTTACATTGTATTAGCTATTATAAGTAATGTAGAGATGATTTAAATCATATGGGAAGATATAGGTAGGTTATATGCAAATACTATGCCTTTTTATATAAGGGACTTCAGTATCCATAGATTTTGGTCCCCTTAGGGAATCTTGGAACCAATCCTCTGCATATACTGAGGGTGATCCCCATTTCCTTTTAGTTCTTCAAAGCCAAGATTTAAATCACCATTTCTTTAGTGTAGGTTTGTAGAGACTTAATTGGTTTCTTTTTATGGACTGTATTTTCCTATTTCTTTGTAAGTTTTATTATCTTCTTTTGGCACTTCCCTATTTTAAAAATCATCTACCTCCCCAGTTTTGGGTGGTTGCTTTGTTCAGGGAGGACACTCTGGAGTCAACTCAGCTAGATTGTGGAGACCTTCCACACCTTTTCTGGCTGGGGATTTTGTCCTCTCTGGGCCTTTGCTTGTCATCTCTTCATTGAAAATGTTTGCTAGTTTCTACCCAGAAGCTCCCCTGTTGTCTGTCTTTGATATTGCAGACTTTGGTGCTACAGTAAGCTGTAGTACTAGATATGCACTTAGCGTTTGTCTGTGTTACTGCACACACTGGTTTATGTAAATCATCCTTTTTCTCAGTGGCCCCTAACCTTTCACCTTGTTCTTGTCAGTGCTTATATTCAGGAAGAGAGAAACCAGCCCATCAGTTGGTCATCTGAAAAGTCAGGAAGTTGGACAGATATTCTGCTCCTTTCCATCCCCTAGATGATCTTGGGAGTTGTGGGTTTCTTTTCTGTTACCCCAGTGCATGGCAGGGGCTGGATCTCTGTCAAGTGGATGCTTCAAATTTTCCTTCAGAGCTTCTATACTGTTTGCTTTATGTCAGCCTGAGGTGTAGAAACCTCCTAACTGTTTTCTGGATTTATCCCCGAGGCAATTAGTCCATGAATTGTTGTTAAAATCATTTCACTGTGGTGACTGGAGAGTTTGGGGATTCCTGTTCCTTTATCTTGCCGACATCACTCAGTGTAGTTTTATAATTTGTTCACATAATTCTGAAAATGTATTGTACTTAAGTGCCATGGTATATATGCTAATGAAAATTTAGAAGTGTGTGTGTTGTTTTTAAATTAGTGTTACTAAAGTAGGAAGATTATTTCAGTACATTGTTAGCATTGTTAGCTTGTATACTTAAACATTCTTTTTCTGGGTTGCAATCATGTTATCTCTTTTTTTTTTTTTTTTTTTCCCTGAGATGGAGTTTCGCTCTTGTTGCCCAGGCTGGAGTACAATAGTGCGATCTCAGCTCACCGCAACCTCCGCCTCCCAGGTTCAAGCGATCCTCCTGGCTCAGCCTCCCTAGTAGCTGGGATTACAGGCATGTGCCACCATGCTCGGCTAATTTTGTATTTTTAGTAGAGACGGGATTTCTCCATGTTGGTCAGGCTGGTCTTGAACTCCCAACCTCAGGTGATCCTCCCGCCTTGGCCTCCCAAAGTGCTGGAATTACAGGTATGAGCCACCGTGCCCGGCCACAATCATGTTATCTCTTAATTTTAGTAGATCTAACTCTTTGGCTCTACCCCCTCCTTGCCTTTTTCCCTCCCACCTTTTCTCTTTGCTGCTGCTCAGACATCCAGTGCAGTGGTGAATGACAGGAGGTCTGGCCAACCCCCTTTTCTCTTAATTTAGAGGAAATGAAAAACCCCCTTTTCTCTTACTTAATTTAGAGGAAATGAATCCAGTGTTTCACTTGTTGGGTGAAATATTTTTCCTTAACAGTTTTTGGGTTTTTTTTTTTTTTTTTTTTTTACAGATTTCCTTTGCAACATGATTTTTAAATTTTCTAATAATTTATGCAAGCATATACTGCTGCAATACATATTGTTTCTATCTTAATCTGTTAAATTTTAATGTATTACACTTATAAACCACCTAATCTTGAATCACTGTTTTATTTATTGGTGGAATAAACGAATAAACTCCATTTGGCTTTTGTTAATGCATAAGTAGCTAAATTTAACTGGATAAAATTGCACTTAGATATTTAAATATAGGCATTTAATAGTAATTGTAATAAAAGTTTATATACTTTTAAAATTTTGTACCATTTTCTCCAGCCTAGTATTGAATAAGTACAAAATAAATAAGTAAATGAAGTACTAAGTAAATAAGTAAATGAAGTACTAAGTACAAAGTAAATGAAATACAATTTATACATTTTCATTGTCCCAAGCATGCTAAAACATACATGTCTAAGAATAATGATTTAAAAAGTCATCCAAAAAATATGTCATTGAGAGATAGCGTCTTATTTCAGTTAATTTAAATGTTTGTATGCTTTGGTTTTTATTTACAACATCATCATTTCATAAATCAGCCTATTATCTTTTCACAGTTGAAATTATTTACTTGGTTTTATTTTAATTTTTTTCTTTTCTCTACATAAGATACAGGCTTGGGAACACTATTGAAAATTATATCTTAAATGTTTCTATGGCCTTAAAATGTTTTTTCTTTAAAAACTTTTTTTTTTTTTTTTTCCGAGATGGAGTCTTGCTCTGTCACCCAGGCTGGAGTGCAGTGGTGCGATCTCGGCTCACTGCAAGCCCTGCTTCCCGGGTTCATGCCATTCTCCTGCCTCAGCCTCCCGAGTAGCTGGGATTACAGGCGCCGGCCACCACACCCGGCTAATTTTTTGTATTTTTAGTAGAGACAGGGTTTCACCGTGTTAGCCAGGATGGTCTCGATCTCCTGACCTTGTGATCCGCCCACCTCGGCCTCCCAAAGTGCTGGGATTATAAAAACTTTTTTACATATTTCTTTGTCCCAGTGATTTGCTTAATTTTTAAAATTGCCTTCTATATTATCATGTGAATGGATTAGTTTTATGAATAGTAATGTATTATGTGTGTGCTTCTGTGTGCTTATATGATGATCTTTTTTTTCTTTGTTTTTGAGATGGGGTCTCACTCTGTCTCCAGGCTGGAGTGCAGTGGCATGATCTCGGCCCACTGCAACCTCCACCTCCCAGGTTCAAGTAATTCTGTGTCAGCCTCCCCAGTAGCTGGGACTACAGGTGCACACCACCACGCCCAGCTAATTTTTGTATTTTTAGTAGAGATGGGGTTTCACCATATTGGCCAGGATGATCTCGATCTCTTGACCTCATGATCCACCCATCTTGGCCTCCCAAGGTGCTAAGATGGAGGTGTGAGCCACCACGCCTAGCCTATATAATGATCCTTTATGCGGTTCCAAGTTAATCTTGAACTTGCTTCAAGTTTTCTCAGGCAACCCTCTGTCAGTATACTGTAGCATTCGTCCCCTATGCAGCAACAAGACCATCTTCGAAGCAGGGATTAGCCCTCAGCGACATCAGTCCTGCTGACACCTTGATCTTGGATTCCCCAGCCAGCAGAATCATGAGAAATACATTTCTGTTGTTCATAAGTTAGTTAGTCTCTCTTATTTCGTTATAGCCACACAGAAAGACTAGGACATACTCTGTAATATAACTGTCGGATTCTGTTGATTCAACTCTAATTTTTAGACATCTGGGTTCAGGTGCTTGCTCTGCTGTTTGCAGGTTGTTGACCTAGGTGACTTTCTTAGCCTGTCTGTGACACAGTTGTCTTCTAGTAAGATGGGAAGAAATATTTCTGTCATAGGTGATTATGTCATCATTTGAGTTAGAACACGTAAATCCTTTGAAGTAATGCCCGGTACATGGGGAGTGTTCCAAAACTTTAGTTCTTGCTGTTGCTCTTGTCATCGCTGTTTTTAGTTTCTGACCTTTCTTTAAAGCCACTAAGAACATTGTCATCTCTGAAGACACCACTTGTATTCTAGCTCATCTGGACACCTCACTTGGTGTAACAAATGTAATATCTAAAACTTTCATAGGGATAACCATGTGTTTATTTCTTATTTTGTCCACAAAAGTGAGAAATGTGCACCGATTTAGATAATATCCTAATCTCCTATTGAATTTTATAAAACCCAAAATCAGGGAGACGTAATTATCTCACAGATACTTTTAATGGATATGTCAAAACACACTTCAATCAAATTGATGTGACAGTTCTCTCCTCTTCTCATTTTATGTAAAGATAAGAGCTCACCCACTGCTCATATTGAAATGTGTTTTTCATTTCAGGGATCTTTGACATTCAGGGATGTGGCTGTAGAATTCTCTCAGGAGGAGTGGAAATGCCTGGACCCTGTTCAGAAAGCTTTGTACAGGGACGTGATGTTGGAGAACTACAGGAACCTCGGCTTCCTGGGTGAGGATAGTTTTCCTCCAGAAGTTAGGATCTTCCCTTGTGCATTTTTGTACTTTCCTTATTGTGTTTCTTGTGAGGCCCTACATTATTTGACAGAGACTGAAGCCTTGTTGATTCACAAATAAAAAGCTTCATAATGCTGCATCTGGCCTTTAACTGTCCCATTTCTATGGATATTCTGCTTCCTTCTTTGTACATTAGTGGTGACTCCAGAGCTGAGGTACGTGTAAAACCTTATGGCGGAGTTAATATATCCAATTCCCTGTTCTTCCTGTTTTCTATCCTTGTGCTTTTTTTTTTTTTTTTTGACACAGTCTCAGTCTGTCACCCAGGCTGGAGTGCAGTGGTGTGATCTTGTGATCTTGGCACACTGCAACCTTAGCTTCTTGGGATAAAGCCATCCTCCCACCTTAGCCTTCCAAGTAGCTGGGACTGTGGGTGTGCAACACCATGCCCAGGTAGAGACAGGGTTTCACTCTGTTGCCTAGGCTGATCTTGAACTCCTGTGCTCAAGTCATCTTCCCGTCTTGGCCTCCCAAAGTGCTGAGATTACAGGCTTGAGCCAGTATGCTTGGCCTATCCCTGTGTTTTTGATTCAGTATTTCTTGGGAGAGAGCTAGATATCTTCATCTTACAGTGTTCACTAAGCATTCAGAAGGAGGCAATCAATGGATGAGTTTGTGAAATATTTTGTAGATTCAACTGCAGTGTTTTCTCTTCTACCTAGACATTAGGCTGGGTTCTGGAAAAACCGTGGGACATCTTCTTTCTTTTTTTATAAGCAGGACTCTGTCTTCCTGACCTGAATATTATCTCCATGTTGGAGCAAGGGAAAGAGCCCTGGACTGTGGTGAGCCAAGTGAAAATAGCGAGGAACCCAAACTGTGGGGAATGCATGAAAGGCGTGATCACCGGTAAGAGCTCAGATGGGCACAATGGAAGCGGTACCATGAAATTGTGTGCGTAAGACTCTGCAAGTGGGAGAGTTCTGTGGGGAAACAAATTTGATTTTCTGTGAGCTCCAGAAGTTTTCTTCTTTCCTGCTTATCACTTTGCTTTCCAGACACGTATAACTTTACCTTTCACTCTCCAGGGGTTGCTGCAGCTCAAACAGAGCAAAGTACAAGACTGTTATGATGGACCACAGTGTCATCTGTATTGTGTGAACTCTGATGCTTTGACTCTGTGGCATGGGAAGGGCCTTTTCAAAGAAGTCTCTTTCCCGTGTGGTCTCTCCTCCTGTTCTTGATTCCATCTGATCCTCAGTTCTCTGATCCATATAGATTGGAGCTGAGGGCTCCATAGTCCTGGTGCCTGGAACTTTTCTGGTTCCACCCCATTTCCTATACTTGAAAGTGCTGGTCAGGAGATGAGGAAACATTGGTTGCCCTTCCTTTGAAGCTGGGGTCCTAGAACTGGACTATCTTCAGCCCTCTCTGCCTGTTCAGGTCCCTCAGCCATTTTCTTAGTTCTTCTTTGGACACTCTTCTTGGGTTTGTGACACGGGAATGAGTTGGGTCTCCTGAGATTGTTACATATAAGAATTGTAAAGACAGTTGACACAAAGGTCCTCTCTTTATTCTTAGTCCTACACAGGGAGCGTATCTCTGTCTTCACACTCTTAGTTTGGGATCTGTGGACAGAGCACTGTCTCATTTCAAGATCCCTCACAATCCAATTCCTGTGTTTTTCTCTGTCTTGTTTATGCCTTGGCTCTTTCTGATCTTGCATTCTCTTTTATGTTTGTGTGATTTTTTGCCTCTGAGACTTGCTTTGGATAAATGCATTTCTAGGGTCGGACATTTTATGCTTTTTTCCTGCTGTGATAACCCATCTTGGGGTTATGAATATCTTGTGGACTATTGTATGGAGTGAGTTTACTGGGTAAGAGAAAATTTTTGAAGGAGAGCACTTTGAGTAATGAGTTTTAACATCATCTTGCTACATACAGAGGTAACTATTAAAGCCAGAGTAGAATGATCAGCATTTGTCATGATATTCAGATAGAGACCATCACAAGAGCCTGGTTTCTGAGAAATGTCACAAAAGTATCTTTCAAGGGTACTGTGGCAATGTTGATCTCATATACTAATGGTCCTCTTTTTTGAGCTAGCAGTGAATGGTGTAGGAATTTCTCCCATGCCGGGCACGGTGGCTCAACGCCTGTAATCCCAGCACTTTGGGAGGCTGAGGCGGGTGGATCACCTGAGGTTAGGAGTTCTAGACCAGCCTGGCCAACTTGGTGAAACCCCGTCTCTACTAAAAATACAAAAGTTAGCCGGGCGTGGTGGCAGGCACCTGTAATCCCAGCTACTCGGGGGGCTGAGGCAGGAGAATCTCTCAAATCTGGGAGGCGGAGGTTGTAGTGAGCTGAGATTGCGCCATGCACTCTAGCCTGGGGAACAAGAGCGAGACTTTGTCTCAAAAAAAAAAATTTCTCCCGGGAAGAACATTGTCCAGGTTCACAGCTTCATCTCTGCAGGGCTGTTGCCTGAACCACTGCTCATGCCACACTTTTCTTCCCCAGTATTTTTGTTTATAGTGAGTACGACTTTGATCTTGAGGAAGCTAATGAAGTTGAATGAGGCTTATCTTTTTTAAGTCCACAAAATTCGTTTTAAGCAACCATTGCTTTCATCTGATGCATTTTCATGTATTATAAATGAACTTTGTTTTTATTTATTTAATCAGTTCCATATTTTTGAGGATACTCAGTTTTCTTTGTTTTATGTTTCTATTGTGGTAGTGTTGTGTTGGGGAATGCATATTGTTTTATGTATTTTACAAGATTTCCTTCTTTAGTACAGATGGTATAGCTCAGCAGCAGTTTCCCTAAAACTTACAGAAACTCCATAATGTTGTATTGATAGTATCAGTTATTCCTTTTACTTCTGTTTCACCTGACTTAATTCCTACTATGAAAGTATATATTTGTCGGTTAAATTGATTACAGTTTTTAAGTTGGAAATTTTTAATATCTTGAGCATAATTTTTTAAGTTACTATCTTAATTGTGGAAATACCATTTAATAGATTGATCGTTCTTTGTTATATAACATACATTGCTTTTCTGTAGTAAGTTTCAGTTTCCTAAATATAGCTTGCTGGGTTTTGTTCAAATTGCACTGTTTTTTTCTTTCTTGGAACAAATGCTGTATTATAATAACTATTCTCCTATCTACATTCATGTCCATCATGTTATACTGAATCATTATTTAAAAATCTAACTTTATTTTAAACTTAGCCCATTTCTTACACTTCAGGGACTTCTCTACTATTTATAAAACCTATATATTTTTTTCGTGATGCTCAAGCAATGAAGAATAAATTCTCTTAAAAAACTGGTATTGGGCCAGGAGCAATGGCTCATGCCTGTAATCCCAGCACTTTGGGAGGCTGAGGCAGGCGGATCATTTTGAGGTCTGAGGTCAGGAGTTCGAGACCAGCCTGACCAACATGGTGAATCCCTGTTTCTACTAAAAATACAAAAAAATTAGCCGGGTGTGGTGGCACATGCATGTAATCTCAGCTACTTGGGAGGCTGAGACAAGAGAATTGCTTGAAGCCAGTAGGCAGAGGTTGCATTGAGCTGAGATCACACTGCTGTACTTCAGCCTGGGCGACAGAGCAAGACCCTGTCTCTAAAAAAAAAAAAGAAAAAAAAACAACAACTTGTATTTTGTCCAGAAAAGTTTTTCCTAGATTTTCTTCTAGAATTTTTGTAGCTTGAAGACTTAATGTAAGTCGTTATTCATCTTGAATTAATTTTTGTATATGACAAGAGATAGGAGTCCAGTTTCATTCTTCTATATATGGCTAGCCAGTTTTTCTAGCACCCTTTATTGAATAGAATGTCTTTTCCCAATTTTTTTTTGACTATCAAGGATCAGTTGGTTGTAGGTGTGTGGCTGTATTTCTGGGTTTCCTATTCTGTTCCATTGGATATCTTCTGTTTTAATGTTAGCATTTATATCTGCAGATTTTCTATCTTAGCACTGTTTTTCCTGCATTCACAAGTTTTGGTATGTTCTATTTTCATTTTCCTTTGTTTTGAGATTTTTAAAATTTCCCTTGTGATTTCTAATTTGACATATTGGCTGTTTAAGAGTATGGTCCTTGTTTGTTTGTTTTTGTTTTTTGAGACGGAGTTACGCTCTTGTTGTCCAGGCTGGAGTGCAGTGGTGCAATCTCGGCTCACTGCAACCTCCACTTCCTGGGTTCAAGCGATTCTCCTGCCTCAGCCTCCCGAGTAGCTGGGATTACAGGCATCTGCCACCATGCTTGGCTGAGGGTTTCACTATGTTGGCCAGGCTGGTCTCGAACTCCTGACCTCAGGTGATCCACCTGCCTCAGCCACCCAAATTGCTGGGATTACAGGCGTGAGCCACCACACCGGCCTAAGAGTATGTTGTTTCCACATATTTGTTGATAATCTAATTTTCTTCTGCTGTTGATCTCTAGTTTTATTTTATTATGATGGGATAAGTTATGCTTTACGATTTTAGTCTTTAAAAAGTTTAAAATTTTTTTTCTTTTCCGATATTTCTTTTGAAAAATGTTTCATGTGCAGTTCTGAAAAATTTGTATTGCACTGTTTTTGGGTGATGTGTTATGCATATATAGGTTAGGTTCAACTTGATATATAGTTTAGGTTCTCTAGTTCCTTGTTTTTCTTCTGTCTGATTGTCCTATTTATAAGTAAAAATAGGCCATTGAAGTCTCTTATTATTACTGTGGAACTACTTCTCCCTTTAGTTACGTTAATTTTGCTTCACATATTGAGGATCTCTATATAGGCACATATTGTTATATCCTCCTAGTGAATTAACCTTTTAATCATTATATAATGCCCTTCTTTGTCTCTTGTACCAGTTTTGACATAAAGTCTATTTTGGCTGACATCAGTTTAGCCACCTCTGATGTCTTTCGGTTAACATTTTGAGGGCATATCTTTTTTCATCCCTTCAGTTCAGCCTATGTGTGTCCTTTGAATTAAAATGAGTATTTTCTGGATAGTGTGCAGCTGAAGCCAGTTTTAAAAATTTATTCAGCCAGTCTCTGTCTTTTGACTGTGGAGTATAAACACTTACATTTAATGTAATTACTGATAGAAAAGGACTTATATTGCCATTGTGTTAAGTGCTTTCTATATCTCTTTTAGATTTTTTTGTTCTGTTTGTCTTACTGCCTTCGTTTTTATATAGTTGATTTTTTTTTCCTGAAATAGTTTTATTTCCATTGTGTGTGTCTTCTATACATTCTCTGTGGTTACCGTTGCAATTACAGAAAACACTTTAGATTTATAACATCCTATTTTAAACTAATAACAGCTTAACTTCAATTACATACAGAAATGACTTTTTACAGATCTGCTTCCATGTTGTGTTTTTGATATCCCAGGATACTTTCATCGTATATACTGTGTCTCCATTAACATATATTTAAACCTTGACAAGAGTCTCCTGCTTTCTTTGTTTTCTCAAATCTTTGCCTGTTGTGCTACGGGTCCTCATTCTGCACCCCGTCTCCTTAACGTTCTTGTACTATCAGTAAAGTTTTGTGGTGTCTTTGTGTGTGTACAAAATGAATTCATCCATCTCCTCTTCGTGGCCATTTTCAGGTTTTTTCTTAAGGATTGAATTGTAAGAACAGTCTTTCACATATCTCTTGATATGTAGGGTTGTTGAGCATATACCTGGAAATAGAACTTATGGGACATTCAGTTTGATAAATTTCATAGCAAATATTATAGAGACATAAATCTGTTTTCTTCCCATATCATCACACCGCCTCCTTTTTAATTGTCTTCCCTTGTTGTCCTGCACCCATAGTATAATTCTCATGTTTAAGTATTAGTCAGTACAATACTACCTCTACATTAGTTTCTCTTTTCTTCCAAAGCCAGGATTTTAGCTGTTTCTTGTGCAATTCTATTCCCACAGCTCTTCAAGCACAAACCCTGCTGCTCCATGCTCATTACTCCTTGATCTCCCCTCTTGCCCTTTGTCCTCCTGGGCCTTTCCTAACATATTACTTTGTCCAGATGGACTACCCAGTTACTGACTAGCATATTAATTTTATACTCCCATTATTGCAGAACTCCCTCACCTCCCATGCTACTCTCACTCTGTAAGGGGTGACCCCTACTCATTCACTTGACCACTGTCTGATAACACTGCGTAAATCAATATGTGCAGGGGATGATGACTCAGATACCGTTCGTTATTCATGACGGATGGCTGAATAATGCTTTTGGCAACACAGCATTGCAGGGAGCCAAAGCCTGTGGGACGTGACCAACTCAGCATTCCACTGGAGGCTATATGATCAAACAGCAAACTGTTTATCATGAATGCAGGATGTGGGCAAACTCATGACTGCTCCTGCTGACAGAAGGTTTGCTGGAGGCAATCACTTCCTGGTGCCAGGGTTATCTACTGCCATATCTAGAGCCTGTTGTTTGAGGAATGCAGTCTTGCAAGCCTACTCTGGACTGCGCAGCTGACCCCTTCTTCCACCATCCTTCTCACTATCTCTCTTGCCTAATAAATACGGACGGCTGTGTAAAGCTCAGGGCCCTTGTCCACTACAGGCAAGGTGCCCCTGACCCCTTCTTCCAAATATACTCTTTTGTCTCTTGTCTTTTATTCCCGCATTCGCCCCCTTTGTTCAGTCCTCCTAGGTCCATGTGGGTTACATAGTGGCACCCTGAACAGCGACAGAATCAGGTGCTCTACACAAAATGGCTCTTGAAGTATTTCTACACTCTTGATATTTGGGTTGACCTGTTATCTGCACTGCTTGTTTGGGAAGTTGTTTTTAAAAAACATGTTTGATCTTGCAAACCCAGGTTCTTGTGTCTTACTTTCTTTGTAAATTGGGTATAGATACATAAATCCTGTGGGCATATTTAGTGTGCTTGTTTGTTAAATAGTGATAATTTACCTAAAGACTTTTTAAACAAGTTAATGCTGTTAGCTAGCTTAGAATATTGCATGTTTTATAGTACAGACTCACAAATTTGTTTAATAACGTGTATCAACATTGTTTCATGTTTATAATGAGATAGCATATTGGCTTTACCTTAGTCAGCATGACTAGCTATATCAGATACCATAGATAGGGTGGTTTAAACAGCAGAAATGGACTTTTCACAGATCTGGGTGGTGCAAAGTTCAACATGTCAGAGCCAGCCACTTTGGTTCTTGGTGTGGACTTTTTTCTGGTGTGCCATGGCTGACTCTGTGTTCTCATGTGGCAGAGAGATTGTCATGCAAAAAGCAGAGGCTTTTTCACGTTTCTGCTAATTGCATTCCTGAAGTTCTATGCACCATCCTGACCTAATTGCCTTCCAAAGACCACACTTCCAAATACTATCACATTGAGGATGGGGCCTTAACATAGGAATTTTGGCAGACATAAGTCTTTATATCAGAGCAGTCTACATTGTATCTGTAAGTTTTCATTTTGCAGTTTGGTCCAAACGGTGTTGTCTTTTATCTCAGTTCATGCATTTTCCAAGTACAATCTCTGTATCATATATATTTTGTGGCCAAGGAACTGGATAATAAAGACAGTGAATAGGACTGGGCACGGTGGCTCATGCCTATAATCCCAGCACTTTGGGAGGCAGAGGTGGGCAGATTGTTTGAGCTTAGGAGTTCCAGACCAGCCTGGGCAACATGGCAAAACCTCATCTCTACCAAAACTACAAAAAAATTAACCGGGCATGATGGCATGCATCTGTGGTCCCAGCTCTCAGGAGGCTGAGGTGGGAGGATCGCTTGAGCCTGTGAGTTGGAGGTTGCAGTGAGGTGGGATCATGCCACTGTACTCCAGCCTGGGTGACAGAGTGAGACTCCATCTCAGCCAAAAGCAAAAAAAGACAATGAATACATAGGGACTTGCTCTGTTGTTTGTTACATAGTTGTAGGCATGAAATCATAACTGAGATTTCTGATTTCCTTTCCCAAGTTTTATTCTTTTTTTGAGGCAGTCTCGCTCTGTTGCCCAGGCTGAAGTGCAGTGTCGTGATCTTGGCTGACTGCAACCTCCCCCTTACAGGTTTATGTGATTCTCGTGCTTCAGCCTCCTGAGTAGTTGGGATTACAGGCATGCATCACCACGCTTGGCTAATGTTTTATATTTTTAGTAGAGATGAGGTTTCACCATGTTGGCCTGGCTAGTCTCAAACTCTTGGCCTCAAGTGATCTGCCCACCTTGGCCTCTCAAAATGCTGGGATTATAGGTCTGAGCCACCATACCTGTCTCCATTTTTTTTTTTTTTTTTGAGACTGCTCTGTCGCCCAGGCTGGAGTGCAGTGGCGAAATCTTGGCTCACTGCAACCTCCGCCTCCTGGGTTCCAATGATTCTCCTGTCTCAGGCTCCGGAGTAGCTGGGATTACAGGCACGTGCCACCACACCCGGCTGATTTTTTTTACTTTTAGTACAGACGAGATTTCACCATGTTGGCCAAGCTAGTCTTGAACTCCTGACCTCGTGATCCACCCACCTCGGCCTCCCAAAGTGCTGGGATTACAGGCTTGAGCCACCGTGCCCGGCTGACCTGTCCCCAATTTTTATTCTTTATTATTTTATATATTTACCTTTCTCTCATCCAAGTACTAACCAGTTCTGACACTGCTTAGTTTCTGAGATCAGACAAGATCAGATGCATTCACGGTGGTATGGCCATAGACATATTTACCTTTCTTTTATCTTTAAAAGCCAGTGATCTCAACATATTTTCTAGTTATATACTGCCTCTAGAATATAAATTCTTGCTTATTATTGATGGAGAATTGTTTAGAATTTCATACTATAGATTTGTATTTTGTGGTTGTTCATTATTTACCTGCTGGTTTTATCACAGGCTATTAGAATGTTTTATTAATTAATTTATATTATGATTATTTATTAGTTAATATTTACCATTACAGTATATCTTGCTGTTGCTTGGCATTCATTTGTATGAAATAAATATATGTAACTTTTTTTCTCTCCTATTATGAGGGAGCCATATGTTTACTGCCAATTGGTGTGTCATTTGGGGTCAGCGATTGCAAAATACTTGTTTTGGTGCTCATATATGTTTGCATAACATGAGTCTTTTGGTCGAAGGATGTTTGAAACTAGGCTTTCCTAAAATTGATTTAAATTACATGTAATCACTTTTTCTTTACTATAGAATTCTATTCATTTTGCATTTCTACAAATAGAAGATCATGGTAGAAAAGTTTCACAACTTGCTAGTATAAACATTATGTTTAGCGTAGTGTGTTTTCAGTATAAAATAATATTTACCAATAATAGTTATTTTAAAACCCCATGTTCATTATATTTTGCAGGTATCTCTCCTAAATGTGTGATCAAGGAATTACCACCAATACAGAACAGTAACACAGGAGAAAAATTCCAAGCAGTGATGTTGGAAGGACATGAAAGCTATGACACTGAAAATTTTTACTTCAGGGAAATCCGGAAAAATCTACAGGAAGTTGACTTTCAATGGAAAGATGGTGAAATAAATTATAAAGAAGGGCCGATGACCCATAAAAACAATCTTACTGGTCAAAGAGTTCGACATAGTCAAGGGGACGTAGAAAACAAGCATATGGAAAATCAGCTTATATTAAGGTTTCAGTCCGGTCTGGGTGAATTGCAGAAATTTCAAACTGCAGAGAAAATTTATGGATGTAATCAAATTGAGAGGACAGTTAATAATTGTTTTTTAGCTTCACCACTTCAAAGAATTTTTCCTGGTGTCCAAACCAACATTTCTAGGAAATATGGGAATGATTTTTTGCAACTTTCGTTACCTACACAAGACGAGAAAACACATATTAGGGAAAAACCTTACATAGGTAATGAGTGTGGCAAAGCCTTCAGAGTGTCTTCAAGTCTTATTAATCATCAGATGATACATACTACAGAGAAACCTTACAGATGCAATGAGTCTGGTAAAGCCTTTCATCGGGGCTCACTACTAACAGTACATCAGATAGTCCATACAAGAGGGAAACCATACCAATGTGATGTATGTGGCAGGATCTTCAGACAAAATTCAGATCTTGTAAATCACCGGAGAAGTCACACTGGAGACAAACCCTACATATGTAATGAATGTGGCAAGTCCTTTAGTAAAAGTTCCCACCTTGCAGTTCATCAGAGAATTCATACTGGAGAGAAACCTTACAAATGTAATCGATGTGGGAAGTGCTTTAGTCAAAGTTCCTCTCTTGCAACTCATCAGACAGTTCATACTGGAGACAAACCCTACAAATGTAATGAATGTGGCAAAACCTTTAAACGGAACTCAAGCCTCACTGCACATCATATAATCCATGCAGGAAAGAAACCATATACATGTGATGTATGTGGCAAGGTCTTTTATCAGAATTCACAACTTGTAAGGCACCAGATAATTCATACTGGAGAGACACCTTACAAATGTAATGAATGTGGCAAGGTCTTCTTTCAACGTTCACGTCTTGCAGGGCACCGGAGAATTCATACTGGAGAGAAACCCTACAAATGTAATGAATGTGGCAAGGTCTTCAGTCAACATTCACATCTTGCAGTGCATCAGAGAGTTCATACTGGAGAGAAACCTTACAAATGTAATGAATGTGGCAAAGCCTTTAATTGGGGCTCATTACTAACTGTACATCAGAGAATTCATACCGGAGAGAAACCTTACAAATGTAATGTGTGTGGCAAGGTCTTTAATTACGGTGGATACCTTTCGGTTCATATGAGATGTCATACTGGAGAGAAACCTCTCCATTGTAATAAATGTGGCATGGTCTTCACTTACTATTCATGCCTAGCACGTCATCAAAGAATGCATACCGGAGAGAAACCTTACAAATGTAATGTGTGTGGCAAGGTCTTCATTGACAGTGGAAACCTTTCAATTCATAGGCGAAGTCATACCGGAGAGAAACCTTTCCAGTGTAACGAATGCGGCAAGGTCTTCAGTTACTACTCATGCCTAGCACGTCATCGGAAAATTCATACCGGAGAGAAACCTTATAAATGTAATGATTGTGGCAAAGCCTATACTCAGCGTTCAAGCCTCACTAAACATCTGGTAATTCATACTGGAGAGAACCCTTACCACTGTAATGAATTTGGTGAGGCTTTTATCCAAAGTTCAAAACTTGCAAGATATCACAGAAATCCTACTGGGGAGAAACCACACAAATGTAGTGAATGTGGTAGAACTTTTAGTCATAAAACAAGTCTGGTGTACCATCAGAGAAGACATACTGGAGAGATGCCATACAAATGTATTGAATGTGGGAAAGTCTTTAACTCCACTACAACCCTGGCAAGGCATCGGAGAATTCATACTGGAGAGAAACCTTACAAATGTAATGAATGTGGCAAGGTCTTCCGTTATCGCTCAGGCCTCGCACGTCATTGGAGTATTCATACTGGAGAGAAACCTTACAAATGTAATGAGTGTGGCAAAGCCTTTAGAGTACGTTCAATTCTGCTTAATCATCAGATGATGCATACTGGAGAGAAACCTTATAAATGTAATGAATGTGGTAAAGCTTTTATCGAAAGGTCAAACTTGGTTTACCATCAGAGAAACCATACTGGAGAGAAGCCATACAAATGTATGGAATGTGGCAAGGCGTTTGGGCGGCGGTCTTGCCTCACTAAACACCAACGAATTCATTCTAGTGAAAAACCTTATAAATGTAATGAGTGTGGCAAATCTTACATTAGTCGCTCAGGCCTCACTAAACATCAGATAAAACATGCTGGAGAGAACCTTACAACTAAACTCAATGTGGAAAGGCCGTTAGATGTTGTCCTAACCTCTGGGATCCCCAAATAATTTATACTTACTCATATAGCTTGTATATTTGTCCTTTCCCTTTGAAGTCTCATGTGGAATTGTAGTAATCTCCAGTATTGGAGGTGGAGCCTAGTGGGAGGTGATTGGATGATGGGGGTGGCTTTCTCAAGAAAGTTTTAGTACCATCCCCTTGTTGCTGTCCTTGTGATAGTTCTCATGAGGTCTGGCTCATGCCTGTAATCCCAGCACTTTGGGAGGCTGAGGTGGGCGGATCACTTGAGGTCAGGAGTTCAAGAGCAGCCTGGCCAACATGGTGAAACCCTGTTTCTGCCAAAAATACAAAAATTAGCTGGGCTTCGTGGCGGGTACTGGTAGTACCAGCTACTCGAGAGGCTGAGTCAGGAGAATTGCTTGAACCCTGGAGGCGGAGGTTGCAGTGAGCCGAGATCGCGCCACTGCACTCTAGCCTGGGTGACAGAGTGAGACTCCATCACGCACACGCACGCACGAAAGTGAATGGCACCTCCCTCTTGTTTGTTCTTCTGGCCATGTGACATGCCCTTCACCTCCCACCATCATTTTAACCTTCCTCAGGTTTCCCGAGAGGGTGAACAGACGTCAGCGCCATGTTTCCTATAAAGCCTGCAAAATTGTGAGTCAATTAAACCTCTTTATACATTACCTAGCCTCAGGTATTTCTGTCTAGCCATGCAATTATGGCCTAATATATTTACACATGGAGTGAATATAGCTAAGTTTTTTTTTTTTTTTTTTTTTTTTTTTTTTTTTTTTGGAGACGGAGTCTCGCTCTGTCGCCCAGGCGGGACTGCGGACTGCAGTGGCGCAATCTCGGCTCACTGCAAGCTCTGCTTCCTGGGTTCACGCCATTCTCCTGCCTCAGCCTCCCGAGTAGCTGGGACTACAGGCGCTCGCCACCGCGCCCGGCTAATTTTTTTTGTATTTTTAGTAGAGACGGGGTTTCACCTTGTTAGCCAGGATGGTCTCGATCTCCTGACCTCATGATCCACCCGCCTCGGCCTCCCAAAGTGCTGGGATTACAGGCGTGAGCCACTGCGCCCGGCCAGAATATAGCTAAGTTTTAAGCAAGTGTTCACTAGGCATAAGAATATACATCCTGGAGAGAAATCACAGAAGTGTAGTATATGTGGCAAGAATACTACTTAAAGGTCAAAACTTGTGGATCTATAACTCAAAGTGCAGATATGCTTTACAAATGAAATGAGGGTGGCAGAAGCTTCACCAGAGTTCAGTCACTACTTGAGAGTTTATATTGGAAAGAAATCGTATAAATGTATGTGCTAGAGGCTTCCCCGAGGTGTCTGAACTCACTAGACCTCAGAATATACATCTTTGACAAATGTAATGTGTGTGCTAAGACTTTTTACCCGAACATCCAAATGGAAACATCAGAGTATTCATACTGGAGAACAGTCTTACAAATGTAACGAATGTGGTAAGCCTTTTTAAAAATCAAATGGGCTGGGTATGGTGGCTCACACCTGTAATCCCAGCACTTTGGGAGGCCGAGGTGGGTGGATCATCTGATGTCAGGAGTTTGAGACCGGCCTGGCCAGCATGGTGAAACCCCATCTCTACTAAAAAATACAAAAATTAGCTGGGCAGTGGTGGGCACCTGTAATCCCGCTACTTGGGAGGCTGAGGCAGAAGAATCACTTGAATCCAGGATGTGGAGGTTGCTGTAAGCCGAGATTGCGCCATTGTACTCCAGCCTGGGTGACAAGAGTGAGACTCTGTCTCAAAAAAATAAAAAAATCAAATGTTCATGTTTTTGGAGTTTGAGAGAATTTATACAGGAAAAAAGTCATATCAGTGTGCTTAACATGGAAGGACCTTTAATCAGTAGTGTGTCTTCAGGCTTTACCAAATTATTCATACTGGATAGAAACCTTGCAAATGTAATTAACGTGGTAAAATTTTAAACCATTTCTCAGCCAGATGCGGTGGCTCACGCCTGTAATCCCAGCACTTTGGGAGGCCGAGGCAGGCAGATCACGAGGTCAGGAAATCGAGACCATCCTGGCTAACACGGTGAAACCCCGTCTCTACTAAAAATACAAATAATTAGCCAGGCGTGGTGGCACGTGCCTGCAGTCCCAGCTACTTAGGAGGCTGAGGCATGAGAATTGTTTGAACCCGGGAGGCTGAGCTTGCAGTGAGCCGAGATTGCACCACTGCACTCCAGCCTGGGCGACAGAGCAAGACTCCGTCTCAAAAAAAAAAAAAAAAAAAAAATTTCTCAACAGATTCCATGTTAGGTAAATCATACTATGGATAACTAAGTCTGCTTCTCCATCCAGGATTGACCTGGAATGATACATACGGTAAAATAACCACAAGACAAAATTTGTTAAAACCCCAGGTAATATGTACATCAAAGGATCAAGAGCGTGTGTGGAAATGGCCAATTCAGTATATAAAATAATTGTATTCACTTTGACATTTCTTAAAAAGGCTAGTTGACTATTTGTGACCTTCATCCTAAAGTATGAAGTCTTGCCTTTCCTACACATCTTTCATTGTGGTCTCTGGGAATAAATCAGTAAGGTGAGAGGGCCTGCTTCATTAGGTGTGGTTCCTTCATATCCATGTTTTCTGGAAGATTAAGGTCACTGTACTGTGTGAGTTAAGCAGCATGGAATATGGTGGAGAATGATGTAAATTTACAATGTAAGTCACTGAGCTTGTTGTGTTCAGAGTGTCCTTTGACAAATACAGTGTTGCTTTGGGATATGGGAAACATACGGAGTATGTTTCACTAACCTAAAAATCTGTGCTCCACCTAGATTTGTACATTCTTTTCACTTCTGTCACTTGTTGCTTCACATGTTTTGCAGCTGGTTTTAAGTGCATACAGACAAGATTCTCAAATCATCTTTGTAAATTGACATTATTATCATGTCACCACCCTGTTGCCCAGGCTGGAGTGCAATAGTAATAAGGTCAACTTTTGGAACCCTTCTGCAAATTTCCTAGGATTTTTAGAGTAGCTTCCTAGCTTTTCCTTACATTGCTGTATATCAGTTATAGAGAAGGGGACCTGCAATAGGACTGGCCATTCGGCTCCTGCTGCTTCCCTACGGGGTAGCAAGGCTGGAGGGAGAGTAGAATATGGTGTTCCCCACTGAGTGTTTGGGGGACTTAGTAGGGTCCCCAGTGTTTGCTCCTGGTTTTAGCCTCAGGAGCACTTGGTAAGGGGGCTATAGGGATGGTCGCTCTTCACCCTTAGAGACAAGTGGCTCTTGTAAAAGGGGGTCATCTGGTTTGGCACGGTGGCTCACGCCTGTAATCCCAGCACTTTGGGAGGCCGAGCTGGGCAGATCACCTGAGGTCGGGAGTTCGAGACCAGCCTGACCAACATGGAGAAACCCCGTCTCTACTAAAAATACAAAATTAGATGGGCATGGTGGTGTGTGCCTGTAATCCCAGCCACCTGGGAGGCTGAGGCAGGAGAATTGCTTGAACCTGGGAGGTGGAGGTTGCAGTGAGCGGAGATCAAGCCATTGCACTCCAGCCTGGGCGATGAGAGCAAAACTCTGTCTCAAAAAAGAAAAAGTAAGAGTGGGGGGGATCATCTATAATATCTAATTCTACCTTAGAACTTTCCTTTGGTGGTGGGGGTGGGTTCTGGGAGTTTGACAGATTGCTAGGTTTTGGTATAAGGTCATAAAATCCTGTGCATATGGGATTTCTGACCATTTGCCCTGCCTCTTGCAAAATAGGTCTAATGGCAGGATGGTGTCATAATTAAGGCTACCAAGACTGCCCATTGTTCCAGGCTGGGCAGTTCATAATGGGGGCAGACAATAGTGCAAAAAAAATTTTACATTTTATCTTTAGAGTGTCAGGGTCAAATTGATTTCCATGGTTGAGGATGTAGCCAAGTGTGGAATCAGGTGGAATAGGTGGAGAGTTGCCCATAGTGGTTTGGAAAAGAGAAGAGGACTTTGAAAAGTGGAGGGCTCATTAGGTGACCCAAATTTTACCTGGGGCATCCCCCCTTTAGGGCCCCAACTTAGTCTGTCAGACATCTCTGACCTTAGATGGGTGCTGGCACCACTTTGGAATGGTTCCCTCCATCACTGAGGACCTGACTTAAAGTTTTTCTATCTCACTTAAAACAACCCTTTAACGCTCTCAACTTAGGCAATAATAAATTCCTTTTCATGAATTCCCTCCACCACCATGCACCACACAGACCACATGCCCGGACCCTCTGACTTGTGTAACCTTTTGTGCATAGCTAGGTGGGTTTTCTGTCCTTTGCCAGTTGGGTGGGAGAAGGGAAGAATTTAGCATAAATAAAAGCAGCATAAGTCACCTGAAACCTGTGAGTTTGCCCTGGACGAGCTGCTGCTGCTAACTGCATCACACATAGGGATCAGGGATTATAACTGAAAAGGACAGAAATGAGTCTTTTCCCTTTCTGGGCAGGGCAGCCATCCCTGTTCACTCCTTGGCCTTCAGAGGATACCAGAGAGTGGCCCCAGTCAGTTCCCCTCAATTACCAACGAGCTACTAGGAAACGGCCGCTGAAAGACTGAAAAAGGAGAAAAGGAAAATAACTCAGAAAAAAAAAAAAAGGAATAGGACTCAGAAAAACAAAAACGAGGAAAAGGACTCAGGTTCCTCACCTTAACCAAGCGGTGGCAGTTAGGCACTTCCACACGGAAACCTTCCAGTTTCACCAGAGAATGGCCCTGGCCAGAAACTTGCAAGTGTCTTTGTGCTTAGGTGCTGTCCACTGAGGGTCCTCAGTTGGAAAGGAAAAGATGGAGAGAGGAAGATTTCCCTGTATGTAAAAGGGGAAAGGAGAAAAAGAAATCCCAAACTTTGGGCCTACCTTCTCTCCTGGCTAGCTCACCAGAATATGTTACCAGTAGAGGGTCTTGACTGCAAGTTGTTTAGGTTCTTGGCATTTTGAACAAAGACTTGGAAGAAACACCCAGCAAAGCAATGAAAGAATGCAGCATCAAAAGAATGAAAACAGGAATTTATTGAAAATGAAAGTACACTCCACAGTGTGGGAACAGGCCCAAGCAGTGGCCCAGATACAGAATCTTCTTGGGTCCAAATGACTACTAGAGGTTTCCCGTTGGCTGCTTGGTGCTGACCTAATGTAAATGAAATGGTGGCCTGCAGTCAGTCAACCAATCAGAGGCTGAAGTAAAGTTACAAAAGTCACACTCCTACGCAAATATCTGATTGGTTGCAAAAAGCAACCAATCAGAGGTACTTTTAATTTCCCATCTGCCAGGCAGAAAAGGTAGAGGTTTGCAAAGGGAGTAGTCTCTGGTCCTTTTGTTACTTAGGTGTGGAAAGTTAGGGTTTTCCCATCAATTTAGCTTAAGGACGTTAGCGTGAAACAGCCTTAGGTTTCCTGCCTCCAGACCATGTTCTCCTGCCTCAGGATCACAGGCTCACGCCACCATGCCTGGCTAATTTTTGTATTTTTTGTAGAGATGAGGTTTCGTCATGTTGCCCAGACTGGGAGAAATATATTTTAAGGTATAATTAGCATGTTGTGTTTTAAAAATCCTGTTGATATACTTGCACATTAGTAACAGAGCTTTTGCTTCCACATTGTACAATTTCAGTTCAGTATCTTGTATCATTCTAATTATTTCACTGAACTTAAAATGTAAGGGACCTTCTACATATTGATAGAACACATGCTTTGCATCTGTCATTTCTCTGTGTGTGTGTGTGTGTGTGTATATATATATATATATATATTTTTTTTTTTTTTTTTTTTTTTAGACAGAGTCTCGCTCTGTCGCCCAGGCTGGAGTGCAGCGGCGCGATCTCAGCTCACTTCAAGCTCCACCTCTCGGGTTCTTGCCATTCTCCTGCCTCAGCCTCCCAAGTCGCTGGGACTATAGGCGCCCACCACCACGCCTGGCTAATTTTTTTTGTATTTTTAGTAGAGACAGGGTTTCACCATGTTAGCCAGGATGGTCTCGATCTCTTCGTGCTCTGCCCACCTCGGCCTCCCAAAGTGCTGGGATTACAGGTGTGAGCCACCGCTCCCAGCCTCTCTGTACAAATTTTTTGCCACACAAATCTGAAAATACCACCTTGATTTATGGATCCTCCAAGTTTTTCACTGAAGTACAAGGGAACAAATGTAAATCTATAAATTGGGTTAAATGATTTCTAGGAAAGTGTATAATAATAATAACAATTATTTTTTTGAGACAGAGTCTCTGTCACCCAGGCTGGAGTGAAACTGTGTCTCAAAATAAATAAATAAATAATAAATAAATAAATAATAGAAATGAAGTTTTGCTATAGTTGAGAAATTATAGAATGCCATGCTTATTATGATAACCTCATACAGAAATTTTTACAGCTTTTTGAAAAATGGCTTTTTTGTTATTCAATTTTTATAGTCTTATAAACATTAATTTTCACAAGACTAGTGTAAAAATATTGTAGACAATTTGTCTAAGCAGTATTTCGGAAGCACTTTCAACAGTTATGTAAAGGGTCCTATTTATGCTTGAAGAAAGGACATGTATAAGGTTTTTAGCATGAGGAAATTAAGTCTTTCTCAACCTAGAAGTCAGGAGTTTCAAGAGTAAACATTCAGTGTTGAATTAAAGAATCTGAATCTATTTTTTGATTGATTACTGACATCTTTTAAGCCACACTATTTGGGCAAGTTGATAATAAAGCCTGAGTGCTCCCTTCTTTGGTATATGCTGGAAGTTCAAGACATGCCTGGGTACCTTTACCCTTGCCCTACTCCTTAACCATAGTCACAACACATTTTCCTGCTCTCACAAGCCACTTTTGAACCAGCTTGGGAAGTCTCCTGCTCTTTCCAGAGTCTCATTATGTAACAAATATTCTCATGATACTTCACTATGTGACGTCATCAGTCCCAGCATCCAAATCAAAGTGTGGGTGGGGTTCCACTCTGTTCTAGTGGAGTGGCCACAGTGCTAATTAACAAAATATGCTTTGGGTTGAATATATAAAGTTTCTACTTTACTCACCCTGCAGAATACCCCACTATGTATGTTTATTCTTCAGAGGGAACATTAATCTTGTTTTCTTTTTTTTTTTTTTGAGACGAAGTCTTGCTGTGTGGCCCAGGGCTGGAGTGCAGTGGCATGATCTCGGTTCACTGTAACCTCTGCCTACCGGGTTCAAGCGATTCTTATGCCTCAGCCTCTTGAGTAGTTGAGATTACAAGTGTGTACAGGTGTGCACCACCACATCTGGCTAAATTTTGTATTTTTAGTAGAGACCACGTTTTGCCATGTTGGCCATGATGGTCTTGAACTACTGACCCCAGTTGATCCACCTGCCTCAGCCTCCCAAAGTGCTGGGATTACAGACATGAGCCACAACCCTGGCCCATTAATCTTTTATTTTTTAATTTTTTTTATTATACTTTAAGTTCTAGGGTACATGTGCACAATGTACAGGTTTGTTACATATGTATACATTTGCCATGTTGGTGTGCTGCACCCACTAACTCGTCATTTACATTAGGTATCTTTCCTAATGCTATCCCTCCCCACTCCCCTCACCCCACGACAGGCCCTGGTATGTGATGTTCTCCACCCTGTGTCCAAGTGTTCTCATTGTTCAGTTCTCACTTACGAGTGAGAACCTGTGGTGTTTGGCTTTCTGTCCTTGTGATAGTTTGTTCAGAATGATGGTTTCCAGCTTCATCCATGTCCCTACAAAGGATATGAACTCATCCTTTCTTATGGCTGCATAGTATTCCATGGTGTATATGTGCCACATTTTCTTAATCCAGTCTATCATTGATGGACATTTGGGTTGGTTCCAAGTCTTTGCTATTGTGAATAGTGCCGCGATAAACATACATGGACATGTGTCTTTATAGCAGCATGATTTATAATCCTTTGGGTATATACCCAGTAATGGGATGGCTGGGTCAAGTGGTATTTCTAGTTCTAGATCCTTGAGGAATCGCCACACTGTCTTCCACAATGGTTGAACTAGTTTACAGTCCCACAAACAGTGTAAAAGTGTTCATATTTCTCCACATCCTCTCCAGCACCTGTTGTTTCCTGACTTTTTAATGATCACCATTTTAACTGGTGTGAGATGGTATCTCGTTGTTATTGGGGGAACCTGCCCCCAATATTTCAATGTAGTTTCTTTCTATTTTCCATAAGTGTCAGCCGGCTGAGAAATAAAGACAATACAAAGAGAGGAATTTTACAGCTGGGCCTCCAGGGGTGACATCACATATCGGTAGGACTGTGATGCCCGCCTGAGTCTCAGACCAGTAAGTTTTTTTTTTAAGGGTTTCAAAAGGGGAGGGGGTGTAAGAACAGAGAGTAGGTACAAAGATCACATGCTTCAAAGAGCAAAAAGCAGAACCACTGATAAGGGTCTAACAAAGATTACATCTTTCTGAGGGAAAAGGGCAAAGGGCAAAAGTAGAACCACTGATATGGGTCCAACAAAGATCACAGGGCAAAGGGCAAAAGCAGAACCACTGTTAACACAATTATCACAGTGGTCCTGAGGTGACGTACATCCTCAGCTTATGAAGATAACAGGATTAAGATATTACAGTAAAGACAGGCATAAGAAATTATAAAAGTATTATTTGAGAACTGATAAATGTCCATATTAAAGTGAAATCTTCACAATTTATGTTCCTTTGCCGCAGCTCCATCTGGTCTCTCTGTTTGGGGTCCCTGCCTTCCTGTAACACATTGTGGTTTTGATTTGCATTTCTCTGATGGCCAGTGATGATGAGCATTTTTTCATGTGTCTGTTGGCTGCATAAATGTCTTCTTTTGAGAAGGGTCTGTTCATATCCTTCACCCACTTTTTGATAGGGTTGTTTGATTTTTTCTTGTAAATTTGTTTAAGTTCTTTGTAGATTCTAGATATTAGCCCTTTGTCAGATGGGTAGGTTGTAAAAATTTTCTCCCATTCTGTAGGTTGCCTGTTCACTCTGATGGTAGTCTCTTTTACTGTGCAGAAGCTCTTTAGTTTAATTAGATCCCATTTGTCAATTTTGGCTTTTGTTGCCATTGCTTTTGGTGTTTTAGTCATGAAGTCCATGCCCATGCCTGTGGCCTGAATGGTATTGCCTAGGTTTTTTTCTAGGGTTTTTATGGTTTTAGGTCTAACATTTAAGTCTTTAATCCATCTTGAATTAATTTTTGTATAAGGTGTAAGGAAGGGATCCAGTTTCAGCTTTCTATATATGGCTAGCCAGTTTTCCCAGCACCATTTATTAAATAGGAAATCCTTTCCCCATTTCTTGTTTTTGTCATGTTTGTCAAAGATCAGATGGTTGTACATGTGTGGTACTATTTCTGGGGGCTCTGTTCTGTTCCATTGGTCTATATCTCTGTTTTGGTACCAGTATCGTGCTCTTTTGGTTACTGTAGCCTTGTAGTATAGTTTGAAGTCAGGTAGCGTGATGCCTCCAGCTTTGTTCTTTTGGCTTAGGATTGTCTTGGCAATATGGGCTCTTTTTTGGTTCCATATGAACTTTAAAGTAGTTTTTTCCAATTCTGTGAAGAAAGTCATTGGTAGCTTGATGGGGATGGTATTGAATCTATAAATTACTTTGGGCAGTATGGCCATTTTCACGATCTTGATTCTTCCTATCCATGAGCATGGAATGTTCTTCCATTTGTTTGTGTCCTCTTTTATTTCGTTGAGCAGTGGTTTGTAGTTCTCCTTGAAGAGGTCCTTCACATCCCTTATAAGTTGGATTCCTAGGTATTTTATTCTCTTTGTAACAATTATGAATGAGAGTTCACTCATGATTTGGCTGTTTGTCTGTTGTTGGTGTATAGGAATGCTTGTGATTTTTCACATTGATTTTGTATCCTGAGACATTGCTGAAGTTGCTTATCAGCTTAAGGAGATTTTGGGCTGAGACGATGGGATTTCTAAATATACAATCTTGTCATCTGCAAACAGGGACAATTTGACTTCCTCTTTTCCTAATTGAATACCCTTTATTTCTTTCTCCTGCTTGATTGTCCTGGCCAGAACTTCCAACACTATGTTGAATAGGAGTGGTGAGAGAGGGCATCCCTGTCTTGTGCCAGTTTTCAAAGGGAATGCTTCCAGTTTTTGCCCATTCAGTATGATATTGGCTGTGGGTTTGTCATAAGTAGCTCTTATTATTTTGAGATACATCCCATCAATACCTAGTTTATTGAGAGTTTTTAGCATGAAGTGCTGTTGAATTTTGTCGAATGCCTTTTTTGCATCTATTGAGATAATCATGTGGTTTTTGCCTTTTGTTCTGTTTATGTGATGGATTATGTTTATTGATTTGTGTATGTTGAACCAGCCTTGCATCCCAGGGATGACACCAACTTGATCTTGGTGGATAAGCTTTTTGATGTATTGCTGGATTTGATTTGCCAGTATTTTATTGAGGATTTTTGCATCGATGTTCATCAGGGATATTGGTTTAAAATTCTATTTTTATGTTGTGTCTCTGCCAGCCTTTGGTATCAGGATGATGCTGGCCTCATAAAATGAGTTAGGGAGGATTCCCTCTTTTTCTATTTATTGGAATAGTTTCAGAAGGAATGGTACCAGCTCTTCTTTGTACCTCTGGTAGAATTCAGCTGTAAATCTGTCTGGTCCTGGACTTTTTTTGGTTGGTAGGCTATTAATTATTGCCTCAATTTCAGAGCCTGTTATTGGTCTATTCAGGGATTCAACTTCTTCCTGGTTTAGTCTTGGGAGGGTGTATGTGTCCAGGAATTTATCCATTTCTTCTAGGTTTTCTAGTTTATTTGCGTAGAGGTGTTTATAGTATTCTCTGATGGTAGTTTGTATTTCTGGAGATCGGTGGTGATATCCCCTTTATCATTTTTTATTGTGTCTATTTGATTCTTCTCTCTTTTCTTCTTTATTAGTTTTGCTAGCAGTCTATCAATTTTGTTGATCTTTTCAAAAACCAGCTCCTGGATTCATTGATTTTTTGAAGTGTTTTTTATGTCTGTATCTCCGTCAGTTCTGCTCTGATCTTAGTTATTTCTTGCCTTCTGCTAGCTTTTGAATGTGTTTGCTCTTGCTTCTCCAGTTCTTTTAATTGTGATGTTAGGGTGTCAATTTTAGATCTTTTCTGCTTTCTCTTGTGGGCATTTAGTGCTATAAATTTCCCTCTATACACTGCTTTAACTGTGTCAAGAGATTCTGGTATGTTGTGTCTTTGTTCTCATTGGTTTCAAAGAACATCTTTATTTCTGCCTTCATTTCGTTATGTACCCAGTAGTCATTCAGGAGCAGGTTGTTCAGTTTCCATGTAGTTGAGCGGTTTTGAGTGAGTTTCTTAATCCTGAGCTCTAGTTTGATTGCACTGTGGTCTGAGAGACAGTTTGTTATAAGTTCTGTTCTTTTACATTTGCTGAGGAGTGCTTAACTTCCAACTATGTGGTCAATTTTGGAATAAGTGCAATGTGGTGCTAGGAAAAATGTATATTCTGTTGATTTGAGGTGGAGAGTTCGGTAGATGTCTATTAGGTCCACTTGGTGCAGAGCTGAGTTCAATTCCTGGATATCCTTGTTATCTTTCTGTCTCGTTGATCTGTCTAATGTTTACAGTGGCAAGTTAAAGTCTCCCATTATTATTGTGTGGGAGTCTAAGTCTCTTTATAGGTCTCTAAGGACTTGCTTTATGAATCTGGGTGCTCCAGTATTGGGTGCATATATATTTAGGATAGTTAGCTCTTCTTGTTGAATTGATCCCTTTACCATTATGTAATGGCCTTCTTTGTCTCTTTTGATCTTTGTTGGTTTAAAGTCTGTTTTCTCAGAGACTAGGATTGCAACCCCTGCTTTTTTTTGTTTTCCATTTGCTTGGTAGATCTTCCTCCATCCCTTTTTTTTTTTTTGAGCATATGTGTGTGTCTGCACGTGAGATGGGTCTCCTGAATACAGCACACTGATGGGTCCTGACTCTATCCAATTTGCCAGTCTGTGTCTTTTAATTGGAGCATTTAGCCCATTTACATTTAAGGTTAATATTGTTATGTGTGAATTTGATCCTGTCATTATGATGTTAGCTGGTTATTTTGCTCGTTAGTTGATGTGGTTTCTTCCTAGCATCTATGGTCTTTATAATTTGGCATGTTTTTGTGGTGGCTGGTACCGGTCGTTCCTTTCCATGTTTAGTGCTTCCTTCAGGAGCTCTTGTAAGGCAGGCCTGGTGGTGACAAAATCTCTCAGCATTTGCTTGTCTGTAAAGAATTTTATTTTTCCTTCATATAGGAAGCTTAGTTTGGCTGGATATGAAATTCTAGGATGAAAGTTCTTTTCTTTAAGAATGTTGAATATTGGCCCCCACTCTCTTCTGGCTTGTAGGGTTTCTGCTGAGAGATCTGCTGTTAGTCACATGGGCTTCCCTTTGTGGGTAAGCCGACCTTTCTCTCTGGCTGCCTGAAGGGGGCCACCCCCTCCACAGCCTGTGGGTGTTTCTCGTCAGGTGGGACGAGAGACCAGGAAAAGAAATAAGAGACAGAGACAAAGTATAGAGAAAGAAAAGGGGGCCCCAGGGACTGGCGCTCTGCATATGGAGGACCTGCGCAGCTGGCCCTGGTCTCTGAGTTCCCTCAGTATTTATTGATCATTATCTCTACCATCTCGGAGAGGGGGATGTGGCAGGACAATAGGGTAATAGTGGGGAGAGGGTCAGCAGGAGAACATGTGAACAAAGGTCTCTGTGTCATAAATAAGTTTAAGGAAAGCTGCTGTGCCTTGATGTGCACGAGCACAAACATTTCGGTGCAATAAAGAGCAGTATTGCTGCCAGCATGTCTCACCTGCAGCCCTAAGGTGGTTTTCTCCTATCTCAGTAAACAGAACATACAGTCAGGTTTTACACCGAGACATTCTATTCCCAGGGATGAGCAGGAGACAGATGCCTTCCTCTTATCTCAACTGCAAAGAGGCTTTCCTCTTTTACTGATCCTCCTCAGCACAGACCCTTTATGGGTGTTGGGCTGGGGGACAGTCAGGTCTTTCCCTTCCCATGAGGCCATATCTCAGGCTATCACATGGGGAGAAACCTGGGGCAATACCTGGCTTTCCTAGGCAGAGGTCCCTGTGGGCTTGTGCAGTGTATTGTGTCTCTGGGTACTTGAGATTGGAGAATGGTGATGACTTTTACCAAGCATACTGCCTTCAAGCACTTTTTAAACAAAGCACATCCTGCGCAGCCCTAAAACCATTAAACCTTCTGTCAACACAACACATGTCTCTGCAAGCACTGGGTTGGAGCTAGGGTTACAGATTAACAGCATCTCAAGGCAGAAGAATTTCTCTTAGTATAGAACAAAATGGAGTCTCTTTTGTCTACTTCTTTCTACATAGACAAGTTAACAGTCTGATCTCTCTTTCTTTTCCCCACAGCTGCCCTTATTATTTTTTCCTTCATTTCAACTTTGATGAATTCAAACAGGATACAATTTGGGGAATATATGCTTATAATTTGCACTTGAGCTATTCTGTCCGAGTATGCCCCAGGACATTTTATGGAAATACCATGCAGTGCAATTTCAGACTCTGAGCATCTAAAAACCTGCCTCAGTATGCATGAATATTCACTATATGATTATAGTTCTACATGCCTTTGTATGTATAAGATCCATGGCTTGCATTTGCCTTGATTTTTATGTGTGGTAAAAATAAAAATATAGCAAGTGTATACAAATATTAGGAAATGGGCCAGGTGTTGGAGCTCATTCCTGTAATCCCAGCACTTTCGGAGGCCAAGGCAGGTGGATCACATGAGTTCAGAAGTTTGAGACCAGCATGAACAACATGGTGAAACCATGTCTGTACTAAAAATACAAAAATTAGCTGGGTGTGGTGGTACACCTGTAATCCCAGCTATTTGGGAGGCTGAGGCAGAAGAATTGCTTGAACCCGGGAGACAGAGTTTGCAGTGAGCTGAGATTGCACCACTGCGCACCAACCTGGGTGACAGAGTGAGATGCAGTCTAAAAAAAAACTTATTAAAAAAATATATTATATATATGGAAATAAACAATAATTAGGAAATAAGAATTTCTTATTTGTGCTTAGAATACACAGTGAAGTAAACAGAAAAAAAGAACAACAACAAAAAAGAATACATAGTGAAGTAATTTGAAAAGATTAAATGTTAAGACAGGCATGGTGGCTTATGCCTGTAATCCTGGCACTTTGGAAGGTCGAGGTGGGAGGATTGCTTGAGCCCAAAAGTTCAAGACCAGCCTGGGCAACATGATGAAACATCATCTCCACAAAACATACAAATATCAGCTCTGTTATATATGAAATAAACAGAGTTTTCCAAAGATCTTTTATAAGATGGGAGAAAGGAGATGAAATAGAAGAGAGATTGACTTGGTCCTTCAGGATTGGAATCTGATAGATGGGACACTAGAGGAAGTTTAATGTAATCTTTTTGGCTATCTAGATCTAGTTTTTAGGCCCTGGCTAGAAGCCAGTTAGTTCCTCTTCTAGAATGGCCAATTAAGTCTACAATGCCGGCCACAGTGAGCTTGTGGTATTTAGCTTGCCCTAATCCTATCCCCATATCCTCAGCTTCAAGGTAGCCTTGAAAAGCAACCACCTTTTAACAACAGTAACAGTGAATATCTGCACCCTAGCAGAATATCTGCACTTGAGGAGGTAGAAATGGCTCTGAAAATGGCAGAAATGGCTCTGAAACACCCAAAAGCCTCCATCCCCACAGAATGTTCACTACTAAGCCTGCTTTGCAGCCTGCTGAATAGGTCTATTCTCATAGTATTTCTCTATTTGGCTTGACTTTATTTATGTGAACACTCCTACCCATAGGGCACTTGTCAAAAAACAATCAGCAGCAATTGTTTAACACTAGAGTGTTTAGGGGAGTGACAGTGTGTGTCTGCGTGATAGATGGAAGTAATAAGAGGGCACAGGGGAAAGGGGCCATACGCATAAGATGATGGAACAGAGAGCCTGGAGGGTGGGGTATAGAGAGTGTAGGGGAAGGGAGAAGGCAGACAGGTAAAAGGAAAAAGAATGTTAAGTGTTGTTCAGCCTCAAGACTGACATGATGAAAGTACCTTTATTGTGGTTTTTGTAAATTAGAATGCATGCTTTATTATTAAAAAAAACACAATTGAAAATGTTAAGGACCTTTTCCTCCTTGCTTCTTATAAGAAACCATCATAAGACATAACTTGTAATAATTCTGTAGAAATATACATATATAAAGATATATGTATATATATATTTTAAAATAGTATGTTTTTATTGCAAAATATTCATTAGTGTCATCATATCATAGCCAGATCTACAACCCCAGAGTAATTCCCATGGTTATGTTACATGGCAAAAAGGACTCTGCATTGTAATTAAGTTTATTAATCAGCTGACTTTAGCATTGGGAGATTATTCTGGATTGCCCAAGCACTTAAGAATAGGAGAAACCGGAGAGATGCAGCAGCAATAGTCAGTGGTTTCAAATATGAAAGGGATTTCACATACTATTGTTGGCTTTAAAGATAGGAAGTCGTGGGGGCAAGGAAACTCTCTAAAGGAAATTAATCTGGCAACAACCTAAATAATTCTAGAAAAGGATTCTTTTCCAGAGTCAAGAACAGAGCCAGGTGGTTCTTCTCTTCTAAAGACATTTCCATGGGCCAGTTCCACCGCAAGCTTCTCAGAGAGAATATGTTCTGCCGTACGGACACCGAACGTCCCCTAAGATGGCCGCCCCCATGATGCTCTCCCCTAAGGGCTCTGGCTCCGTTACCTGCAACGCACCGCTCGCTTATTTTTTGTTCTAGTCTCTCTTGCTTCAGTTTTTATACGGCTTCTAAAACGCTTCGCATTTACAATAGTGACTGAGGTGCCCAGAGGTGACTTTAATTTTCCATTGAGCTGAGACGTCACAGCCATCATAACCGCTAAGAAGGGATGCCGCGCCTTTGTGGTAATAATGGGTTCTGGCCTTTGAGAAGTTTGCGCCGTTCACTGTCCCCTGCGAGGAGAAGACTAACTTATTTCTGTTCCGTGTCTGTTCAGAGGACTTTACCCCCACGCCGTGTCTGCCTGTGTGAACTCAAGCCTCTGATAAGCTCTCCATTTTCTGCCAGGGCTGAGGTGTCTGGAAATCGGACAGTTTAAGAGGCCTCCGTCCACCGCGTCTCCCGGCCGCTGTGCCTTCTGTACGTCACGTACTCAAAGATGGCCGCCCCCAGAGCGGCGAGGCGACGCCGGCGCGGACGCGTCTCCTCCTGAGGAAAAGCCGGAAGGCCGCATTCCGCTCTCCATGGAAACGCGGCTGACCGTCTCTGGAGGTTTAGAGGGGGAGGGAGTTGGGCGAGGGGCCCAGAAGTGGAAGAAGTTTAGGGAAGTAAGTTCAGCTTTTAAGAGGTCGCGGCGATTCCAAGGAGAGTCAGGTCAGTGTGTGGGTCAGGGCGTGGAAACGTGGTGGGAGGGAGCTTTCTGAGGGCGTCTGCGTTGTTGGTGGCGCTATATGGTGGAGGTAGCGCGGGGGTTGGGGGAGGCGGGGGCGGGTGTTTCCTTTTGGAGGGGAGCTGGTAGGAGTCCCTGGTGGGTGTCTGTGATAGGATATCTTTGGGGTCCCTCATGGAGGCTCTGGTGGTCAGTGATTAAAGGCCTGAATAGATCAACGACCAAGAGTACTGAGGTCAGGGATTGTGGTCCTCGCGGGTCACTCCCCAGTGGGGCTCAGTGATTGAGAATCGATGGGGTGGCTTTTGTCAACGAATGTGACTTCTGTTTCACATTCTGGATTAATCTGAGGCTTAGTGATTGATGAATCATTAAGGGAATCCAGTGTACGTGTGTGTCTATTCCAGGTTTTCCTATTTTATCTGGCGGGGTGGTGGTCTTTTGTCTAGAGACAAGTGAAAGCCGAAGTCTTTTCACAAGAGCCCTGGCTGGTTTTGTGTGTGTGTGTGTGTGTGTGTGTGTGTGTGTGTGTGTGTGTGTGTGTGTGTGTTGAGCTCAAACTTTGGCTGGAACAGACTTGATGAACGTTAACATTTCCTAAAAGTTTCAGGTCCGAGTACCTCCTCCACAATGAGTTTTCTAATCCTCTGGCTTTCCACAACAACCCATGCTCTTGAACCTGCAGAAAATGAAAGTTTTTTGGGGGTGAAGGGGGGCGGATGAATAGGCTTTCTATTTAACATTATGTTTTTAAATTACTGCGCACAAATTAACAAGAGCCTATTTTTATCCTTCCTCTTGCAAATGTACTGCATATTTTTATGGGTGTTTCAGGTTTTGTATGTTAGTATATAAAGGCGGCTATTTTCCCAGTATTTATATTTTTGAATTGTTTTCTAAATTTGTATTTATAACTCGTATTCCTTTTCTCTGTCTCCCTCTTTTTTTCTATGTGTTTCTTGTTCTTCATATTGAAGTGTGTATATAAACATTTTTTTTTTTTTTTTGAGATGGAGTCTTGCTTTTGTCGCCCAGGCTTGAGTGCAATGGCTGGGCTCACTGCAAACTTCGCCTCCTGCGTTCAAGCCATTCTCCTGCCTCAGTCTCCGAGTAGCTGGGATTACAGGTGCCTGCCACCATGCCTGGCTAATTTTTTCTATTTTTAGTAGAGACAGTGTTTCACCATGTTGACAAGGCTGGTCTCGAACTCCTGACCTCAGGTGATCTGCCCATCTCGGCCTCCCAAAGTGCTGGGATTACAGGTGTAAGCCATCATGCCTGGCCGTATATAAACACTTTTAAATATATATAAAGACTTTTAAAGAGGTGTGAGAGTAACATTGTATAAAGGAAAAAATGTAGTTTCTCACCATCCATATGGCCTGATTTAAAAAACTGATATGAGAATTACCTACTGCTTAGGCATGATGCTATGTGGATTCTCCTTTGTGACCTCCCCTTTCATCTTCATGTTACTTCCACACTTCACCGAAGAAAGGCATTTGGCCTACATTGAGGGTCTTGTGTTTCCTTGGTTTGAGAGAACCAAATAAAGAGACAAATATTCAGGGCCACGTGTTAAGGTGAATGTACCCCTGAAAGTTGTTTTGCTCTTCAGTCCACAGGTCCTGGCTACCCTGGGAAGAGACAAGAAGTAAATGAAGAAAGAGGAAGATTCCAGGACCTAGATATGATTTCTGTGGACACCCTTCACTGGTGACTGAAGTTTCTAAATAGAAATTTAAGGCAGATCCAGAGGAGACAAAGACAGAGTATCCCAGGTGCTGGCCATTTCCCACAACAGAAGAAAATGATCAATGCCCAGGTGACTTTTTCTCTATTTTATTCTCTCCTTTATTCCATAGTGGATTTGTAGAGACCCGTAAGAAATCATTTCAGAATCTAGAGAGAAATAAACTTTAAATCTAACTCCAACATCATGGCAAAGTAAGATCAGGAATATAGTGTTTATGTGATTCCTACAAAATGACTGATGTTGGAAAATAATGCCTGACTAGAAGATCCTTTCCATTACCTTAGCTCTCAGTTTGCATCTGATGTCTCTGACAGCCAGTACAAGAAAGTCACACTAAGTTATACAGTGACTGTGGGGAGAAAGCAGACAGGTTCCTCAGGAGATTATTATTTCATGGCACTTAGATCTCAAGAAAAATTTGCTATTCTTCCCAGAGGTGATATGGTGAACAGTGTTTTGAACTAGCTTTCTAATAAAGGCAGAAGATTTCTTACTGCTGTTTATTACACGGTTCCTCAGAGACTCCTATGGAAATAGACCAGGCAAACTCAGTGGAAACAGTTTTTTTAGGGGACGAAAGCAAGGCCACACACTCAAGTCTTGCGTGTCTGTGTGAGCTTATTTAGGAATAAAATCTAAGTGACCTAGGAAAATGGAAGGTGTGCATAGCTTCCATTTTCCTGAACATGTGGCTGAACTGGCATTAACTGCAGATTTGGCATTAGGGAGTTGTCTGATAAGGTCTTGAGTCGTTGGGTGCCATGTTTGATAACTTCACCTCATCTCAGAATATACAATATCCTTCTGCATTTTCACCTCCAATTCTTGCATACTTATATTGCTTTTATTTTTTGTAATTACATAAATTACTCATGGAATCCAAAGGGAAAAAATTCTTTTTTTTTTTTTTTTTTTGGTTTTTGTTTTTTGAGATGGAATCTCACTCTGTTGCCCAAGCCGGAGTGCAGTGCGTGATCTTGGCTTACTGCAACCTCCACGTCCTGGGTTCAAGGGATTCTTCTGCCTCAGCTTCCTGAGTAGCTGGGATTACAGGTGTGCACTTGCATGCCTGGCTAGTTTTTGTATTTTTAGTAGAGATGGGGTTTTGCCATCTTGGCCAGGCTGGTCTCGAACTCCTGACCTCAGGTGATCCACCCGCCTCGGCCTCCCAAAGTGCTGGGATTACAGGCGTGAGCCACTGCACCTGGCCTCACAGGGAAATAAATTCTGATGATGAAGTACACACTGGTTAAAAAAGTAAATTTCCGGGCCGGGCACAGTGGCTCACGCCTGTAATCCCAGCACTTTTGGAGGCCAACCAGGCGGGTCACCTGAGGTCGGGAGTTCAAGACCAGCCTGACCAACATGGAGAAACCGTATCTCTACTAAAAACACAAAATTAACTGGGTGTGGTGGCGCATGCCTGTAATCCCAGCTACTCAGGAGACTGAGACAGGAGAATCGCTTGAATCCGGGAGGTGGAGGTTGTGGTGAGCCGAGATCATGCCATTGCACTCCAGCCTGGGCAACAAGAGCGAAACTCCGTCTCGAAAAAAAAAAAAAAAAAAAAGGTAAAAAAAGTAAAAGTAGATTCCCTCTTCATAACTTTCTTCCTAATCCTCTTATACTGCTTCAACAAATGTTTGGTAGCACATACTTGCTGTCACTGAAATGTGTGCATCTCTGTATATATGTGTATTTATAAATCCATGTGTTTTATGTATGTGTCTGCATATATAAACACATTTATTATGACTTCTTTTGCTTCAGTGGAATCACATTCCACCTGTTGGTCACCTTAGATCAAGCTTGTACAACCTGTGGCCTGTGGGCTGCATGCAGCTCAGGATGGCTTTGAATGTGGCCCAACACAAATTTGTAAATTTTCTTATAATGAGAATTTTTTGCATTTTTTTCCAGCTATCGTTAGTGTTAGTGTATTTTATGCATGGCCCAACGCATTTCTTCTTCCAGTGTGGCCCAGGGAAGCCAAAAGATTGGACACCCCTACCTTAGGTGGTGTAGTTTTAGAATATAAAGGAATAATCACTGCAATTAATTGAAGAATATTGACTGTATAAAATTCCATTTGTCTAAAGTCATACATGAAAACATTGTTAAACTATGTAAAGTATTTAGATGAGTGCCTGCCACATAGAAACTGATACATGGAGTCCTTTGTGCCTTAAATCTTTGCCAATACTTAAAAATATGACATTATCAAATTATACAATTTTCAATGATCCAATATTCTTTTGTCTTATTTTGCATTTTCCTCATCACAGGTGAGGTTGAAAGCCTTCTTGTGTATTTCTTGGCCAACTGGATTTTTTTCTCTTGTGAAATGCCTGACTTTATGATTTTTACATTAAAAAAACTTTTTTCTTACTGGCTAATGAGTTGCTTATATCTACTATATATTGATCTTTTGTTTATTGCAAAGTTTTTTTTAGCCTGTCATTTTTCTTTCAGCTTTGTTTATGATCTGTTTTTCAATGTAGAAATTAAATTTTTTTTCTCATAAAATTTGTCCCTTTTTTTTCCTTTATGGCTTTTAACATGAATATATTTCGTATTTGCTTCTGCTTCCACAGGTTCTTTTGCTTTCTGGTAAGGACTTTAAACAGGAAAAACTTATTTTTGAGTATGAAATTAGGTAGAAACCTACATTTTTTTTCAAACAGATTTATTTCTCGTGTGAAATAATTCCCGAATGTGATGAGATCAGCAGCATTAAGAATTTGCAGACTTCAGCAAGTCTGTTCTTTTCTCTGTGTATTAATCTCTGTGATTATATGGGGATAGATTATCCCATCAATTTGTGAAGGGGTGGGTTGCCCCTCCACACTTGTGGGTGTTTCTCGTAAGGTGGAACGAGAGACTTGGAAAAGAAAAAGACACAGAGACAAAGTATAGAGAAAGAAATAAGGGGACCCGGGGAACCAGCGTTCAGCATATGGAGGATCCCGCCAGCCTCTGAGTTCCCTTAGTATTTATTGATCATTCATGGGTGTTTCTCCGAGAGGGGGATGTGGCAGGGTCACAAGACAATAGTGGGGAGAGGGTCAGCAGACAAACACGTGAACAAAGGTCTTTGCATCATAGACAAGGTAAAGGATTAAGTGCTGTGCTTTTAGATACGCATACACATAAACATCTCAGTGCTTTACAAAGCAGTATTGCTGCCCGAATGTCCCACCTCCAGCCCTAAGGCGGTTTTCCCCTATCTCAGTAGATGGAGCATACAATCGGGTTTTATACCGAGACATTCCATTGCCCAGGGACGGGCAGGAGACAGATGCCTTCCTCTTGTCTCAACTGCAAGAGGCATGCCTTCCTCTTATACTAATCCTCCTCAGCACAGACCCTTTACGGGTGTCGGGCTGGGGGACGGTCAGGTCTTTCCCTTCCCACGAGGCCATATTTCAGACTATCACATGGGGAGAAACCTTGGACAATACCTGGCTTTCCTAGGCAGAGGTCCCTGCGGCCTTCCGCAGTGTTTGTGTCCCTGGGTACTTGAGATTAGGGAGTGGTGATGACTCTTAAGGAGCATGCTGCCTTTAAGCATCTGTTTAACAAAGCACATCTTGCACCGCCCTTAATCCATTTAACCCTGAGTTTGACACAGCACATGTTTCCGAGAGCACGGGGTTGGGGGTAAGGTCATAGATTAACAGAATCTCAAGGCAGAAGAATTTTTCTTAGTACAGAACAAAATGGAGTCTCCTATGTCTACTTCTTTCTGTACAGACACAGTAACAATCTGATCTCTCTTGCTTTTCCCCACAAATTTGCACCTAGCTCTTTCCTGCCTCAAGTTCCTACTACCATGTGATTATAAGTCATGTTGAGACAGGAGAGTGGCAGTTTAGTTGACAAGAGGGTCTCAATTTATTTTCCAGTGGCATTCAGGGCTAGGCCATACCATACAATTTGCCAATTGCCACAGAATCAGGACATTGAAGACATTATTCTGCACTTTTCTTGCTTCTTTTGTTTCTGTGGAAGTCAGTTGTTAGGACATTTTATTTTTCTTTTGATGGTAATGCATCTTTTCCTTCTATTAACAGTTGTTTGCATAATGTTATATGTGCATCTGATGTTCAATAGTTTCAGTCTGATGTGTCTAGATGCAGATTTTCTGCTTGGCTTTGTTGATTTATTAAATTTGAGTTATAGGATATTTAATCAGTTCTGAAAATTTCTCAGTCAGATATTTGGAAATTGCTTCTCTTATTTGAATATAATATTTCAAAAACTATGTATAGGCATATGTTAGGCCTCACTCTGTCTTCCATATTTAGTAAAGTCTCCTTCATACTTTCTGTCACTTTGTGTCTCTGCTTCATTTTTCAGTTATTTTAATTTTTTGAGATAGGGTCTCACTCTGTCACCCAGGCTGGAGTACAGTGGCATGATCACAGCTCACTGCAGCCTCAACTTCCTGGGCTCCAGCAATCCTCCCACCTCACCCTCCCAAGTAGCTGGGATCACAGGTGTGTGCCACCGCACCTGGTTAATTTTTGTCTTTTTGGTAGAGATAGGATTTCACCATGTTTCCCAGGCTGGTCTTGAACTCCTGAGCTCAAGCTATCCGCCTGCCTCAGCCTCCCAAAGTGCTGGGATTACAGGTGTGAGCCACCACACCTGGCCCTGTTATTTTTTTTACTGTGAATTCCAACTCACTAATTATCTCTTCAGTGTATTTAATATAACCTTTCTGTTAATAGACACATATACCTGTGACTGTATACGTATATATACATAAACATATATTTATATGTATGTGTGCATACATATATATTTAATGTATGTTTCCAAGAATAAGTTTTCCCAATTTGGTTACTCTTTAATAGTTTCTCATGTTTTCTGTACATTTCTATTTTTTAATCCATTTAACAATTAAACATGAATGTAGTATCCTGTGGTTCTAGCATCTGAAGTCTCTCTATGTCTTATGCTAGTATTAGCTGGGAAGGCTTAACAGTGAATGAAACAATTTATATCAGATATCTAGATGTCAGTAGCATATACTTTCTTGACTGGTCAATAGATACCAAAATTAAAATTTATACATAAAACCCGCTTTTACTGAGAGGATTTGATATAAAACCTTAATTTTTGTTGAGCAAATGGGGCACTGTGCAATTATAGAATACTTGGAGATTCTCTGGCAATATTAAAAAATACAATAGACTTATAGATGGATGCAGTCTATATGTTTAATGTGAGCGGGACAACTTCCCTTCACTTTCTTTTCATGTCAGTAAAAGAGAAACACTTCCTATTAAGCAAGGCTCTGTTTTCTTACAGGAATTGCTGACACTGGAGGATGTTACTGTGGAGTTCACCTGGGAGGAGTGGCAGCTCCTGGGCCCTTTTCAGAAGGATTTGTACCGGGATGTGATGTTGGAGATCTACAGCAACCTGCTATCAATGGGTGAGGACAGCTGCTCTGTGTCACCTGGAGGGTGCCCAGTCTGTGGCCTTTGCTTTCTCAGTTGCTTACCCTTGGAAGTTACTGCAGTGCTCTGAATATTAGATTTTTGGCACATCCTCTGGCTTCTGATAAAAGGATATACCGTCACCCCTCAGTGTCCAAGAGGGATTGGTTTCACAACTTTCCATGGATATGAAATCCACAGATGCTCAAGTCTCATATAAAATGGCATTGTATTTGCATATAACCTACACACACCTCCTCCTGAATACTTTAAATCATCTCCAAATTATGCCTGATACTTAATACAATGTAAATGCTATGTACATAGTTGTTATACTATATGTTTTAATTAATTTATTTATTTATTTTTTCTTTAGAGACAGTGTCTCGGTCTTTCACTCAGGCTGGAATGTAGTGGTGCCTTCATGGCTCGCTGCAGCCTTGAACTGGGTTCAAGTGTTCCTCCTGCCTCAGCCTCCTGAGGAACTATGCCTACAGGTGCAAACCACCATGCTTGGCTAATTTTTTTTTTTTTTTGTAGAGATGGAGTCTATGTTGCCCAGGCTGGTCTCCCACTCCTGGCTTCAAATGTTGGTTTCATGTCAGCCTCCCATAGTGCTCGGATTATAGGCAAGAGCCACTGCACTTTGTATTTTTTTTTATTATTGTATTTTTTATTGTTTTTTAAAAAATATTTTCAATCCATGGTTGGTTGAATCCCTGGATGTGAAATTTTCAGATATTAAGGTCTGACTGTAATCTGCCCTTTCCTGAGAGAGAAGCCTCTACTTTCAGATGTGAAAACTGTCTAGTTACTTAAATGTAACATTCTCTCACATTACATACCCCAGCCCAATCCAGTGTGTCTGTCTTCTATTATTTCCCGTAAACAGGTTATCAAGTCAGCAAACCAGATGCACTCTCCAAGTTGGAACGAGGAGAAGAACCATGGACAATGGAAGATGAAAGGCACAGTCGAATCTGTCCAGGTATGTGAGAAGCAGCAAGATGCGTAAGTAATATTATAGTCAGTGAAAGAAGGCTCTGTGGGTGTCTGAGGACACAGAAGCAGTGCCTACATTAGGAATGGGAATCGTTTTCCCTCCACAAGAAACCCTTCCCATCTTATTTTAAGGTTGCATTCTCCTTTAGTACCATACATCTGTCCTGTCTGTGCTGGTGTTGTATTGAATGTCCTCTACCTATGGAGTTCTCTTCTTAAAAGTCTCTACTATTTTTGTTTACTGTTTACCTAGAAAGGACTGTTTTATGTCCTACATCAGTTCTAGACCAAACCAGGTCATAACTTATGTCTGTCTCAGAGTACTTCCTTTGTACATTTGATTTCTACTTTTCCTTTAGTTCATCTTAGACGGTAGCATTGTATTCATTTCCCTAATGTGTTTTTCCCATTATAGATTTGTTTTTTCAACAGCTTAGATAATTTACATACCATACAATTTTCCAATTTAAAGTTTATTTTTCAGTGCTTTGTAGTGTATGAACAGTTATGTAACCATCACCATAGTCAATTTTGGAAGATTTTCAAAGTATCACTTAAAAAAAAAAATTGTTTCCAAGCCCCCAGCCCTAGGCAATCACTAATCTACTTTCTTTTTCTTTTCTTTTCTTTTTTTTTTTTTTTTTTGAGATGGAGTCTCACTCTGTCACCCAGGCTGGAGTGCAATGGTGTGATCTCGGCTCACTGCAACCTCCACCTCCCGGGTTCAAGCGATTCTCCTGCCTCAGGCTCCCAAGTAGCTGGGATTACAGGCGCGCACCATCATGCCCAGCTAATTTGTGTTTTTGTAGAGACAGGGTTTCACCATGTTGGCCAGTTTGGTCTCGTACTCCTGACCTCGTGACCCACCTGCCTCGGCCTCCCAAAGTGCTGGGATTACAGGTGTGAGCCACCGTGCCTGGCCTCTACTTTTTATCCCTATAGATTTGCCTGTTCTGGACATTTTATATAAATAGAATCATGAAATATATGGTCTTTTGTGTCCGGCTTCTTTCATTTAGCATAATGTTTTTGAAATTCTTCCATTCTTTAGCATGTATCAGTGCTTAATTTCTTTTTATTGTTGAATAATATTCCATTGTATGGATATACCACATTTTATTTATCAATTCATCTATTGCATTGACATTTGGGTTATTTCTACTTTTTGGCTTTTATGAATCATGCTGCTATGAACGTTCATGTACAACTTTTTTAGGAACGTATGTTTTCATTTTTCTTGAGCCTTCACCTAGGAGTAGAATTGCCAGGTCATTTGTAGTCCAGGAGGGGGTCCAAGTACAGTACTTCTCTGGTCCTCCTCTCACTGTGGATGTTACATCTCTTCCCAGCCACACAGTGTGTGACAGTACAGAGTATTGACAACTAGGGAAGTTCACTTGAGCCTTTGGTGGCCAGAGTTTTGATTAGGTTTCAGTCACATACAGCCCACATGGCTGACTTTTAGTCTTCAGCCTCTCCTGGAAGTCAGGCTAATACCTAGAGTGTCCAGTTTTTCCAAAGGCTGGAAGTGATATGGCATGGGCCAAAGCCCCTATCACAAATCATATTGTTAAACTGTCCAGTGGCTAAAGCCACCAGGCAAACAAAGACACTCCTATGGGCCAGGACATTCCAGGGGCCTAGAGATCATTTCCTAATAGCTAAGAACAAATGCTAGATCTCTGTTTGGATGAGGTTAGAGCTAGATCCTCACTACACAGAAGATTACCATAAAAATTAACAATAAAGGGGTTAATTAAGGAATACAGAGAACATAGAGCATATGGCAGGATAGTCAGAATTGCAGCAAGAGTATGATGTGCACAAGGCATATCTAGATTTTGAATTAGGAAGATGGTGACATGAATTAAGAATGAAGGCATGGGTCAGGTGCGGTGGCTCATGCCTGTAATCCCAGCACTTTGGGAGGCCTAGGTGGGGGGAACACCTGAGGTCGGGAGTTTGAGACCAGCCTCACCAACATGGAGAATCCCCTTCTCTACTAAAAATACAAAATTAGCCGGGCATGGTGGCACATGCCTGTAATCCCAGCTACTCAGGAAGGCTGAGGCAGGAGAATTGCTTGAACCCAGGAGGCAGAGGTTGTGGTGAGCCAAGATTGTGCCATTGCACTCCAGCCTGGGCAACAAGAGCACAACTCCATCTCAAAAAAAAGAATGAAGGCATGAAATAGGAATTGTGCAAGGCCATGGGCCTGACTATCAAAAGATTGGCTTCAAGTTGGCCAAATACAGGTCAGTGATAGAAGCTGCTTGTTGGAGAAATCGTGGAGCAGAAACATGGTAATATTCATGGTAATGTAAACTTTTTTTTATCAAGATGACTTTTGATTGTATATATGAGTAATTGAGGTAGCATGGTTGAGGGTTGGTTAATTTTATATTTTTGTCTTTTCATAAAATATGTTGCTAGTCTTGACCTTTCACTTGGATGACAGCAGTGTAGCAATAATAAGAAACAGCTAAATATCTTAAGAAAAACTGAAGGTGAAGATGCCACAACCTTTGTCTAGAAGAAGTTTATCCTTTAGTACAACTTAACTGATGCTGAGACATAAATGTAGCTTACTGAAGTAGATGTTATTGGTGGCAGATGAGGAAACAGTGTATCAGGGACATTGAAATGGGAAAAATTGGATATGACCTTTTTTTTTTTTTTTTTTTAAGGTAGAGTCTCACTTTGTTGCTCAGGCTGGAGTGCAGTGGCACGATTTTGGCTCACTGCAGCCTCAACCTCCTGGGCTCAAGCGATCCTCCCACCTCAACATCCCAAGTAGCTGAAACTACAGGCGCATATCACCATGCATGCCTGGCTAATTTTTGTATTTTGTGTTTCACCATGTTGCCCAGGCTGGTCTGGAACTCCAGAGCTCAAGTGATCTGCCCACCTTGACCTCCTAAAGTGCTGGGATTACAGGTGTGAGCCACCGTGCCTGGCCTTGATACGACTTTTCTACTGCATGCAGAATGTGATTGAAGAAAATGACAGTTTTCATATCCCATGCAGCAGCACATTTTCTTCTGAAGGCAACTACATGGTACACTGGCCAGTTGCAAAATTCCCTATCATTGTTTTCCTGTTTCATAATTAATGAAACATATGATAACGCAACACAGCTAAACCAAAGGGTGGAGTGTTGACTATAGGAGTTGTTCATTAAACGTGATGGATGTTTTTGGAAAGTTAGATGGTAGTCTACAGATTGAAGAGGGGCAAATTTAGTAACAATTACCACACAAGAGTCTATCTCAGTTGACTTAATTTCAACAGATGGAGATTTCCAATTCTTACTTGCCAGGCAACATGTACGTGAATGTATTTATTCTATATATCTCAGTAAGCATATTACCCTGATCTTTGTATTCACAGTTTGGTTCCTCTAACAGGGCTTAAATAATCCCAAAACCACATGTTGGAATGTCTACAACCTTGGTTCTGTACCTTCATCTTTCATTCTACATGTCTTCTCAACATGGTATCCTGGCTCAGTGCCTTGGCTCACACCTATAGTCCCAGCACTTTGGGAAGCAGAGGTGGGCAGATCACTTGAGCCCAAGAGTTCAAGACCAGCTTGGGCAATATGGCAAGACTCCATCTCTACAAACAATACAAAAATCAATCAGGCATGGTTGCATGTGCCTGTAGTCCCGGCTACTCAGGAGGCTGAGGTGGGAGAATTGCTTGAGCCTGGGAGGTGGAGGTTGCAGTGATGCAAGATTGTGCCACTGCATGCCAGCCTGGGTGACAGTGAGACCCTGTCTCAAAAAAAAAAAAGTCATTCAGTCCTTTTTTCTCAAATAATATGTATGTACTGATTATTTCCATGCTGCCTTCTCCATTTATACCTCCAACCAGATTCTTGATGTCTGTGTTACATATTTGATAACCATTTCAAAGTGTGTTTCACAGTATATACTTTACATGTGCTGGACTGCAGTAATATTTGCCATCTCATTATCAGATGCTGTCATCTACCCAGTGGCTCAAGCCATATAGTTAGTAATCTTTGAGCCCTCACTTTCCTCACTCTCCCCATTGAATTCATCATTTAACCTTGTCTTTTCTTTATACAAAAATATCCTGCTTTTCTCCAACTCTCATCATCTACACTGCTCCATCAAACCACACTTAACATCACCAACTCCCTTCTTTTTTTGTTCCTTCGTATTGTTTTTCCTAATTAGAATTCAGCATGAGTGAAAAGAAGGCATATTTTGTGTATCCCAAATGCCAGCAGAGTGCCTTGTCCATAGGAGTCATTTGACAAATAACTAGTGGAGTGAATAAATACAACCCTCAGAATTGTGAATCAGTTGCCTTTTCCACCTTTGTGGTCTGGTGTCTCCCAAAATTTTGTGGAATGGTGTTCCTCCAAGCCCTGTTGTTTGCTTGTAATAATGACTTGCTTGTATTTTACTGTGTCCGCATGTTTTGCAAGGTCCTGTTTAGAAAGCTGTCAAATCGATATAGATTGTCAACTGCCTCACCTTATTTGCACACAGACTGCTTTTACTTTTTGGTTTGTTTATATTATTATGTTTTTACCAAAGTGTATACATGAAGTTGCTTTTATACTATTATTGTAGTATTGTCATTAAATAGCGATATTTAAAAACACCTGGCCAGGTGTGGTAGCTCATGCCTGTAATCCCAGCATTTTGAGAGGCCGACGTAGGGGTATCACTGGAGGTCAGGAGTTCAAGACCAGCCTGGCCAACATATTGAAACCCTGTCTCTACTAAAAATACAAAAATTAGCTAGGCATGATGGCACATGCCTGTAATCCCAGCTACTTGGGAGGCTGAGGCAGGAGAATTGGTTGAACCCAGGAGGCGGAGGTTGCAGTGAGCTGAGATCATACCACTGCACTCCAGCCTGGGTAACAGAGCGAGACTCTGTCTCAAAAAATAATAATAATAAACAAAATAAAACACCAAGGATTTTTTTTTCTAAGAAGACAGTTTTATCCCCAACAAGATTATAAAAGGATTCATTGTTCTCTTCTTTCCTAGAAAACAACGAAGTTGATGATCATCTGCAGGATCACTTGGAAAATCAAAGGATGCTGAAGAGTGTGGAACAATACCATGAACATAATGCATTTGGAAATACTGCCTCTCAAACCAAAAGCCTTTGTCTTTTCAGGGAAAATCATGATACATTTGAGTTATATATAAAAACTTTGAAATCAAATTTAAGTTTAGTCAACCAGAACAAAAGCTGTGAAATTAACAACTCTACTAAATTTAGTGGAGATGGGAAATCATTTCTTCATGGTAACTATGAAGAACTTTATTCTGCAGCTAAATTCTCTGTAAGTACAAAAGCCAATAGCACTAAATCCCAAGTCAGTAAGCATCAGAGAACTCATGAAATAGAAAAAAACCACGTATGCAGTGAATGTGGGAAAGCGTTTGTCAAGAAGTCTCAGCTCACTGATCATGAGAGAGTTCATACAGGAGAAAAACCTTATGGATGTACTTTGTGTGCAAAAGTGTTCTCCAGAAAGTCCAGGCTAAATGAACATCAAAGAATTCATAAAAGAGAGAAATCTTTTATATGCAGTGAATGTGGAAAAGTCTTCACTATGAAGAGCCGTCTGATTGAACATCAGCGAACTCATACTGGAGAGAAACCCTACATATGCAATGAATGTGGAAAAGGCTTCCCAGGCAAGCGTAATCTCATTGTACATCAGCGAAATCATACTGGAGAGAAATCCTATATATGTAGTGAATGTGGAAAAGGCTTCACTGGGAAGAGCATGCTTATTATACATCAGCGAACTCATACAGGAGAGAAGCCCTACATCTGTAGTGAATGTGGGAAAGGCTTCACCACAAAACACTATGTCATCATACATCAACGAAATCATACAGGAGAGAAACCATATATATGCAATGAATGTGGGAAAGGCTTCACCATGAAGAGCCGTATGATCGAACATCAACGAACTCATACAGGAGAGAAACCCTACATATGCAGTGAATGTGGAAAAGGCTTTCCCAGGAAGAGTAATCTTATTGTACATCAGAGAAATCATACAGTAGAGAAGTCATATCTATGTAGTGAATGTGGAAAAGGTTTTACTGTGAAAAGCATGCTCATCATACATCAGCGAACTCATACAGGAGAGAAGCCCTACACATGCAGTGAATGTGGGAAAGGCTTCCCCTTGAAGAGTCGGCTGATTGTACATCAGCGAACTCATACTGGAGAGAAACCTTACAGGTGCAGTGAATGTGGGAAAGGTTTCATTGTGAATAGCGGACTGATGTTACATCAGCGAACTCATACTGGAGAGAAACCGTACATATGCAATGAATGTGGAAAAGGTTTTGCCTTTAAGAGCAATCTTGTTGTACACCAGCGAACTCATACTGGAGAGAAACCCTTTATGTGCAGTGAATGTGGAAAAGGCTTCACCATGAAACGCTATCTCATTGTACATCAGCAAATTCATACAGAAGAGAAATCTTGTATATGTAGTGAATGTGGAAGAGGCTTTGCCAAGGAAACAGAGCTTGCTTTACATAAGCAAGTTCATACTGGAGAAAAACCTTATGGATGTAATGAATGTGGTAAAGGCTTCACTATGAAGAGCCGTCTAATTGTTCATCAACGAACTCATACAGGAGAGAAACCCTTTGTATGCAGTGAATGTAGAAAAGCCTTCTCCTCAAAGAGAAATCTCATTGTACATCAGCGAACTCATAATGGAAACAAACCCTGACAATGCAGTGGACATGTTCATGCCTTTGGGAAGAAAATCTGCCTTGTACAACATCAGAGATTTCACAGTATAGATTTTCTACATGTGTACTGAGTATGAAAAATCATATTTCAAAATCCAGTGTTATTCACTAGGATGAATGCTATCAATGTCAGAAAGGCTTCAACATGAATTCAGGCTCTGAATTCTTTGATGTACCAATGTATAGAAAATTACTCATCTGAGAGAGAGTCTGTGGATTGGGGGTAACCTTTCATTTGTCAACCTTCATTAAAACTATGACAACGTCCACATGACAAATGTGTAAGGTACATAGTCCTTTTGCAGAGAATCTGAACTGATTACATACAAACAAATTCATGCAGAGAGAAAACCACGTTAGTAATGTGAACTGATTAAACAGCAGTGTGCTCCTAGCATACATGCATATAGGCAGTGTAGAGCAGCCTGTTGCTAGATTTTCACCCTTGGAAGACAATGCAATTTCCAGGAGCGAATTTTAATGAATGCAGAGAATGCACTAGTGCCTTCGGTGATTAATTACCTCATATTTTATGTCACAATAAACATGTAGGAAATAAACTTGATACATCCAATGCAGAAAAGTCTTGAAAATTTTCTAAGTAACTATGTCTTGAAAAGTATTTACTGAGATAAATCTTACAAAGGAGTAGGCTAGGAAAGCCTTCTATGGGAAGAAAGACCCTATCTCTTCAGTGATCATAATAGATCATCAATGAACTTACACATACTAGCAGCATTATCATGGGAAAGCCTTTGCCCAGAAATAAAACCTTAACAGTTGGCAGATATATTTCATACTGGAGAACAAGTTTCAGATGGCAGTGAATACACGAGGATTTCAGTGATACATGCTGCCTCATCATCATTACTTCATACAGAAATAAAACTTATATGAAGAGTAACTTTAAAAAGGATCAGGAAATTCATGAAGTAAAAAAGTCTCATGAAAATGATACATAATGCCGGGCATGGTGGCTTGCACCTGTAATCCCAGCACTTTGGGAGGCCAAGGTGGGTGGATCACTTGAGGTCGGGAGTTCGAGACCAGCCTGACCAACATGGTGAAGCCCCCCTCTCTACTAAAAATACAAAATTAGCCGAGCATGGTGGCTCACGCTTGTAATCCCAGCTACTCTGGAGGCTAAGCTGGAGAATCACTTGAACCTGGGAGGCAGAGGTTTCAGTGAGCCAAGATTGCGCCATTGCATTCCAGCCTGGGCAACAAGAGCGAAACTCTGCCTCAAAAAAAAAAAAAAAAAACCATATTTGAGGACTGTCACAAATCTAAACTCATGATACACTTGATATCTATTCTGTGACAGCATACCTTGCATCATATTATCAATGATTCCATAATTGTAAAGCGGGCTGTTCTTATCACTGATTAAATTTTAATCCTATATATAACACAGGTGTTTTCTGTGCCAATCTGGTGTTATTTATTAGTTCTTACATATTATAGGCCCCAAATTTATTTTTTTCAATTTACTGATAAATGTAATTCAGTATATTTGGATGTGTTTATCCAAGTTACTAGGTACCATTATGTAGTTTACAAAAATGCCTTAAATGTTATTTTTCTAAAATTTGTTTTGAAATAATTCTAGATTCACAAGAGATTACAAAATATACAAAAGTTTCCTGAGTATTCTTTGCTTAGCATCATCAATGTTATCTTACATAACCATAATAATAAAAACCACGGAGTTCTGCTCTTGTTGCCCAGGTTGGAGTGTAATAGCACGATCTTGGCTCACTGCAACCCCGCCTCCCAGGTTCAAGAGATTTTCCTGCCTCAGCCTCCTAAGTAGCTGGGATTACAGGCACCCACGACCACGCTCGACTAATTTTTGTATTTTTAGTAGAGACGGGGTTTCACTGTGTTGGCCAGGCTGGCCTTGAACTCTCGACCCCGGGCGGTCCACCCGCCTCAGCCTCCCAAAGTGCTGGGATTACAGGCATGAGCCACCACGCCTGGCCTCCTCTTGCTACCTCTTTATACTCACACTGTCCTCCCAATATGACCCATGGTAGCCACTGATCCCATTACCCTAATTTTGTTATTTCAAGAATGCTATTAAAATGGAATCGTAAGGTACGCAAGCTTTGAGATAGGGCTTTGTTCACTCAGCAAATTACCCTTAAGATCTATCCAAGTTGTTAGGTGTCTAAATAGTTTTAATTTTTGTTACTGAGTTAGTATTCTTTTAAATGGATGCACCAGGGTTTGTGTATCCATTCACTGTTGATGGACATTTGGGTTGTTTCCAGTGTTTTGCTGTTATAAATAAAGATGCTGTGACTATTTGTGTACCCGATATTGTGCGAACGTTAAGTTTTTATATATTTGGGATAGACACTGGGGGCATGACTGCTGGCGAATATGGTAAATGTGTTTAACTTTATAAGAAATGGCCAAACTCTTTCCCAGAGTGGCTGTACTAGTTTACATTCCCACCACCAATGTGTAAGCATTCCATGCCCTTTCTAGCTCTTGGCATTGCCAGTGTGCTTTAGCTTTCCTATTAGGTGTGTGGTGGTATATGATCATGGCCTCAACTTACACACCCCTAACACAAAATGATATTAAGCATCTCTACATCCACTGAGAACCATATCAAGTAAAATTGTAACTTTTGCTTCCAACCAGCAAACCCAATGTTTAAAACTCAAAAGAATATTATATTTTATAATATATTTACCCTTTCTGTTCCTTTTTCTTCATTCCTGATGTAATATTTCCTTTAGTTATTTCCTTTTTGTGCGAACTTCCTTAATCATTTCTCTTTGAGCAGGCCTGGTGGCAAAAAATTATTAGTTTCCCTAGAAACAGGGTTCCTGTTTTCTCTATCCAGAGTTATTTCCCTTGATCTAATGAGATTTAATCCAGTTTATAAATGGTGAGTTCTCTTTATAAAAGTAATAGACATTTGCCATATAGTATTGTGGCAGAATTCAATCCCTGACTCCATATTGAGTAATTTACTTCTTTGAAAATATTTTTTGAGCTTCTACACCATGGCAGGCATGTTGTAGGCAATGGAGACACATCAATGAACAAAACAGGCAAAGTGCTGGCTTTGATATGACATACAGTCTGGTGAAGGAGACTGAGTAAGATAAATACAAAATCGAATTCAGTTAAGTGCTAGGAAGAAATATAAAGCCTGGTAAGTTCATAGATTGTAACCTGAGTTATTTTAGGAAGAGTTTTCAGGATAGGCTTTTCTGTGCAGATATAATTTGAACCAAAGCCTAAATATACTGTGGGGACACAGCCATCATATTTTTAAGTCCAGAACACTATAGAACTTTCTAAGTGTTTTCTTTGGGGTTCCTGCCTCAGCATTCTCTGAGAAGCTTGTAAAAGAAGGCAAATTCTTGAGTCACTCCCCAGACATTCCAAGCTAGAATTTCTGGGGATGGGGTTCGGACTCTGCATTTATAAAAAGAGCCTTCTTAAATTTGAACATCTCTGCCCTAAATTGTGGATTGGTGCTCCCATCACCATTCCCACACTGTAACAGGATGGATTCAGGGCAGATTGTCTCCAGCAATGAATCAGACAAAAGTGCTCCACCAACCAGGCCCTTGAATCACCTTCCTTGTCCCGTGAATCAGCACAGCCTGCCACGGCAAAGTTTTATCAGCCCACTCCTGGAAATGATCAGTGAAGGTCCCATCATGGGCTGCTCATAGTCCTGTGGACCAGGTGCTAAACTTACCTACCAGAGATTAACATTCCAGATGAACGGGGCTGAAATTTAATCCTGGATGGAATATGTTATAACACTCAAGAAATACGAACATGAAATTCTTATTCTCTAGAAATTACAAAACGTAAGTAAAATGAAGAAATTTTAAGTCACCATAATTGTACGGAACAGTCAAATATTGTTAGTATATTCTCCAGAATTTTTCAAATGCATGAGCATATTTATTTTCTGAAAGAAAACAGCCTATTTTGCATTTATCATGCCATGAACTTATTATACATCATCATACCTATTTTCTAAGATCAACATGTTTTATAATATATTCATGATTATGGTACAAAGATAGTAAAATTAAGTATAAATTGGGAATATTTTTCAAGTAAAAACATGGCATTCTCTACCTATGAACACAAACAATATTAATTCAAACTAAATGTCTTGTTTAACCAATCACAATTTTCCAAAAGATGTTTATGATTTCTTCCAATAACAAGACCATAAAATATATACTATCCTGCAGATCATTTTTTTGTCCTCTGACAAAGTTTTCTTTTTTATAAAACAATTGTAGCATATTCTTTTAAATTGATATATACTCTTACAGTTCAGCAGATGTTCCATAATTTACCAAAGTATTCATCTCTCATTGTAATTCCCTTTTTTTGTAAATTACAAAAGTTGTGGTTAATATTAAGACAGATTTGCCTAGATAGCTTTTAGAATTGCTGTGTCAAAGAAAACGAAAAAATTAAATTGGCTCTAGGTTGCCTTCCAAAAATACAATATTTACTTAAATCTTCTACAGTTACAACGCCAACATCTGCAAAAATAGAACTAATATTTTTTAAGTGTGACTTTTTAAAAAATCTGGAAACATTGCAAAGTAGGATGATCGCATTCTAATAATTTCATATTCTTAAGTGCCCCACTGTCATCTTCCTTTACTTCTGGAAGGAAACATGTAGATATTAACACAGTTGCACCTTCACCTCCTCATCCCCTTCCCCACTGGCAGTGGTTTTAATAGCAAGCCCCATGTGGGTATTAGCATTTAATGGAGCATCACTCCTGTTCTCGGCTTCGTCCATTCAGTCAGAGTCTAATCTAACCCACAAAAGCCTTACCCAGCCCAGAACCCCCGCCCTATCCCCAAATCTAACACTTTCAGTGACCACTGGTTTTGGCAACTCTGTGACCGCTTCCTGGCCAGCACCGTGACTTCTTCAAACCTTGTTTATTTTTCCAAATTGTCCTGGATATGAGCATCTTCTCTGCCGTACGGCTGCTGCCTTCCTCTAAGATGGCCGTGCCCATGGTGCTCCAGCTAAGGCTCCACTCTCAGCTATAATGGGCACAAAGGGCGCCGCCATCTTTTTTCCACAGCAGGCTGAATAGAATGCCACTGCGCCGTGTTGGCCTTGGCTGGGCACCCGACTCTTGAGTGTCCCTTGCAACGAAGAGAGAAAGGCACTGAGGTGACTAAGAGTGATTCCCACAGCCATTATGGCCGCTCCTGTCAGAAACGCTGCGATGGGCGCAGCCCTGTGACCTCATAGAGCGGCGCCCGCAGTCTGAACTCGCGATCCCGGGCAGGCTCCGTGGTCCTCGCCTCGCTTCACGGTCTTTACCGCTCAGCTTCCCGGAGTCCGCGCAGGAGCGCGTCTGAATAGGAAGCGTTTTCGGACGTGGATGCGGCGTTTTGTCGCTGCCAGTGGTGTCTGGAGAGGTTCGGGCTCGGGTGAGTCGAGTTCTGGGCATGGACTCGCGGCCTGTGGGTCTGTGTACCGATGGTGCGTGGAGCGTCCTGATTGGGGCTGTATTTGAACGCAGTCGCTGAGGAAGCGGGGCGTTAATGACGGGTCCTTTGGCTGTAGGGATGAAGAGTCTGAGGAAATCAGCGACGAGTCCGACTCTGTCTGGGTCTGGGGCCCTTGTGAGTCACCCTTTACGGGTGTTGGGCTGGGGGACGGTCAGGTCTTTCCCTTCCCATGAGGCCCTATCTCAGGCTATCACATGGGATATTATCTTTCCTGAAGAATATAACATGTGCTCTTGAAAAAAATGTTTATTTTACTGCTGTTGAGTGCAGTGTTAAATGTTCGTTAAGTCTAGTTGGTTGATAATGTTGTTCAAGTTTTCGGTATCCTTGCTGAGTTTCTATTTGTTTTCTTTATTATTGCAAGTAGGGTAATGTAGTCTTCAATTATTATTGTTGAATTGTCTAATCCTCTCTCATTCTGTTTTGCTTCATACGTTTTTAAATTATCATATTCTTATATATACACCCTTATATTATTATTGCCAGCCATTGTAACCATTGTTGCCACTCACCTAGGCCTTGGTGTCCAGAGTTTTATTGGATATCAGTTAACACACACACACACAATTGACTGCCTATGAGGCTGACTTCAATCTCCAGCTCCTCCAGATATCAAACTAATACCACGTGGTCCAAGGTCTCCCACAGTAAATCACATTATTAGGATAGACAATTTGGCATGGCTTAAATTGCCCTGATAACCAAAGACAGTTTTATCAAGCAGCGTATTCCAAAGGCTTAGAGTTTGCCTCATAGGAACTGTGGGCAAAGGACAAAGCTCTCTTGGGTAAAGTTACTCCTTTAGCGCATAATGTGAAATGAGACAGTTCTTGTGATTTGCTTAGTACATTGGTCTTGACACGAGGTATGTATACCCAAAGAGCTTACAGAGACTTTCGAACCAGTACATGGGCACACGTGGTTTTTAAAGACATTCTTGGAGCCTTCCATGTGTTCTCTTTCCTAAAATTGATCTGTCTGAGAATTCACCTTGAAGGGGGCCACCCCTCCACAACCTGTGGGTGTTTCTTGTCAGGTGGGATGAGAGACTGAGAAAAGAAATAAGAGACAAAGTATAGAGAAAGAAAAGTGGGCCCAGGAGACCAGCACTCAGCATACGGAGGACCCACGCTGGCACTGGTCTCTGAGTTCCCTCAGTATTTATTGATCACTATCTCTACCACCTCGGAGAGGGGGATGTGGCAGGACAATAAGGTAATAGTGGGGAGAGGGTCAGCAGGAAAACATGTGAACAAAGGTCTCTGTGTCATAAATAAGTTTAAGGAAACGTGCTGTGCCTTGATGTGCACGCACACAAACATTTCGGTACAATAAAGAGCAGTATTGCCACCAGCATGTCTCACCTCCAGCCCTAAGGCGGTTTTCTCCTATCTCAGTAAATAGAACAGACAATGGGGTTTTACACGGAGACATTCCATTCCCAGGGACGAGGAGGAGACAGATGCCTTTCTCTTATCTCAACCGCAAAGAGGCCTTCCTCTTTTACTGATCCTCCTCAGCAGAGACCCTTTACAGGTGTCGGGGTAGGGGACGGTCAGGTCTTTCCCTTCCCACGAGGCCATATCTCAGGCTATCATATGGGGAGAAACCTTGGACAATACCTGGTTTTCCTAGGCAGAGGTCCCCGCGGCCTTCCGCAGTGTATTGTGTCTCTGGGTAGTTGAGATTAGAGAATGGTGATGACTTTTACCAAGCATACTGCCTTCAAGCACGTTTTTAACAAAGCACATCCTGCACAGCCCTAAATCCATTAAACCTTGAGTCAACACAGCACATGTCTCTGCTAGCATAGGGTTGGAGCTAGGGTTACAGATTAACAGCATCTCAAGGCAGAAGAATTTCTCTTAGTACAGAACAAAATGGAGCCTCTTATGTCTACTTCTTTCTGCATAGACACAGTAACAGTCTGATCTCTCTTTCTTTTCCCCAGACACCTGCCTCTGAGGCATTGTGCTGTGCTGGTTCTGCTTTCCCACCTTCTCTATAATAGTCATGCCACTTCTACTTCACAAAAGAAAGGCATAGATTTCACACATTTAGAACCATGAAAACCTCTGAGGCAGCAAATAAAGGAACTGTTAGAAATATTAGGGTCTTTTATTTAAGGTAAGTGCAGAGCAGCAGTGACAATGTCTGGACCCAGGGTTAATGTACACTGAAAGCCATTTTGTTTATCAGTCCTCAGGTCCTGGCTCCCAGAAGCAAAATAACTCAAGTGAAGCAATGAAGGAAGAAGAAGGAGGTTGCTGGCCTTGGATATCATAATTTCTGGGGACAACTTTAAGTGGACACTAATATTTCTGACTAGGAAAACTTCAAAAACTTCATGGCAAATGCAGAAGAGACAAAGACGTATAGTCCATGTTATCCACTATTTTCTGAGCACAGAAGAAAATGATCAAGACCCAGGTGATATTTTCCCTTTGATTTTTTGATAGATTTATGGTGGCCTGAAGAAGTCAGTTGAACTTAAGGAAGTATATACTGGGATAATTGTGTTCTAGGGAGAAATTAACTTACATTGCTTTTGGGAGTAGAGGTGGGGGTTCATTCTGCCTTAAGAAGTAGATTCTGGATCGCTTGAGCTCAGGAGTTCAAGACCAGCCTGGGCAACATGGTGAAACCCCGTCTCTACAAAAAATACAAAAATTAGCTGGGTGTGGTGGTGCACACCTGTAATCCCAGCTACTCGGGAGGCTAAGGTGGGAGAAGAATTGCTAGAGCTCAGGAGGACGAGGCTACAGTGAGCCATGTTTGCACCACCGCACTCCAACCTGGGTGACAAAGTAAGACCCTGTCTCAAAAAGAAGGAAAAAAAAGTAGACTCAATATGAAAGAATCCATGCTTTGTTGGTAGTTCAACTTTTGACCATTACAATGATACATGAATCACCCACCACTCAAGAAGGAACTATGGTTGTCATTTTAATGTACATACTCCAGACCATTTTTGGAATATTGGCATTCTTTGCATGCTGGTGCCTGCCAACCAACTTTTTTAAAATTACTAATTTATTTATTTATTTATTTTGAGACAGAGTCTTGCTCTGTTGCCCAGGCTGGAGTGCAGTGGCGCAGTCTTGGCTCACTGCAAGCTCTGCCTCCCAGGTTCACGCCATTCTCTTGCCTCAGCCTCCCAAGTAGTTGGCAGGAGACAGATGCCTTCCTCTTATCTCAACTGCAAAAAGGCCTTCCTCTTTTTCTAATCCTCCTCAGCACAGACCCTTTACGGGTATCCCCCGGTGTCATGCTGGGGGACGGTCAGGTCTTTCCCTTCCCACGAGGCCATATCTCAGGCTATCACTTGGGAAGAAACCTTGGACAATACCTGGCTTTCCTAGGCAGAGGCCCCTGTGGCCTTCTGCAGTGTGTTGTGTCCCTGGGTACTTGAGATTAGAGAATGGTGATGACTTTTAACAAGCATACTGCCTTCAAGTGCTTTTTTAACAAAGGACATTCTGCATAGCCCTAAATCCATTAAACCTTGAGTCAACACAGCACATATTTCTGCGAGCACAGGGTTAGGGCTACGGTTACAGATTAACAGCATCTCAAGGCAGAAGAATTTCTCTTAGTACAGAACAAAATGAAGTCTCTTACGTCTACTTCTTTCTACATAGACACAGTAACAGTCTGATCTCTCTTTCTTTTCCCCACATCTGACACCAGATATGTGGGGTTTTTCCCACACATCAATTCAATTCTCCATACCTATTAGGTATTCTAAAATTTACTCAATTCTGACACTAATTGTCTAGACTTAGGACAGACTCCACAGGTTGAGGGCTCAGTCCCACAATACTGCCCCCCTGAAAAGTGCTGGGTCCCCAGGTTACTCACAAGTTCTTTTGGACTTGGCTACCAATTGGATGTCCCCACAACCCCCTTCTCAGATCTATTCATCTGCTAGAAGGCTCAAAAAATGCAGGAAGACAGTTTACTTACTAGATTACTGGCTTATTATGAAAGGGTACAACTCAGGAATGGCCAGTTGGAAAAGATGCATAGGTCAGGTAATGGGGAAGGGCCTCAGGGCTTCCATGCCCTTTCTGGGTATTCTACCCTCCCAGGACTACCCTATGTTCAGCAGCCTGGAAGCTCTCAACCTCATCCTTTTATTGTTTTGGTGGGTTCATTACATAGGCATAATTTATTAATTCATTAACTATTGGTGGTAAGCTCAATTTCCATCACCTCTCCCTTCCACAGAGGTCAGGGGTTGGTTGGAGAGGTGAGACTGAAAGTTCCAACTGTCTGTCACAAGGTTGGTTCCCCTGGCAACCAGCTCCCTTCCTGAGGCCATGGAAGAGCCCCAGGCACCAGTCATCTCAATAGCATATAAAAGACACTTCAGCAATTCCAAAGATTTGGAGGGCAGAGACCAAATGTATATTTATTTTTCACAGTCTGGTATATAGAAAGTGACACGGATAAGTATATTTGGTCATTGTTCCCAGTTCATGGCACAGTATGCTTAAAACCCTTGGAATTTCTTCCTGAGAAATAGGTGTGTCTTTTGTTATTCATAAGGAAACCCTGTGATACACCTGAATTTCTGCTCATGAGGTGACTACTCATGAGACCTCTAGATAGTGTCAGGATGAGACTGGTCCCCAGAAAGACCAAGCAATTAGAGGATTGGAACTGAAAGGAGGAATGGACTGGAGAGTAAGTTCTATAAAAACTCTTGAACAGGCTGGGCATGGGGGCTCGCGCCTGTAATCCCGAGCGGATCATGAGGTCAAGAGATCGAGACCATCCTGGCCTACATGGTGAAAGCCCGTCTCTACTAAAAATACAAAAATTAGCTGGGCGTGGTGGCACGTGCCTATAGTCCCAGCTACTCAGGAGGCTGAGGCAGGAGAATCCCTTGAACCCGGGAGGTGGAGGTTGCAGTGAACTGAGATCGTGCCACTGCACTCCAGCCTGGGTGACAGAGCGATACTCCATCTCAAAAAAAAAAAAATTTTATTTATTATTATTATTGTTTTGAGACAGAGTCTCGCTCTGTCGCCCAGGCTGTGAGTTTTTTTCTTTTTTTTTTTTTCTTTTTTTTTTTTTGAGATGGCGTCTCACTCTGATGCCCAGGCTGGCGGGCACTGGCATGATCTTGGCTCACTGCAAGCTCCGCCTCCGGATTCATGCCATTCTCCTGCCTCAGCCTCCTGAGTAGCTGGGACTACAGGCACCCACCACCACACCCGGCTAATTTTTTGTACTCTTGAACAAGCTTCAGGTTTGTGAACATACCAGGGTGCTGGGAGGATGCCACACGCAGAGAGGAATGGAAGCTTGGCACACCCTCTTCCATATCTTGCCCTATGCATTTCTTCAGTCTGGCTGTTCCTCAGTTATATCCTCTATTATTAACTAGGTACCATAGGTAAAGTGTTTCCTGAGTTCTATGAGCTGTTCTAGTAAATTATCAAACCTGAGGAGGGGTTTGTGGGAGCCTCTAATTTATAGCCAGTTAGTCAGAAATACTGGTAGCCCAGGACTTGTGACTGGCATCTTAAGAGGAGGCAGTCTTTTTTTTTTTTTTTTAAATTATATATTCTCCAATTTAAAAATTTTAATTGAAAAGTAAACTTTAATGTCGAAAATGCAAACTTGGGGAGGGCAGAAAGATCACACACAAGGCTGTCACTTCACACTTGGAGGGTCGCACAGCAGCCGCGCAAAGGCGCTCCTCACTTCCCAGACGTTGCGGGGGCCAGGCAGAGGCACTCCTCACTTCCCAGATGGCGGCGGTGGTGTGGGGCGGCCGGGCAGAGGTGCTCCTCACTTCCCAGATGGTGGGCGGCTAGGCAGAGGCGCTTCTCACTTCCCAGACAGTGGGGCGGCCGGGCAGAGGAACTCAAGAGGAGGCAGTCTTGTAGGATTGAACCCTTAAATCTGTGGATTCTGACAAAGATAGTGTCAGAATTGAATTGAATTGTTGGACATCTAGTTTATGTTTAGATAATTGGAGAATTGGTTGTTAGTGTTGGAAAACACTGCACAAAAACATTCAGTGCTGCAAATCTTGCCAACACTTACTATGTTATCAAATTGTGTATTTTCCATGATCTAGATGATCCAGTATTATTTTGCCTTATTTTGCATTTTCCCATTCACCAGTGAGGTTCAGATCCTTCTCATCTCTTTGTTGTTTCTTTGGATTATTTATTCTGTCATAAAGTGTCTTTAGTCTTTGTTCATTTAATTTTTTTGTGGTCTTACTGATTTATAATTGTTTATCTTGACTGGATATTGATTCTTTTATATGTTGCAAATATTTTTCTAGAGTCTTACTTCTCTTTTAGCTTGTTCAAAATATTTTTTCCCATGCAGAAGTCATTTTTTTTAAAGCTTTTTACTTATATCATGAACATGTTTTCATTTATTCCTTTTTTTTTTTTCTTTATTTGAGACAGGGACTCGCCCTCTTCCCCAGGATGGAGTGCAGTAGCACAATTATGGCTCACTGCAGCCTCAACCACCATCTGCCTGCCTTAGCCTCCTGAATAGCTGAGACCACAGGCATCCACTACCACACCCAGCTAATTTTTTGTTCTTTGTAGAGAATAGAGACAGAGTCTCACTATGTTGCTCAGGTTGGTCTCAAACTCCTGGGCTCAAACTCTCCTCTGGAAGTACTGTAATTACAGATGTGTGCCCCACTCCTGGCCTCATAAGTTCTTCTTAAGTTTACATCTTATATTCATTGTCTATTAATACCTAAGAAATTACTCCAAAAGGTAGTGACTTGAAACAACACTTAAAAAAAAAAATCTCACACTTTCTGTGGCTCAGGAATAAGGGCATGGCTTACCTGGCTACTTTGATTCACAGTCTCTCATGGGGGTTGTCGTCAAGGTGTTAGCTGGGTTGGAATCTGATCTGAAGGCTGAAATGGGGAAAGATGCAGTTCTAAGCTCACTTATGTGGTTGTTGGGAGGATTCATTTCCAGAATGAGAAATGAGGTAGTTTAGTTGAGGTCCTCAGTTTCTACCTGTCTGTTTGTCAAAGCCCACTTTTAGTTTTTTGTCACATGCACCTCCCCTATGTGCCAAATTGTTTAATCAAAGCTAGAAAATGACAGATTCTGCTAGCAAGATGGAAGTCATATAGAGTGTAATCTTAAAGTGGCATCTTGTCACTTTTGCTGTATTCTTTTCTTTAGAAACAAGCTTTTAGGCCACTTCATACTCAGGAGGATGGTACTGCACAGGGGCAGGAACACCTAGAGTGTAATAAAGAATTTGGCTAGCCTTTGTTTTCGTTCCTGGGAGGTAACCTCTAAACCCTTGTAATTACCCAAGTTATGAGTGTCTCTGTCATTCATGGTGGGCCACTCATATTTGATAGTTTATATCTATATGTATAGTGGTGACTCATAGTAGATCCCTAGATAATTTATGGCAATGACATGACTCTGGATAGGGGCTGCCCATGCCAAAAAGCGCACTAAGTGATTAGAGAGTTGTGGCTTTGAGCCATGTAATACCAGTCAGGAAGGGGAGGGAACTGGAGACTGAACTCAGCTACATGGGCAATGCTTCAATAAACTGTGCCTACATCATGAAGTCTCAATAAAATCTCTGGACATCAAAGTTTAGGTGCGCCTCGCTGGCTGGCAAGTACTCTTGAATATTGTTACACAATGTAGTCAGGAAGATGTAATGCCACCAAGGATTCCATGAGGAGAGGACAGTCAGCAGCTTTGTGTTTGGAACCTTCCCAGACCTCACCCTGTGCATATTTTCCTTTAGCTGATTCTGATTTGTGTCATTTTGCAATAGTAAAGTGCTAATTGTAAACACAGCACTTTCTTGGGTTCTCTGAGTTGTTCTATCAAGTTATTAAACCTGAGGGAGTCATGGTAGCTCCACACATTTGTAGCCAGCTCGCTGGAGTTGAGGGTGGTCTGTGTAGCCTTAAGCTTGCAGCTTGTGTCTGAAGTGAGGGCAGTCTTGTGGAGGATTGTGCTTTTAACCTGGGAAGTTTGGCCTAACCCAGGTAGTTGATGTCAGAAGTCACTGCAGCTAGAGAATGAGATTATCAGAGGACACCTTAGAGTTGGCCTGCAAGATTTCCATCCAGTAATAAATTCTTTTGGACTGTGGAGTGAGGTAGAAATTTAACTTTACACTTACCCAGTCGATAGACATCTCACATAAAGATTTTGGAATGAGATAAACTGACCAGGCTTGAGCACTTGCGCACTCTCATGAGTCTACTTTCTTGACTATGCAGCATCCCACACAGTAATATAGCATAGATTCTCTTATCAGTATTTCCTTGGATCTTAGTTACCTCTACTTCACACTCTGCAGTTCTCTGAAAAGTTATTGTGAAGCAGGAGAATGACAGTTTAGTTGACAAACAGGTCCTTGATATCATGGTTGTAAGACAGCAAGTCATCTGCTAGCCATGTGTTTTAATCCCAAATGGCCTTCCAAAATTGGCCTTTTTTGTTGCAAGAATTAGGACTTTGAAGATTGTATTCCATACGTTTCTGGATTCTATTATTGAAATGTCAGCCATCAGTATATTTTGTTATTTCTTTGTAGGTAATCTGTCTTTTGTCTCTTGATGATTCTATAGTTTTCCCTTTGCATTTGATGTATGGTAGTTTCAGTCTGATGTGTCACACCAGTTGTGACTTCCTGCTCTGAACTTGTTGGGATTTCTGAATTTGAGATTTGAGGTATTTAGTTCTGAAATATTTTAGGTTTTGGATATTTATTAATAGATATTGCTTCTCTATTACACTATTTTCCCTTTTAGAAACCATAAGTGGGCATACACTAGGTCTTGCAACTCTGTATTTCATATTTATTAACTTCTTTGTTATGATTTATCTTTTTTCTCTGTACTGCATTTTCTGCCATTTCCACTTATATATTCCAATTCACCAATAATCTTCAATGTATCTAATATGCTGTTAATCTGTCCATTAATACACATATGTATATATGTTTTTCTGTTAGAAGTTTTTTTTTGCTGGGCGCAGTGGCACACACCTGTAATCCCAGCACTTTGGAAGGCCGAGGCAGGAGGATCTCTTGAGGCCAGGACTTCAAGACCAGCCTGGTCAACATAACAAGACCCTGTCACTACAAAAATTGGTAGTAGCATCCACCTGTAGTCCTAGTTACTTGAGAGGCTGAGGTGGGAAGGTCGCTTGAGCTTAGGAGTTCAAGGTTGCATTGAGCTATTACTGTGACACTGCACTCCATTTGGGGCTACAGAGCAAGACCATCTCTCTTTAAAAATTAAAAAATAAATAAAAATCTAATCAACTTTAGGGGCCTTTTGTGCTTTATACAGATATAGTTTCATCTTTTCTCTTACATTTATTTAAAAGCACTATTTTATGAATTCAAGATGTGAAGTCTATTCATGACAGATCCTTATATTGGTTGTGAAGTCATTGGTAATGTAGGGATGTTTTATTTGTCCTGATGTCATTTGCCTACGTTTAATATTTAGAAATAGGCGCTAAAATGTATAGATAGAGGATTTTGCTCCTACCAAAGTATATTTGAGAAAGGAATATAGATGCAGGCTGTATTGTGAAAATTTTTAAAAAATTATCTTATACTTCTATATTAACAATAGGAGTTTATATCATATTGAATAGGACTTTGTAATTACAGGAATCACTGACCCTGGAGGATGTGGCTGTGGAATTCAGCTGGGAGGAGTGGCAGCTCCTGGACACTGCTCAGAAGAACCTGTACCGGGATGTGATGGTGGAGAACTATAACCACCTAGTATCACTGGGTAAGAATAGTTTCCCTGTGTCACCTAGAGGTGCCTACAATGCCCAGACACCGTCCTATGCTCACCTAATCAAAGCTTTACAGTCACTGTGGTGTTTGGAAGAGTTACATTTTCAGTCCCCTCTCTGACCCCAAAGTGGTATAATCTCTTCTAAGACAGAATGCTTACTTTGAAATTGTTTTCTTCATCGAATGTATTATTTTTCCATCTTGACATACTGGACTCCAATTCAGGATGTTTGTGTTTGTCTTTCCTCATGAACAGGGTATCAAACTAGCAAACCAGATGTACTCTCCAAGTTGGCACATGGACAAGAACCATGGACAACAGATGCTAAAATTCAGAATAAAAATTGTCCAGGTAAGTGAGAACCAGCAAGGACAGTGGCTATAGGAGTCTTATTGTAGTCATTAAGGAAAGGTGTCACATATATGAAGTATCTGAGGGTACCTAAGCAGCTCCACTATATATTCATCTCCCCATCTGATAACTTTTTTAATGCTGTTATAGCTTTAAAGACTTTTTGTCTTTTCTTGGATCTGATTTCTTGGATATATTTCAGCTTATATCTTCATAATTTCCTTTTATACTGGGATCGTAGAGTTGACAATAAAGAGCCAGCCCCCAGCAAATCATCTCATAAGCTAAGATTTTTTTTTTTTTTTTTTAGACTGAGTCTCGCTCTATCACCCAGGCTGGAGTGCAATGGCCCAATCTCGGCTTGCTGCAACCTCGTCCTCCTGGGATCAAGTGATTCTCCTGCCTCAGCCTCCTGAATAGCTGGGATTACAGGCATGTGCCACCACGCCCGGCTAATTTTGTAATTTTAGTAGAGACGGGGTTTCACCACATTGGTCAGGCTGGTCTTGAACTCCTGACCTCGTGATCTGCCCGCCTCAGCCTCCCCAAGTGCTGGGATTGCAGGCATGAGCCACCGTGCCCGGCCTCATAAGCATTTTTATCTCATACAATTCTCATGGAAGAATTTGTTACTCTGTTCTTTCTTAGGAATCGGGAAAGTTGACAGTCATCTGCAAGAGCACTCTCCAAACCAAAGACTTCTGAAGAGCGTGCAGCAATGCAATGGACAGAATACACTTAGAAATATTGTACATCTCAGCAAGACACATTTTCCTATAGTGCAAAATCATGATACATTTGACTTGTACAGAAAAAATTTGAAATCAAGTTTAAGTTTAATCAACCAGAAGAGAAGACATGGAATAAATAACCCTGTTGAGTTTATTGGAGGTGAGAAAACACTTCTACATGGTAAGCATGAACGTACGCATACTAAAACTAGATTTTCTGAAAATGCAAAATGTATCCATACTAAATTCCAAGTCTTCAAGCATCAGAGGACTCAGAAAATTGAGAAACCCCATGCATGCATTGAATGTGAGCAAACCTTCCTTAGGAAGTCTCAGCTCATTTACCATGAGAACATTTGTATACAAGAGAATCCTGGAAGTGGTCAATGTGAGAAATTATCCAGAAGTGTCCTGTTCACTAAGCATCTGAAAACTAATACAACAGACAAAATCTGTATACCCAATGAATATAGAAAAGGCTCTACTGTGAAGAGTAGTCTCATTACACATCAACAAACCCATACAGAAGAGAAATCCTATATGTGCAGTGAGTGTGGAAAGGGCTTTACAATGAAGCGCTATCTAATTGCTCATCAGCGAACTCATAGTGGAGAGAAACCTTATGTGTGCAAAGAATGTGGAAAAGGTTTCACTGTGAAGAGCAATCTCATTGTACATCAGCGAACTCATACAGGGGAGAAACCCTATATATGCAGTGAATGTGGAAAAGGCTTCACCATGAAGCGCTATCTTGTTGTACATCAGCGAACTCATACTGGAGAGAAACCCTATATGTGCAGTGAATGTGGAAAAGGCTTTACCGTGAAGAGCAATCTCATTGTACATCAGCGCTCCCACACAGGAGAAAAATCTTACATATGCAGCGAATGTGGAAAAGGCTTCACTGTCAAACGCACTCTCGTTATACATCAGCGAACTCATACAGGAGAGAAATCTTACATATGCAATGAATGTGGTAAAGGCTTCACCACAAAGCGCACTCTTATTATACATCAGCGAACTCATACAGGAGAAAAACCCTATGAATGCAATGAATGTGGTAAAGCCTTCAGCCAGAAAATATGCCTCATACAACATGAGAGATGTCATACAGGAAAGACTCCCTTTGTATGTACCGAGTGCGGAAAATCCTATTCACACAAATATGGCCTCATTACCCATCAGAGAATTCACACAGGAGAGAAACCTTATGAGTGCAATGAATGTGGAAAAGCCTTCACCACAAAGTCAGTACTCAATGTACATCAAAGAACGCATACAGGAGAGAGGCCGTATGGATGCAGTGATTGTGAGAAAGCCTTCTCCCACTTATCAAACCTTGTCAAACATAAGAAAATGCACACAAGAGAAATGGGTAGAATCAGTCAAGTTGAAAACTCCTGTAATGGAGAGTCACAGCTCCTTCCTTATAAGTGAACTCATGCAGAAGAAAACCCTACTAGTGCCGTGACTATGGAAATGCCTTTTGTGGCAACTCAGACTTCATTAAACATCAGTGTGTTTCTAGCCAATTGGAACATAAACATGGTGCTGCCTGTTGACAGATGTGTGTCTGTCCTCAGGAGGTGAAATAATTTGCCCTAGAGATCAATTTGATGAATACAGTAAATAAGGTAGTGCCTTTAGTGGTCTTTTACCTCATATTTTCTGTCAATGAAAATACGTTGAATAAACTATATTAATGTGGAGATGTTTTGAGCAATAATTTCTGCTCATATGTCTGAAAAGTATACAGAGATAAATTCTGTGAATACAAAGACTAAGAAAAGTCTTCTGTGGAAAGATAGACTTTATTATCAGGTTTCATCATAGATTTCAACGTAAGTGAGCTTATTGTTGATAGAAACATGATGACCATGACAAAGTCTTTACTCAGAAATATGACCTCAGTGAGTGTCAAAGTTTACACTGGAAAATAACTTTAAGGTGACAGTATTGATGGCAGGATTTCAGCGACGCACTCTGCTTCATCATTTGTCAGGAGATCACATAGAAAGTAAAATTGTTCCGAACATGCTATCAAATAAATGTGGAACACCTTTAGCAAACTATCAACAGCTCATGAAGGCATGAAATGTGGTGAAAATGATGAATATTTGAGTGCTTTTTCTTAATAAGTATAACCTTAAACATCAGCTAATACACCTGGTGTGCATTTTCAGTCAGGATACCTTAATCCTCATTTCTAGTTGCCTTGCCAATGATTCCATAATATACTGTCTCATTACTGTTTATTTTTACTGTTGTGTAAAATTGTGGTATAATGAGAAATACATTTGGTCTTTGTTCCTGGTTCCTGGCATAGAGCTCCTAAAACGCTTAGAATTTCATGAGTGATAAGAGTTTTTTGGTTTTGTTTTGTTTTTGCTGTTGTTGTTATTCATAGCACTGCCCTTTTAATTACACCTGATTATACTACTGAAGTGACTTATGGTTGCTCCCCTAGACAGCCTCAGAATGGGGCTGTTCTCTAGGAAGATCAAGTAACTAGAGGATGGAGACTTTGTGCCCCATTTCTCCCACCTCCTGGAAGGGGAGGGGTGCTGGAGATTAGATTAGACAATGAGATTAAGAGAACTCCAAATAGCCCAAGAGGGTGGTGCACCCCCAACTTCATAGGGGTAGAGGCTCCTGAGATTAGGAGAACCCTTTTTAGGCTTTACTCTATGTACCTCTTCATTTGAGTGTTCATTTGCGTCCTTTATAACCAGTAAAACAAAGTACGCTGTTTTCTTGAGTTTTGTGAGCCCTGTAGCAAATTATCAAACCTGAGTAGGGCAGTGGGAACTCGGAATTTATCACCATTCAGAACTGCAGGTTGTCCTTGTGAGTGGCATCTGATGTGGGGGAAGTCTTGGACTGAGCCCCTTAACTTGTGGAGTCTGCACTAATTTAGACTGCACTAACTAACTTGCACTGCACTAACTTGGACTGCACTAACTTGTGGAGTCTGCACTAACTTGGAGAAGTTAGTGTCAGAATTGAATTATAGAACACCCAGTTGTTCAGAATTGAATTGTAGAACACCCAATTGGTGTGGGAGAATTAGAGAATTTATTTGTGTCAGAAAATACTCCAGAACAACCACCCCATATTATGATTAGCTCTTTTCCTTTCTTTGGCTCTGAGCTTAATTGTACATTAAGCAAACTTAAGTAGAAAAGAAACTGAATATGTTAAATATATTAACAACATATTTGGACTTGCTTAACTAAGATTATAGAGATGATCAGTTTATAAAACCACCTTCAACTTAAATAAATTTGAACTCGAAATTGCAAAAGCAGTCTAGAGGCTTTGCTAGTATCCTTCAACCAATTTCTAGTAAAAATATCCTATATAACCATAATTATCAAAACCAGAAAAACAACATTGGTAGGATACTATAAAGTACTAATCTTATTTTGGATTTGACGAATTTTTACATGTTTTTTTCTTTTTTAGTTTGTACTCTAAGAAGTTGTATTACATGTACAGATTCGTGTAACCACTGCAACCACATAAAACTAATGAACACAAAGTCCCTCATGCTACCTTTTTATGCTTACACTCCATCCAAACCTAACTCTGCCAACCACTTTTCTCCTATCAGTATAATTTCATCATTTCATGAATATGATAAAAATAAAATTGTTTTTGTAAATGGTTTTTATAAATTTTATATAAATAAGTTATATGAATTTTTATTGATAGAGAGTATGTAAGCTTTTGGCATTTTTGTCACTCAGCAAATTACTCCTAAGGTTTATATGAGTTGATGAATAGTTGTTTTATTATTTTTTTTTACCACCATGTATCTAACCAGATGAAAGTTGTTTATATTTGAGAGTAGTATACATATTTGATGTAGTAGTTTATCCATTCACCTATGAGATATATTTGCACTGTTTTCCTGGTTTTAAGTGCTATAAATAAAGATGCTGTGAAATCTACATACAGCTTTTGCTTTTGCTTTTTTTTTTTTAGGATTTACAATCTTAACCTCTTTTTTTTCTTTTTTAAGAGACAGGGTCTCTTGAGAGGCCGAGGCAGGCGGATCACTTGAGGTCAGAAGTTCAAGACCAGCCTGGCCAACGTGGCGAAACCCTGTGTCTACTAAAAATACACACAAAAAATTAGCTGGGTATGGTGCTGGGCTGTTGGGAGCCGAAGGCCCATGGGATGTGACCAACTCAGCATTCCACTGGAGGCTATATGATCAAACAGCAAACTTTATCATGAATGCACGATGTGGGCAAACTCATGACTGCTTCCGCTGCCAGAAGGTTTGCTGAGGGCAATCGCTTCCTGGTGCTGAGCTCCTTGAGGTTATCTACTGGGACATCTAGAGAATGCCATCTTGCAAACCCTACTCTGGACTGAGTAGCTGACCCCTTCTTCCACCCGCCTTCTCACTATCTCTTTTGCCTAATAAATATGGAGGGCTGTGTAAAGCTCAGGGCCCTTGTCCACTAGAGGCAAGGTGTCCCCTGATCCCTTCTTCCAAATATACTCTTTTGTCTCTTTTATTCCCGTTTCCCCCACTTTTTTCAGTCCCCCTAGGTCCTTGTGGGTTACGTAGTGGCGCCCCAAACAGTGACAGGATCGGGCGCTCTACAGTTGGCGCCTGTAATCCCAATTACTTGTGAGGCTGAGGCAGGAATCACTTGAACCTGGGAGGCAGAGGTTGCAGTGAGCTGAGATCCTGCCACTGCACTCCAGGCCTGGGCAACGGAATAGGCTCTGTCTGAAAAACAAACAAAAACAACAAAAAAAAGAGTCTCTGTTGCCTAGGCTGGAGTGCAGTGGTGCGATTATAGCTCACTGCAGCCTCAAACTCCTGGGTTCAAGTGTTCCTCCTGCGTCAGCCTCCCATGTAGGTGGGACTATGTGTGTGCACCCTCATGCCTGGCTTTTTTTTTTTTTTTTTTTTTTTTTGTAGAGACAGCATGTTTTAGGCCATTCTTGCATTGCTATAAATAAATACTTGAGGCTGGATAATTTATAAGAAAAGAGGTTTAATTGGCTTATGATTCTACAGGCTGTACAGGAAGCATAGCACTGGCATCTGGTCCTGGGGAGGCCTCAGGAAGCTTACAATCATGGTGGAAGGTGAAGAGGGAGCAGGAGTAAGACAGAGTGGAGGGGGTAGGTGCTGCACACTCAAATAGCTAGATCTTGCTAGTACTCACTCACTATTGCAAGGGCAGCATCAAGCCATGAGGGATCTGCCCCCATGACTGAGACACCTCCCACCAGGCCCCACCTTCAACATTGGGGATTACATTTCCTTTTTTTTTTTTTTTTTTTGAGATGGAGTCTCGCTCTGTCTCCCAGGCTGGAGTGCAGTGGGACGATCTCGGCTCACTGCAAGCTCTGCCTCCTGGGTTCACACCATTCTCCTGCCTCAGCCTCCCGAGTGGCTGGGACTACAGGCGCCCGCCACCATGCCCAGCTAATTTTTTTTTTGTATTTTTAGTAGAGACAGGGTTTCACCATGTTAGCCAGGATGGTCTCTATCTCCTGGTCTTGTGATCCACCTGCCTCGGCCTCCCAAAGTGCTGAGATTACAGGTGTGAGCCACCACGCCCGGCTGACATTGGGAATTACATTTCAACATGAGATTTGGACAGGGACAAATATCCAAACTATATCATTCAGCCCCTGGTCTCCCTCCCCAACAAATCTCATGTCCTCACATTGTAAAATACCATCATGCCTTCCTAAGAGTCCCCAAAGTCTTAACTCATTCCAGCATTAACTCAAAAGTCCAAAGTCTTATCTGAGACAAGGCAAGTCTCTTCTACCTATGAGCCTGTAAAATAAAAAGTTATTTGCTTCCAAGATACAATGGGGGCATAGACGTTGGGTAAACATTCCCATTCCAAAAGGGAGAAAGCCACAAGAAAGGGCTATAGGTTCCATGCAAGTTCAAAACCCAGCAGGGTAGTCATTAAATCTAGTGCAAGGCGTGGGTTCCCAAGGCCTTGGGCATCCTCTGCTCATGGGGCTCCCTCAGGCAGACATCATGGTTTGCAGACAGCTGTATCCTTCCCAGGTGGCCCTACAGAGGAAGGCACACCCGACTTTTCCAATGTCCTGCAGACCCAGCTGTCTCAACTCTTATGGTGATCCAAGAGTGAGGGCCCCTCCCTACTTGGACACCACCCAAGCTGGCAAGTCCTGCTTGGCTAGGAGCAGGGATAAGCACTTGGATGGCAGATTAGGTGACCCCCACCCACTCATGGCATTATGTTTGTCCACAGAGTTTAGTAACAATTGGGACTGCTGGGCCGGAGGCTCTAGTGGTTGGATTTTGACTGGGGCTGCATGGTCTAAATAGCTTTTTTCACATATTTGGGCTTCTGCTGGAATGGATGAGGCCTTTATTTACACAGTCAACAAGAGGCTAGTCTGGGCTTTCTTACAATGTGTTGGAAGATCTCTAAGAGACAAGCAAGCCTTGATGAGCAAGCTTATTTCTCACCTCCATTTGTGTTACACTTGCTACTGTCCTATTGGACACATTAGTCAGTCACTATGGAGAATACTATCCAAAGATGTGAATATAGAGATGCAAGAATAAATTTATGCAATAACCACAAAAGTATTTGTTTCCTTATAATTGTCAGATCAATACCATAAATATCCTTGCACATATTTGTTCTCACAAAGAAAAGTTCTATTGAATCAATTCTTAAAATTCATGGCTCAAGGAGAAGGAAAAGTTTAAACTGGGTAATAACAGACTGTACTACAAAAACATTTTACGAATTTATATAGAAACACAATCCTATACCTAGAAATAATGTAATGCTTAAGAACTTCGAATTATGACCAGTATGATAATATCTCAATTCATTTAAAGCAGTATGTAATTGACAACATTATTACCTACCATGCAGAAAAAGAAGACTTAAAGAGGCTTAGCATAACAGAATGCCTTTGTTCCATGGCCTTATAATCTAAATATGATTTGTCATTCAATCTTTACAAATCTTAATAAGGGTTAAAACATTTATATTTCACGTTTACTTTGCATTTGTTTGAATATTAGTAAAACTGGTATTTTTTAAATTGTTTAGGATCATTTACATTAAAAAAAGTGTCCTGTTTATTTCCTTCATGTATTTATAGAAAATTTTAGGGAGCTTTTAAGTTGATCATCTTTTCCTTATTTTTATTTATTTTTTTTTTTGAGACAAGAGTCTCACTCTGTCTCTCAGGCTGGGGTGCAGTGGCATGATCTTGGCTCACTGCAACCTCTGCCTCCTGGGTTCAAGCGATTCTCGTGCCTCAGCCTTCCAAGTAAATGGGACTACAGGCCTGAGACACCATGCCCAGCTAATTTTTTTTGTATTTTAGTAGCTATGGGGTTTCGCCATGTTGGCCAGGCTGATCTCAAACTCCTGAACTCAGGCAATCCTCCCGCTTTGGCCTCCCAAAGTGTTAGGATTACAGGCATGAGCCACCGCGCCCATCTTTTTTCTTATTTCTTTTCAGATCTCTTTATAGGCCGGGTGAAGGGTGAAGTGGCTCACACCTGTAATCCCAGCACTTTTGGAGGATGAAGTGGGAGGACTGCTTGAGGCCAGTTCAAGACCAGCTGGGCATCATAGTGAGACCCTTGTCTCTACAGAAAATTAAAAAATTAGCCAGGTGTGGTGGTGCCCACCTGTAGTCCCAGCTATTCAGGAGCCCAGGAGTTCCAAGTTACAGTGAGCTGTGATCTCCCCAGGCACTCCAGACTGGGCAACAGAGTGGACCTTGCCTCAAAAAGAGACAAAAAAAAAACAAAAAAAAAGAAAAACTCTCATATACCAAGGGTGAGAAGAGCAAATGGAACACGAACTTGACTCTGAAAAATAGTTTGACAATTTCTCTGTATATTTATATACTGATACCTATATCACACACATAGATTCACACAGGCATTTCCTTTCTCTCATTCTTCTAATATAGGAAGTTTGGTTGGATTTATATTTACAGTTCAGCATTGCCATGACTTTGCACATACTATTCGCGGTTGGCACACGTAGTATAACGTGATCTCCTTCTTAACCTTTCTTTCTTTTGTTTTTTTTTTGAGATGGAGTTTTGCTCCTGTTGCCCAGGCTGGAGTGCAATGACGCCATCTTGGCCCACAGCAACCTCCGCCTCCCGGGTTCAAGCGATTCTCCTGCCTCAGCCTCCCGAGTAGCTGGGATTACAGGCATGCGCCACCATGCCTGGCTAATTTTGTATTTTTAGTAGAGACAGGGTTTCTCCATGTTGGTCAGGCTGGTCTCGAACTCCCGCTCTCAGGTGATCCGCCCACCTCGGCCTCCCAAAGTGCTGGGATTACAGGCGTGAGCCACCGCGCCCGGCCTCTTTCCCAACCTTTTTTTTCTCACTGAAGTGGTCCTGTTCCCTTAATTTCTGGCCACTTCTCCTGAGTCCAGCCCTCATATTTGGCTCCACCTGGGTCCCAGGCTCTCCCCTCCGCCTTGGGAACTATACTTTCTGGCTTTTACTGGCTTTTCCCCATGCCTTTCACCCAACATAATTTTGGCACGTTCCAACCGTTTTCATTACCTAGTCTGTGACTGCTACCCCTGTTCCGTCAGCGTAGCTAACAGCCCTCTTCTGCGTTCAAAAGGCGCTTCAAGCTACTTTGTTAGAAATCTGGCTTTGGCCGAAGTGTCCCCTCTCGGCCGGTTCTCCTTTTCCCTCACAAGGAACTGTTTCCTAACCTTTGTACAAAGTGTAAACGTCGCGGCCATCTTAGCCTTCTATTCAGCTGCTGAAAGGGATTTACCTCCACGCCATTTTTGTCTTGTGTAAACTGGAGCCTCTGTATATGGACCCGTATTTATGAAGGGTTGAGGTGCCAGGAAATGGGACAGTTTCAGTGCTCTTTCATCTTCCCGGCCATCCCCGGTCACCCCCGGTCACCCCCGGTCACCAGCGCCAAAACGCGCCCTTTGCCTTGTGTACGTCAGATACTCAAAGATGGCGGCCCCCATGGAGCCAAGGCGACGAGGGCGCGGCCATCTTGCATCTGCGCAAACGCTGGGAACGCCTCCGACCCTGGATAGTCGCCGTCAGGCACTGAGGAGGCCGAGAGATGAGGCCGGAGCCCACCAAGTTCTGGGAAGTAAGTTCAGTCACTGGGTGGTCGCTGTGGTGACGGGGGAGGAAATTCTGTCCGTGGCTGGGCGTGTTCGTGGACAGTGGTGATGGACTGGTATCTGTCGGCGCCAGCGTTTGGCGACGCCAGTGGAATTCTTTCAGGAGCTTAGCGTGGGTCCGATTCCTATCGCAGGGGAACTACAAGAGGTCCGTGATAGGGTGTGTGTGTGTGTGATCGGGGTACCTCTGGGACCAGTCACAGGGTCCTCGTGTAGTTTGTGGTTAAAGATCTCTAGAGATCCGCTACTGAGTGCCCAAGTCACATTCTGGTGTCTTTGGTGTTGTCCTTTGGCGGGGCTCAGTGATTGCGAACTGGAGGGTTTGTTTTGTCAGCGAATCGGTTTATGGTTCAGGTTTTGTTTGGGACTAAATGATTGAGGAACTGTCTTGGGGGTTAAGGTACGGAGGTTTCTGATCCAGGTTTTGGAATTAATCCCGGTGGCGGTGGTGGTAGCGCCACAGATTCCGATGTGGGCTGCAGCTCTGGAGGCCTGGGAACCATGGCAGGTGATGGGTTAGCCCCAGCCCTGGCTGCTGGAACAGAATTGATGCTCATTAGCATTCCCCTTCTGCCCAAGACCCTTCTCCACGACTGGTTTTTAAATCCCCTTTGGCACCTTCCATCACCCCTTGGTCTTGAATCCTCAGAAATGGAAGTTTTTGGCGAGATCAGTCATCTAGCATACCTAAAAGTAGTATGTTTTATATTTAAGATGCGGCTTCTACCCTTTGTCCTGCAAGTTTCCAGCGTATCCTCTTGGATATTTCTTTTCAGGTTCTTTCTGACACAAGTAAGATAACATCTCTGCCATGGTAAGCTCGGTTACTCAAAGATAACCTTTGTCAAATTTTCAGAATATTTCAATTTTAGACGTGTATGTTATGTGCTTAATATTCATAATTCAGATAAATTATGTAAATGGTACTATTATCTTTTTCGCTTTATATTATGTAATAAACATTTAGAAGTTGTTTTTACTGTTTGAGCCGGTGGTACTATAAGTGCATTCACATTAAGTTTATGCGTACATTTGGATAGAAGTGAAATGTTTTAAAATGTTTAGGTATTATTTTTAGGAACATTTTATGATTATCCATTTATCCATGAATTTTGTTTTTCCTGCCTTTAATCTTCAATCTAGACTATTACTTTTATTGCAGTGTATTGCTTTCTGACTCCCCTTTCCTTATAATCTATAACAAAAGATAAATTAATTTTAAATATTTATTTTATATTTGGTCATCTTAATTCTTAGTATTACAATATTTTTCTCTCTGCCTAACATATTATTTTGTGAAAATTTTTGAACCTATGGAAATATTGAAAGAAGTTTAATGTTAATACCAATATGCCTACCACCTAGCTTTTACCATTAACATTGTATTAGATCAGCTCTACTGGTTTTCTAAGTATTCATCCATTCCTCTGTTTGTGAATCATTCCTTATTTGTTGTCGATTTTGGTATATTTCAAAGTAAGTTACAGACATAAGTACCATTCCTCTAAATAATTCTGTATATGATTAACTAGAATTCTACTAATAGCCCTTTAATTGCTTTATTTATTTACTTAATAGGGAGGCATCTGATTTACAGATAATTTTGGTTCGGTATAAAGTAGAGTAAAAGTGGATTTTGAAGTGAAACAAAAGTGGATTTTCAGCCCTGATTCTGCTTCTTGCTCATTGTGTGATTGGCATAACTTGTGTCGCTTTACTTGTTGGCCAAAAGAGGAGTTAAACATCTTTTCCTCACGATTATCTCTGAGGATTATTTTTGGTTTTGTCTTTTGTAAAATTTGTATTTATATTCATTTTTTTCTCTCCCTTCCTCCCGCCTGGTTTCTCTCTTTTTTCTATTAATGAAAACATTTAAAGCCGTAAACTTATATTACTGAACTACCATCAGCAATTTTATTTTAAATGTAGAATGCTAATATTTTTCTGATGTAAACCTGTGTTTTCCCTATGAAAAATCAAGTGAAGAAAGTAAAAATGACCTGTCAGATAGCACACTTTTGCCAATATTACCTTTTAAGAAAGTTTTAGGAATGGGGTTTTGGGTTACCAGGTATACCTTTATTGGCAATTTTCAATAGAATGTTAAATTGTTCCCAAGAAAGGTTCTGCTCTTAATACTGACTCGATCTGTATATGCTTTAGGAGGATATAGGATTTTTCTATTTAAATTTTGTATCCAGCCACCTGACTAAAGGAATACAGACGTATTAGGCAAATACTGATAATTTGCCCCTTATATTCAAAAGTCATCTTTGATTATTTTTTTATACTGCATTCTACTGAGTGACATTCTAGACCCAAATTCTCAACTCTGCCATTGTAATGTGATAATAGCCTGAGATGAAATGTCATGGAATGCATGTAGCTGTGTTCTTATAAGACTTTATTTACAAAACAGGTGGTCCAGGTCCTGGATACTATATTACTGACTCTTGATTTAGGTGACCATATGGCTTTTCTGCACAAATTCACAGTTGGGCAACTAGAGCCCATGGACTAAATCTCCCAGCACCTGTTTCTGTTAATAAAGTTTTGTTGGGACCTGGCCACAATCATTTGTCTATTTTTTTGTATGTGGGCATTTTTGAGCTACAACAGTAGAGTTGAGTAGCTGCCACGGAAACCATAGACCTCTCTTTTAACATGGAAATAATTTTTTAAAAATTAGTTTTATTGCTGACACTATTGATTACAAACAACATATAAACTTATTTGTTAATGTTATGGTAATTAGTATTTTATACTCTTCTGCTATGCAGATATCTTAAAATACGTTTTCATTTGCCATCCTCCTACTTTATATGTTCTTTTTTGTTGTTGTTGTTTTGAGATAGAATCTCACTCTGTCACCCAGGCTGGAGTGCAATGGCACAATCTTGGCTCACTGCACCCTCCGCTTCCTGGGTTCAAGCAATTCTCCTGCCTCAGCCTCCTGAGTAGCTGGGATTATAGGCACGCGCTACCATGCCCAGCTAATTTTTGTATTTTTAGTAGAGACGGGGTTTCACCATGTTGGTCAGGCTGATCTCGAACTCCTGACCTCGTGATCTGCCCACCTCGGCCTCCCAAAGTGTTGGGATTACAGGCGTGAGCCACCGCACCCGGCCTATATGTTCTTATGGAATATTTTAACACTATATATATTAAAACTTCCTGATATATTATTATCAGTATTATTTTTCCAGTCAATACTGATTTAGGCTTTATTAATTACTTACCGTTTTGTTCCTCTTCAGACCTTGCTCCTCTGCTTACACTGGAGTCATCTTTCTTTTGCTTGAAGAATATCCGTTAGGATTTGCTGTAATATGTAATTCCTCAAGGATATTTTTGCTGAGTATCCTTTATACATTTATACTTAGAATACTTTGCAAGTATCAAGATGTGGATGGCGGCCGGGTGCAGTGGCTCATGCCTGTAGTCCCAGCACTTTGGGAGGCTGAGATGGGTGGATCAGTTGAGCTCAGGAGTTCAAGACCAGCCTGGCCAACATGGTGAAACCCCGTTTCTACTAAAAGTACAAAAATTAGCAGCGCATGTGGCGTTCACCTGTAATCCCAGCTTCTCAGGCGGCTGAAGCAGGAGAATCGCTTGAACCCAGGAGATGGAGGTTGCAGTGAACAGAGATCACGCCACTGGAGTCTTACTCACTCCAGCCTGGGCAACAGAGTGAGTGAAACTCAGTCTCAAAAAAAAAAGAAAAAAAGTCAAAGATGTGGATGGTAATGAATAATTTAAATAAGATAGTGCTTATTATTTGCTTAGGACAGTGTTCTCAGATTGCAGTATCCTAGAATGTAAAAAGACCTCTGAAAAGGTAGATGGGTACACATGGTTTTAAAGAAAAAATGTGTGCATCTTAACTGTCTATGTGACCTCTTTCCTAAAACTGGTCTGCCTGAGGATTGCCCAGCTGCTGGGCATCACGTTGTGACGATTCTTTTCCCCACATTCTCTTTCACTTACTAGCAGTAGTCATACCACGTCAACTTTATATAGAAGGGTGCTGTACCTCCCATATATTCAGAATGTTATATTTTACTAGCCCAGATATAAAAGCTTCTGGAGCACTAAATAAAAGAACAGAGAGATATTTGGGGGCCTTGATTTAAGGTGAGCATATAGGAACAGTGACAACATCTGGGCCTAAAAAGAATGTACCACTCAGAGTAATTTGCTCTTCAGCCCACAGGTGCTGAGAACAAGAGAAATCAAGTGAAGGAAGGAGGCGGAGTTTCCAAGACTTGGGTGTCATCATTTCTGGGGACATCCTTGATTGGAGATTGAAGTTTTTGAACCGAAATTTAGAGCTGATTCAGAAGAGACAAATACAGAACGTCCAAGTTAGCAGTCATTTCCCAAATTTAGGAGACAATGATGCAGGCCCAGGTGACTTTTGGTTTGTTTTATTCTTTCCTTTATTCTCCAATGTATTTTTAAAGTCCTGTAAAAATCAGGGTAATTAATCAGAAAAGTATAAATTGGAAATATCAGGACCTGGAGAAATCTGGGCAAAGAAGGATCAGGGATATATTATTCATAGGATTCATACTACATGATTCATGTTGGAATTTGTGACTGTGTGGGACCCCGTAGGTTACATTTGCTGTAAACTTGCCTCTAGTATCTCTGACAAGCTATACAAGAGAAACATGATAAGTTATATCAACTGTGAGAAAGCAGACCAGTTTCTTGAGGGATGTTAATGTTTCATGGCTTATAATTCTGAGGCTCAAATACATCTTTGATAGTTCTTCACGGAGGTGTTATGGTAGGTGGTGTTCTTAACTGTAGCCTTCTCATAAATGCAAAAGTAGATTTCTTTTAGCTGTTTCTTCATTGTATTTAATGTTATTAACGCTGTCTAATAACATACACATATATATGAATTTGTCTGTGTGCATACATGTGTCTGCATATATATTCTAAGGATTTTTTTTTCCAAATTTGCTTAATCATGGCCAGGCGCTGTGGCTCACACCTGTAATCCCAGCACTTTGGAAGGCCAAGGCGGGTGGATCACCTGAGGTCAGGAGTGTGAGACCAGCCTGGCCAACGTGGTGAAACCTCATCTCTACTAAAAATACAAAAATTAGCCAGGTGTGGTGGCGTGCGCCTGTAATCCCAGCTACTAGGGAGGCTGAGGCAGGAGAATTGCTTGAACCCGGGAGGCAGAAGTTGCAGTGAGCCGAGATTGTGCCACTGCACTCCAGCCTGGGCAACAGAGCAAGACTCCATCTCAAAAAAAAAAACAAGCAAGCAAAAAAACAGATTTGTTTAATCATCTAATAATCTTTGTGCTTTATACATGTTTTATATAGTCTCTTTTATTTCATTCAGAATAAAATAATAATATGGTTAACTATGTTAACCATAGTTATTTAGAATGCATTGTCTTGTGATACTAGCATCTGCCATGTCTTCATTACAGAGTTTGATATTGGCCTGAAAGCTCATAGTGAATTTAAGAATCTGAATTATTCGTCTACTTGTAACTGGCATATACTTATGACTAGTTTGGTATTGGGAAATAGATGCTACATGTTATAGATGTTCTTTCATTAGCAAGAGGATTGGATAGCTGTGTATTACAGACATTTCTTTGACTTTTCAACATTGTTGAATGAATGGATGACCGCACAGTTACAGAATATTTTACTGGAATTCTTATTCTGTCAAAATGTACTAAGAAAAAAACCCCACCAGCTTCCTATGTGGTGAAAATGAGCGGAATGACTTCCTTGACATTCTTTTCCTATCACCAAAAGAATATGACTTCATTAAACAGAAGTGTGTTATTACAGGAATCCCTAACACTGGAGGATGTGGCTGTGGACTTCACCTGGGAGGAGTGGCAGTTCCTGAGCCCTGCTCAGAAGGACCTGTACCGGGACGTGATGTTGGAGAACTACAGCAACCTGGTGGCAGTGGGTGAGGACAGCTGCCCTGTGTCACTCAGAGGGTGCCCAGTCAGTGGCCTTCCTTTCTCAGCTGCTTACCTGCAGTACTCTGAAGTGGTAGATTCTCACATCATTCTCTTGCCCCACACAAGAGAGTATAATCTACCTTCTTGTTACAGATCTGATACCTATGTAGTCCTTAAAATGTAACTCTCCTTTTTCAATATTGCCAGCCCCGTTTGATTTGTCTAAATCTTCTGTCATTTCCCATGAACAGGGTATCAAGCCAGCAAACCAGATGCACTCTCCAAATTGGAACGAGGAGAAGAAACTTGCACAACAGAAGATGAAATCTACTCTCGAATCTGTTCTGGTGAGTGAGAGGAGCAGCCAGGTGGACAGCCACAGACACCATGTTCTGCCCACACAGAGCAGGCGTCAAAGCAGTGAGGGCATCTGAGGACACAGCAACAGCCCCTCCATCACTCCTTCTTCCCAAGGAAGAGCTCTTTTTTGTTATAGTATGGAAAATATGCCCCACTTTCTTTTCTTTTTTTTTTTTTTTTTTTGAGATGGAGTCTTGCTCTGTCACCAGGCTGGAGAGCAGTAGCGCAATCTTGGCTCACTGCAACCTCCGCCTCCCGGGTTCAAGGGATTCTCCTGCCTCAGCCTCCTGAGTAGCTGGGACTACAGGTGCGTACCACCACGCCCAGCTAATTTTTGTATTTTTAGTAGAAACGGGGTTTCACCATATTGGCCAGGATGGTCTTGATCTCTTGACCTTGTGATCTGCCCACCTTGGCCTCCCAAAGTGCTGAGATTACAGGCTTGAGCCACTGCGCCCGGCCCCCACTTTTTTTCCTTGAGATTTCATCTTTGTTTATTTTATGCACATCTTGTTTTTGTCTACATAATTATCTTCTTAGGATTTTCAAATCTGCCTTTTCTTGTCCACTGTCACAGTGTCTCTGCTTGTGTATTACCTCTCTTGCTATGAAATTCCATTTTCCAGGCCTCTCCGGAAAGAGAGACCTTTGAACTCATTACTTTTTTCTGACTACTGCATCTTCCTGCCCTAGTAGGAAAATAATAATTTTCCTTCATTATTCCCACTCTGGGAATCATTATTTTCCCTCATTTTCTCCACTCTGGATGCTGTGCCCATGATAACCTGGTCTCTGATTGGCATTTATGTGTTTCTTAAGTTCTCTTATTCCTCTTATACTGAATCCTGAGTTTCTCCATACTTTTTTTTTTTGGAAAGAAGGTCTCATCTGTCACCCAGGCTCACTGTAGCCTTGACCTCCTCGGCTCAAGCGATCCTCCCACCTCAGCCTCTTAAGTGGCTGGGACTACAGGCACACATCACCATGCTCAGCTGATTTTTGTATTTCTTATAGAGGTGGGGTTTTGTCATGTTGCCTAGGCTGGTCTTGAACTCCTTGGCTCAAGTAATCTGTCAGCCTTGGCCTCCCAAAGTGCTGGGATTACAGCGTGAGCCTCCGTGCCCAGCCCATCCTTCTTCCATTTTCTTTACTGTTCTCATAACTTTTAAAAGTTTTTTTCATTCCCGTGAATTAACTCTTCATTCTCTGGAAGAGACTACCAAATTAACTTCTGCCTTAATATTATCTAATGTATACTTTATTTCCATGTATTTTACTTGTCTTCATGACAACTAGCCTGTAACTTCCCATTTTGTGTATGAGGAACAAGAATCATCTTCCCTCTAAGAATAATGCTTTTGGCTATCCTTATATAATTTTATTTTTTTAATTTTATTTTATCTTTTATGTTTTTATTTTAGATTCAGGAGGTGCATCAGGAGGTGCATATGCAGGTTTGTCTCATGGATATATTGCCTGATGCCGAGGATTCACTAGAAGCTCAATCCTGTCACCCAAGTAGTGAACATAGTACCAAATAGGTGGTTCTTCAACCCTTGCCTTCCTCCCTTCTTCCTCTTGGAGTCCCCAGTGTCTATTGTTCCTGTCTTGATGTCCCTGTGTTCCCAATGTTTAGCTCTTGCCTACAAGTGAGAATACACAGTATTTGGTTTTCTGTTTCTGAGTTATTTCACTTAGGGTAATGGCTTCCAGCTGCATCCATGTTGCTGCAAATGACATGCTTTAGTTCTTTTTTATGGCTTTGTAGTATTCCATGGTGTATATATACCACAGTTATCCTGTTCACCATTGATGGGAACCTAGGTTGATTCCATGTCTTTGCTGTTGTGAATCGTGCTGCAGGCTGTCCTGTTTAAATCCAGGGTCTCTTTCATTACTGCACATCTTAAATTCTGGCATTACCTTAAGTGTTTTCTACATGCTGAACTCTCTTAAAGTTCTCTACTTTAAGATAATGTTTTGATTAATTAGAAAAGATCTTTTAATATCGTATATTATTTCTAGCCCAAACCATCAGACATTTATGCCTGCTGCAAATTACTTCCTTCATAGTTTTGCTAATTCTGAACTTTCTTTAATTCATGTTAGATGTTTTGACTGCATTCATTTCTGTATAGCTTTTGCTTTTTTCATCATATTTGTAAACTATTATTGAGATACAATGCACATATCACATGATTTCACCCATTTAAGGTGTATAAGCCAGTGGTTTTTAATCTATTCACCTAGTTGTGTAACCATACCACAATCAATTTTGGAACATATACTATGTATAAATATATATTATCAAATAGTCTTGATGATTATGGTTCTATAGTAAGTTTTGAAATTGGGAAGTGTGAGTCCTCCATCTTTGTTCTTTGCTTTGAAGGTTGTTTTGACTATTCTGAGTCCTTTGAATTTCCATTTGAAGTTTAGAATCAGTTGTAAATTTCTACAAAAAGAGTGGCTAGGATTTTGGTAGGTACTGCACTGAGTCTGTGTAACAATTTTGGGGAGTATTCCCATTTTCATCATATTAAGTATTCTGATCCATGAACACTGGACAGTTTTATATCCTGTTAGGTCTTTGACTTCTTTCGACAATGCATTATCACTTTCAGAATATAAATTTGGTACTTCCTTTGCTAAGTATATTCCTAAGTATAGTTTTCTTTTTGTTTCTGCAGTTAATGGAATTGTTTTCTTGATTACATTTTCAGATTATTCATTGCTAGAATATAGAAATAACATTAATTACTTTTCTATCATATTTTGATGACACCTAGTCCCAGTTAATCATGTTTCTTGTCATATGATTCCTTCCTTTAAAACTTGTGTTTTGGGCTGGGCGCGGTGGCTCATGCCTGTAATCCCAGCATTTTGGGAGGCCAAGGCAGATGGATCACTTGAGTTCAGGAGTTCGAGACCAGCCTGGCCAACATGGTGAAACCCCGTTTCTACTAAAAATACAAAAATTAGCCGGGTGTGGTGGTATGTGCCTATAATCCCAGCTACTCAGGAGGCTGAGGTGGGAGAATCGCCTGAACCCTGGAGGCAGACATTGCAATGAGCCAAGTTCATGCCACTGCACTCCAGGCTGGATGACAAACCCCCCTGCCTCCACCACACACCCAAAACTTGTGTTTTGATAGCCTACTATATTCCAACGCTATCAGCAGTACAAATAAGAAAGAAAAAACATACCATGTCCTTATTCTTCACAATGCTTTTGTTCTCTTAGAAGTAACCATATAACCAGTAATAAGCAGATATATAAATAACATATCTTGGAGTAAAAATTGCTATAAGGAAAGTTAAAGCAGCTGGTGGAACAGTAAGTGTTAGGAGTTGGCACTGTGCTTGTAGGGTGGGAACAGCTCTTTGTTAAGGTGCCTTTGAGCAGATAGATGATGAACACGTGTAGGCTCCCTGGATGAAGAGTGTTCCAGGTGTGAGACAATGAGAAGTTGAAAAATGACCCTGGAGTGTGTTTGAGGAACTTCTAGGAAGCTTGAATGGATAGAGTAGAGTGAGCAAAAGCAAAACTGTCTGGAAATAAGAACAGTGGGGGCATAGTTGGAAGTTTTGGTACAGAGGTCACATACTGCCTGTCAAGGGCATTCATGACCTTGATTTTATTCCAAATGAGTTGAGAACACAGTAGGGAGTTTTGAGTAGAGAAGTGACATGATATAACTAATTTATTTGATAGATTACTTTGCCTGCTACGTAGAAGGTAGACGTTAATGGGGAGGAGAGGGAACTGCTACACTCATGATTACAGTTTGTGACAGTGAAATAATACAAATTAAAATCATCAAAGATAAAAAGTATAGAAAGAAGAATCCAGGAGAAACTGGGTGCAAGCTTTCAGTTCTCCTGTTCTAGTGGAGTTGCACAAAGTGCTGAATTTTCCCTGCAACAGTGTTTGTCAACACATGTGAAGTTATTGCCAACTAGGGAAGCTCATCTAAGCCCAGTGTCTGTAGCCACCCAGAGTCAAAACAATACAAATGTGGCCCAAAGCCTGAGACATGCAAAACCAGGTGTCCACCATAAATCACATTGCTAGCATAAACTATCTGATATGACCCAAGGCCTCAGGCATTAAAAGATACCCTTAGCAGGCAGAATATTCCAGGGGCTCAGAGGTTATCTTTTAGAAGGCAGTTAAGACGAGTTCTTTCTTTGGAATGTGTAGGGATGGAATAGCCCAGGCCTGCTGAGTTAACACTTTGCTGCAAATCATTGTTCCCTCTTTCTGTAGCAACACGGGATAGTATGATCCAGTTAGGTCATTAGTTGGAGTCTTAAGTATAGAACCTTTCATCTAAACTTGAGATTGTGCTTTGGGAAAATTAGTTTAATGGTGGTACATAGAATGAAGAAGAATAGCAAGTTTGGGGAATGTGATAATCACTCAGCATGTGACACTTTAAATCAAATGCTGAGGATCTCACATTCTTCTGTTTTTTAAATTTATGATTTCTTTTCTTTATTTTTCTACTCTGTTACCCAGGCTGGAGTGCAGTGGCACAATCATGGCTCACTGCAGCCTCAATCTCCTGGGCTCAAGTGATCCTCCCACTTTAGCCTAGCTGGGACTACATGCCACCACACCCAGCTAATTTCTGTATTTTTTATAGAGAAAGGTCTCACTATGTTGCCCAGGCTGGTCTCAAATTTCTGGGCTCAAGTGATCCTCTTTGCCTCACCCTACCAAAGTGCTGGGATTACAGACATGAACCACCACACCAGGACATGATTACTTTTTAATTCCTAAATAAAAAATACATATATTTATCATGTAAAACATGTTGTTTTGAAATATGTGTACATTGTGGAATGGCTAAATTGAACAAATTAATGTATATACTACCTCACGTACTTACTTTTTTTGTGAGAACACTTAAAATCTATTTTAGCAATTTTCAAGAGGCTATTACATTCTTACCACTCCTAGATGTTTGTTTTGTACACCTGGGTCTCCACTTGTGCACCTGATCATAATAGTCAGCGTATGGTTCATTTCAGTGGACTTAACGAATTCCCAAACTCTACATGTTGGATTGACAAGATCCCTGGCCCTGTGCCTTCATTCTTTTTTTCTACATGTTTCCAACTAAAGTCTCATCCAGTACTCTTTCTTTGAATAATTTGTAAATGTTGGATGTCATCTACATTGCTGTTTCCAGATAAGGCCTTTTCGAGATTTATATATTCAACCAATTTCTTCATGTTTGTACTTGGATATGTGGTAATGGTCTTAAACTTTATGTGTTTCACAAGGCATGCTAAATTTTTCCCTTCATTCCAGATAGTAATATTCCTATTTTCATCATGAGGTTTTTTCTTCCTATCCAATGGCTGAAGCCATATAGTTTTGCGTTTTTTTTTTTTTTTTTTTTTTTGAGACAGAGTCTTGCTGTGTCACCCCAGCTGGAGTGCAGTGGTGTGATTTCAGCCCACTGCAACCTCCACCTCCTGGGTTCAAGCGATTCTTGTGCCTCAGCCTCCCAAGTAGCCGGGACTACGGGCATGTGCCACCATGCCTAATTTTTGTATTTTTAGTAGAGACACAGTTTCACTATGTTGGCCAGGCTGGTCTTGAACTCCTGGCCTCATGTGATCTACCCGCTTTGTCCTCCCAAAGTGCTGGGACTACAGGTGTGAGCCACTGTATCCAGCCTGAAACCATATAATTTTTGGAATAATCTTTGAGTCCTCACTTCCATTAACCCTCTTTCACTCGTCCCATTGAACCTATTAGTGAACCTTGTCATTTCTTTAACTATATCTTGATTTTCTCCACCTCTTATATCTCCATTGTTCCATTAACCACATTTCACAAAATGCAATTACCTTCTTTATTTTTTTGCTTCCTTGTGATTTCATTTTTTCCTAACTAAAATTAAACCTTCGTGAAAATTGGCTGAGTGCAGTGGCTCATGTCTGTAATCCCAGCACTTTGGGAGGCGGAGGGAGGTGGATCTTCTTGAGCTTGTGAGACCAGCCTAGATAACACAGCAAAAACCCATCTCTACCAAAAATACAAAAAATTAGCTGGGTGTGGTGGCACATGCCTGTGGTCCCAGCTAATCAAGAGGCTGAGGTGGGAGGATCACTTGAGCCTGGGAGGGAGAGGTTATAGTTGCAAGTAAGCTGAGATTGTGCCACTGCACTCCAGCCTTGGTGACAGAGACCCTGTCTCAAAAAAAAAAAAAAAAAAAAAGGAAGGTGTTTGTATATCCCAAACATGAGCATAGTGACTTACACATAGATGTCATTCAGCAAACATTTGTAGAATAAATTAATACAGCCTTTGTCATTTGGGATCAACCTGTGTGGTCTGATATTTCTCTTTATTTCTGTGGTCTGGTATCCTGCCAAATTTTGGGGTTCCCTGCAAAAAGTGACCTGTTTATATTTGACTATGTGTGTATTGTATAAAGACCTATTTAGAAAGCAGCCAAATCTATATACATTGTGAATTATCTAGCCTTGTTTGTACAGTTGCTTTTACTTTTCGGTGTGTTTATATTATTGTGTTTTATTTGTAAGAAATGAAGGATATTTATACATGGAATTTCCTTTATGTGTAAGAGATAAAAGGAATCTTACACATCTCTCCCAATGTGTAAGAGATGAGGGATATTTATACATGGAGTTTCCTTTATACTAAAATAGGGTTTTCAACCCCCTTTAGCTGTAATTTTCCACTACCTACCCAAATGCTATAAAACTGCCCTCCCCTTATCACCCTTTTCTGACTCCTTTTTCGGACTCAGTCCGCCTGCACCCAGGTGATTAAAAAGCTTTATTGCTCACAAAAAAATAAATAAATAAAATAGGGTTTTCACTAAAGAGTCACCTCACACCAAGGCAGTTTTAAAAAATAGTTTAAATAGTTTATTTCAAAACAAGATGATGGAGTGATTGACTGTTCTCTTCTTTCCTAGAAATCAGGAAAATTGATGATCCTCTGCAGCATCACTTGCAAAATCAAAGTATTCAGAAGAGTGTGAAACAGTGCCATGAACAGAATATGTTTGGAAATATTGTTAATCAGAACAAAGGTCATTTCCTGCTGAAGCAAGATTGTGATACGTTTGACTTACATGAAAAACCTTTAAAATCAAATTTAAGTTTTGAAAACCAGAAAAGGAGCTCTGGCCTAAAGAACTCTGCTGAGTTTAATAGAGATGGGAAATCCCTTTTTCATGCTAACCATAAACAATTTTATACTGAAATGAAGTTTCCTGCAATTGCAAAACCTATTAATAAGTCCCAGTTCATTAAGCAACAGAGAACTCACAACATAGAGAATGCCCATGTATGCAGTGAATGTGGGAAAGCCTTCCTCAAGTTGTCTCAGTTTATTGATCATCAGAGAGTTCACACTGGAGAAAAACCTCATGTATGCAGTATGTGTGGGAAAGCTTTCTCCAGAAAATCCAGACTAATGGACCATCAGAGAACTCATACAGAACTGAAACATTATGAATGCACTGAATGTGACAAAACCTTCCTCAAGAAATCACAGCTCAATATACATCAGAAAACTCATATGGGAGGGAAACCTTACACATGTAGCCAATGTGGGAAAGCCTTCATCAAGAAGTGTCGGCTCATTTATCATCAACGAACTCATACAGGAGAGAAACCCCATGGATGCAGTGTATGTGGGAAGGCCTTCTCTACAAAGTTCAGTCTCACTACACATCAGAAAACTCATACAGGAGAAAAACCTTATATATGTAGTGAATGTGGAAAAGGCTTCATTGAGAAGAGGCGTCTTACTGCACATCATCGAACTCATACTGGTGAGAAACCCTTTATATGCAATAAATGTGGGAAAGGCTTCACCTTGAAGAACAGTCTTATCACACATCAGCAAACTCATACAGGAGAGAAATTATATACATGTAGTGAATGTGGAAAAGGCTTTTCAATGAAGCACTGTCTCATGGTACATCAACGAACTCATACTGGAGAGAAACCTTATAAATGCAATGAGTGTGGAAAGGGCTTCGCTTTGAAGAGCCCACTCATCAGACATCAGCGAACACATACTGGAGAGAAACCCTATGTATGCACCGAATGTCGAAAAGGTTTCACCATGAAGAGTGACCTCATTGTACATCAGCGAACTCATACTGCAGAGAAGCCATATATATGCAATGATTGTGGAAAAGGCTTCACTGTGAAGAGCCGCCTTATTGTGCATCAGCGAACTCATACTGGAGAAAAACCCTATGTATGTGGTGAGTGTGGAAAAGGCTTTCCAGCAAAGATCCGGCTAATGGGACATCAACGAACTCATACAGGAGAGAAACCTTATATTTGCAATGAGTGTGGAAAAGGCTTCACTGAGAAGAGTCATCTCAATGTACATCGGCGCACTCATACAGGAGAGAAACCCTATGTATGCAGTGAATGTGGCAAAGGCTTAACTGGGAAAAGCATGCTCATTGCACATCAGCGAACTCATACTGGGGAGAAACCTTATATATGCAATGAATGTGGAAAGGGCTTCACCATGAAGAGTACTCTCAGTATACATCAGCAAACTCATACTGGAGAGAAGCCATACAAATGCAATGAATGTGATAAAACCTTCAGGAAGAAGACATGCCTCATACAACATCAGCGATTTCACACAGGAAAGACTTCCTTTGCATGTACTGAATGTGGAAAATTCTCTTTGCGCAAAAATGATCTTATTACACATCAGAGAATTCACACAGGAGAGAAACCGTACAAATGCAGTGACTGCGGGAAAGCCTTCACTACAAAATCAGGGCTCAATGTTCATCAAAGAAAACATACAGGAGAGAGGCCCTATGGATGTAGTGATTGTGGGAAAGCTTTTGCGCACTTGTCTATCCTTGTTAAACACAGGAGAATTCACAGGTAGTCATTTTGGGAAAGCCTCTTGCCAGATGTAGGCCCTTAAGATATCTGCAAAGAAGAGTAATTTCATGAATGCAGACTACATGGTTGTTTATTTAGTGATCAGTTACTTCATGTTTTGTGTCAGAGAAAACATGTACAAAACATTTGAGAAAATATTTTAGGACATTATGTCTAAAAATTGTATACTGAGAAAAATCCTATGAATGTGGCAGACTATAAAAGCCTTTGGTGGGAAGATAAACCCCCTCAGAAGTGATCATAGATCATGAATAAACTACTAATTCGTGGAAATGTAATAATTATAGGAACGTCTTTGCCCAAAAATAAAACTTCAACAGATTGAGAGAGTTCACACTGGAGAAATACTTTCCTCTGGCAAACCCCTGTGGCAGGGTTTTCAGTAAAATGTTTTGCCTCATCGTGTGCTAGGAAATAATGCAGAAAAAACTTATGAAAACATTCAATGTAGAAGACTTTTAGGAAAATATCAGAGAATTTAATGAAGGAAAGAAGCCTTGGCAAAATGATGGATGAGAGCTTTCTGTCACAATTCTAACCTTAACAGATAATATGCCTCATGTGCATTTGGGAACAGGATAGCTTGAGCCATATTCCTAGTTGCCTTGTCACTGATTTTATACATTTTAAATTGTGACTTCCTCTAATCACGAACTAAAATTTAATATTGTATATAATACCGGAGTATTTTATGCCTGCCTCATTTTATTATATGATTAGCTCCTGCATTTCTTTGGTTCTAAGTTTGTGTTATTTCAGAATAACTAAAGTACTTCAGAATGAAACTGGATACAGTATATTCAGTTCATAAGTGTAATTGACCATACTTGAATATGTTTAAGTTTATAAGTAACATCAGGTGTTATGAAATTAATATAAATAAGATGTTTTTGTAAGTTTTTATTTTGAAATAAGTTTAGATTCACAAAATCTTACCAAAATATTCCAGAGTTCTTGCCCTTAACCCAGCTTCTTCCAAAGATAACAACTTACATAAGCATAGTTCATTACCAAATACAGGAAAGTGAAATTGTTACAATACTGTTAACTACAGAATTTATTTGGAAATCACCAGTTTTAACATGCATGCATTTTTGTTTGTTTTTTATATGTAGCTTTAAGAAATCTTAACACATATATTGATTCATGTCACCACCACCGTAATCGAGATTCAGAATGTTGCATCAATGCAAACTCCCTCATGCTCCTTGTTTATAGTCACAACCTCTCCTCAGCCCTAACCCTTGGCAATCAGAAATCTTTTCATCTTTAGTTTTGTCATTAGTAGCATGTTATAAAAATGGAATCATACAGCATGTACCCTTTTGGTATTGGCTATTTCAACTAAAGCAGATTAACCTGAAATCCATCCAAGTTGTTCTGCATATCATTGTTCTGTTTTTATTGGCCACTAATAATCTATGATACGAATATACCACTATTTGTTTATTCACCCACTGAAGGACATTAGTTTTGTTCCCGGTTTTTCTTACTGTTACAAATAAAAATCCTATGAACATTTGTACACACAGGCTTTGTGTGAGCACAATTTTTTACTTCTCTAGGATAATTACTGCAGAGTATGATTCATGGGTCATAAGGTAAGTGTATGTTTACCTTTGTAAGATACTAACCAGAGTGGTGTTTCATTGCTCACCAACAATATATAGAAAGGTTCAGTTGCTCCACATTCTTCCACTTGATGCTGTCAGTATTTTTTTTGTTTTGTATTGTTTTGTTTTGAGATGTAGTCTTGCTCTGTTGACCAGGCTAGAGTGCAGTGGCACGATCTTGGCTTGCTGCACCCTCTGCCTCCGGGGTTCAAGTGATTCTCCTGCTTCAGCCTCCTGAGTAGCTGGGATTACAGGTGCCTGCCACTGCGCCTGGCTAATTTTTGTATTTTTAGTAGTGACGGGGTTTCATCATCTTGGCCAGGCTGGTCTCGAACTCCTGACCTTGTGATCCACCCGCCTCAGCCTCCTGAAGTGCTGGGATTACAGGCGTGAGCCACCACGCAGGACTGGAATGTTTTATTTTACCTATTCTATTGTGTGTGTATTGGTATGAATACAAACATACCAATTGTATGTGGCCTTCCATTTGCACCTCCCTAAAGGCTTTTTTTTTTTTTTTTTTAAGAGACAAGGTCTCACTATGTTGCTCAGGCTGGAGTGCAGTGGCTATTCACAGGCACCATTATAGCACACTACAGTCTCAAACTCCTGGTCTTGAGAAGTTTTCTGTCCCAGCCTCCAGAGTAGCTGGGACTGCAGGCATTTGCCACTGTGCGCTGCTTAGAGCATTGTTTATTAATGCTGGATAAAGATTTTATCCAGCTGGATAAAGGTTTTATATCACTTGCAAATATTTTTCCATAGATGTGGTTCTTTCTTTTTTTCTCTCAGAGAAAAAGATTTTAATTATGATGAAGTCCAACTTTTTTTTTTGAGATGGAATCTTGCTGTCTTGCCCAGGCTGGAGTGCAATGGCATGATCTCGGCTCACTGCAACCTCTGCCTCCCAGGTTCAAGTGATTCTTCTGCCTCAGCCTCCCGAGTAGCTGGGATTACAGGCACCTGCCATCATGTCCCACTAATTTTTGTACTTTTGTAGAGATTGGGGTTTCACCGTGTTGGCCAAACTGGGCTCAAACTCCTGACCTCAGGTGATCTGTCCACCATGGCCTCCCAAAGTGCTGGGATTACAGGTGTGAGCCATTGCACCCAGCCTTTTTTTTTTTAATGGATTGTGGGGTTTTGGCATTACATCTAAGTATTCCTTCCTTACTGTAATTGATAATTCTTTTTCCACTTCCTTTGACAAAATAATGTAGTTTTGCTTCTTTTTTTTTTTTTTTTTTTTTTTTTTTTTGAGACAGAGTCTCACTCTCTCACCCAGGCTGGAGTTCAATGGCATGATCTTGGCTCACTGCAACCTCCGCCTCCTGGGTTTAGGTGATTCTCCTGCCTCAGCCTCCCAAGTAGCTAGGATTACAGGCACGCACCGGCATGCTCAGCTAATTTTTGTATTTTTAGTAGAGACGGGGTTTCACCATGTTGGCCAAGATGGTCTTGATCTCCTGACCTCGTGATCTGGCCACCTCAGCCTCCCAAAGTGCTGGGATTGCAGGCGTGAGACACCACGCCCAGCCAGTTTTGCTTTTTAATATTTAGCAATATCCATTTAAATTCATCTTTGTATATAGGGTAAGGGTTAATTTAAAGTTCAGCCTATGGTTGCCCAGTTGATTCAACAGTATTGAAAACACTGTCCTCTTTCCATTAAATTGATTTTGAACATTTGTAAAAATCAGTTGCCTGTTCTTGTGTCCATTTCTTGACTCTATTCTGTTGATGTGCGTGTCTATCACTCCACTAATAATCTACGGTCACTCCCATCAGAAATGACATAATATGCTCTATGAGGTAAAACAGCTATGTTACCTCATATAAAATGTTCAAAGCCAGAACCTGGACTTTGGGAAATGTCCCATATCCCTCTCCGGAAGCCCGCCTCCCAGTCTCTCGGTGTTCTTAGAGATGGCGAAGGATGGGGTTGCAGCACCAGAATTCCAGAATCGGAAGTAGGTTCTGATACGTGTTCAGCCTTTGGCAGCTGCTACTGTAGCCTTGAAAGCCTGATGCTGCGTGTGAATCCGGATGGGGAGCTTGTGGGGACGACCATGAAGTGGAAACGCATGTGAATGTCCGTGTTCAGGGGTTTTATTTCAGTTTAGTCACCGAGGAATATGGGTGTGAGAAAGAGACCCTTGGGATGTCAAAGGTTAAGGCTTAGTTTTAAGAGTTTAATGACTGAGGGTCCCACGGACAGAGCTTGAGGTCTATATGTTCACTTTTCATGAGTCTCAGTAATAGAAAACTGGGGAAAGTGTGTCTCAGTGAATGCTGTTTTTTGCTCAGATTTGCAATTTAATATGGGGCTCAGATACAGAGAAGCCCGAGCTAGGAAGAGGAGTGGCGTGAATGAAAGGTCTAGGGGGAGGAGTGTCAAAGGAGTGCCTCTGTGGTAAGTTTTAAATTGAATTTGAAGGCAATTTTATTTAGAGGAAGACGGGGCTTGTCTGTGTTTGAGAATGTAATGAGGCTGGAGGCTTTCAGGTGTGCAGTTGAAGGTTAGTGGTTGCTTTGAGACTAACTGGATGCTGGAAACACTTCCTGTCAGTCTTTCAAGTCCAAATCTGTCCTGAAGGTTTCTATTTAAAAACTTTTTCTTCCTAGGTCCACTATTCTCATTGTACCCATAAAAATCAGAGTAATTCAGGGTGACGAAGTGGTGTCTTTACCGAGGAGTCTTGCTCTGTCGCCCAGGCTGGGGTGCAGTGGCGCGATCTCGGCTTACTGCAACCTCCGCCTCCCGGATTCAAGCGATTCTCCTGCCTCAGGCTCCCGAGTAGCTGGGATTACAGGCGCGCGCCACCGCGTCCGGGTAATTTTTGTATTTTTAGTAGAGACTGGTTTCGCTTTGTTGGCCAGGCTGGTCTGGAACTCCTGACCTCAGATGATCCGCCTGCCTCGGCCTCCCAAAGTGCTGGGATTACAGGTGTGAGCCACCGTGCCCCACTTCACTTTCTTAAATGTTGTGTTTAGAAGCACAAACTTAAAAAAAAATCAAGTCCACTTTATTAATTTTATTTTGTTTTGTGGGTCATCCTTTACTCTCCTCTCAGAATTAACTCACGTCCATGAGGATTATCTCCCTTTTCCTTCTCTAAGTTTTATACTTTCTCTTAAACTTAGATCTATGATCTATTTTGAGTTAACTTTTGTGTATGGTTTGAGGGTCCTAACTCATTTTTCTGGATGTGGATATCCAATTATCCCAGTGCCGCTTGTTGAAAAGACTATTCTTATTGAATTGTCTTGGCACTTTTGTCAAAAACTCTTAACAATATTTTTATACTCTCAATTCTGGCTCTGCTCTTCCCATTGGCACCTTTACTAAAAGTGGCCTTTCTAGGAGGCCCAATTCCTTTAGTCTGTCGTGGCCAGGCTCACATCGTAATTCATTCTCAAAATCTCTTTTCTCTCCTCTCCTCTCCTCTTTTCTCTTCTTTTCTCCTCTTTTCTCTTCCTTCTCCTCCTCCTCTTCCTCCTTCTTCTTCTTCTTTTTTGTAAATAATAATCATTTTTTCGAGGCCAGGCGCGGTGGCTCACACCTGTAATCCCAGCACTTTGGGAGGCCGAGACAGGCAGATCACGAGGTCAGGAGGTCGAGATCATCTTGGCCAACATGGTGAAAGCCAGTCTCTACTAAAAATACAAAAATTAGCTGGGCGTGGTGGCGCGTGCCTGTAGTCCCAGCTACTTGGGAGGCTAAGGCAGGAGAATCGCTTGAACCAGGGAGGCAGAGGTTGCAGTGAGCCCAGATCTCGCCACTGCACTCCAGCCTGGCGACAGAGCAAGACTCCGTCTCAAAAAAAATTATAATTTTTTTCTTTCTTCACCACCCGCCCCCCCGAATACCTGCTATTTTTCTGTTCTTAAAAACCGCTTCCTGCAAGCTAATTTTCGCCAGACGCTTTCCCGTGGGTGTCTGCCTACCTGATGTGTTGCCTTTTCCCTTTCTACCTGATCTGTTACCTTTTCCATTTCCAATTCATTCTCTGGGATACCTACACCTGGCTGCACTGTTACTTGTCTTTTTCAAAACCTTTTTTTTTAAATTTAACAAAGTGGATGGAAAAGCGCTAAAGGCAATTTAGCTTGCCCCATATTTGCCTGATAAAGCCTGAGTCTCTGAAAATCTGCCCCCTTTCGCAAGACTTTAAGTGCCAGGAAACGAGGCGATTTCAGTGACTTCTCTTCTTCCCTGGCTCCTGGCTCAAAAACCTGCCACTGCCTTCTGTGCGTCCAATTTTCAAACATGGCTGCCGTCAGGAGCCACGGCTATGGGCGCGGCCATTTTACAGAGTAGGAAATGCCGTAAATGCGCTTGTCCTTGCTCTTTTAAACATTTTAGGTTCTCCTCGGCCGCCGTAGGTGGACCATAAACCCGTGCGAGGACTCCAGAAGTAGGAGCAGTTTACGGAAGTGTAACGTTGAGGCCCTTCTTGTGTATCTGGAGAAAATAGAGGTCAGTGTGTGGTTTTGTCCCTGAAAGTTTTTTGTCCTAGTTCAGGTTTTGTCTCAGTGGAAGGTTTGGGAGATCTGAGGACGTGGTGTACCCTGGACCACATAGTTTTTGGCAGGAAGACTGGGGAGCGCCGGGGTATAGGCATTTGGGAGGTACCTGGTGGGAGTCTGTGATCCCCCTGTCTGTGGTCCGCGTGCCTTTGGTGTGAGTACAGTGACTAAGGGTCTGTAGTGATCAACGGCCGTGTCCTAACTGTCAAGGTATGGATCACTCTGCTTGTAAAGGATGGAGGTGGCGATTAGGATCGATGCGGCGTCTGCTTCGGGTTCAGGATTTAATTTGGAACTCAGTGATGTTGGAGTCTGGGAGGATGTCCATCGCTGTAGAGTGTCTGGTCCGTGGTTCGGATGAGTAAGAGGCATGGGGCCAGTGTCTGTGGTACAAAGGCTTGTGAGGGCTGAAGCTTTCGAGACTTTGGAGCCCTGGGTCCTGGGTTGAGGTTCGAACCTCGGTTACTGGGGCAAAAGGCGACACAGCCCCCAGCATTAGTTCGAAACCATATATCTACTCTTCTGATCCTTGGGGTGGCTATTTACAGATCGGGGGGTCAAGTTCAGTCATACCCTCCGATTATATATTGTCTATGGCTGCAAAGGCAGCGGTTGAGTTGTTGTGACAGAGACCTCGTGGCCGGCAAAATCGAAAATGTTGCCAACCTCTGCATTCACTTCTTTTATTTTTTATTTATTTTTTTTATTTTTTGAGACGGAGTTTCACTTTTGTCTCCCAGACTGGAGTGCAATGGCGCGATCTCGGCTCACTGCAATCTCCGCCTCCCGGGTTCAAGCGATTCTCCTGCCTCAGCCTCCTGAGTAGCTGGGACTACAGGCCCACGCCACCACGCCCGGCTAGTTTTTGTATTTTTAGTAGAGACAGGGTTTTACCACGTTGGGCAGGTTGGTCTCGAACTCCTGACCTCAGGTGATCCGCCCACCTTGGCTTTCCAAAGTGCTGGGATTACAGGCGTGAGCCACCGCGCCCGGCCTTCACTTCTTAATATATAGTGAGTGTTGCTTGCCCGCCTTATATTCACACTTTCTTAACAGAATCTCCATTTCGTGAAGTATTCATCCCTGTGGCAAGGCGACCCAAATCCCAGTTTCTTAGTAAGGCCTTGTTGGTCTTAGCCAATCTTGCTGGTTCCAATTGCCATTGCTAGTGATAGGTTTGACATGGAAATGAGCTTAGGCGTATGGTGCAATTCTAGCCAACTATGTATGTGAAAATCTGCCTGGGAGTTTCTGAGGGAGCATTTTCTTTTTTAAATATGTAATTTCTTGAATCTCTTTTTCCATGTTCGTGATGATATCGCCTGAAAATAACATTAATTTTCTGTCTTACTTTGTAATGCTTATAATTCATTCTTATCTTAATGCATTGGCTCAACTTTCCAGTATAAAGTAGGAAAATAGGGTGTTAGTGGACGTTCTTGTTTTATTACCCACCTGTAAAATTCACCCGTTGTGTTGTCTGGAGTTAACACCTTTCCTGGAGGTAAACTGTTTGGTATGGTTGATCTCTTCCTTTACTTTGTTAATTTTTCTACATTTATATATTTTAAATGTACAATTTAATTATCATGGAGGCAATATATGTATAAGCAGTCATTGCCCAGGTCAAGAAATAGAATATGGTCAGCACACCAGTGGTGTTCTGTGAGTCTTTTTCCATTCTCACACCGAAAAGTATTTTAGGCTTTTCTTTATATAATTAATCATTATTTATCATTGTAGTTAATACAGTTTTGCCTATTTTAAACTCTGTATATCAGTGGAATTGTACATCACTCTTTTTTTGTGTCAGCCTTCTTTTGCTCATTATTGGTGAGGGTCTTTCCTGTTGCATCTGAGTATATTTTCTTTGCTCAATGACAAGGATCAGGCGAATTTACAGTAAATATTTTAGGGCTTGCAGGCTACATATGGTCTCTTGCATATGCTAATTTGCTTTTTGTTTTACAGTCTTTCAAAAATGTAAAAAGCATTCTTGCAGGCTGGACCAAAGGTATAATAGGTTTTCTATCACATTCCATTATGTAAAATATAGCAGTTTTTTCTATTATTAATTACATTTGTATTACCTAAAGCTTGTATTATTAAGAATAATGCATGTGTGAAAATTTGTGTAAATGTCTTTTGGTTCATATGTGCTCTCATATGGGGGAGGCAGAGATGTATATCTAGATGTGCACCTCGGAGGAAAATTGCTGCTTCATAGAGTGTGTATAAACTCCGTCTAAATAGATGTCAAACTGTTTTCTAAAGTGGTTGTACCACTTACAGTTCCCCTAGCAGGATATAGTTTGCTTTATAGGGTGCTTTATGTGGCCTCTTTAAAATATCTGGCCATACCCTAATAACATTGAGAGATTCTCCTATATTAATGTTCTTTAAAGCTTTATTGATATGTTTCTACCATTGAAATTGACAGTTGATTCTAAAATGGTTTTTGTGTATGTTGTGAGGGGGGTTTTAACTTTCTGTCCCCATCCCCAGTACCATTTATTGATTTTTTTTTTTTTTTTTAATTTTTTTAGATAGAGTCTTGCTCTCGTCGCCCAGGCTGGAGTGTAGTGGCGTGCTTGGCTCAACTGCAACCTCTGCCTTCTGGGCTCAAGTGATTCTTGTGCCACGGCCTCCCGAGTAGCTGGAATTACCAGCAGGTGCCACCTTGCCTGGCTAATTTTTGTATTTTTAGTAGAGATGGGGTTTCACCATGATGGCCAGGCTGGTCTCCAACTCTGGCTCAAGTGGTCCACCTGCCTGAAGGGGGCCTGCCCCTCCACACCTGTGGGTATTTTTTGCAAGGTGGAAATGAGAGACTGAGAAAAGAAATCAGACACAGAGAGAAAGTACAGAGGAAGAAAAGTGGGCCCAGGGGACTGGTGTTCAGCATATGGGGGACCCACACCGGCACTGGTCTCTGAGTTTTGTTAGTATTTATTGATTACTATTTTTACCATCTTGGTGAGGGGGGTGTGGCAGGACTATAGGGTAATGGTGGGGAGAGGGTCAGTAGGAAAACATGTGAGTAAAGGACTCTGTGTTATAAATAAGTTTAAGGAAAGGTCCTGTGCCTTGATGTGTACGTAGGCCAGATTTATGTTTGACTTTACACAGACATCTTAGTGTAGTAAAGAGTAGTATTGCCGCCAGTATGTCTCACCTTTAGTTATAAGGTGGTTTTCTCCTATCTTAGTAAATAGAATGTATGATTGGGTTTTATACCGGGACATTCCATTCCCAGGGAGGAGCAGGAGACAGATGGCTTTCTCTTATTTTAACTGTAAAGAGGTCTTCCTCTTTCACTAATCCTCCTCAGCACAGACCCTTTACGAGTGTTGGGCTGGGAGATGGTCAGGTTTTTCCCTTCCCACGAGACCATATCTCAGGCTGTATCAGTGGGAGGAAACCTTGGACAATACCCAGGCTTTCTTGGGCAGAGGTCCCTGCGGCCTTCCGCAGTGCATTGTGTCCCTGGGTACTTGAGACTGGAGAATGGTGATGACTTTTACCAAGCATACTGCCTGCAAACACATTTTAACAAAGCACGTCCTGCACAGCCCTAAATCCATTAAACCTTGAGCCAACACAGCACACGTTTCTGAGCACAGGGTTGGGGCTAGGGTTACAGATTAACAGTATCTCAAGACAGAGGAACTTTTCTTTGTACAGATTAAAATGGAGTTTCTTATGTCTTCCTCTTTCTATATAGACACAGTAACAGTCTGATCTCTCTTTCCCCCACACCTTCCTCAGCTTCCCAAAGTGCTAGGATTACAGGCGTGAGCCACGGCGCCCTTAGTTCCATTTATTGAAAAGACAGCTTTTATCTACTTCCCTGTAGTGCTATCATTGCCATTGAGTCTCTATATGTGCTTAATTCTGCTTATAAGGATTTTATTCTGTTCCTTTGTCCTATTTGCCTGTTATTGTACTAATATTGTGCTGTCCTAATTAAAGTAGCTTTATAAGTCCTCATAACTGATATGGCAAGTCTTCTAACTTTTTTTTCAAACTTTAAAAAAAAGTTTATAGCTATTTAAACTTTTCAGTATCAGTTTGGGATTGTGACTGTGATTTCATTGAATCTGTAGATTTGGGAGACTTGACATTTTTAAAATGCTTTGTTTTCCAGCCCATCTTTATAGTACATCTTTGCATTTATTTAAAACTGTTAAAATTTATCTCAGTAAATCTAATTTTAAAAATATATTCGAGTTCTTCTAAATGATATCGTTTATGTCAGCCTAAAAGAGGAAACTGCACAAAATACAATTTTAAAGAGTTTACTTGAGCCAAAATGAGGACAGCTGCCTGGGAAAATACTTTCAGGTTGCCTTGGTTAAGTGCTCTGTTAGGATTTTGTTAGAAACAGGTTTTAAAGTCAAAAGGGAACAAACCGTGAGCTGACATAAAGTTGTTTGGCAAGAATTCTCATTGGTTTACAGAAATAATATCAATTAACAATTGGCTGTACATTGTTAACTATGGGGTTTTATGAGTTAGGATGTCCAGTGAATGGCATTTTATGGCTACTCAGTGTGAGTTAGTCTAGAGCCTACATAGCAAGTGGCTTTAAGAGATAATTATTTAGCTTGAGGGGGAAATGAGATGTGACTATTGTCACATTAAATTTTTTTTTTAGTTTTTAATTTTTTCTTTTTTCTTTTTTTCAGGGGAACCCCTATCAGAAAGACTGCTGTCACATTTTAATGCCTCTCTAGACCTGATAATTTAAAGGGAGTCACATTCCTCAGATAAAAGATTCATTTCTTTCTCATTTATAAATTTTATTTTGTTTGTTGATGGTCTGTTCTGTCAGTTACTAGGAAAGGTCTGTTAAAGTCTTTAGTCTGAATTTTCTATTTCTTGTTTTTGGTTCTATTTTTTGCTGTATACATTTCAAGACTGTTGTTAGGGGTATACATATGGTGTATTTCTATGAATGAAGAGCCAAATTTCACCTCTTTTCAGTGAGCATTGTTTCTCTTTCTCTCTGTTAATTCTTTAGGATTTCTGGTCAGTTTTGTCTGAGATATAGTTATAACAGATTATCTTTGGTTACTCTCTCTGTGGCATATTGTCTCCAACCTTTTATTCTCAAGCTTCCCATATCATTTTGGTTCAGACATATCAACTATAATAACCGCATGTGGGGAGGCTGAGGCGGGTGTGTGATGAGATCCGGAGTTGAAGGCCAGCCTGACCAAGATGCTGAAATCCGATCTCTACTAAAAATACAAAAATCAGCCAGGCGCGGTGGCGGGCCGTAACCCACATGGACCCATGGGACTGCACAAATGGGGGTGAACGTGGGAATAAAGACAGGAGACAAAAGAGTATATTTGGGAGAAGGGGTCAGGGAGCACCTTACCTCTAGTGGACAAGGGCCCTGAGCTTTACACAGCCCTCCGTATTTATTAGGCAAAAGAGATAGGAGGGTGGGGGGGTGGAAGAAGGGGTCGGCTGCTCAGTTCAGAGTAGGCTTGCAAGACTGCATTCTCTAGATGTCGCAGTAGATAACCTCGGTGCCAGGGAGTGATTGCCTCCAGCAAACCTTATGTTGGCAGGAGCAGTCCTGAGTTTGCTCACATCCTGTATTCATGATAAACAGTTTGCTGTTTGATCATATAGCCTCCAGCAGAATGCTGAGTTGGTCACGTCCCACAGGCCTTTGGCTCCCTGCATATCCCCCTTTCTGTTTATGTATTAATTGAAAGAATGTAAGGCTGGGCTGGGAGGCTCTCATTCTCCAATTGGTGGTCCATCCGATTTTACAGACTATAAACCGAAGACAGAGACAAAACAACATTATTCCAAGAACTACATATAAGATGTTAATGTGGTGCCTTAGATAGGTCCAAGGGTTGAGGCTCTCCAGGCCTTCCTGGAATTCGGTCCAGTCTTCTAAAGAAGGCTGAAATTCTTGAGTTTGCCTATTTAAATCAATAATTTTGTTTTGTAATTCACCAATATCAAAGGTGATGTTGGATGTGAAAGCTCCTTGCAAATGGGCTTTCACAAGGTCCCACGGATACTCACTTTGGTTATATTCTGAGTTAGTTACGCAAATATGAATGTGATTAAAATGATGACGCAATTGCTGCTGCAACTGCAAGCTTTGTACCTGTTCTCCTAACCACAGAACCATGGATTTCAACATTGCCACTTCAGTTTGTAACTCAGTGTTAATTTTATTCTGAAGTAGCCTCGCTTGGTCAGCTGTGCGTGTCCAGTTCTCCACCTACTGAGATGTTTGAATAGAATTATGCAGAGTTACAGAAGATATCACAACAGAAGTTATTAGTTTGACCAAGGAAACAATAGCAAAAATTATGCCTAAGGCTCTATGGACACAGTGAGTAAGCTGAGTTAGAAGAAGTGTTACAAAAATGCAAAGCAGGTGTGGCAGCCCAAGGCTCAGACAGATTAACAAGAATCCATAGCCCAGGGATGCAACCCAACATTATCAAAGTAGAGATATTATGTGTTCGTAATGTGCTATGATTAATGCAGTGTGATATAACTGGCAAGATTTACAGGTCAATTGGGTATTGTTTACCTGAAGCTGGTTCTTCTTAGCTGCCAAAAAGGCATAAGGATTAAAAACACAAACTGTAAACTGAGTGGTGATATTCTTTACAAATGCAACATTAAGACTGTGTTGCTTACTATTGCTATTATTAGACAGTGTTCCAATCCAGATGTTGCCATTCATAAATGGGAGTGCTGCCTTCCATATAGTTTCTTGAATTGGTCCTTTCCTCCCCAGATAATGCAACTGAGGAAGAGGTGGGCTAAAGCCTGCTCCATGCCAAGCAATCTGAGCAGCAGACTGGGATTGGATTCTGCTGTTGTATAAAGAAGAAGCATTAAAAGCTTGCCGCCAATGCCAGTGAAGTTTGTGCCATGATTTCTGACTTTCACCTTTTCCATCTAATTGACCTTTAGGTTCCCAATCCACAGTGTCTTCAGTTGACATATATTGTTTACTAGCCAGTGGATCAAGACACTGGGTCCACAGAGTGGGGTAGGAACTATTGAATGGAATCCATTCTGTATAATCAGCACAATTAGGGTGACTGGACTGGGAATGATTGGTTAGCACACCAGTTACATTAATAGAACCAAGACCTAATAAGTACATAATTTTTCCATAGTGACTCAACCATGTTTGAGCTTGAATTGCAAGACAGCTATGGCTGAGCGACGTCTTTGTGGTGATAAACAAAGGGAGTCCTTCCAGTGGAGTGGTATAATTAATGACATTGTTCTGAGAGTCTAACTTTTCTATGTCACGGGGAGTTAGGGGTCCTGGAGCCCACTCTCCCTGATCGTGATAAATCTCAGGAGGAGTGAGCTCCAAAGTATAGGCCATACTGCTGGGGGATTGGGAACATATGCCCAATATGTTTTTGCCTGTGCACAGGGAAAACGTAGTGCACAGGACATTATGGCTAACATGGCCAAGAGCATGGAATCAGGGGTTTTGCCTGTCCCTGACACTCCAGTAGTTTCTCAGCTTCCTGTGTGGTTTTCTTGAGTTGTCCCCAGGTTATGGGGGTTGATGTCATCATGACTCTGGTTGGCCTTCTCTCCATCTTTGCACTCAGGCTCAGCTGACTCATAGCTCGTACAGGAGGGACTGGGCCCATGGTTGGCCACCCTGGGTTCCTCCAGTCTCCCATTCCATGGTCGCATGCACCTTGAGGGCACCCACATGGCTTGTCCCATCTCCTGTAAACACACAAGCATACCCTCTTCCCCAGGTCAGTAAATCTACCGGGCCTTTCCATTGTTGTCCTTCTGGGGATTTCCATAACACTTTCAGATAAACTTTGCTTTTTTCCTCTAACACTTGCCAATGTCTTTCTGCTGGAGTCTTACCATCCATACCGGGAGTCAGAAAATTTAAAGTAAATAAGGCTAAATGTAGTTTTGATTGAGGTGGTAGTTGGCCTCCTATACCCCCTTTTTGTTTTTTCAACATGCGTTGTAATGTTTGATGTGCCCATCCTATAGATATGACTGACACATCAGCTCCCATGTCCATAAGCCCATAAAATTTCTTTCCTTTAATGTGTACTACACAGGTAGGTCTATTAGAGGCTATGGGTTGGGAAAGATAGATTTCCCATGTAGTTGTGCTCCCAAACCCTTTATTTCCTCATTTCTCTTTTCATGGGGAAGGGTGTAATTCACAGGGAATAAGCAATAATTGAGCAATATATTCTCCCAGTTCAAAAACCCAAAGATTTTGTGACATTAAAACTACTTGAATTTCTCCTTCATAATCGGAGTCAGTCATTCCTAGGACTACAGTGATGCCTTGCAAGTTAAGGCAGCTTTTACCTAAAATTAGTCCTGTGTATCCTGTCGGTAAAGGTCCCCAAATACCCAAATAGGTTTGTCTCCCCTAACTAATGTGATTCTTTCTCTGGTGGGTAGATCTAATCCTGCACTTCCTGGTGTTCCTGGGTTGAGGGAATCAATGTGCCTCCAGGAACCCATCCCTGAAGTGGGGTTGTGGTCTGCATTGGGAATGCCCTCATTGTTTGAGGGGCCCGGGTGCAGGCCCCCATCTCATTTACCAATGGGGTGCCATTCTGATGAAATTTTGAGCAGCACTGGGTAGCCCAGTGATTTCCTTTGTTATGGCGAGTACAGAGTCCTGCTGTTTTTTCTGCTAGGGAGTGAACTGCATTGTAATATCCTTTCTGTCCTGAGATCTGGCGGCATTCCTTTTTTAGATGTCCAGTTTTTCCACAATTACAACATTTTCCCACTTTAGGGTTTGACCCTTGGCTCCTTTTAGATTTGTCAACTGCTAAATTAGCCATTGCTTATGCTAACTTTGCAGATCGATGAATCTCAGTTCCTACATCCTGACAAGCTCTGAGAAAATTTCCCAAGTTTTTTGTACACCTCACTGGTGCCAGTGCACGTTTACAGTACACGTTTGCATTCTCAAAAGCTAAAGTTAAGGTTAGCATTTCTGCAGCCACAGTATGAGGAATCTGACGCTTCAGTGCCTCATGTAATCTTGCAAGAAATTGTGCATAGGGTTCCTGCAACCCTTGCATGATATGTAAAAAGGATTGTACAGGGACTCCCTCTTCAGGATTGTGGCCCAGGCGCATTTAGCGGCCTGTGTACACTGCTGATAAGCAGCATCTGGGAGTGCCATTTGACGTTCTACATCTGAATAAGGGCCATGACCTAACAGCATATCCTCTGTAATGTCTCCGTGTCCAGCAGCATGGTTCTGTTTAGCCTGGTCTGCACACATTTCTTGCCAATTTAAATTCCATGTCAGATATGCACTAGCAGACAAGCAAGTTCGCGCCAAGTGTCTCACATCAAAGGGTAAAAAACGCATAGCACCAAACACAGATTCTAGCAATCCTAAGGTGAATGGGCTCTGTATGCCATCATTTACCACTCTTGCTTTTAATTCCTTCAACAACTTAAACTCTAGTGGGGTGTGTTCATGAATAACCTGCTGTGGATTTTTTGGATCAGGCCTGATGGAAATAGGAAAAGCACAATGTCCTAAGGGCTCTCCAGCTATGGCAGCAGAGCATTAAATTCTTTGTATTAGGGTTTCTATTTCTGCCACCGAAGGAGGCAGTACAGATGTTTCTGCAACTGAAGGAGGCAGTATAGGCCAATTTTTATCCTCCCTCTCCTGTTTTTTATTTTTAATTGGAGCTGTGGGTGGGTCAACAAATTCTTTCAGATTTTTAGATTCAGCTTGCTGTCCTGCAGAATAATAATGAGATAATGGCAGAAGTACAGTACGAACTAAACTCCAAGTGGAGAAAACAGAAGAATCGACTTTAAGACCTTTTTGATGAGCCTGTTTTAATCCTTCTCCTGCTGTATCCCAATTTTCCACATCAAGAGTGCCTGCCTGTGGAAACGATGGGTTATGTGTAATAACCTTTTGTGGCTTCTGCAGGAGGTTAGTGTCTGCGAATTAACCTGAGCTGCAGACTGTCTCAACAGAACTTTAAGCAACTGCACATAATGTTTTTCTTCAATAGACAAATTCTTTCCCTTGTTACCCTGAGTCAGAAAACTTCCCAGTACTTCTTTAAAGCACTGCTCCCAGTACCTCTTTAGGGCACTGACCTTATATCTGCTGCCGGCAGACTCTTCCCAGGGTCCCCTTTCGCCTTGTCAATTTCAGTTCCTCTGCTCCAGCAGACCTTCTTCATTCACGTCCTTGAAGTCCCATGTTTGGATGCTGCTAGTTGGGCGTGCTTGGAGTCCCTGTTCTGGTTGCCATTTGTAACCTGCACGGACCTAGGTGGACTAAACAAAGTGGGGTGAACACGGGAATAAAGATGAGACAAAAGAGTGTATTTGGAAGAAGGGATCGGGGGCGCTTTGCCTCTAGGGGACAAGGGCCCTGAGCTTTACACAGCCCTTCATATTTATTAGGCAAAAGAGACAGTGAGAAGGGGAGGTGGAAGAAGGGGTCAGCTGCTCGGTCCAGAGTAGTCTTGCAAGACTGCATTCTCTAGATGTCGCAGTAGATAACGGCGCCAGGGGTCCAGAGTAGTCTTGCAAGACTGCATTCTCTAGATGTCGCAGTAGATAACGGCGCCAGGGGTCCAGAGTAGTCTTGCAAGACTGCATTCTCTAGATGTCGCAGTAGATAACGGCGCCAGGGAGTGATTGCCTCCAGCAAACCTTCATCAGCCGGAGCAGTCATGAGTTTGCTGACATCCTGCATTCATGATAAACAGTTTGCTGTTTGATCTGTAGCCTCCAGTGGAATGCTGAGTTGGTCACGTCCCACGGGCCACGAGCCTTCGGCTCCCTGCAGCAGGTGCCTGTAAACTCAGCTACTCGGGAGGCTAAGGCAGAGAATTGCTTGAACCCGGGAGGCCGAGATCACACCATTGCACTCCAGCCTGGGCGACAGAGTGAGACTCCATCTCAAAAATTAAAATAAAATAAAATAAACCCCAGATGTTATTGGATTTTAATTTTTAATCCATTCTGACAGTTTTGAGGCATTTATATTTAATGTAATTAACTGGGATCCATGCTCTGTTTTTACTTAGCATAAAATACTTAATGTAATGTAATTTTCTTAGTACATTTTATTTTAAAACAGCTATCTAAATGCATTGTATTTGCTCTTTTTGCTCTGTTTTTGATTCTCTTCTTTTGGATGAATTTCTTGTTATTACATTTCCCCCTTTTGTTGGCATGGAACTTACGTACTTTAAAACAATTACTAGTTTTTTTTTTTTTTTTTTTTTTTAAGACGAGGTTTCGCTCTTTTTGACCAGACTGGAGTACAATGGCACAGGCTTGTCTCACTGCAACCTCCATCTCCCGGATTCAAGCAATTCTTCTGCCTCAGCTTCTGGAATAACTGTATTTTTATAGAGATGGGGTTTCACCATGTTGGCTAGGCCGGTCTCGGACTCCTGATGTCAGGTGATCCACCCGCCTCGGCATCCCAAAGTGCTGGGATTACAGGCGTGAGCCACTGTGCCTGGACTTACTAGTGTTAATTGTAACTAGAGATTACATGTAGTGTGCAACCTTTGTCATATTCTTCTGCTAATTGGCACTTTTCCATTCTACAGAAACCTTAGAGCACGTCAACTTTATTCACCACCTAATTATCCAGTAAATTATTGTGTATTTTAGCTTTTTATGTATTTAAAACCTCCTAAAATATTGTCAGTACTGTTTTTATGACAATGCTTATGATTTGCCCAGTACATTGGCTTTCAAACTGAAGTACATGTCTTCACAGGGTGTATGTACAAAGACTTTTGAAGAGGTGTGGGAGCACACATGATTTAAAGGAAAACAAAGACCAGGTCCTCTCCTTGCTGATTGTCTCTTTTCTAAAACTAATCTGCCTAAGAGTTCACCATCTCCTGAGGCTGGTGCTATGGTGGGTCTCATTTCCTACCTGCCTTCACAGTCCTTCCACGGAAACGTCACAGAGGAAAGGCATACCTCCACCACATTAAGAATCCTAGACATTATTGGCCACAGGTATAAAATCCGCTGGGGCTCCAAACAAAGGTATATAGTTAACTATATTGGGGGCATTGCTTTAAGATGAGTGCCTAGCAGCAGTGACAGTATCTGGGCCTGGAAAAAATGTACCACTTACATTGAATTTGCTCTTCAACCCACAGGTTCTGACTCCTCAGGAGCAAAAAACATAACCTGAAGAGGGAGGAAGTGGATTTGGGGTTCACCATTTCTTGGGGCACACTTGATTGAAAACTGAGACTTCTGAAGAGAAGGCCAGAAGATACAAAGACAGACCATCCCAGTTGAATGCTGTCTTCCAAGAACAGAAGAAAATGATCCAGGCCCAGGTAACTGACTTTTGGTTTGTTTTATTCTTTCCTTTGTTCCATAATAGATTTGTAGAAGCCTATAAACATCAATTTCACTAATATAAAAAGTATAAATTTCAAAAAGCAGGATCTGGAGAGAAGTAAGCTTAGTTTTTAAACTCAATATCATGCAAAATAGTAGGATAAGGAATATAATGTTCATAGCATTAACACTAAATTATGAATTTTGTGACACCATGCATGGCTGGAGGATCCTGTGGATTATATTAGCTGTCAGCTTGCATCTAATATCTCTGACAGCCAATGTCACAAGAAAATCATAATTTACATGGTATGTCCTGTTTTTGAAGATAAAACAGATTACTTCCTGGGGGTTGCCATTATTTCATGGCACTTTGGTCTCAGGAAATTTCTTCAGTGGTTCTTCCTAGAGTTGATGTGGTGGATGGTGTCCAGAATAGCAGCCTTCTCATAAATTCAGATGCAGGTTTCCTGTGGCTGTTTCTTGAAGGACTCCTTATATACTGTTACGGAATAGACTAAGCAAACAGTAAACACAGGGACCAACACAAGTTAATTTCAGCCTTGTGGCAGTCTGGATTTAACTTGGAATAAAACCTAGACATCCTGGGAATATGGCAGGATTCCAGGACTTTCAAATGGTTCTCAATGAACAGATAGCTGAACTGGTGTTTGAATATAGATTTGGAGACAGGGAGTTGAAAGTGATATTGTCTGAACAGGACTTGGATTGGAGTTTACAGATTTCCTTTAGACTTTCACCTTGTAGAAAATGCCAAGTCCTTATTGTATAGTAAATAATTGAACAAAGGGAGTTTTGGCCTTTGTGTTCAAGCTAATGGAGGGTGAGCTCTGGGCTTCTGGAATATCTTGCTAATGGTAGTGTCTTTGTTTGCTTGGGTCCTTTGGCCACTGGACAGCCTAAAAATACGAACTATGATAGATCTGTGATCTATGATAGGCCAGAAACTTCCAGAACTAGAGGCTAAAGTTAAAACCTGACTTCTGGGAGGGTGTGGACCTAAGATCAGCCACATAGGTCATCTGTGATTGTGTCCCAGTAAAGTAAGAAAGTACACATATCAAAAAATAAATTTCGGCTGGGCGCGGTGGCTCATGGCTGTAATCCAGCACTTTGGGAGACCGAGGTGGGTGGATCACGAGGTCTGGAGATCGAGACCATCCTGGCTCACACCGTGAAACCCTGTCTCTACTAAAAATACAAAAAATTGGTCGGGTGTGGTGGCAGGTGCCTGTAGTCCCAGCTACTCGGGAGGCTGAGGCAGGAGAATGGCGTGAACCCAGGAGACGGAAATTGCAGTGAGCCGAAATGGTGCCACTGCACTCCAGCCTGGGTGACAGAGAGACTCCATCTCAAAAAAAAAAAAAAAAAAAGTTTCTGGCTGAGTGCAGTGGCTTATGCCTACTTTGGGAGGCTTAGGCAGGAGGATTCCTTGAGCCCAGGAGTTTGAGACTAGCCTGGGCAATCTAGTGAGACCTTGTCTATATTTAGTAAAATTGAAGAAAAGAGAAAAAGTTTTCTTTTCACATATTTTCTTCCTAATCCACTTCTGTAAATGGTTGGTAATATTTACTTCCTGTCACTGTATCTGTTTGTGGATCTATGTCTATATATGTATTAATAAAAGTGTGAGTATATATGAATCTATCTGTAGATATATATATTCATTATGATATACACATATATATATTTTACATGATAGAATCATATTTCAAAGAACATAGCAGCCAACTTGAAGGGACTCTTCATTGGCCGAAGATGCTACACTTTGAACATCCAAAGACCAATGATTGCAAATGATTGAAGAACATTAATTATATAAAATTCCATCAGTTTATAGCTATACTTGAAAAAAATGCATTTGTCACCATTGGGGGTTAGGAGAGAATCAAGTATTTAATCTGAAAAATGATAAAAGATCATAAAGGTTTTGTGTGTGTGTGTGTGGCGGGGGTGGGTTGACTATGAGTTTATTTTTTACTTTTACTTTTCTGCTTTTTTTCTTTTTTCCTTTTTTTTTTTTTTTTAATTGAGATGGGGTCTTGTCATGTTGCCCAGGCTGCTCTTGAACTCCTGGGCTCAAGCAATCCTCCTGCCTCCCAAAGTGCTGGGATTACAGGCATAAGCCATTGTGCCTGGCCCTCTTGGTAATTTTGTATTACTGACCCATACTCTGCTCCTTGGCTATAAATTCCCACTTGCTTATGCTGATATTTGGAGTTAAGTCCATTCACCCTCTACCACTGCAAAATCCCATTACATTTGTCTATATACCTGTCATAATGGCCCTGAATAAAGTCTTCCTTACTGTGCTTTAACAATTCTCATTGAATAATTTTTTTAAACATGTATAGCTTAATTAAGGAGGTGAGATTCCAACGCCTTTGCCATATTCTGAATAGAGGTAAGTCACTAGGCCAGTCCCTGCTCAAGGAGAGGGTGTAGAGCACCCAATTCTGTCCCTGTTTGGGCGCCACTTGTAACCCGCACAGACCTAGGGGGACTGAACACAGTGGGGTGAACACAGGAATAAAAGACAAGAGACAAAAGTATATTCGGAGGAAGGGGTCAGGGGGTACCTTGCCTCTAGTGGACAAGGGCCCTGAGCTTTACACAGCCCTCTGCATTTATTAGGCAAAAGAGATAGTTGGGGGGGTGCAGTGGAAGTAGGGGTCAGCTGCTCAGTCCAGAGGAGGCTTGCAAGACTACATTCTCTAAATGTTGCAGTAGATAACCTCAGCACCAGGGAGTGATTGCCTCCAGAAAACCTTCTGTCGGCAGGAGCAATGGTGAGTTTGCTCACATCCTGCATTCATGATAAACAGTTTGCTGTTTGATCATATAGCCTCCAGTGGAATGCTGAGTTGGTCACGTCCCACGGACCTTTGGCTCCCTGTAAGTGGGAACTACATAAAGGTGTGAACACTGGGAGGGTGGAGTTCATTGAGCCATCAAATCTGCCTGCCATAGATCTGTCATATAGTAAACTATTTTTGAGTGTGGATTGAGGTAAGACTTTCACTTTACTTTTTTCCAAATAGATAGCTATCTCACATAAATAATTTAGAATGGGTAAACCAACCAGGATTAAGTACTTGTATCATCTACCAAGTGTGTTCACTGGCCTCTGTAATAAAATGAGTATAGAGTGTACCTTCTGCTGTTCCCTGGGTCTTCAATGACTCAATTTCCCACCAGCAGTATCCTTTAAAGCCATCCTGCATCCTGAGACAAGAGATTGACAATTCATTGATAAGTAGTCTTAATTGTCACTATTACAGGGCTGTAGGTCCTTTGCCAGCCATGCCTTTCAGTCCTAAATGGTCTTCAAGGTTGGGCTGTGTTGTCCAAGAGCTGAGGACCTTACATTTATTGTTCCAATATTTATTGGCTATAATGATTTCTGTGGAGCAGTCAGCTGTCAGAAAATTTTGTCTCCTTTGTAGGTAACCTGTCATTGGTCTTTGGATTTTTTTATAGTCTCCCTTTGTATCTGGTGTAATTTAGTTTCAATCTGTTGTGCCTACGTGTAGACTTCTTGCTTGAAAAGTTGTTGGATTTCTTGAGTTTGAATTTTGGAGTGTTTAATCAGTTCTGAAAAATTTTCAGTGTTAGATCTTTGGATATTGTTTCTCCATTACTTGATTTTCTCCTTCTTCTTGAGAAATTATCAAACTCAAGGAGGTCATAGGAACCCTCAGTTTATAATTAGTCCATCAGAAAAATAGGAGGCCTGGATTTGTGATATATGGTTGGCCCTCCATATCCATGGCTTCCACATCCATGGATTCAACCAACTGAGGATTGAAAATATATATTTTTTAAGCATCTGAACTGAGCACATACAGACTTTTTTATTGTCATGATTCCCTAAACAATATAGTATAACAACTGTTAACATACCATTTACATTGTATTAGATATTATAAGTAATCTAAAGATAATTTAAAGTATATGGGGCTGGGCACGGTGGCTCACTCCTGTAACTCCAGCACTTTGGGAGGCTGAGGTGGGTGGATCGTCTAAGGTCAGGAGTTTGAGAACAGCCTGGCCAACATAGTGAAACCCCATCTCTACTAAAAATACAAAAAATTAGCTGGTTGTGGTGGCGGGCACCTGTAATCCTAGCTACTCGGGAGGCTGAGGCAGGAGAATCGCTTGAACCTGGGAGGCGGAGGTTGCAGTGAGCCAAGATTGTACCATTGCACTCCAGCCTGGGAAAGAGGAGCAAAACTCCGTCTCAAAAAAAAAAAAAAAAAAATTAGCCAGGCGTAGTGTCACATGCCTGTAGTCCTAGCTACTTGGGAGGCTGGGGCAGAAGAATTGCCTGCTCCTGGGAGGCGGAGGTTGCAGTGAGCTGAGATTATGCCACTGCACCCCAGCCTGGGAAAGAGAGTGAGTCTCCATTTCAAAAAAACAGAAATGTATATGGGAGGATGTGCATGGGTTACATGCAAATCTGCAAGTACTATTCCATTTTATTTTATTTTATTAGAGACAGTCTTGCTCTGTTGCTTAGGCTGCAGTGCAGTAGCATGGTCATAACTCAGTGTAGTCTCTAACTCCTAGGCTCAAATGAGCCTCCTGCCTCAGCCTCCCAAGTAGCTGGGACCACAGGCACTCACCACTGTGCCTAGCTAATTTTTTAATTTTTTGTACAGATGGGGTCTCATGTTGCCCAGGCTGGTCTTGAACTCCTGGGCTCGAGTGACCCTCCTGCCTTGGCCTCCGAAAGTGCTGGGATTACAGGTGTGATCTACTGTGCCTGACCAATACTGTGCCATTTTATATCAGACACCTCAGTATCCTCAGGAGGTCCTGGAACCAATACCCTACAGATACTAAAGGATGGCTGTATATATGTCTTTCATTTGCATGTATCTAAAATAAATATATGTACATATATTCATATATATTTACATATATAAAATGTATAAATATATTGTTTTTAGGTTAGCAAGATTTAACTTCTACACTTTATAGAAACTTCCAATTGGGTGAATGGAGGATGACTGAATATACAGTTACAGAATATTATATTAGGACTTTACTTCTTCCACATTGTATTAAAAAAAAAACTATTTGGTATATGCACACAGCCTGTAGAGTGGAAATGAGCAGAAAAACTTTAGCATTTCTTCCACATCATCAAAAAGACATCACTTTATTAAACAGGACTGTTATTACAGGAATCCATAACACTGGAGGATGTGGCTGTGGACTTCACTTGGGAGGAGTGGCAACTCCTGGGCGCTGCTCAGAAGGACCTGTACCGGGATGTGATGTTGGAGAACTACAGCAACCTGGTGGCAGTGGGTGAGGACAGCTGCCCTGTGTCACTCAGAGGGTGCCTAGTCAGTGGCCTTCCTTTCTCAGATGCCTACCTCTTTGGAATGCCTGCAGTACTCTGAAGTGGTAGATTCTCAGATCCTTCTCTTGCTCCCACACAAGACGGTGTAATCTACCCTCTTGTAAGAGAAAAACCTTGATGTTACAGATATGAAACGAAACTTTCATAGTTTCAGATAAGAAACTAAATTTTGGGTATTTTAAGAAACTCAAGTTTCTTGAAATGTAACATTCTTCCTTCTTGACATTGCCAGCCCAATTTGATATGTCTAAGTCCTCTATCATTTTCCATGAACAGGGTATCAAGCCAGCAAACCGGATGCACTCTTCAAGTTGGAACAAGGAGAACAACTGTGGACAATTGAAGATGGAATCCACAGTGGAGCCTGTTCAGGTGAGAGAACCCACAAGACAGAAGGCTATGGAAGTCACATTCTAGACAGTCAGAGAAGGCAGCACAGCTGTGAAGGGGGTTTGAGGATATGTAAACAGTTCCTCTACTCATCTGTCTCCCAGTGTGAGACCAGTTTTTCTTTGTAGGAATTTAGAGTTAAAAAAAAACAAAACAAAACAAAAACTCTTTATCTCCTCAGAGATCTGATTATTTTATCTACATATTGTTTGTTTGCCTGCATAATTTTCTTCTTCCTCGGGTTTCAAGTATTTCCCTTCTTCATGTTGTTCCACCTCTCTTGTTACGAAATTCCACCTTCCAGGCCTCTTTCCAAAGAGGAAACTTTGAAGTCCTCACTGTTTTCGGACTCCCACCCCTTTGTGCCCCTTGGCTAATGCTGACCTCCCCTCCTAACACCTCCCCTGTGATGGATGTGGCTTCCTCAGGGTAAACTGGACTTTCGCTGTGCCTTGGCTTCCTTCGCTTCTCTTTTTCCTTATTCTTAGGTTCTCCAAAGGTCCCGTTCTCCATTTTCTCATCTGTGCCCTTCACTCTTCAAAATTGCCTTCATTCTAGTAAGTTTAAACTCCTTCCGCTCCCTGGAGGAGAGTCCCAAACTGACATCTCCCTGTTGTTATCTAACACAGATTTTAGTTCTGTGTAATTTACTTCATGGCAACTCTCCCCTGAGTTCCTAGTAACTGCAAGGAACTAGAATCATCTTTCCTCCAAGAAAACCATTAAGTTTGGATTTTCGTTTGTTCCTGTACATCCTGAATCTTGGCCATCTGGGTATTACCTGCCTGAAGAGCTCTCTTCTTTAAAGGTCTCTGCTAGTCATGATGCATCTCTAAGTAAAAAAGTCATTTTTTTAACATCCTACATTCTCAACTCCCGCCTACTTCCATTTGGTTCCTTTCTGTATTTAATAATTTGCTTTCGTTTTTTTCCCCATCGTATTCTGATGACACCAAGTCCCAGTAAACCATGTTACCTGTCAAATTTCTCATTTCAGTGATCTCTGTGATATAATACCATCTTGCTCACAAAGAGATTTCCATCCTCTTTCCTAAACCCTGCCTGGTGTGTTCCACACATATGATTACTTCCCTGACTCATTCCCTTAAAAATTATTCATTATTATTATTTATTTTTATTAATTTATTTTTTTTTTAAGACAGAGTCTTGCTCTGTGCCCAGGCTGGAGCGCAATGGTGTGAACTTGGCTCACCGCAACCTCCACCTCCTGGATTCAAGCGATTCTTGTGCCTATCCCCAACACCAGCACCATACCTGGCACACGGTGATCATTCAGTAAGAGTATGTGGAATGAATGAATCTGTTCTTTGGACGAAATGGGCCTCCAGCCTCTGGTCTGCTGGTCACAGTGAATTGCTTGTATTTTAAGGTCTGTTTTGCAAGGCACATTTAGAAAGCAGCCAAATCTGTCTTTATTATTAGTGATCTAACCTTGTTTTATGCTAACTGCTTTCACCTTTTAGTTTGTTTATACTATTACTTTTTGCCAATGTGCAAGGAACATTAAACATGGAGTTTTATTTACACTCAGGTCATAGGGTTATTACTAAGAGACACCTCACATCAAGGCATTAAAAAAAAGAATACTTTGGGGCCGGGTGCAGCGGCTCACACCTGTAATCCCAGAACTTTGGGAGACTGAAGCGGGCAGATCACCTGAGGTCGGGAGTTCGAGATCAGCCTGGCTAACATGGTGAAACGCCGTCTCTACTAAATATACAGAATTAGCTGGGTGCGGTGGTGCATGCCTGTAATCCCAGCTACTCGGGAGGCTGAGGCAGGAGAATCGCTTGAACTCAGGAGGTGGAGGTTGCAGTGAGCCGGGATCATGTCACTGCACTCCAGCCTGGGCTACAGAGTGAGACTCCGTCCCCAAAAAACAAAAAAAAAACAACAAAAAATACTTTGGCTGTGAGCCGGGATTGTACCACTGCACTCCAGCCTGGGCGACAGAGTGAGACTCCGTCTCCCAAAAACAAAACAAAACAAAAAATACTTTGGCTGAGCACAATGGCTCACCTGAGGTCAGGAGTTCGAGACCAGCCTGGCCAACATGGTGAGACCCCGTCTGTAGTAAAACTACAAAAATTAGCCGGGCATGGTAGCAGGCACCTGTAATCCCAGCAACTTGGGAGGCTGAGGCAGGAGAATCCCTTGAACCCGGGAAGCAGAGGTTGCAGTGAGCTGAGATCGCAGCATTGCACTCCAGCCTGGACAACGGAGTAAAACTCCATCTTAAAAAAAAAAACAAAAAAAACAAAAAAACCACAACAAACTTTTACCCCAAATCTAAATGATAGAAATCTTTGTTCTTTTCTTTCTAGACATATGGAAAGTTGATCATGTGCTGGAGCGCTTGCAGAGTGAAAGCCTGGTGAACAGAAGGAAACCATGTCATGAACATGATGCATTTGAAAATATTGTTCATTGCAGCAAAAGTCAGTTTCTGTTAGGGCAAAATCATGATATATTTGACTTACGTGGAAAAAGTTTGAAATCCAATTTAACTTTAGTTAACCAGAGCAAAGGCTATGAAATAAAGAACTCTGTTGAGTTTACTGGAAATGGGGACTCCTTTCTTCATGCTAACCATGAACGACTTCATACTGCAATTAAATTCCCTGCAAGTCAAAAACTCATCAGCACTAAGTCCCAATTCATCAGTCCCAAGCATCAGAAAACACGAAAATTAGAGAAGCATCATGTGTGCAGTGAATGTGGGAAAGCCTTCATCAAGAAGTCTTGGCTAACTGATCACCAGGTAATGCATACAGGAGAGAAACCCCACAGATGTAGTCTATGTGAGAAAGCCTTCTCCAGAAAGTTCATGCTTACTGAACATCAGCGAACTCATACAGGAGAAAAACCTTATGAATGCCCTGAATGTGGCAAAGCCTTTCTCAAGAAATCACGGCTCAACATACATCAGAAAACACATACCGGAGAGAAACCCTATATATGCAGTGAATGTGGAAAAGGCTTCATCCAGAAAGGAAATCTCATTGTACACCAGCGAATTCATACAGGTGAGAAACCTTATATATGCAATGAATGTGGAAAAGGCTTCATTCAGAAGACGTGTCTCATAGCACATCAGAGATTTCACACAGGAAAGACGCCCTTTGTGTGCAGTGAATGTGGAAAATCCTGTTCTCAGAAATCAGGTCTCATTAAACATCAAAGAATTCACACAGGAGAGAAACCCTTTGAATGTAGTGAATGTGGGAAAGCCTTTAGCACAAAGCAAAAGCTCATTGTCCATCAAAGGACTCATACAGGAGAGAGACCCTATGGCTGTAACGAGTGTGGGAAAGCGTTTGCGTATATGTCGTGTCTGGTTAAGCATAAGAGAATACACACAAGGGAGAAACAAGAGGCAGCCAAGGTGGAAAATCCTCCTGCAGAGAGGCACAGCTCATTACACACCAGTGATGTCATGCAGGAGAAAAACTCTGCTAACGGGGCGACTACACAAGTGCCTTCTGTGGCCCCTCAGACATCATTAAACATCAGCGGCCTCCTCGCAAACAGGAACGTAGTCCTTGTGGGACAGCCAGTGGTCAGATGTGCAGCCTCAGGAGATAACAGAGGATTTGCACAGGACAGAAACCTTGTGAATGCAGTGAATGTGGTTGTGCCTTCCGTGATCAATTATGTCTTATTTTATGTTACAGAAAACCCATAGGAAGAAAACTCAGATCTATGTGGAAAAGGGTTGAGCAAAAATTTGTAGTTCATTATGTGGCCGAAAAGCATACACTGAGAGAACATGTATAAGGCTGAGATAGCCTGATAAACTCATCCTATTAAAATGTATGCTGTGATACACAGGCAAATTTGATGTTAACCTAAGCACATACACAGCAATTGCTCGACTGTGTCAATTAAATGAGTAAAGGAAGCCCAAGTACTTTTAAGTGGAGGAAATGAAGTACTGTGAATTTTTAAAACAGATGAGATAATTGGTGTCGGGAGTGTTGCAGTGACTGAAAAGCTTCATAAGGGGCAGTTGGTGGGAAAGGGCTAATACTGTAATGGTGGAATGTGGGACACATATGTGTCAATTCAGTTTCCTTAGACCAGTGCCAGTGTGGAGGATTAATTGAAAACCAGGACCATAAACTTTCAGAACTTTGTATTATGCAGAGGGATCTGTGAAACTAGTCAATTTGTTTCATTAAACAAATATTTTAAAATTATTTCCTTTGTACCTTGTCCTGTTCCAGGAGCTGAGGTCAAAGAAGAAAAAGTTTGTGGTCTCCTGGAGAGTTTGTGGGGTTAATTTTAAGTGGTATCATTACACTCAGGCAATCTAGTCAGGCGGTGCAAATATCTACATTAGGTGAAATGGACATGGAGTAACTGTGTCCAGGGGACGCGATAATTTATTGTTCAAGGAGTAGCAGAAGGACTGCTGTTAATGGTACTTAAGCACCTTAGTACAAAAAGGAGGGCTTTTTGTTTGTTTGTTTTTGCCCGTGTCTTATCTCTCCAAGAGATTACAAATTCCCTGCTAAGTTTTGTAGCTACTTAAATTTTAGAATTAAAGAAACTGAACACAAAATTTAAAAATTCAGTTCCCTCACTGCTCAAGAGCTGTATATGTGAGTAGAGGCTACTAAACTGGACAGCAGAGTGAACAGAACTTTCAGACAATGAGGACTCTTTGTCATTATTTCCAACATCCCAGAAAGTTATGCTGGAGAGGCTGCTTTGCATGATCTAATATTTCCCAACACATAGAAAAACAAAAACTAATTATGTATTGATTTGGAGAGAGAATGATTTGGAAAGAGAAGCGTATTTTGTCATTGAAGGGAATGACAGTTGTAAAGAATAGAATTGTCACTCACAACTTTTGTGTGATTAGAAAGACTTAGCCAAATATAAAAGGGGCAGAGCAGAAAAGGAAAAGGACTCTTAGAATAAGTAGAACACAAAGGAGGAGGAAAATCTTAGTCTCTGAGAATGGATGAGACTGTAACAGATGGGAGGAGGTGGGTTTCTTTTGGGACGTCTTAGAGATGACGCTTTTATTTGTCCATAAGACCTATCACCCGCTAGGGTTACCATTTCAGAGATCCCAGCTTCTCTGTGACCTGCTGAACTGAGATGTGATTTTTCTTTTCTTTTTTTTTTTTTTGAGACATGATTTATCTTCATCATTCTCACTTTTCTGGGAGTAGGTCTCTTGGCCTTCTTTATCTGGTTTTTTAACCTTCATCCCATATGGATACACTGTCCAAGTTACAGTAAGTGCTGCTCATAGGAAAATAAATGGAAATTTGCCTTGTGGCTAGGTCAGAATTCAACAGAAATCCTGGGTTACTAGGTAACCTTTTTTTTGAGATGGAGCCTTGCTCTGTCGCCCAGGATGGAATGCAGTGGCACGAACTCAGCTCACTGCAAACTTTGCCTCCCGGGATCAAGCGATTCTCCTGCCTTAGCCTCCCGAGTAGCTGGGATTACAGGTGCCTGCCACCACGCCCAGCTAATTTTTTGTATTTGTAGTAGAGATGGACTTTCACCATGTTTGCCAGGCTGGTCTCAAACTCCTGACCTCGTGATTCACCCACTTCGGCCTCCCAAATGCTGGGATTACAGGCATGAGCCACTGCGCCTGGCCACTAAGTAACTTTTATATATCATCACTGTGCAAGGCACTGTTTTAGATACAGTAGGATGGATCGGTGAACAATACAGGCAAAGGAATAACCTTTATAAACTTTACCATTGAGTGAGGCAGAGAAACAGATTGTACGATGTTAGGAAGGAGAAAAAGACTAGTAGTGGATACTAATGCATACGTAGTGATGGGGGCTTTTAAAAATATGTTATTTTTTTTCTCCAAGGGAAGGCTTTTCTGGATGTAATTTGAGCCAAGACCTAAGTGTACTGAGGAGAGCCTGTTACAGCATTTGTAAGCACAGAATACTCCAGGAGTATTTGTAATTGTCTGTGAGCTTCTTGCCGCAAGTCTCTCAGAAATTTAAAAAGATGCAAATCCCTGAGTCACCCCTAGACTTCCTAAACCAGATCCTCTGGGGCTGGAACCTGGCACTCTGCATTTGTAATGAGGGCTTTCTGGTGCACACCTAATTTTGTGCATCTTTGCCCTAAATCCTGGATTAGTGCCCCATCATTACCCCCACATTATAATGGGATAGATTCAGAGCAGATACTCTCCAGCAAAGAATCAGAAATGGGCGCTCCACCAACCAGGCCCTATCCACATCTGGCCTTTGTGAATCTGCACATCCTTCCATGGTAAGGTCAGGTTGCTTATGCTCTATCAGGGTCTAAGGATGAGTTGGCCAGGCCTACCCTGAGCAATTGCTTAACGTACCTTTCAGAGCTTGACCTCCCAGATGAAGGAGGCTCAGTGCATACCTAAGCTTGGTACACATCATGTCTGCTCCCAAACCCAAGATCCTTATAGTTTCACTGAAGATCACCCTTCATCTGCTCCCATGACCTCAGTCCCTCCTGGGCCAAGAGGCAGTCCTGCATAGTGATTTGGAATGTATCCTGAAGTCACACTGCTTAGTTTGAATCCTGCCCTGCCATGCCCAAGCCATGTGCCATAGAGCAACTAATTTACCAAGGTCTTGACTTTAGCTTTAAAATATCTGCCTCAGGTTTGTTGTGAGAAGTAAATGTAAAGTCCTTAAAACAGTGTCTAGCAAGAAACACAATTAATACAAGTAATGTTATTAGTCCCAGTGAGGGGAAGAGGAGGAATCAAGAGTATAGGTGTGCCTGAACTTAATCAAAACTGTGACTTGATGACAAAAAGGTTGCCACGCACTGAGCCAAGGATTCCTCATATAGCATACTTTTTAAGCTTAATAGAGCTGTGATTATGAAACTCTCTAGCTTTAAACTTTGAAACTTGCAATGACTGTTCTGCTTGGGGTCTGGACAATGGCAAACATCCTTAAAATGGCCATCAAGTCTGCATGTTCCGGTTCTTTCTTCCCTCTCCCATACTCCACCTTGCTCTCCCTGTTCTGACACACTGGCCCTCTTTTGGCCCCTCATATGCTGCTGACATCCTTTCATCACCTTCAGGCCTCTGTGCATGCTCTTTCTTCTGCCTGAACTTTTCTTTCCCCCCATTTTCTGCATTTTTCCTCCTTCAGGATCTTCAAACATCACTAATTCAGAGCAACTTTCCCTCACCAGTCTGGCCTTCCATAGGATCGTGTTCCTCTTCTTCCTAGCACTTAGGGGAACTGCAGTTTAACATTTTGTAGATTTCCATGTGCATTCCCCATCTGGATTCTAAACTTCCTGAAGGCAGAGAGTGTGGGGAAAAGAAAGAGAGATCAGACTGTTACTGTGTCTATGAAGAAAGTAGACATAAGGAACTCCATTTTGTTCTGTACTAAGAAATTCTTCTGCCTTGAGATGCTGTTAATCTGTAACCCTAGCCCCAACCTTGTGCTCACAGAAACATGTGCTGTGTTGACTCAAGGTTTAATGGATTTAGGGCTGTGCAGGATGTGCTTTGTTAAAATGTGTTTGCAGGCAGTATGCTTGGTAAAAGTCATCACCATTCCCCAGTCTCGAGTACCCAGGGACACAATGCACTGCGGAAGGCCACAGGGACCTCTGCCCTAGAAAGCCTGGGTATTGTCCAAGGTTTCTCCCCACTGAGACAGCCTGAGATATGGCCTCTTGGGAAGGGAAAGACTTGACCCTCCCCCAGCCCGACACCCATAAAGGGTTTGGGCCCTGGAGGATTAGTAAAACAGGAAGGCCTCTTTGCAGTTGAGATAAGAGGAAGCCATCTGTCTCCTGCTCGTCCTTGGGAATGGAATGTCTCAGTGTAAAACCCAATCGTAAATTTTGTTTACTGAGATAGGAGAAAACCGCCTTATGGCCGGAGGTGAGACATGCTGGGGGCAATACTGATCTTTACTGCACTGAGATGTTTGTGTAAAGTCAAACATAAATCTGGCCTATGTGCACAACAAGGCACACACAGCACCTTTCCTTAAACTTATTTATGACACAGAGTCCTTTGCTCACATGTTTTCCTGCTGACCCTCTCCCCACCATCACCCTATAGTCCTGCCATATCCCCCTCACCGAGATGGTAGAGATAGTGATCAATAAATACTGAGGGAACTCAGAGACCAGTGCTGGTGTGGGTCCTCTGTATGCTGAGCGCCGGTCCCCTGGGCCCACTGTTCTTTCTCTATACTTTGTCTCTGTGTCTTCTTTCTTTTCTCAGTCTCTCATCCCACCTGATGAGAAATATCCACAGGGGTGGAAGGGCTGGCCCCCTTCAAGAGAGCAGGTCTGTTTTTTCCTCATCATTTCACCTCCAACATTGGGCACTAGATCAGGCACCTCGCAGATGCTGAGACAGTATTTGGTTGAATTAAGGAGTGTTGCTCCAACAGCTTTCAAGCTACTTAGCTGCCAAGTGGCAGGCTGTAGATTCAAATGTTTTCTGGCATCTAAAACTTTTTTTTTTTTTTTTTGCTTGGAGGGTTTGTTTTATTTTATGATCTCATCCTTAGATTACCCTGTGATCAGCCTCCACTCCTAGGGCGATAGAGACTCTACTGGCTGTTTATTTTTACTCTGAAATAGTTTGACTAGGTCACATAGTCATGCGATTCAAAACTTAAAGCTGTACAAAAAAGCACATTTGTGAATATCTTATCCTGTTCTCAATCCTAGTTTTCCCCTGACCTTCTAGCTTTTACAGGTAAACATGTTTACTGTGAATCCGTCCAGTGTTTCTTTTTATAATACAAGTATATATTATTTATTTGTCCTTTTTTCAAAAGGTGGCATACAGCATACACTCTTTTGCATCTTTTCTATGTTTTGTTTGTGACGGAGTCTTGCTCTGTTGCCAGGCTGGAGTGCAGTGGTGCGATCTCAGCTCACTGCAACCTCCGCCTCCCAGGTTCAAGTGATTCTCCTGCCTCAGACTCCTGAGTAGCTGGGACTACAGGCACGTGCCACCACAGCCAACTATTTTGTATTTTTCATAGAGATGGGGTTTCACCATGTTGGCCAGGATGGTCTCTATCTCCTGACCTCGTGATACACCGCCTCGGCCTCCCAAAGTGCTGGGACTACAGGTGTGAGGCACCGCGCCCAGCTGCATCTTTTCTATGTTTAATTATCACTGAGCAGCAGCACAGCACCTTGAGGGTAAGTGAAGAAGGAAAGACTGTAGCCTGTCAGCCAAATATGGTTATTTGTTCAATAGTCTTATTATTGAAGTGCTGTGTTCCAGTTTTTGTTCTGAGCACTGGGGCTAAAAATAAATTATAGACTTCTGCCTTTGTGGAACTCACAGTCCATTCTGAACAGCAGTTAAGTGAGCAGATGATGATGATCAGGAAAAATGATCTTCAATTATTCCCGGAAGAGAGATGCTTCCTCTATTTCCCTATTGAATGCCTTCTATAGTTCCCTTCCTTAGCCCCACTTAAGAGTTGCAATTTTATATTTAATGATTGCATTATTATAAATAAGACAAAACTGAGAGGCATCCCAGAATGCTGTCTGAAGAAGTGACATTTCAAATGATTCATGAAAGGACAAGTATAGTAACTAATATTCCCTCATGTTTTCCTGTGTGCCAAACACTTCACAAGAAGGGAAAGTACTTGCAAATTCCTGGTAGCGTATAAGACCACAAGATACCTCAGAAGGGGCGGAATAAGAATCAAATGTACAGCATAGAGTAATGGAACCTGAGAATGGAGAATCTGGTGTTTGCTTGTGTACAGCTGAAGGGGGCCAGCCCCTCCACACCTGTGGGTGTTTCTCGTCAGGTAGGATGAGAGACTGAGAAAAGAAATAAGACACAGAGACAAAGTATAGAGAAAGAACAGTGGGCCCAGAGGACCAGCACTCAGCGTATGGAGGACCCACGCCAGCACTGGTCTCTGAGTTTCTTCAGTATTTATTGATCACTATCTTTACAATCTCGGTGAGGGGGATGTGGCAGGACTATAGGGTAATGGTGGGGAGAGGGTCAGCAGGAAAACACGTGAGCAAAGGACTCTGTGTCATAAATAAGTTTAAGGAAAGGTGCTGTGTGTGCCTTGATGTGCACGTAGGCCAGATTTATGTTTGACTTTACACAAGCATCTCAGTGCAGTAAAGAGCAGTATTGCCCCCAGCATATCTCACCTCCAGCCATAAGGCAGTTTTCTCCTATCTCAGTAAATAGAATGTATGATCAAGTTTTACACTGAGATATTCCATTCCCAGGGATGAGCAGGAGACAGATGCCTTCCTCTTATCTCAACTGCAAAGAGATCTTCCTCTTTCACGAATCCTCCTCAGCCCAGACCCTTTATGGGTGTCAGGCTGGGGGATGGCCAGGTCTTTCCCTTCCCATGAGGCCATATCTCAGGCTGTCTCAGTGGAGAGAAACCTTGGACAATACCCAGGCTTTCTAGGGCAGAGGTCCCTGTGGCCTTCTGCAATGCATTGTGTCCCTGGGTACTTGAGACTGGAGAATGGCGATGACTTTTACCAAGCATACTACCTTCAAACACATTTTTAACAAAGCACGTCCTGCACAGCCCTAAATCCATTAAACCTTGAGTCAACACAGCACATGTCTCTGCAAGCACAAGGTTGGGGCTAGGGTTACAGATTAACAGCATCTCAAGGCAGAAGAATTTTTCTTAGTACGGAATAAAATGGAGTTTGTTACGTCTTTTTCTTTCTACATAGATATAGTAATAGTCTGATCTCTCTTGCTTTCCCCCACACTACTGGCTTCACATGGAAAGACAAACAATGGACATGGATGATTGTGCCTCAGGAATATACTCAGAGTCCAACTTATTTCTCAGAAATATTGAAACCAAATGTCTTATATGCTGCATTTTTGAAAACTATACTTTAATACAATATGTGGATGATTTCCTTCTTTGTTCAGAAGATGAGAAAGCTGCTACAAAAAGATGGGATTCACTTGTTACAAAAATTGCTTTCAAAGAGACATGGGGTCTCCAATAAAAAATCTTGAGTTCTGTCTACAATGAGTAAAATATTTAGAGTTATCTATTGTCCAAGAAAAGCCTTTTTATTGATGCAAATAGAATAAAACAAATATTTTCCTTGCTTACCCTAAAAACTAAGAAAACACCTAAGAGGATTTCTGGAACTGGAAAATTATTGCAGAAATTAGATTCTGAATTTTTCATTAAAAGCTTACCTTTCTATACCCTTTTAAAATGAGACAAGCAGACTCTCTGGATTGGACAGAGAAAAATCAATTAATGTTAGGAACAATTTAAAGGATCTTATAGATGCCCCAGTACTAGGAAATCCAAATTATTTTGTTTACGTTGTTTGTACAGGAAGATCAAGAAAATACCCTAGGCATTATGACCCAAAAACATGGGGCTCAAAAGAGACCTATATAATACAACAGTCAGCAGTTGGATTCAGTGGCTAGAGGACTACCAGCCTGCATGGGGTTAATACAGCAATCACCCTACTGGTAAACCTCCTGGGCTCAAGCAATCTTCCCACCTCAGCCTCCTACCTAGGTGGGACTTCAGGTGCATGCCAACATGCCTGGCTAAGTTTTAAATTTTTTTTCTGGAGGCAGGGGTGTCTCCTTATGTTTCCCAGGCTGGTCTCAAATTCCCGAGCTCAAGAGAGCCTCTTGCCTCAGCCTCGCAATGTGCTAGGATTATAGGCATAAGCAACCACACCCAGCCTGGAAGCACTTCTAAATTCACTCCATACTCAGAAATATTTAGTTAGCAGGCTGGTCCCTTTAGAAGTCCTACTTCTTTCTTCACCTCATATGAAACTGCCCCTAAATTTGAATGAAATGCCTCGTGATTGCATAATCTTTTTTTTTTTTTTTTTTTTTTTTGAGACAGGGTCTGGCTCTATTGCCCAGGCTGGACTGCAGTGGTGTGATTTTGGCTCACTGCAACCTCCGCCTCCTGGGCTCAAGCCATCCTCCCACCTCAGCCTCTGAGTAGCAGGGACTATAGGTGCCTGCCACCACCCCTGACTAATTTTTGTATTTTAAGTAGAGATGGGGTTTCACCATGTTGCCCAGGCTGGTCTTGAACTTCTGAGTTCAAGGAATCTACCCACCTTGGCCTCCCAAAGTGCTAGAATTACAGGCATGAGCCAGCATGCCAGCCTGGAAGCACTTCTAAATTCACTTCATGCTCAGAATTACTTAGTTAGCAAGCTAGTCCCTTTAGAAGTCTTACTTCTTTCTGGACCTCATATGACAATGTCTACATGTAATAACCTAAATTCTGCTACTCTTCTCCCCCTAAATTTGGATGAAATGCCTCATGATTGCATAACCTTAACTGGTCAGCTTTTCTCTCCTAGGACAAACCTGCAAGAAACTCATCTTAGTAACACTGGTGTGGTTTGATTTACAGACAGATCTTACTTAAAGATTAATCTCAAATTTACAAGCAGGTTATGTTATAATATCCCAAGGGAAAAAATAGAAAGTGCTTATCTTCTAGAAGCAATCTCTGCTGAACAAGCCAAATTGACAGCACTAATTAGAGCTTGTCAGTTGGCAAAATGAACAACTGCTAATTTATATACAGGCAACAGATATACCTTTGAAGTCATTCGTGACTTTGTAATACTGTGAAAATAAATAAAGAGGGTCTTGAACCTCTTCCGGCCAGTCCATAAAAAATGGATACCTTATCTCTTTATTATTAAAAAAACATTATTATAAAACTCACTACCTATTATTAAAATCCAAATCAGATACTCCAAAAAATTCCAAATCAGATACTCCAGAAAGTGAAGGAAGTCAGCTAGCTCATAAGGTTACAATGAGGACTGCCTAAATACATCTAGGCAATAAAAACAATTCATATTAACTTTGAAAGAAGCCCCCAAATTTGACATAAATTAACCCAATCCAGAGCTCTAAAAACAGAATTAGAAAATATAAAACAAAAAGGTGAAATATGGTGTGGACTAAACAACTTGCCTATACTTCCTACTGAATTACAATCATCATTTTCAACCCTACGGACTGATTTAATTCACCGGAGCCCTGATAAAGTGGTTATTGAGAAAAATAGTATTTTGAAAAGTTTCTTCAACTATAGCTCATAAAGCATTTAGTTGCTGCCATATTTGCCCAAAATATAATCCAGGGAAACCTTTACATAGTTCCTAAGAACATTTTTCTTTACCTGAGGCCCCCTTTGAGGTGTGGCAGATTTTATTCGACTACCCCATCACAAGGATACAAGTATGTTCTAGTAATGAAAGTCTGTATAGTTTCATTGGGTAGAAGCATTTCCATGCAGAAGAGCAACAGCCCTAACATTAAGTAAAATTCTCCTTGAAAAATTATTTAGACTTGAGGAGTCTCTCTAGAACTTCATAGGGGCAGAGGTACTCATTTCACTGCCCATGTAATTCAGTCACTACGTAAAATATGGCCAATTCTTTAACACTTCCATTCTGCATATCCCCCTCAGTCATCTGCATTAGTAGAATGCATAAACAAAATAATTAAAATTCAATTGGCAAAATTAACCCAGGCTTTTCACATGTCTTGGCCAAGGGCCCTTCCACTGGTTTTCCTTAACCTAAAATCCACCCCTTTTGGTAGACATCAGTTTTCCCTAATTGAGATAATAACAGGTAGATGCATGAAACTATCCCCAGGAAAGTATAAATCCATAATGCTAAAAGAAGACATATTAAATTTTTCTGACATCTTTATAAAACAACTACCTAAAAATCATAATTTGAAAAAAGACTCTTTTTATAGTGAACTCCCAGGAAACAAAGAACTTAAAACCCATGAACTTCAGCCAGGAGATTTTTTTCTACTGGAAATGATATCTAAAATGATATTTGGTTAAAGGACTCCCTTTAACCAAACTGGAAAGCGCTCTATTAGTTACTTTTTACTAATCCTTGCACTAAAATGTAGAAGGCATAGACGTGTGGATTCACATGTCTTATGTAAAGAAAGTTGAGCCTAAAAGAAAATAGTCTGTATATTGGGGGCGTCTAAAAGTTATTAGGACTTGAGGAAAGTTGACTTTGGAGACTGAGTCATAGAGCTTGACCTCTTAATTACTAACACTTTATTACAGATTAATTTCCTTCCATGTTTCCTAGATCCCAGGCCAGATGTCCCCGATATATAAGACCCTTTCACTGAAATAAAATATTCATTGACTGAGATAAAAGACTTTTTGACTATTATATACATAATGTAAAATGTTAAATATATCTTTCAAAAAAAAAGTCTCTTGACTCAAGCAAAATACTTAGGAGCAAACCTTAATTCCTCACTTTCTTCGTCCCCTTGTTTTGAACTCATCGGTGAGCCTTGTCTTCCTCCATTATATATCCTCCTTTCTAAGAAATATGTAAAGGTGGCATGAGTCTTGGTTTAAAAGGAATAAGGTGGTCCCTTAGGCCCCTTTTGTGATGCCAACCAAGACATAATTGTAGAATTATAGAAGATGCTATTAGTTACATGACAAGGGATCAGTGTATTAGGGACAATGAAATGGGAAAAATTCAGATCTGACATCTGTGTAGGTACTACATGCCAAATGTGACTGAAGGTGACAGACAACACATGTGGGCACCAGCAGTAGCACCCATTCAGTAACACATCTTATCCTATTCAGAAGCACATCTGCTTCTGGAGAGGTCTACATGGTTCATTGGCCTGTTGCAAACTTTCCAAATGATCATTGTTTCTCATCTTTCCCTCTTTCTTTAGAAGCACAGGAGAATGTGCCCACAGTGAGGCTAAAGGTTGGACACTGAGAATAAGTTTCTCTCTAAATGTGAGATTGGTGCTTTGGGAAAATTAGTTTGATGATACAGAATGAAGAAAAGGGATGCATTTTATTTTTATTTTTATTTTTTTTTATTGTTCATTCTTGGGTGTTTCTCGCAGAGGGGGATTTGGCAGGGTCATAGGACAATAGTGGAGGGAAGGTCAGCAGATAAACAAGTGAACAAAGGTCTCTGGTTTTCCTAGGCAGAGGACCCTGCGGCCTTCTGCAGTGTTTGTGTCCCTGGGTACTTGAGATTAGGGAGTGGTGATGACTCTTAACGAGCATGCTGCCTTCAAGCATCTGTTCAACAAAGCACATCTTGCACCGCCCTTAATCCATTTAACCCTGAGTGGACACAGCACATGTTTCAGAGAGCACAGGGTTGGGGGTAAGGTCACAGATCAACAGGATAAGAATTTTTCTTAGTACAGAGCAAAATGAAAAGTCTCCCATGTCTACCTCTTTCTACACAGACACCGCAACCATCCGATTTCTCAATCTTTTCCCCACCTTTCCCCCCTTTCTATTCCACAAAACCGCCATTGTCATCATGGCCCGTTCTCAATGAGCTGTTAGGTACACCTCCCAGACGGGGTGGTGGCCGGGCAGAGGGGCTCCTCACTTCCCAGTAGGGGCGGCCAGGCAGAGGCGCCCCTCACCTCCCGGACGGGGCGGCTGGCCGGGCGGGGGGCTGACCCCCCCACCTCCCTCCCGGACGGGGCGGCTGGCCGGGCGGGGGGCTGACCCCCCCACCTCCCTCCCGGATGGGGCGGCTGGCCGGGCAGAGGGGCTCCTCACTTCCCAGTAGGGGCGGCTGGGCAGAGGCGCCCCTCATCTCCCGGACGGGGCGGCTGGCCGGGCGGGGGGCTGACCCCCCCACCTCCCTAAGGGATGCATTTTAAAAACAGGATGACCATCTAAGAGTGTCACAGATACGTTGAAGTCGAAATCTGACATTCTGACTTGCCTCTCCCAAGATATTTGTTTAAAACAAGTGTGTCTGCTTATTTCCCTGATTGGATATAGGCAGTGTGTGTTTTCTCTCATAATTTGCAGCTACCTCATTTTTTAGTTTCCTTGTGTTTTTATTTTGTTTTCCCCAGCCAGAATGTAAGGTGGTGGTTCACGCCTGTAATCCCAGCACTTTAGGAGGCTGAGGCGGGTGGATCACCTGAGGTCTGGAGTTCGAGACCAACCTGGCCAACATGGTGAAGCCCCATCTCTACTAAAAATACAAAAAATTAGCTGGGCATGGTGGTGGGCGCCTGTAATCCCAGCTACTAGGGAGGCTGGGGTGGGAGAATTGCTTGAACCCAGGAGGTGGAGGTTGCAGTGAGCTGAGATCACACCATTGCACTCTAGCCTGGGTGAAAGAGCAAGATTCCATCTCAAAAGATATATATATATAATTTATATATTTATTTATATATGAAACTCTGGCTGTTCCTTATTATTGCATCATTGCTGTCACTGGGTGAAAGATAAGACTACCCATAGGCTAGAAAAATACAAAAGAAACCTACCCTCTACCATGCTACCTCAATTACTAACACAAAATCCACTCGGCCTGGCAATAAAAGTTAATGTTGCTATGATTACCCCACTTATCCACATTTCTATTCTACTACTTCCCCTACAGACACCTTCTAACATTGGCTTTCATATGGTTGGCTTCGGACCAAATCTTTTGGCATTCTCCCTCATGGCCTGACAAATTTTCCATTTAATCCCTTCATTCTCTGCCCTTCATTATGTTTATTCAAAATTTAGACATGCCTTTTACATATCATGCCATCATTCCCTATGCTCTATATATCACTTTAACCTCTATTTCCTTTACATTTCTACCATATTCCCTATCTTTGCTGATCATTTTTTAAACTGGCTGGATTTCCCCACAGAAATGATGTTAACAGTCTTTTTGAATAAATATAGAAATTGACTCTCCTAGTCTTAAAGCTTGAAACTTATATTCATTTTATCTGAGTTCGTTTCTCATGAAACCATTCAGGCCTCCCAGATAGTTCAAGGAACTGAAACTTACCAGATCACTGCATCTAGACAATGCGATGGTGGACCCCTCATCCATCATGATTGCCTAACCGACCACCTGATTCCTGTTGGCCAACTCCTCTTCCTTACCCTTCCCTAATTCCTGTTTTATATTCCTTGCCTGTTATATAAGCCACCAATTTTAGTCGGTTGTGGGGAGACAGATTTGATATTTATTTTCCTCTCCCACCTGATGTTACCCAAAAAAGCCTTTCTTCTCTCGCAATACTCATTGTCTCAGTGATTGTCTTTCTGTGTGGCAAGCAACGGGACCTAGACTGAACCCTTGGCATTTCAGTAACATCTTGACATGTAACTTCACACAACCTAGAATTCTAACAATACCTTGTGTTTAAATCCTGTATTACATACAGATATTTCATATATTTGTTACAAAAAATCATCACTACTAGAAGATATTTTCTTGTTTCTCACAAAATTCCATCCATTTTAGCATATATTAGGGCTGTGAGTTACCAAGTATGTCACAACAGCATTCCATAGAGAATTTTATCAACACTCTGCAGGGATTGTACTCCAAATCTATCAACCCAGACTCTCAGAGGGATAGGCCTTCATACATGCATTAGGTACGCATACTCCAGCAAATATTTGGATTTAAGAAACGCTTGGCTAGGAGCAGTCGCTCACGCCTGTAATCCTAGCACTTTGGAGTCCGAGGCAGGTAATGCATCAGGTGGATCACTTGGGCTCAGGAGTTCAAGACCAGCCTGGGCAACATGGTGAAACCTCATTTCTACAAAAAATACAAAAATTAGCTGGGCATGGTGGCGAGTGCCTGTAGTCCCAGCTACTGAAGTGGGAGAATCCCTTGAGTCTGGGAGGCGGAGGTTGCAGTGAGCCAAGATCATACTACTGCACTCTAGCCTGGGCAACGGTGTGAGACTCTGTCTCAATTTTTAAAAAATGACTTCCTCTTCTAGAGGAATTATCAAAAAAAACAGTATAAGCCACTTAAGAATAAATGTAACCATAAGATCTAGGACATAAAAAAGTGAATCACAAATCTTGGGGTGGGAACAGAAGAACTTGAGTAATTGGAGTATCAGAATGTTATATATAGATAGAAAATATAGAAATAGAATTGAATATTTTATACATGTCAATTCCATCCTAATTAAGGCAAACATTTAATGTGACTCCATTTACTAAGCCACTGGTACAACCTTCTGATGTGATACTGCCATTGAAAAATTTTATATGTAGTCCAGCTACTTGGGAGGCTGAGGCAGGAGGATCCCTTAAACCCAGGAGTTCAAGGTTAGAGTGAGCTGATGGCACCATTGTACTCCAGCCTGGGAGACAGGGCAAGACTGACTCTCTCTGTATAGAAAGATAGATAGATAGATAGATAGATAGATAGATAGATAGATAGATAGATAGATACATACATACATACATAGACAGATGTATATAGAGACAGAAATATAGATATATATACTATATATACATACATGTATGTATGTTTGTGATGAGAATTTAAGTGATGAAATCAAATATTTACCCAAAGTATTGCAATTGTGAAAACTGTGAGGATGAAACGAAAAAAAAAATGCTCCTAAATAAAAATCAGAAGTGTGGGTAACAGAGATTATTTTCTTGTGTTGGAATAAATCTGAAAGAAAATATTTATGAAAACGACATGGTAAAGTTGGGAACTAGAGAGGAAAAAAGCTCGACTTTAGTAGCAAACTCGTAATTTCCTCGTCCAGAAATTTGTAGACAATGATATGAATATAGGAAGGGAAATGTTTTTCATTGTTATTTTTAAGACGGACTTGGACTTGAAGAACTGAACTGCATGTAGATCCACTAGGTAAATGTAGTTTAATCACAACTGTAACCAGCAGTCAATTATTAAGCCTCAACCCATCCACTCTCCAGGGCCCTTGGGCCTCCAAAGCTCCAGCCTCTTCAGGCCCCTAAACCACAGACATGTACAGGCCTCCTCAAACATTGACTCCAAATTAAATCTGAAACCGCAAACTAAAACCTCTTTCACTAAAACATTCTCCAGCCCCAAGCTTCTCTATCACATTAAATTGCAAACCCGGAATGGACACCAAGTTCATTCACTGATACACACTTTCCTACCCCGTTTCTCAACCACTGATTCCCACGGCATTCCCTCAACGACCATAAACCTTGACAGTCGGTCGTTAATATCTTCCAGTCTCTTAATTACTGACCGCCAGGCGCCCTATCACCAAAGCCAGGCTTCTCCATTGAGTAAACCCAGAAAGAACCCCAGGACGCGGGGTCCCACACGGTCTCAGAACAGGGGGCTCCCCTTCACTGACCCCCACAGGCCTTTCACTTGGAGCCACATCCAGACCCCGACTCATCTGATCCTGAGTCTCTCCGGACTCCACCGAACGCTGGGACCAAACACTGAGCCTGCGTCCAAAACGACTTACATCTCCCTCCGCAGCCGTTGCTAGGGACTTCGAGGGCCCTCGGCGTCTGACCGCGAAACCAGCCGTTCCCAGACGACAGAATTCCTCCCTCGGCCTCGTATTGTGACGTATCATGGCCACGCCCATCTCGGCGACTCCCACCAGAGAACCCGGAAGGGCTGTTACCACGGCGTTGGAAGACAGTGAATTAATTTCAGGGCACCTCAGTCACTGCGCAAACTGGATAAATTGTCAGAAAATTATAAAAACTTTTAACAGCCTGAGCAAAAAAATAAGATGGCCGCGCGCTGTACCCCATATTGAGCCGTTAGGAAGAAGCATCGTGGCTGCAGTTCATCTTAGGAGGTGTCAGTTTCCATTCAGTAGAAAATACAATCTGTTGGGAGTTTAGGGCGGAATGTGGAGTATTTCTGAGGGCCTCTTCAGGACCAACAAGGTGTGCCAAAGGCGAAGTGGCTGAAGGGGAATAGGGGGACAGCGGTCACAGAGTGGACCAAATTTGTGGATGTTCTGAATCTCCTTCAACGGATGCAGAAAAGAATGGGCAAGGCTAGTCTAGCCGAGAATTGTCTTGAGGCCAAATACGGGAGCGATCTCTATGAGGACCAATGCCCACGTGCAACTGCATACAGTGTGTGGTTACCTGTAATAAGGAAAAAGGAATGAGGCCTCAAATTTAATCAAATATTTCCCTGAAACACTTGAAGATGGAAATGGAGCATATAAGAGTGTTAAATAACTAAAGAGGCCGGGTGCCATGGCTCAAACATGTAATCTCAGCAATTTGGGAGGCTAAGTCAGGAGGATCACTTATGCCCAGGAGTTGGAGACCAGCCTGGGAAATATAGTGAAACACTGCCTTTACAGAAAAAATACAAAAATACAAAAATTAGCAGAGTGTGGTGGCATGCACCTGTAGTCCCGGCCACTCTGGAGGCTGAGGTGGGAGGATGGCTTTAGCCCAGGAGGTCCAGACTTCAGTAAGCCATGATCAGGCCACTGCACTCCAGCCTGGGCGACAGAGCACGACCCTGTCTCAAACACAACAAAAACAAAAACAAACTTTAATTTTTTTAAATTACTAAATAATGCAGTTACCATTTGGCAAACCGCATGCTTAATAAATGTCGGCTACCATTTTTATGAAGGCATGGGGTGATGTGCCTTTTGAAAGAGGCAACCTGGAACTGAGTATCCAGTTAAATTTATTTAGCTGGGATGCCAACTTCTGAAAGGTGATTTCAACACCTGGTCCCAAGGACAGGCCTGGGAAGCCCAGTAGCGCACCCTGATTTATGTGTTCAGGGAGTAAGATGCTACGACTGCTATGATAGGATGTGCAGATTCACAAGGCAAGAAGTAGAGAGAATCTGAAGTCCAGGTTGAAGAAGAGTTCATTTCTTATACTCTTAACTGTAGAGCATCTGTACTGAATCCATCCTGTTACAGGCCACTACTTTATGTTTGTTCTTCAGTGTATCCTGTGTGTACAAGTGTCTACCACAGTGCAGATGCTCAAAAACTATTTGTTGTAATCACCCGATAACCCAGACTTCGGGTTTCCACTGTGAGGCAGCCACTTTATGGCAAATTTCCACTTTATTTTTCCTTGTGAGCAGGACTGTTTCTAACATGGATGTATCTTTATTAGATCAAGGGAAGGAACTCTGAGTATAGGAGAGGACAAGGGTCTTAACCCCAAGTGAGAAGGAATGATGAAGAGAAATCTTATGTTCCAATTCAGCATACCACAGAGGAGCCAGGATCTTTAAAACAGTAGCAGCTCTCCAAGGTGACAGGTCTGTAGATAAATTTAAGGGTTCTTATCCAAGATATCCAAAAGGATCTCACCTTTACCCATCTTACATGCTGTCCTTTATTTTTAGAGAATGAAGTTATTTTGTTCTTTTATTGGGCTTATTCTGTGAATCCTATTCCTTCTCTCTTCTGCCCCTCTTATGACAGAAATGAGTCTCTATTCAGATTTTTTTAAAGTTTTTTTTAGAATAATACTAATCCTTAGAAGTTCTTGCCAGTAGTTCCTTTCCTTCAATGGCAAAAGTAATTTTGATAATTGTCCACTGGGTTATTCATGCACCTTCATTCATCTTCCAAATCTACATATAATTAATTTCTATTTTGGTATCTGCTAGGGTATATACAATTGCCTACAAACTATCAAGGAATTTATAATTTAGGTAGAGAGAAGACATGAACACTTTTTAGAAAAGTATTCATATCCTGTTTTATGTAAGGAAAATTGAGTCCTTTCCCCTTCCCACTCCAAATATGTCCCTTGAATAAGAAATTATCAGGACAATTTGATCTTATATTGTATGTCTCTTTCAACTGATATAGGCATATGCATTTTTTAACTACAGCTGCTGGAGGGTAAAATAGCTACATGCATATAATCCAGCTTTTTAAAAATGCTGGCTTGCAATTTTGCTTTGTTTCCCACTGCCATCATCCACGGTTCCTAGATAAAGGAAATAGTTTCAGGTAAAGAAAATAGATCATTCAAACTATTCTGAATGGTGCTTATGCCAACAATAAGACAAACCACAGGGTTAGGATGAGGACTACCTTCTAAATTAAGAGCATGGCCAATTGGTTATTCACAAGTTTTGAACTTCATTCCTCTGGGGTGATTATTTATAAAGTTAAACACATCCAAACTTGTTGTGTTACATTATTAAATTAAATACATTTTTCCTTTTGAAGAGCTTCAGTAGTCTGAAATAACAAGTGAAGAAATTTGGAATCAAAGAAACACAAGAGCTAATCATATAATGATCTTGGTTGGGAATAGAAGACTCTTATCAAAAAAGGGGGAAGAGGTACATTGTGCTATAAATTTAACCAATGATGTGTAACACTGACAACCCCTTTTAATTAGTCATTGACATATCAACTAGTGATTCAAGGTATATTGTCCTAAAATACACATCCTGTATATTATCTGCCATATAATGATGTTAGATTTCTGATCGAAATCTCTAAAATACTCCTTTTCACAGGGCTTATTTGCTTCGTGTGTTCTTTCATATTTTGATGAAGATGTTCTAGTTACATTTTCATAGTTTTATTTCTATATGATTCCCTCTGAGGATAAGGCAGAATGTACCACTAGCAACCCTGCCACATTCATAGCCTTCAAAGGTCTTCCAAAAGTTTCTCTCCTGTGTAAACCCCCTGATACCTACTGGCGTACTGTTTCTGAACAAGGACTTTTCCATGATCATTATATTTCTACCAACTATAAGCTCACTGAAGATGTGATCTATGGTCACTGATGAGAAGATCTATCTTCCCATAAAAGAATTTCCCAGTCTCCACTTCATACTATTTTTCTCTGAGTATATGCTTATTAGCCATAAGGTTTTATTCAAGGGCTTTCCACCTTGAATATATCAGTTTGTTCCTCTGTGTTTTTTGTGACATATGATGTAATTGATCACTGAAAGCACTACCACATTCACTGCATTCATATGGTTTTTATTCTGTGCAAATTCTACTATCTGCTGAGACTGAACTTCTGGCAACAGGCTGGCTCACAATGGCTACTTTGCTCTCTGCTTGGAACGCACTGTTAGTTAATGAGGTCTGAGCTGCCACAGAAGGCATCTGCAGAGTCACCATGTTAACAGAGTCTTTATCCTGTATGAGATCACGTGTATGTGATAAGCTATGACTCTCTGAGCAAGGATTTTCCAATTTGACTGAACCTACACATTTCTCTCTTGCATGCAGCATTCCCTTATGATAAACAAGGCATGACAAGTGGGAGAAAGCTTTCCCACAATCAGAGCATCCATACGGTCTCTCCCCTGTATGAGTTCTCCGATGTCTGTTGAGACATGATTTATCTCTGAAAGCTTTCCCACAGTCACTGCATGTATAGGGTTTCTCTCCTGTGTGAATTCTCTGGTGGTTAATGAGACCTGACTTGTGTGAGCAGGATTTTCCACACTCAGTACATACAAAGGGTGTCTTTCCTGTGTGAAATCTCTGATGGGATATTAAACATGTCTTCTGGCTGAAGCCTTTCCCACATTCATTGCATACATAGGGTTTCTCTCCAGTGTGAGTACGTCGATGAATAAGGAGGTTGCCCTTTTGGATGAAGCCTTTTCCACATTCATTGCATATATAGGGTTTTTCTCCAGTATGAATTCGCTGATGTACAATGAGATTTCCCTTCTGAATGAAGCCTTTTCCACAATCACGGCATATATATGACTTCTCTCCTGTGTGAGCTTTCTGATGTGCATTGAGCTGTGATTTCCAGCGGAATGCTTTGTCACATTCAGTGCATTCATAGGGTTTCTCTCCTGTATGAGTTCTCTGGTGTTCAGTGAGCCTGGACCTTTTGGAGAAGGCCTTCCCACACAGGCTGCATCCATGTGGTTTCTCTCCTGTATGAACTCTCTGATGATTAATGAGCCGAGACTTCTTGATGAAGCCTTTTCCACAATCACTGCATATATATGACTTCTCTCCTGTATGAATTTTCTGGTGTGCATTGAGCTGTGATTTCCAGCGGAATGCTTTGTCACATTCAGTGCATTCATAGGGTTTCTCTCCTGTGTGGTTTCTCTGGTGTTCAGTGAGCCCGGACTTTCTGGAGAAGGCTTTCCCACATATACTGCATCCATGAGGTTTCTCCCCAGTGTGAACTCTCTGATGATAGATGAGGCGAGACTTCTTGAGGAAAGCCTTCCCACACTCAGTGCATACATGGGGTTTATCTATGTTTTGAGTTCGCTGATGCTTAATGAATTGTGAATTTGTATTCACAGAATTTCCACCTTCGGGGAAGTTCATTTCATTATGAAATTGTTCATGCTTGGCATGAAGGAAGGATTTCCCATCTCCATTAACCCCCACAGAATTCTTGATTTCATACCTTTTGTTCTGGTTGACTAAACTTAAATTTGATTTCAGTATTTTCCCATGTAAGTCAAATGTATCATGATTTTGCCTTAAAGGAAAATCACTTTTCCTCTGATGAATGATGTTTCCAAATGCATTATGTTTATGGCATTGTTCCACTCTCTTCAGACATCTTTGCTTTTGTGAGTGCATCTGTAGATGATTGTCAACTTTCTTGATTTCTAGGAAAGAAGAGAACAATAAATCTTTCCATGAGCATGGAATAGAACTATTTCACAAACAGTCTTGTACAGGCTGGCTCTACTGACCACACTATTTCCACTGTTTAAAAAACTCCAAGTAGATATGCCTATTGTCACTTGGACAAGAATAAACCATTATAATTTAAACAAAGAAAACAAAAAATAAAAGCAGTCAGTGTATAAACAAGGTAAATTTCTCAGGAAATGGCAAGTTAATTCCTGCTCGGACTCATGCCAGAAACCTTACTATCATCTTTCATTTGTATGTTTGTCTCACACCCTTTGTCTACTTCAGTAGTAAATTCCTTATGTCTTTTATAAATATACAGTAATCCCTCATCTATGGGCGATATGTTCCAAGACACCCCCCACACCATGGATGCCTGAAACTCTGAATCATACTTAACCCTATATCCATTATGTTTTTTCCTGTACAGTGCATACATACCTATAATAAAGTTTACAAACTAGGCACAGCAAGAGATTAACAATAACAAATAATAAAATAGAAGAATTATAACAATAGGCCAGCATCACACTCTTGAGCTTTGGAAGCATTATTAAGTAAAACAAAGGTTACTTGAACACAAGCACTGTGATACCTTGACAGTTGATCTGATAACCAAGATGGCTACTAAGTGACACAGGTGGGTAGGGTACACAGCATGCATATGCTGGACAAAAAATGATTCCTGTTCCAGGATGGAGCAAGATGGTGCAAGATTTCATGCTCCTTGGAATGGTGAGCAATGTAATTAAGAATTGTTTATTTCTAGAATTTCCCATTTAACATTTTCAGACCATAGTTGACCACAGGTAGCTGAAACTGTAGAAAGAGAAACTGTGGATAACAGGGGACTCCTGTATTCTGAAACTCACTAACACTCACCCCTTCTACCTAGATGGAAGAGAATCACTCTTTCTGGTACTATAGCAATAGCCTCCCAAGTGGACTTCAGGCTTCAACCTCTGCCTTCTCCTGTATACTTTCTACAAAGTAGTCAAAGTGATCCTTTTAAATATAAATGACATCATGTCACTCTTCTACTCAAAACTCCCTCATGTTTCCTCATCTCATAATTTTTTAAAAAATCAAGTCATGGCCGGATGCAGTGGCTCACGCCTGTAATCCCAGCACTTTGGGAGGCCGAGGCACGTGGATCATGAGGTCAGGAGATCAAGACCATCCTGGCCAACATGGTGAAACTCTGTCTCTACTAAAAATACAAAAAGTAGCCAGGAGCGGTGGCTTACGCCTGTAGTCCCAGCGACTTGGGAGGCTGAAGCAGGAGAATCGCTTGAACCAGGGAGGCAGAGGTTGCAGTGAGCTGAGATCACAGCACTGCACTCCAGCCTGGAGACAGAGAGAGACTCTGTGCCAAAAAAAAAAAAAAAAATCAAGTCATTAAAATGTCCTTGAAAGGTCATACATGACCTGTCTACCCCAAACTCCAGATCCCACCACACTGTCCTTACTTCCGTATTATCTCCGACCACTGCCCCTCTTGTTCACTCCTCTGTATTCACACAGGCTTCCTTGAAGTTCCTCAAACACACACCTGCCTTGGGCCTTTGGACCTGCTATTTTGTCTACTTGGAAGGTAATTCACCAGGGGGACGTATTCATGTCTGTCATACAGCTGCTCAAAGGCATCTGACCAAACAGCCATTCCCACTCCCGGCATCCCTCATTATACTTTGTTATTGGTCTTCCCAGCATTTTTCACCACAAGACATTTATCCATTTTGATTAATTTTGTGCCTCTTCCTTTTAGCAGGTAATCTCCAAGAAGAATTTTGTTGTTGTTATTGATGTTCACAGCTGTCAGGGCCCATATGTAATAGTCTATCAAAAAATATTTAAGGCAATGAAACAAGGAAAGTAAGGGACACACTGCGGAAACTACTTCAAATGTAGTGCTTTATATATAGTTGGCTTTGAATTTATGAAAAGGAAAAGGAAAACAAACTCTGTGTAGGCAAGATGATACCATATCATGGTGATTCAACTAGAATATCACCTGACAGATGAGAAATTTCCATCTTATATGACTGCTATGATTCACTGGGACTCAGTGCCATCAGACTATGGTAAGAACAGAAAAGCTTTAAGGGAATAAGTCCAGCAATATAATTTAAGAGAAACTAAATAATAGGCAGAATTAATGATTCCAAAAGGAAATTGAAGCAAAGCAGGCATGAGGTGTAGTAATCTGGTTTGGGTTGGAAAGAGAATGAGACTACTTCAAAAATCAATTGAAAGAGCAAAGACTTTAAATACGGTAGCTGAGGAGGCAGGGAAGTTTCAAGGTAACCCTGTGGTGGCCAGGATCGACTCAAGGAGTTGACATGCAAGTGGGTAAAAAATAGGTACAAACATGTAAGTTAGGAAATATTAAGGGAGATGTCAATCTGAGAATCTCCATAGAGAACAAGAACTTAAGTCATTAGAATGAAGGAAACTTTTAAAGGATATGAGAACAGAGCAAAATAAATGGGAAACAGAACCTCTGGAGGACCTCAGAGTGGGAGAAAAAAGAGAAGCTAAGGAAGCAAATATATGCAAAGCAACAGACCAGGTTACTAAGGGGGCACAGAGTCCAAGATAGGGTGGGAAGACCTTTGGAAAAAAAAAATCAACATTATCTAAAGGGGCAGAAAGGTATAGTGGTCAGGAGAGAGTGCTGATATCCAAGACCACTCTTTGGAGACAGACATGGAAGGAGGAATTTCATAGCAAGAGAAGTAGAAGGAACAGGTAGTGATGCTCTGATGGGGGAACAAGAAATGATGAGATTTGAGAATCCTAAAAAGGAAGAAACCTTGAGAAAAACAAATCAAACCTAGATTAAATAAAGAGTGATGAGGCCGGGTGTGGTGGCTCACACCTGTAATCCCAGCACTTTGGGAGGCCAAAGCAGGTGGATCACCAGAGGTCAGGAGTTTGAGACCATCTTGGTCAACTTGGTGAAACCCCGTCTCCACTGAAAATACAAAAAAATTAGCTGGGCGTAGTGGCGGGTGCCTGTGATCCCAGCTACTGGGAAGACAGAGGCAGGAGAATCGCTTGAACTGGGAGGTAGAGGATGCAGTGAGCCAAGATTGCACCACTGGGCTCTAGCCTGGGTGACAGAGTGAGACTCCATCTCAAAAAATAAATAAATAAAATAAAATAAATAAAAAATAAACAGTGATGAAATCCAAGACGCGATAACGAAGCAGATGTTCCTCTAAATACCCGAAGGAGAAAGAGCTTTTGTGTGGGGAGAGGGATACATGGAGGCTCTGTCCACACAGCCTCAGATGCCCTGACAGCTCAGACACTGCTGAACAACTATCATGTGACTTGCTCAGCCACCCTCCTTGCTGGCTCTCACCCTGAACTCACCTGGACAGATTTGGCTGTGGATTTCATTTTCTACTGTCCATGGCTCTCCTTGTTCCAACTTGAAGAGTGCATCTGGTTTGCTGGCTTGATACCCTGTTCATAGGAAATGATACACAACTTAGGCTCATTGAATTGAGCTGTGGTCTATCAACATGGGACCATGTTCTGTTTTAGGAACTATGTAATTTATGTGTCTGCAAAGCAAAGGGATTTTCCCTCTAAAGGGGGCACATTACACTCTTTTATCTGGGGCCAGAGAGGGTACAGAATCTACCACTTCAGAGCACCACAGGCCCTCCAGAGCTTTTGAAAGCTGAGAAAGCAAAGGCCTTTGACTGGGTACTCTCTGAGTGACACAGGGCAGCTGTCCTCACCCACTGACACGAGGTTGCTATAGTTCTCCAACATCACGTCTCGGTACAGGTCCTTCTGAGCAGGGCCGAGGAGCTGCCACTCCTCCCAAGTGAACTCCACAGCCACATCCTCCAGGGTCAGTGATTCCTGTAATAAGAGAGTCCTGCTTAATATGAAGTATTTCTCTCATTTATATGGAAGAAATGTGAAGAACATTGTTCTGCTCATTTTTACCAAATAGTCTGCATCTATATATCTAGGTGCTGTGATTTTTAAAAAAATACATTGTCATAGAGGCAAAAATCCATCTCCAAAATCTATCTATATTCAAAATCTATCTCTAGCAAAATATTCTGTAATTGTGTAATTATCTATCATTTAACAAATCAGAAGTTTCTATAAGAACCAATCATTTAATCCTCTTGCTAATCCTCTTTTTTTTTTTGAGCACCTATTTGCCAGGCACTAAATATATTTTAGCAATATCAGGATGAATAAAGCATACTTCTTTATTCATCATGAATCTTCAATGAATCTTCATGTGCGCTACCAGAATCAACCAGGAAGAAACCCCAAACACTACAAGATACTACATAATAAATAAGTATATTTTATATGTTAGGAGGAGTAAAAGACTCTTTCCAAAACATGTCCAAAGAACAAGAGACAATTAAGTATTATTACCCCCTACTGCTAAATGTGACTGGCTTACAAAATAAATAAATAGGCCAGGCATGGTGGCTCACACCTGTAATCCCAGCACTTTGGGAGGCCTAGGCGGGCGGATCACCTGAGGTCAGGAGTTTGAGACCAGCTTGCCCAACATGGTGAAATCCCTATCTTTACTAAAAATACAAAAATTAGCCAGGCATGGTGGTGCATGCCTGTAATCCCAGCTACTCGGGAGACTGAGGCAGGAGAATCACTTGAACCCAGGAGGCAAAGGTTGCAGTGAGCCAAGATCATGCTACTGTACTCCAGCCTGAGTGACAGAGCGAGACTTCATCTCAAAATAAATACATAAATAAAAATAAAATAAATAAATAAATAATAAAAAAGAAAATACAAAATATTATTCAAAAACCATACACACACATATGGGTTTTGAAGTATTTATATTTATGTTATCAGGCGTGTAAGCAGCATAACTGAAGAGATAGTCAATGAACTGGTAAGTAGATCTGAAAAAACTACCAAAAATGCAACAAAAGGACAGAATGATGCAATATATAAAAGACCAGATTAATAAATACAGAGGATAGGTAAGGTCTAGCATGTACCAATTTAGTTTGTGAAAGAGAAAATACAATAATGGAAAGGTACTATCCAAAGATCTAAGGGCTAAGGCAGATACGTCTGTAAATATATATACATATATATACATACATACAAATATATGCAAACATGTATACATGTATATTTATTTATTCATGTGTCATTTAATAACAAGGATACATTCTGAGAAATGCATCATTAGGCAATTCTGTTGTTCATCCATCACAGAGTGCACTTACTTAAACCTAGATGATACAGCCTACTACATGCCCAGGCTCTACGGTATAGCCTATTGCTCCCAGACTATAAACCTATACAGCATATTGCACATATATATATATATATATATATATATCCATGTACATTTATATACTTACTTTTTTTAACGTATTAAAGGATGAGGGTGTAAGAACTGGCTTTGAACATGGAAAAAGAATGTGCACAATCTTACACAGGGGGATGTTGTAAAGCAAACCCTCTGGATCCCAACAACCCATTCCCTTACCAGACAACAGTACTTTCAACTCCCTACTGCCAATCCTGTCTCAAACAGTAAGTCAGCCACCTGTTCATACAGAGAACCTTAGAAAGTCATGCAATCCCAGCCTGGGCAACATGGCAAAACCCCATCTCTACAAAAAATACAACCATCAGCTGGATGTGGTGGCACATGCCTAGCTACTTGAGGGGCTGAAGCAGAAGGATCTCTTGAGCCCAGGAAATCGAGGTTGCAGTGAGCCATGTTCACACCACTGCACTCCAGCCTGGGTGACAATGTGAAACTCAAAAGAAAAGAAAAAGAAGAAAAATGAAAAAAAAATTTAGAAAAAGAATAAAAAAAGAAAGTTGTGCAATCTTTCCATTTTCCTCAGCCTTTCAGGTTTTATTCCTGGATGACCCTACCAGCCATAAGACTGGGTCCTTGGGTAACCTTGCCTTGGACCCCTGAACTGTGTCCTCTGAGTTCCTTTGGCCTCTTCCCAAAAAGGTCTCTGAGGACCTGTGCTTTGGCATGTATGAGAAGGCTGGGCTTATGGCATTTATATTCGGGGCCAGGCGTGGTGGCTCATGCCTGTAATCTCAACACTTTGGGAGGCCGAGGTGGGAGGATCATTTGAGGTCAGGAGTTCAAGACCAGCCTGGCCAACATGGTGAAACCCTGTCTCTACTAAAAATACAAAAATTAGCCGGGCAGTCGTAGTGCATGCCTGTAATCTCAGCTACTCGGGAGGCTGAGGCAGGAGAATCACTTCAGCCTGGGAGGCAGAGGTTGTGGTAGGCCAAGATGGCACTACTGCACTCCAATCTGGATGACAGAGTGAGACTCTATCTCAAAAAAAAAAAAAAAAAAAAAAGAAAAAAGACATCATCTGTCACACCACCTCTAGGAAGAACCATCTAAAAACTGTCCTGGGACCTAAGTGCATTTAATAGTGACACCTCTCGGGAACTGGTCTGCTTTCTCCTGAGAGTCAGTGCATATCCTGTGACCAAGGACTCTCTGGATGTGATGACAGTCAGAGACATTAGACAGAAGGTGACAGCTACTATAACCCACAGGATGCTCCGGTCACACATTAGGTTCCAACATTAGTCATTTTGTGTGAATTCCATTGTGCTGTTTTTACTCACATTTCTGACACCAAATGTGTGGGTTTTTGCTCACATCAACCAATTCTCCAATTCTCTAACACCCAATAGGTGTCCAACGATTAGATTCAATTCTGACACCAACTCCTGGAAGACCCATAGGTTAAGGTTTCAATCCCACAAGACCAACCTCACTTCAGACACCAGTCACAAGTGTGAGGTCCCCAGGTTACAAAGACTTTTGTCCCTTGGCTACAAATGTGGGGATTTCTGCAACCCACCTTGAGGTTCAATAATCTACTAGAACAACTCACAGAGCTCAGGAAAGCACTTTACTATTACTGGTTTATTTACAACCCAGGAATAACCCAATGGAAAAGCTGCACAGGGCACAGTATGGTGGTGTATGGGCATAAATTTCCATGCTCTCTCTGCACACACCAACCTCCCAGCACCTCAATGTGTTTACCAACCCAGCTCTCCAAACCCTGCTGTTTAGGGGTTTTTATGTTACACAGGCATGGTTGAATAAATCATTGGCCACTGGTGACTGAACTCAATCTCCAGCCTCTCTCTGCTCCCTGGAGATTAGAGGTAGTACTGAAAGTTCCAAGCTTCTAATCAAGGCTTGTTATTTCTGGCAACCAGCCTCCATACTGAAGCTACCTAGGGGTCCACTGAGAGTAGTTTCACTACAAAAAAAGAGGACCAGGCATAGTGGCTCACAACTGTAGTCCCAGAACTTTGGGAGGCCAAGGGAGACAGATTGCTTCAGCTCAGGAGTTAGAGACCAGCCTGTGCAACATGGTGAAACCCCATCTCTACAAAAAAATACAAAAAGTTAGCTGGGCCTGGTGGCACACACTCCCAGCTAGTTAGGAGGCTGAGATGGGATGATCGCTTGAGCCCAGGAGGCCGAGGTTGCAGTGAGCCAAGATTGCACCACTGCACTCCAGCCTGGGTGACAAAGTGAGACCCTGTCTCAAACAAAAAAAAGACCCTTATCATTCAGGAAATTCCAAGGGTTTTAGGAGCTCTATGCCAGACAAAGACCAAGTATCTTTCTATGATACCACATGTAAACAATATAGTCCTGATCCTACTTTGCCTAGATGTTGAAATTACAATCTAAATTTACTGATGCACAAATCCTAGTTTACCAAATTATACTTTTTGACTTAATTCAACTGACTTTTAAAGTCTTCCAGAAATCAATCATGTGATGAAGGAAAGACTAAAACAAACAAAAAGTCACCTGGGACTTGATCATTTTCTTTTGTTACTGGGAAATAGCCAGTAAGTAGGATGCTGTGTCTGTAGTCTCTCCTTGAGCTGCCCTCAATTTCTGGCTAGAAATCTTGGTCTCTGGTGAATTACATCCCTGCAAAGGATGGTATCCAGGTCCTGGAACCTCCTCCTCACCTCACTTGAAGTGTCTTGCTCCTGAAGTCAGGACCTGTGGGCTGAAGAGTAAATTGATTTGAGTGTACATTCCCTGCAGGCCCAGGTGCTGTCACTGCTGCTGTGTTCTCACCTTAATGCAAGGCCATCTCTAACTGTCCCTTTATTTGGGGCCCCAGAAGTTTTAACCCACCCTGGGGCAACAACAAATCCTGGAGCAACAAAACATAAGATTCTACAGGTATGGCCAATACATTTACAAACTGTCTTTCTTCTGTGAAATGTAAGTGAGGTGACTGTGAGAGGGGAGATGGGAAAGGAGAACCAGCACCAACATGATGCTGCAACACCAAGAAACTTCTTAGATCAGGTTTTAGAAAAAGGACAGAGAAGGTGAGGAATTGGATATTTATTTCTTTAAAACCACGTGTGTCCACATGCCTGGTCAAAAGTCATCATACACCTCACATGTAGGCATGCCTCAGTTTGAAGACAAATGTATTAAGCCAAGCAGAGGGGTTGTTGTATTTGAATTCTCATTACTACCTTCTGCGTTACATCCTTATAAAGTATCAATCATTATTTCCCATTCCAACATTGACCTAAGGCTTACAGATTTGACTATATTGTCCAAAAGCAGAAGTAGAATCTGAACCCACACAGCCTGTCTCCAAGAACATGACCTTAGCCTCTGCTGAATACCTTTGGACTGCATACCATCATCATACATCTTAGCTCTCTTTGCTACTACCTTGAGGGAGTTTCATTCATCATGGAAGATGGCCACTGTCATAGACATATAATCTGACCTTCTGAAATCAGCACTGCCAACAGTGACACAGGCACAAAGACAAATGGAAAAACTGCACGCTACACCCTTGGCCTGAAAGCAGCAGGTCAGAGAGTGGCGGCCCCAGAGGCTTTTTTTATGCCCAATTCTAAAACTCAAGTAAGAGGCTCACATGGTGAGAGCATCAACTGGATGGAGTCACCCTAAGCTTTCCTTCCACCTGGGTGGAATCATTGTGACAAGCTCCCGGTGGCCCTCCTGCATGCTCCAAACCCACAGGGTCTGCACTGACTCATCCTTTAACCCACAGCTGCAAATGCTCCCCTTCCCTCTGCAATCTCAGAAGCACGTAATTGTGGCAAGAGATGTTTCACACTTTTCTTCTTAGAACGCCACTAGTGGAAAGGTGCAGAACCCAAATGATCTAACATTCCTGGGCAGGAGGTGGTGGATGCAACATTTCAGTGACATCCAGGGTGTGTATTTCAAACAGCAAGGCTTCCTTTCCCATGAGCTTCCACAGCCCCTTTCCCAGGAATAGCTGAAGAGCTTCTACTTCATTTTTGACCCTTATGAGCTTTCTGGAGAATGTAATCACGCCTGTTTGCTCCAGTGGCTAAGTCCTTTCCCTGGAGGAGTATATTTCCTGAAAACTCATGTATGTATAGGAAGCCATAAAGAAAATTTCCATAAATTCTAAAGCATCACTACCAAACAGGACGTGTTCACAAATCATCATCATATGAAAGAAACAACAAAGAAAAGTATATTTAAAAAATTAAAAAACATAAAATAAGACTATGTATTATTTTTCAATATGTACACATTTAATAAAACATGCATTATATGAAATTAGTTCAAGGGAATAGTTATCCCTAGGGATGGAGGAGAGGAAAGGGGGTGGATTAGAGGATATCACTGAAGGTGCACTTGCATCAGTTTATTTCTTTTTTAAAAGTACCAACAACAAAAAAAACAAAAGCATATATACTGTGGAGGAAAATCTCATTGAGTAAAAATGGCAGAGTAGGTAGGTCCAAGGGTCCGTCCCTCTATCGAAAAATCAAAAACTCAAGTAAAAAAACTATCAAAAAATCAAGTAAAAACAATCAAAAAACAAAAACTTGGTCAGAACTCTGAAAAATAGTCAAAGGTTTACAACAACAGAACAAATATTGAGTCAAAAAAAAGGTGACTGGCCGGGCATGGTGGCTCATGCTTGCCTATAATCCCAGCACTTTGGGAGGCTGAGGCCAGAGGATCACTTGAGGCCAGAAGTTCAAGACCAGCCAGGCCAACATGGTGAAACCCCATCTCTACTAAAACTACAAAAAGTAGCCAGGTGTGGTGGCACATGTCTGTAGTCCCAGCTACTCAAGAGGCTGAGGCAGGAGAATCATTTGAACCTGGCAGGTGGAGGTTGCAGTGAGCTGAGATCACACCACTGCACTCCAGTCTGGGTGACAGAGCTAGACTCCATCTCAAAGAAACAAAACAAACAAGAACAACAACAACAAAATGGTGACTTAAAAATAGTAGGAAAGTTCTGTGCCATTTTTATCTGTCTTTGCTCCACCCCCTCCCCAGCTCAGTGATGGTCTTAAAGATTGTGGCCAACATTCCCAACGTGGGAACCTGGATTCAGGCCCTGGAGGGAACAGAATAGACTTTATTCACAAATAATTTTGTTTAGCTGAGTGCAGTGGCTCATGCCTGTAATACCAGCACTTTGGGAGGCTGAGGTGGGAGGATCACTTGAGCCCAGGAGTTTGAGTCTGTGGTGAGCCATGATCTCGTCACTGTACTCCAGCCTAGGTGACAGAGTGAGACCCTGTCTCAAAAATAAAAATAAAAAAATTGTTTGTTGTCTATTCTAACTACCTGAAGGACCTATGCAACAGGCCCCTTCCTGTTTTGGAATTCACTCAGGGAGGAAAAGTAATGGGCATTTCTCAAACACTTTGTGAAGCAGAACAACAACCTTCAGCTGCCTGGGGCAAAAGATTACACTTGAGTCACAGAGGAAAGGTTGTGAGAAAAAGGTAGGAGGAAAGTGTCTTGAGGAAATTATACCATTCAAAAGCACTCGTATAGACTGAGGAATATATAAAAGCCACACGCATGCACAGGGGAGGATGTTGGCTGAGAAAAGACCTAAGAAGACTCTAAAACGTTCCTTCTGGCTGATGTCTACAGGTTCAGTGCAAGCAGGAAGTGAACGGTAAGGCAGGTTTATAGATTCCCTGGCTAATCATTAAAGGAGTAGCCCAGCACACAATCCACAACCACAAAAACATTATGCTAAGTGAAAATGTCAGACACTCAGGCGTGGTGGCTCACACCTGTAATCCTAGCACTTTGGGAGGCCAAGGCAGGAGGATTGCTTTGAGCTCAAGATAAACTCTTGACCAGCCAGGGCAACATGAGGAAACCCCATCTCTACAAAAAGTTCAAAAATTAGCCAGGCATGGTGGTGCATGCCTATAATCCCAGCTGTTAGGGTGGCTGAGGTATGAGAATTGCTTGAGCCCAGGAGGCAGAGTTTGCAGTGAGCCAAGAGTGTGCCAATGCGCTCCAGCCTGGGCAATAGAGTGAGACCCTGTCTCAAAAAAAAAAAGAAAATGTCAGACACTAAATGTCACGTTATATGATTTCATTTATATAAAATACCCAGATTAGGTAAATGCATACAGACAGCACACTGGCCTGGTGCGGTGGCTCACGCCTGTAATCCCAGGACTTTGGGAGGCCGAGGCGGGCAGATCACCTGAGATCGGGAGTTCGAGACTAGCCCGACCAACATGGAGAAACCCGGTCTCTACAAAAAATACAAAATTAGCCAGGCATGGTGGCGCATGCCCGTAATCCTAGCAGAGGCAGGAGAATTGCTTGAACCCGGGAGGCAGAGGCTGCAGTGAGCTGAGATCAAGCCATTGCACTCTAGCCAGGGCAACAAGAGTGAAACTCTGTCTCAAAAAAAAAAAAAAAAAAAAAAAAGATGTTGGGAGCCGAAAAGGCCAAAGGGATCGTGACCAACTCAGCATTCCACTGGAGAGTACATGATCAAACAGCAAACTGTTTATCACGAGTACAGAATGTGGGCAAACTCGCTTCTGTACCTGCCCCAGCTTTGCTGAGGGCCACCATTCCCTGGCGCTGGGCTCCTGGAGGCTATCTATGGGGACATCTAGAGGCTATTGCTCAAGGAATGCAATCTCACAAGCCTGCTGTGAACCAAAAGGCCGACTGACAATTACTCGACAATCACCCCCCCTTCTCTCTATCTCTTTTGCCTAATAAATACGGAGAGCTGTGTAAAGCTCAGAGCCCTTATCCACTAGAGGCAAGGTGCCCCCTGACCCCTTCTTCCAAATATACTCTTTTGTTTTTGTCTTTTATTCCCTCGTTTGCCCCGCTTTGTTCAGTCTACCAGGAATCATGGTCAGTTACAACTGGCGCCCCAAACAGCGACAGAATCGGGCACTCTACAAAAAGAGACGGAAAGCACATAGTTGGTTGCCAGGGTCTACTGGAGGGGAGAATGTGAAGTGGCTGCAAGTGGTGGTTGTACAACACTGTGACTGTACTAAGAACGATTGCACTGTTGACTTTAAAATGATTAATTTTATGTCTTGTGAATTTTACCTCATTTTAAAAAATTAAATACATCCTACAGAAGTTCTAGGAATGAAGAAAAAAAAGTTCTATGAAACTATAAAAGTACATTCTCTAAAGTCAAGAGCAATATCGAAGATGAACAGGATGATTATCACTATTTTAACTATTCTGGAAAGGCTACCCAGTTAGTTTGATAAAGAATCAAGTATAAATAATCAATATTAGAGAAGAGGAAATAAATTATATGACTAAGGAAGAGTGACAGTTTTATAGATTCAATTGAACATATACAAAAAATAAGTTTTTAGTCAGATTGATGATTTTATATCTAAAAGTTGCAAGCATTCCAAAATAGACATACTTTTTTATCAGTATTAAGTGACTAAACAATTTTGGAAATAACACTTTGCATTGAATACTTCCATTTGAGATATTACTAGAACCCAAAAATCCACCTTGGAAATTTTTGTAAAGGAAATAGCGACACATGCATGCAAAGTTGACGTAAAGGATTTAGGTCTATTAACAGGATTAACTGGCTGATTAGAAGTACACACATCCAGAAATGGAGCTATCTAGCTATTAAAAATACTAACAATTCCATATTTAGTAAAAATACATGTACCTCAGTTATGTATATCATAAGTACATGAAAAATGGCTCAACATAAGTCTCCAGAGAAATGCAAATCAAAACCATGAGAAACCACCTAACACCCACTAGAATGCCTGTAATAAAAAACTAAAAATAACAAGTGTTGGTAGGTACATGGTGGCAATGGACACCCTCAAATATCGCTGGCGGAAATGTTAAATGGTGCAGCCACTTTGGAAAAGTCTGGTAGTCCCTCAAATGGCTAAACATACCATATAACCCAACAACTCCATTTCTAGGCTTATATATAAGAGAAATAAAAACAATAAAAACTTACACACAAATGTTTATAGCATATTATTTATAATAGCCAAAAAGGGGAAATAACCCAAAAGTCCATCAACTGATGAAAGGATAAATACAAGATGCCATATCCATACCATGAAATACTATTCTGGCATAAAAAAGAATGAAGTACAGATACATGCTACGACACAGACAAACCTTGAAAACATTATACTATGTTGGCTGGGCGCAGTGGCTCACGCCTGTAATCTCAGCACTTTGGGAGGCTGAGGTGGGCGGATCAGCTGAGGTCAGGAGTTTGAGACCAGCCTGGCCAACGTGGCAAAACCCCGTCTCTACCAAAAATACAAAAATTAGCCATGCATGGTAGCAGGCACCTGTAATCTCAGCTACTTGGGAGGCTGAGGCAGGAGAATCACTTGAACTTGGGAGGTGGTGGTTGCAGTGAGCTGAGATCACGCCACTGCATTCTAGCCTGGGTGACAGAGTAAGACTCTGTCTCAAAAAAAAAAAAATTATGCTATGTGAAAGAAACCAGTCACAAAAGATCACATATTATATTGTAGCGTTTACATGAAATGAAATAAGAGTAAATTAGAAGAAAACAGAAAGGTCAAAATAAGCAAATCTATAGAGACAGAAAGTAGATTAGAGATTACTTAGTGGTAGGGCATAGGGAGTGGTAACAAAAGGGTACAGGGTTTCTTTTTAAGTGATGAAAATGTTCTAAAGTTGACTTTGGTGATGGCCGCACATAGTAAAAGCCACTGAATTATACAGTATGGGACTAATAGACCTGTAATTAGGAAAAGCTGTCAGTAGAACTTAATTATGATAAACCTACTGAAATATTCAGGGGCAAATGTATGAATGTCTGCAACTTACTTTGAAATGCACCAAAAAACAAAGCAATATTTTACAAGATGGATAAATGTGGCTGGGTGAAGTGGCTCACACCTGGAATCCCAGCACTTTAGGAGGCCAAGGAGAGAGGATCACTTGAGGTCAGGAGTTCAAGATCAGCCTGGGCAACATAGTGAGATGCCATCTCTATAAAAAGAAAAAAAGGTGGATTAATGATGAGTAGAAGGATGATATATAGATAGATATGTAATAAAAGAAACACAATAAAATGATGATAAAATCCAGATGGTAGGCAAACAGGTATTCAATTGTAAAGTTCTTTAAATCATGTTATATGTTTGAAAGTTTTTGTAACCTGGAGAACAGGGAAGTTTGTTCAGTAAGGTGACCAAAAACAATGTAAATATTTTCTAAACTAATTGCTCTTCTATGTAAGAGTAAATTAGAAGAGAACAGAAAGGTCAAAATTAAAAACACACCATTTACAATTGCAAAAAAATTAAAAACTAAGGTGCTGATGAGGGTCAGGGAGAAACATGTTTGGGTAAACATAGAATTGTAACCCATTCTTAAAAGTGATAAGTGAACTTTTTAAGTCTTAAAATTCTATCTAAATATATCCATACACTTAGTGATTCAAGTCACAGTGGTGCAGTTTTGCCTCTTGATGGTATACTATTACAGAAATCTTAAAAAAAAATTTTTAAACAAAAACATGGATGATATGTTTACTATAAGAACGTTCATAATGTAAAATTAAATACGGCAAATTATACCAATGTTTCAGCAGCTTATCTGCATTGTGAAAATCAAGCATAGAAAACTGAAATTGAAATATACAAAAATCTTATCAAAAGTCATTACTGGGGAACACATTTTGGGATAAGAGAGATGTTTTACTTGTGTCAGAACCTGAAAGAAAATATTTACGTGTGTGTATACACACATTCACACAGTAAACCTGAGGAAGAAGAACGAAAATCTTTAATAGAAACCTTATCATTTTCTTCGTTTTGTTTTTTCCTTTTTCTTTTCTCCTTTTCTTTTCTTTTTTTTTTTTTTTTGAGGCAGGGTCTCACTCTGTTGCCCAGGCTGGAGTGCAGTGCTCAATCATAGTTCACTGCAGCCTAGAACTCCCGGGGTCACGTGATCGTCCCACCTCAGCCTCCCGAGTAGCTGAGACTACAGGCGTGTGTTACCACACCCAGTTAATATTTGTATTTTTTGGAGAGACAGGCTATGTTGTTCAGGCTGATCTCCAACTTCTAGGCTCGAGCAATTCGCCCACTTTGGCCTCCCAAATGCTGGGAATATAGGCGTGAGCCACCGCGCCAGGCCACCTTACCATTTTAGATTTGATTAATCTTTGATCTTCCCCAAAGCTTTCCTATTTACCAGGATGAGAGAAAGGAGAGATGTGAGAAGTCAAATGAGATTTGTAAACCAGTCCTTGCAGAGAAACTTAAAAGGGACTGAGAGGGAATGTACCGTTGGACCTGAACACACACACCAATCAGGATGCCCTGGCTGCCAAGGCTTCAGCCTTCACAAGCTTCTCCACGACTGTCACATCTAGACCTCCCTAACATGGTCACACCCCCTTAGATTAATCCAAAAACCTGGACCACACACCTAGGTTCACATGAACCCGGGCTCCTCCTCACTGAGTCGCATATTAAATCCTGATTACAGCCTGGAGCGAAGGCTCACGCCCGTAATCCCAGCACTTTGGGAGGCCAAGGTGAGAGGATCGTTTGAGGCCAGGAGTTGGAGACCAGCCTGGGCAACATAGTGAGACCCCCGTCTCTGCAATAAACAGATAGATTAGATAGATAAATTAGATAGATAGATAGATAGATAGATAGATTAGATTAGACAGATTAGATAGATAGATAGATAGATAGATAGCGTGGTGGCGCTCACCTGTAGTCCCAGCTACTCGGGAAAGCTGAGGTGGGAAAATCACCTGAGCCCCGGGAGATGGAGGCTGCAGTGAGCCACGATTGCGCCACTGCACTCAAGCCTGTGTGACAGAGCGAGACCCTGTCTCAAAAATAAAAAATAAAACCCCGAATCCGAAGCAGACACAGTTTTCCTTGACAAAAACCACTCCTCACTCCAGTCCTCAATCACCGAGCCCTACAGAGTGACCCGCAAAGGCACCAAACCCTGATCACGGACTTCCAAGTGTTGCTCTGGACAGACTCTGACCACCGACCACTGGGATCCCTCAGGGCTGACTCCGGAGACGCCCCAACCCCAATACCCCGACTCCCACTTGCTCCCGCTTCCCCCACAAACTCCACGGCTCCGCACTAAACGGACGCCCACAGACACCCTCCTCCCCTCATCCTGACAGACAGACCCACACACAGACCTGATTTTGCGGGGAACCCACCGAGACTTCCCAGAACCTGCACTTTCCTGAATTATTCCACTTCTGGGCCCTCCCCCAGCCTCCAAGCCGGCCTACGGCGGCCGAGGAAGGTCTGAAGTTGCAGGTGTACGGAGCACGGACGACTGGGAGGTAGTAAGTTCGCGTCCTCTCGTCACGGATACTGGAGGCAGCCATCTTTGAATCCTGCACGTACGGAAGGTAAAGTGGACCTTTTCTGCCCAAGTATTCAGGGATAGCGCGGGACGGTGAAGAACTCCATATTTTGGCACCTAAATCCTGCGCCCAAGTTTCATTTATTTTCAGAGGGTCGAGCTTAGCCAAGACAAACATGGTATGGCTACGTGCACCTTAGCGGGCTGGGGAGAAAAGTCATCCGCTTTGCACAAAGAATGACGGGAATGACACAATGGGCGCGGCCATCTTAACACTTAGGTGTCCGTACAAGTGAAAACGCTTTCTCCACAGAGGAAAAAGAGCAATCGCACCCTGAGTCATATACCGCGAAAACGCATCTAGCTACATGTGGAGGACAAGAGGAAGATTTTTGAGGACCAAAAGGGTGTGGAGAGGCAATCGAGGTACGAGGATATTGTTCACCCCGTCAACGGAAAGTGAAAAAACAGCGACCCCTGGAACCTCATTTACATTTGAGGGACACGGTCACCGCCCAGTGCAGGTAAAGAGAGCAGCCACCAGCCAACCGGAAAAGGAATCCAATGCGGGAGGCGGGAATTTTCCTTAAGAGAGAAGAAGGGCCTTCCCTCTGCTGTAGGTGGAGTCAATCTTAACGTCGGGGCTTTCGGAGAACCAAGTGCCTAAAATTCTGGAAGGAATAAATAAGGCGACTCTGGGAGAATGAAAAGTTGTGCAAGCCCGGGCGCGATGGCGCACACGTGTAGTCCCAGCTACTGGGGAGACCAAGGCAGGAAGATCGCTTGAGCCCAGGAGTTCCAGGCTGCAGTGAGCTATGATCGCACCTATCAATAGCCACTGCACTACACAGCCTTGGCAACCCCTTCATGAGGAAAAAAAGAAAAAAGAAAAAAAAAAGTTGTGCAAGAAAAGTAATCATAGGATACTACCTGACTGACCTATAAATATTATTTACATAGTCATCATAACGTAAATTCTAATTCTGATCCAACCTAAATTAAGACAATTCCATTGGAAGAATGAGAAGGAAATTCCTGCATGCAGTGGAGTGTTTATATTTATAACAGAGTTTTCACGTGTCCTTCATGATACATCTATAGAAAATGCCCCAAAATGCAAACTCCATTTCAGAAACATACCGTGTTACTTAAAATATCAAATCTGTGAAGAGTGAAAAGCTTTACAGAACTATATGACTCCTTAGGAGAATTGCAAAATAAAAGCAAGAATCTTATGACTCAGGAATTCCACTCCTAGATACTTATACAACAGTAATGAAATGATATGTCCTCACAAAGACTCACAAGAATGTTCTTAGCACCTTTATGCATAATACCCTGAACAGGAAACAGTCCAAGTGTCCATCAGTACATGAATGTATAAGCAAATTGCAGTGTAATCATACCCTGGAATACTACTGAACAATAATAAAAAACAAATCATAGATGCATGCACCAACATAGATAAATCTCAACAACCTTATGAAGGGGGCCAGCCTCTCCACACCTGTGGGTATTTCTCATCTGGTGGGATGAGAGACTGAGAAAAGAAATAAGACACACTGACAAAGTATAGAGAAAGAACAGTGGGCCCAGGGGACCAGCACTCAGCATACGAAGGACTCCTGCCAGCACTGGTCTCTGAGTTTCCTCAGTATTCATTGATCACTATCTCTACCATCTCGGTGAGGGGGATGTGGCAGGACTATAGGGTAATGGTGGGGAGAGGGTCAGCAGGAAAATATGTGAACAAAGTTCTCTGTGTCATAAATAAGGAAAGGTGCTGTGCCTTGATGTGCACGTAGGCCAGATTTATGTTTGACTTTACACAAGCATCTCAGTGTAGTATAGAGCAGTATTGCTGCCAGCATGTCTCACCTCCAGCCATAAGGCAGTTTTCTCCTATCTCAGTAAATAGAATGTACAATTGGGTTTTAAACTGAGACATTCCATTCCCAGGGATGAGCAGGAGACAGATGCCCTCTTCTTATCTTAACTGCAAAGAGGCCTTCCTCTTTTACTAATCTTCCTAGGCACAGACTCTTTATGGGTGTTGTGTTGGGGGATAGTCAGGTCTTTCCCTTCCCATGAGTCCATATCTCAGGCTGTCTCAGCAGGGAGAAACTTTGGACAATACCCAGGCTTTCTTGGGCAGAGGTCCTTGTGGCCTTCTGCAATGCATTGTGTCCCTGGGTACTCGAGACTGGAGAATGGTGATGACTTTTACCAAGCATACTGCCTGCAAACACTTTTTAACAAAGCACAGCCTGCACAGCCCTAAATCCATTAGACCTTGGACATGAGTCGACACAGCACATGTTTCTGTGAGCACAGGGTTGGGGCTAGGGTTACAGATTAACAGCATCTCAAGGCAGAAGAATTTTTCTTAGTACAGAACAAAATGGAGTTTCTTATGTCTACTTCTTTCTACATAGACACAGTAGCAGTCTGATCTATCTTTCTTTCCCCTACACTGGTAACATAGTCATGTATATCATTAACAAGAATTACATACTATCCATATTTTATGTGTTGTATTTTATATGACTGGAAGAGCAGTAGGTTTGTCTACACCAGCATCATCACTGACAACTGAGTAACACATGCTACTACCTTGAGATGGCTACCACGTCTCTAGATGGCAGGAATTTTTCAGCTCCATTATAATCTTTTTTTTTAATATATACTTTAAGTTCTGGGGTACATGTGCAGAACGTGCAGTTTTGTTACATAGGTATACATGTGCCATGGTGTTTTGCTGCACCCATCAACCCATCACCAACATTAGGTATTTCTCCTAATGCTATCCCTTCCCTAGCCCCACAACCCCCAACAGGCCCCGGTGTGTGATGTTCCCCTCCCTTTGTCCATATGTTCTCACTGTTCAACTGCCACTTATGAGTAAGAACATGTGCTGTTTGGTTTTCTGTTCCTGTGTTAGTTTGCTGAGAGTGATGGTTTCCAGCTTCATCCATGTCCCTGCAAAGGACATGAACTCATCCTTTTTTATGGCTGCATAGTATTCCATGGTGTATATGTGCCACATTTTCTTTATCCAGTCTATCATTGATGGGCATTTGGGTTGGTTCCAAGTCTTTGCTATTGTGAACAGTGCTGCAATAAACATATGTGTGCATGAGTCTTTATAGTAGAATGATTCGTAATCCTTTGGGTATATACCCAGTAATGGGATTGCTGGGTCAAATGGTATTTCTAGTTCTAGATCCTTGAGGAATTGCTACACTGTCTTCCACATGGTTGAACTAATTTACACTCCCACCAACAGTGTTAAAGTGCTCCTATTTCTCCACATCCTCTCCAGCATCTGTTGTTTCCTGACTTTTTGATGATTGCCATTCTAACTGGCATGAGATGGTATCTCATTGTGGTTTTGATTTGCATTTCTCTAATGACCAGTGATGATAAGCTTTTTTTCATATGTTTGTTGGCAGCTCCATTATAATCTTAAGGGACCACCATTGTGTGTGCAACCCATCATGGACTAAAATGTTGTTATGACTGTTTCCCTATTCCAAGTAATCTGTTGCTATATAGCAAGCCAGCCCAAGACCTAGAGATGTGAATTTACTTTTATGATCTGCATGGATTCACTGAGTCAGGAAGTGAGACATGGTGATGGCTTGTATGTTCTGGGGATCGCAAGATCTGGGGTTCCTCAGGTTCAATAATTTGTTAGAATAACACAGAGCTCAGCAAAACTGTCATATTCATGATTTTATTTTATTACATAGACTGGATACAGTTAAAATCAGAAACAGAGAAAGGTGTGTAGGGCAGGGTTTGGGAGATGCTGTGCAGAAGCTTTGAGTTTTCCTCTCTCTGTGGAGTCATATGGACAATGTTTGATTGTCCTAGCCATGATGTGTGACGACAGGCATGATGTATTGCCAGTACAGGAAGCCCACTTGAGCCTGGGTGTCCAGGGTTTTTATTTGGCTTTAGTTATATGGGTGAGGCTGAGCACATGAGTGGCTGACCTTATTCTTCAGCCCTTTCAGAGGCCACCATAACTACAGTGTGGCCCAAGGCTTCCATCATACATTGTTAGCATAGACGATCTTGTGTGACCCAAGGCTCCCAGTAAACAAAGACCCTCATCGGACAATATATTCCAACGGCTTAGAGTAGGAGTGTGCAGTCTTTTGGCTTCCCTGGGCCACACTGGAAGAAGAATTGTCTTGGGCCACACATAAAATATACTAACACTAACAATAGCTGATGAGCTTAAAGAAAAAAGAAAAAAAACTCAAAAAATCTCATAATGTTTTAAGAAAGTTTACAAATTTGTTTTGCATTCAAAGCCCTCCTGGAGGCCAGGCACAGTGGCTTATGCCTGTAATCCCAGCACTTTGGGAGGCTGAAGTGGGCAGATCACTTGAGGTCAGTAGTTCCAGACCAGGCTTGCCAATATGGTGAAACCCCGTCTCTACTAAAAATACAAAAAACTATCTGGGCATGGTGGCACATGCCTGTAATCTCAGCTACTTGGGAGGCTGAAGTAGGAGAATTGCTCGAATGTGGGAGAATCGCTTGAACTTGAGAGTTGGAGGTTGCAGTGAGCTGAGATTGTGCCCCTGCACTCCAGCCTGGGCAACAGAGTGAAACTCCATCTCAAACAACAAAAACAACAACAACAACAACAAAACAAAGCCCTCCTGGGCTGTGTGCACCACCACCAACAACAACAAAACAAAGCCCTCCTGGGCCATGTGCACCCCATGGTCCGCAGGTTGGACAAGCTTGGTTTAGAAGTTACCTGCCAGGTATAGGGAAGGGCTGAGCCTTTCTTTGGAATGTTCAGTTTCTGGGTAACCCAGACTCGCTCTGTTTATCCTTTACTGCACAGCTTGTCTTCACACCATGATGTCTTGAATCTCAACTGGAAGACTCAGAAGGTTGGGGACTGGAATCATCTGAAGGCTTCTTCCTCTCTGTATCTGTGTGCCAGGCTGGGATTACTTGAAAACTAGGCTCAAGGAGGCTGCCAGCCAGAGCACCTGTGTGTGACCTCCACATGTGACATGGATGGGCTTCTCACAGCATGATGCTGGCTCTGAGACAGCCAAGATGCGGCCACAGGGCCTTTTCTGCCTTAGCCTCAGAAGTTATGTTGTGTCACCTCTGTTGCATTCTGCAGCTAGCTCAGTCGGTAGAGCATGAGACTCTTAATCTCAGGGTCATGGGTTCGTGCCCCATGTTGGGTGCCAGATGAAGGAGGCCTGCCCCTCCACACCTGTGGGTATTTCTCACAAGGTGGAGACGAGAGACTGAGAAAAGAAATAAGACACAGAGACAAACTATCGAGGAAGAAAAGTGGGCCCAGGGAACCGGCACTCAACATACGGAGGACCCGCACCAACACTGGTCTCTGAGTTCCCTCAGTATTTATTGATTACTATCTCTACTATCTCGGTGAGGGGGATGTGGGAGGACTATAGGGTAATGGTGGGAAGAGGGTCAGCAGGAAAACGTGAGCAAAGGACTCTGTGTTATAAATAAGTTTAAGGAAAGGTGCTGTGCCTTGATATGCACATAGGCCAGATTTATCTTTGACTTTACACAAACATCTCAGTGAAGTAAAGACAGTATTGCCCCCACCATGTCTCACCTCCAGCCATAAGGCAGTTTTCTCCTATCTCAGTAAATAGAATGTACGATCGGGTTTTACACTGACACATTCCATTCCCAGGGATGAGCAGGAGAGAGATACCTTCCTCTTATCTCAACTGCAAAGAGGTCTTCCTCTTTCACTAATCCTCCTCAGCACAGACCCTTTATGGGTGTCAGGCTGGGGGACAGTCTGGTCTTTCTCTTTCCATGAGGCCATATCTCAGGCTGTCTCAGTGGAGAGAAACCTTGGACAATACACAGGCTTTCTTGGGCAGAGATCCCTGTGGCTTTCTGCAGTGCATTGTGTCCCTGGGTACTCGAGACTGGAGAATGGCCATGACTTTTACCAAGCATACTGCCTGCAAACACATTTTTACCAAGGCACATCCTGCACAGCCCTAAGTCCATTAAACCTTGAGTCAATACAATACATGTTTCTGCAAGCATAGGGTTGGGGCTAGGGTTACAGATTAACAGCATCTCAAGGCAGAATAATTTCTCTTAGTACAGATCAAAATGGAGTTTCTTTTGTCTTCCTTTTTCTACATAGATGCAGTAATAGTCTGATCTCTCATTCTTTCCCCCATGCTTTTCTGCCTTAGCCTCGGAAGTTATGTTGTGTCACCTCTGTTGTATTCTGCAGGTACAAGCAAATCACCAAGACTAGCTAGGTTCAAGGGGGAAGGGAATAGGCTCCATCTCTTCGTGTGGGAGTGGCAAGATTTAGCAGAAGGTTTTCTTTGGAATGTGAGATATTATTGTGGTCATCTTTGGGAAATGCAGTCTACCACATGGACACAATAACAAATCGTTTCCTTTTCCCTGAGGAGAAAGCTCCTCTAGAAAAGTGAATATTTCATGTTACTTAAGAAGAAATTTCTTTGATGGGTCATGATATAGATCATATAGAAGTTAGTGCCCCCACAGATAAGCCAGTGGTGTAATACCAAAACCAAACTCAGTGATCAGAGTGCTTCAGGGACCCAGAACAGTGTAGCCAAAGTCCACAGCCTCCTGGGGGTCTGTTTTTATTCAGGGATAAAATGTAGAGATTTTTAAGATGGATGGATTCTATGACCATCATATGGTCTTCCACAAAGAGTCCTCAATATTCTGCTTTTTTTTTTATCAGTGGTTTTCATTTTTTGACCCCAGGTGACATTTGGCAATGTCTGGAGAAATTTTTGATTGTCACACCTGGGAAAGGAGGGTGTGCTAATTGGAGCTAGTGGATAGAGGCTAAGAATGCTGCTAAGCATCCTACAATGACACTACAGTGCCCCAAAATAAAGAATTCTCCAAACCAAAATGTCAATGCCTGTTACAGTCTGTTCCTATGGGATTGAACGAAATGGGACAAATGCAGAAGTGAAGACAAAGACAAAAAGATACATTTTAAAAGAAGGGGTCAGGGGACTCCTTGCTTCTAGTGAGCAAAGACAGCCCTCAGCTTCTACAGCCCTTCATATGTATTAGGTAGAATCAATAGGGAGAGAGAGGTAACGGTTGGTCAGCTGCTTTGATTCATTAGAGGTACACATAATTACTTTCTTTATACAACAGGCTTCAGATGTTCCTATAGATAACCACTGTGGAGCACTCGATTCTGTCACTGTTTGGGGGGGGCCACTATGTAACCTGCCACAATCCCTGGTGGGCTGAACAAAGTGGGGCAAATGCGGGAATAAAAGACGAGACAAAAGAGTATATTTGGAAGAAGGGGTCAAGGAGCACCTTGCCTCTAGTGGACAAAGGCTCTGAGCTTTACACAGCCCTTTGTATTTATTAGGCAAAAGGGATAGTGAGAAGGGGTGTGGAAGAAGGGGTCAGTTGGTTGGTCCAGAGTAGGCTTGCAAGATTGCATTCCTCAAACAACAGGCTCTAGATGTCCCAGCAGATAACCTCAGCGCCAGGGAATGATAGCCGCCAGCAAACTTTCTGTCAGCAGGCACAGTCGTGAGTTTGCCCATATCCTGCATTTGTGATAAACAGTTTGCTGTTTGATCATGTAGCTTCCAGTGGAATGCTGAGCTGATCATGTCCCATGGGCCTTTGGCTCCCTACAAACCACAAGGAACACTCTGCCTGGGGTGTGACTGCTCTTGGCACTCCTTCTGGTGGCAGATGCAATTTGTCAGTTTTCCAACATCCTGCTTTCATGAGAACAGTTTTCTGTTTGCTCATATAGCCTCCAGTGGTATACTGGGTTGGTCACAACCCCCATTTTCTCGGCCTCCAACAAATGCAGATTGAGCATCCCCTATCAGAAATGCTTGGGACTGGAAGTGTTTCAGATTTTAGATTTTTTTTTTTTTCAGAATGCTTGCTTACTTACTTACTTATACTTACTAGTTGAGCATCCCTAATCTGAAAATCCAACATTTGAAATGTCCTGGTAAGCATTTCCTTCAAGCATGACCTTTGTGCATCACCTCAGCCCTAAAAAGAATTTCAGATTTTGGAGCATTATAGGTTTCAGAATTTTGAAGCAGGGATGCTCAACCTGTAGTGCTGAGGTAGAGAAACTCCTATTTACATTGATTAGTAAACAGTTCCAAGTTATGTTGACAGAGTCTTAGAGTTTCCCTTCATAATCTCTTCACACCCAAGAATGCAGTGTTAGCTCTCTGTTCAAAGCCAATACTTATCTACTTATTTTTTTAAAATTCCAGTTATATAAATGAAGCTTAAAATATTCACAATGTGAGCTGGGCGATGGTGGCTCACACTTGTAATCCCAGCACTTTAGGAGGCTGAGGTGGGAAGATCACTTGAGCCCAGGAATTTGAGACCAGCCTGGGCAACATAGTAAGACCCTGTCTCTACAAAAAAATACAAAAGTTAGCTGAGCACGGTGGCACACACCTGTAGTTCCAGCTACTCAGGAGGCTGAGGTGGGAGGATTGCTTGAGCCTAGGAGGTCAAGGCTGCAGTGAGCTGTGATCATGCCACTGCCTTCCAGCCTGGGTAACAGAGCAATACCCTGTCTCTAAACAAAATCATCATCATTATAATACTTCTCCAACTTGAATGAATTAAAAAAAAATTTGCAGTGTCAAACTTTCAAACAATATAGAATTTTATAGTGCAAAACCTGAAAGTTCCCTCTTAATCCTTTTTCACCATCTTTAAAATAATCAATCTTGAAACATTTTTGTGTATTCTTATGGTTTCCTGTATCAGCATTGACATATCTAAATGTGAATTTGAGTGAATTTTAGTTGAGTGTCCCTTGCCCACCCTCAGGCTCAATGATTCTCTAGAACAGGGCTTCCCAACCCCTGCCACTGGTCTGTGGCCTGTTAGGAAGTGGACCAGGTCAGTGAGCAAGCTTTATCTGTATTTACAGCCACTCCCTATCATACACATAACTGCCTGAGCTCCCCTTCCTGTCAGATGAGAGGCAGCATTAGATTCTTCTAGGAGTGAAAATCCTGTTATGAACTGCACATGCGAGGGATCTAGGTTGCACACTCCTTATGAGACTCTGATGTCTGATGATCTGTCACTGTCTCCCATCACCCCCAGCTGGAACCATCTAGTTTCAGGAAAACAAGCTCAGGACTACCACTGATTCTACATTATGGTGAGTTGTATAATTATTTCATTATATATTACAATGTAATAATAATAGAAATAAAGTACACAATTAATGTAATGCACTTGAATCATTCCAAAACCATCCCCTTGCCCCAGTATGTGGAAAAATTGTCTTCCACAAAACGAGTCCCTGGTGCCGAAAAAGTTGGGGACTGCTGTTGCAGATTAAATATTTTATTAAAGGATGTAAGGAGGTTCTGTTTCTCTTTTGTGAATGAATAATTAAATATGTGAATCAGTGAATGAATGGAAGTACCGAAATAGGATATTTTAACTAAAACATTTTTCCTATATATTATAAGGCAAAACTAGTTACATGGAAGGCAGCCAAATAACTTACTCTGGGAAAATGTATTATAAGAAATTATCATTTATGTTCATAGCATTACACAATGGTAATCCTTTAGAATTGAGTAGGAATGTTCTATTACAGGGCTCACTGTCATTCAAGGATGTAGCTGTGGGTTTCACCTGGGAAGAATGGCAGCTACTGGACCCTGTTCAGAAGAATCTGTACCAAGACGTGATGTTGGAAAATTATAGCAACCTGGTATCACTGGGTAAGCACAGTTTTCCTGGGTAGTGTAGGCAATCAATTGCCCTTCCTTTCTGAGTAATTAAAAAGCGTGGGGCCTCACAAATACTTTACTTTTTTTAGACTTCAGTTTAATACATCATAGATTTTTAGTACTTTTCTGGCCTCTAACAGAGTGTTTTTCTCTCATTTCCAATGGACGTTAAGGCCTTTACTTGGCCCAGATGCAAATTATTTAACCCCTTAAATGTAATCTTCGGCCAGGCATGGTGGCTCATGCCTATAATCCCAGCACTTTGGGAGGCCAAGAGGGGTGGATCATGAGGTTAAGAGATTGAGACCATCCTGGCCAACATGGTGAAACCCCGTCTGTACTAAAAATACAAATATTAGCTGGGTGTGGTGGCGCACACCTGTAGTCCCAGCTACTTGGGAGGCTGAGGCAGGAGAATCACTTGAACCCGGGAGGTAGAGGTTGCAGTGAGCTAAGATCACACCACTTCACTCCAGCCTGGTGACAGAGTGAGACTCCATCTCAAAAAAAAAAAAAAAAGTAATCTTCATCATTTTTCAGAAGTCTTGTAGCCCTAGTATTTGCATTCATGTGTCCTTTATAATTTTCCTTGATACTTTTCTAGGGTATCAAGTTACCAAAGCAGACACATTATTCTGGTTGGAGCAAGGAAAACCATGGATACTAGAGGAAGAAATCCAGAGTCAGGTTTGTCCAGGTAAGTGAAAAACCAGTCCTATAGGAGAACTTAAAGTAATATCCCAGTTGAACAGAAGTAGGGGGGCATCTCTGAAATGCTGTTTGGAGAAATGTTTTTGAAGTTCTTAAAGTTGTGAATGTGACTAAGAACAGCTGACATAAGCTCCTCACATACCTTAATACTGCCTCCACTTTTTAGTTGCTCCATATTAGAACTCTTTTGCTTGGCTTTTAAAAGAATCCATGTTCTTCTTTTAGGTACTCTGATCAAATCCCTCTCTGGCTCATCTCAGAACTTGCTTTCCTGGTTAATCTTTCTCCCTGGCATCTTTAGTTTACTTGCTTTTCCCTGTCTTCATCCCCCTAATTCATAGTCATAGCCCTATTTTCAAGTATTCCTAAATTTTCCTCCCTTATCTTCATTTTGTATGTGTTTCATACCTCTCATAGTTTCTTCTGTTTTTTCTTCTTCCATTTATAAATATCTCAGACTTTCATTCTCTACCCACAGTTTCACTTCCTCTTCTCTCCTTGGCTCTTGCTGTGAGCTTCTACTCCTTTTATTACATGATCACAGTGGATTAATTGGTCTCCTTTCTAGAAGATGCCTGGCAAGTCAATGATCACACAGAATGGCACCGAGAAAACCAAAGCAGCCTTGAAACTATGGACAGACACCACAAATATCATATATTTGGCAACATAACATCTCATCTGAGCTCAAACCTTCATACCCCTTTTGTACTTGGGAAACACCTGAATCCTAATCTAGAGTACTTTATTCAAAACAGAAGCTATGCAAGAAATGAAGGTGAATGTAATGGATATGACAAAGTTTTTCTTTATCCTAAGCATGAGAAAATTCATGCTGAAGAGAAATACAATGAATATAATGAACGTGTAAAGGCTTTCAGTCATAAGTCACAGCTCATAAAACACTGGAAAACTCAAAAACGAGAGAAACAGTATGACTGCAGTGACTGTGGGAAAGCCTTTTCCCAGAAGTTGGACCTCTTTAAGCATCAAAGAACACAAAGAGGAGAGAAGCCCTATGGATGCAGTAGATGTCAGACAGCCTTCAGATGGAAGTCCTGTCTCATTTTACACGAGAGAACCCATACAGAAGAGAAACCTTATGAGTGCAATAAATGTGGGAAAGCTTTTACTGATAAGTCATGCCTTAATAAACATCAACGAACTCACACAGGAGAGAAATGCTTTGAGTGTCATACATGTCAAAAAGGTTTTAGTGATAAGTCAAAACTCACTTTCCATCAAAGAACTCATACTGGAGAGAAACCCTATGGATGCAGCAAATGTCAGAAAAGCTTCAGCAATAAGTCACAGCTCATGATCCATCAGAGAGCTCACACAGAAGAGAAACCCTATGGTTGTGATGAGTGTGGGAAAACATTCCCCCTTAAGTTTAACCTCATTTTACATCAAAAAATCCATACCGGGGAAAAATCGCATGGGTGTAATGAATGTGGGAAAGCCTTCATCCAGAGATCTGAGCTCAGTAGACATCAGAGAACTCACACAGGAGAGAAACCGTATCACTGCAGTGAATGTGGAAAAGGCTTTAGTGTAAAGTCATTCCTCAATACTCACTGGAGAACTCATATGGGAGAGAAACCCTATGGATGCAACGAATGTGGGAAAATGTTCTCCATCAAGTTTAGTCTCATCCTACACCAAAGAACTCATACAGGGGAAAAACCCTATGAATGCAGTCAGTGTCAGAAGACTTTCAGCCAAAAGTCACACCTGAATATTCATCAGCGGTCTCACACTGGAGAGAAACCTTAGGAATGTGGAGAATGTCACAAAGCCTTCAGCCGGAAGTCCTATCTCCTGATCCATCAGAGAATTCACTCAGGAGAGAAGCCTTACGAATGCCTTGAGTGCGGGAAGACTTTCTCTCGTAAGTTTAGTCTCACTACTCATCAGAGAATCCATACAGGAGAGAAATCCTATGGATGCAGTGAATGTGGGAAAACTTTCCCCGTCAAGTTTAGCTTGGTTTGACATCAGAAAACACATACAGGAGAGAAACTCCACGAATGCAGCAAATGTCAGAAATCTTTTGCCCAGAAGTCACATCTTATTATACATCAAAGAACGCATATAGGTGAGAAACCTTACGAATGCACTGAGTGTTGGAAAACCTTCTTCCGCAAATTCAGCCTCATTCTACATCAGAAAACACACAAAGGAGAGAAATCATAAATGAAGTGAATATCTGAAAGTTGGCAGTGAGAAGGACTAGCTCATTATACCACAAGGTTAATGTAAGAGTGAAACCTCAAGGCTGCAGCAAATGTGAACAAACCTTAATTTCAAGCTTACACATCCTTTCTTATCAGAGAATAGTGCTGGGCATGATGCCAGTCAGGAGGTAATACCTGTTTCAATAAATGTCAATTGAATATAAGCCAGAGGGAACACACAGGAAGGAACATCTATGTATTACTGATTATGGGGATGTTGTTGGCATAATATGCAGTTACATCAGTTTCAGATAATTGACACTAAGGAAGAAATTCTGTACTTTAGGTGAGGTGCAGTGGCTCACACCTGTAATCTCAGCACTTTGGGAGGCCAAATTGGAAGGATCGTTTGAGCTTAGGAGTTCGAGACCAGTGTTTTCAACATAGGGTTCCATCTCTACAAAAAAATACAAAAATTAGCTGGAGATAGTGCTACTCAGGAGGCTGAGGCAGAGAATTACTTGAGCCAAGAGGTGGAGGTTTCAGTGAGCCAAGATTTTGCCAGCCTGGGTGACAGCCTGTCTAAAAAAAAAAAATAAATAAATAAATAAGGAAAAGAAAAAAGAAATTTGTAATTTTGTATGTTAATGAATCTGGGAAATCATGCTTTCATCTGTATTTTTTTTCTGCTCTTGTTATATAATCAGCATTATAGAAAGTATTGTATTAAATATGTAAATAAATATGCTTGTCAGAAAACAAAGCAAAAAATATAAGAACAATACCAAATATTTAAGTGTTTTTGCCTATTTTTATTGTAAAAATGATTGCTCATATTTGGGAACTGCATGTGTTAACATCACAATTGTGAATTTGTAGTATGTATGATTAAATGTGCATAAAGACTTCCCATAGAATATCTGCATTGAATCTTTGTATAATGCTACGTAACTTATAATTGATCTGTGCCACGGACCCTACTGGACTGAACAAAGGAGGATGAATGTGGGAATAAAGACAAACACAAAAGAATATGTTTGGAAGAAGGGGTCGGGGGCTTCTTGCTTCTAGTGAACAAGGCCCCTGAGCTTCTATAGCACTTCATATTTATTGAGTAAAGAAAACAAGGAGCGGGGGTGGTTGTCGGTCAGCTGCTTGATTTAGTGCAGGCCTGCATGACTGCATTCTTTGAACAGTAGGCTCCAGATGTCCCAGTAGATAACCTCAAGGAGCATGGTGCCAGGCAGTGATTGCCCTCAGCATACTTTCTGGTGGCAGGTGCAGATACGAGTTTGCCCACATTCTGCATTCATGATAAACAGTTTGCTGTTTGATCATATAGCCTGCAGTGGAATGCTGAATTGGTCACGACCCTCAGGCTTTCGACTCCCCACAGAACTGCTGTGGTTCATTGTTTCAGTAAAAAACTCAATACAATACTGTTTATCTTTATCTCTGTAGTGTTTGCTAGTATTTGTAAATGGGTCTGGAAGATGTTGTGCCACTCTTGGGTAAAACTTTATCTCATCAATTCTAAGATAGACATTTTTCCAACATATTACCACTGCTAAAATTTAAGTGTGGCATACTTATTTATATATGTGGCTTAACATATTTAAATGGAGAACTTGGTGTGTAAAAGTGTGGTGTGCCATACAACCAAAGGTATCTCAGATTGGATGAAATATAGTAGAAGCCGTCATCTTTATACAGGGTTTTGTTTCTTGTAAACCAACGAAATACTTGGGGATTGAGGAAGATGAGTCTTCACAGGTTTTATGCCGCTTCTGAATTCTAAATAGTTTGAGAGATAGTCCCTGATATCAGAGAGATGGAAATTAAATAATTTTTGCAGTCCTGGTTTTATTGCATGAATAGATAATGTGGCTTGATCCTATAGTCAAATAAAATAAGCCTCTCTTTCCTTCATAGCCACAAGGTGTGCAAGATGTGTTTCCCTTTGAAACAACATAAGCCAAATGTGAGACATGTTTTTATTAATCCCTCTCTAGAATGTAGCAGCAAAGTCCCCTAAACGGTTTTCTTAAATTGAGAATAAATTATAAAATACACTGAACTTGATATTAATTTTACAAAAATATGTTTCCTTTTCAAGTACAATGTTTTTCCCTAAAATAGGTGACTGCAATTATAGCAGTTACTCAGGGTAAGATGTTGAACAGTCTCACATGACTCCACAAGTTATACTTACCTAAGACTCCAAGAAAGACAAAGGCTACAGTACAGCATGAAAAATAAAATCCAATGAAATAAAATACATGTAAATATGATGATGTTCTGAGACACACAGGCACAGATTCCAGGGATCTTTTTCAGTCACACAGGATACTATTTGTCTCCAGATCACCAACTACCAAATATAGGTGAGGTACCTGTTTCAGGGGAACCAAGGCACAAGATTGCTGAGAAGTCTTTTATATACACAAGTTGCAGCCAAAATCAGGCTTTTAAAACAGAGTTAGATCATCCACCTATTTTCAAAAGACAGGCCAGGTGCAGTGGCTCACACCTGTAATCCCAGCACTCTTGGAGGCCGAGGCGAGTGGATCACTTGTGGTCAGGAGTTCGAGACCAGCCTGGCCAACATGGTGAAACCCTGTCTTTAATAAAAATACAAAAATTAGCAGGATGTGGTGATGCACACCTGTAATCCCAGCTACTTGGGAGGCTGAGGCAGGAAAATCACTTGAACCCAGGAGGCAGAGGTTGCAGTGAGCTGACATCGCACCACTACACTCCAGCCTAGGTGACAGCAAGACTGTCTCAAAAAAAAAAAAAAAAAAAAAGATATTGTAGGTAAGCTGGTATATGCATCTTAAGGGGAGTTTTGGGATTTTTTTTTCTTTTCTTTGAGTTGGAGTCTCACTTTGTTGCCCACGCTGGAGTGCAGTGGTGCAGTCTCCACTCACTGCAACCTCTGTCTCCCAGGTTCAAGCAATTCTCCTGCCTCAGCCTCCCAAGTAGCTGGGATTACAGGTGCCACTTCATATCCTACACAAATCAATGTTTCGTGTATTAGACTATAAAAGTCAGCAGACTATTTTGGTGCAAGACCAGATAGTAAGTATTCAGGCTTTGCAGGCTACATATGATCTCTGTTGTATATTCTATTTATTTTACTCTTTAAAAGTATTAAAAGCCAATCTTAGCTCAAGGGCAAAGCAGGCTGTGGACTGGATATGGCTCATGAGCAGCAGTTTGCTAACCCCTGGAACCCTGAATTGAACAGCAAAACTCTAAAAGTGTTAGAAGGAAATATAAGATAATATTTTTATGATCTTGATGTGGGGAAGGATTTCTCTAAAAAGATTTAGCATAAACTATAGTAGAAAATATTAAGGCCAAGCATAGTGGGTCACGAGATTGCAGTGAGCCAAGATCGTCCCATTGCACTCCAGGCAACAAGGTGAGACTCCCCATCTCAGGGGGGAAAAAAAGAGAGAAAATGGGGAGTTGTCTGTTTTGAGTTCGCAACATGTACAGAGCACTCTTGACATAACTAACTCCATTTTGCAAAAAGACTTCATCTTACATTTCAAAAGAATTCAGGGGTCCCACAGTGATGTTAGATAGCAACTTTTTTTTTTTTGAGATGGAGTCTTACTCTGTCTTCCAGGCTAGAGTGCAGTGGCGCGATCTCAGCTCACTGCAACCTCCGCCTCCCAGGTTCAAGTGATTCTCCTGCCTCAGCCTCCTGCGTAGCTGGGACTACAGGCACGCGCCACCATGCCCAGCTAATTTTTGTATTTTTTAAAAATATACTTTAAGTTCTAGGGCACACGTTCATAACGTGCAGGTTCGTTACATAGGTATACATGTGCCATGTTGGTTTGCTGCACCCATGAGCTCGTCATTTACATTAGGTATTTCTCCCAATGCTATCCCTCCCCTAGTCCCCCACCCCCGACAGGCCCCAATGTGTGATGTTCCCCTCCCTGTGTCCGTGTGTTCTCATTGTTCAACTCCCACTTATGAGTGAGAACATGCGGTGTTTGGTTTTCTATCCTTGTGATACTTTGCTGAGAATGATGGTCTCCAGTCTAATTTTTGTATTTTTAGTAGAGATGGTGATTCACCATATTGGCCAGGCTGGTCTCAAACTCCTGACCTCGTGATCCGCCTGCCTCAGCCTCCCAAATTGTTGGGATTACAGGCATGAACCACTGCACCCAGCCTTTGATAGCAACTTTTATTGAAGTGGCAGTGCACAGCAGCAGCAGAGGTACTACTCCTTGTGGAGCAGTATGCCCAGAGTAGCAGCTCAGAGGCAGCCCTTCAGTCATATTTCTACCCACTTTTAATTATATGCAAAGTAAGGGGTGGATTATGCATAAATTTCTAGAAAAAGGTGGTAACTTTCAGGTCATCAGCTTGTTGTCATGGAAAGCAGCAATAACTCCCAGGTGTTACCATGGAAATGGTAAACGTGACATGGCATACTGGTGGGTAAGTCTTATGAAAAGCTGCTTCTGCCCTGTTGCTGTTTTAGCTAGTCCTTAATTTTGTCTGGTGTTGGAGCCTGGTCTCTTGAGTCAAGTCCCACCTCCTACCTTGATAGTGGCTTTGGTATCCAGTTTTTTCATAGAACACAATTTCAAGTTTCTACGCTTGGTGTTTTCCAAACAGCCTGAAGCAAAAAACAATCTTTAATATGAGTATACATATTGATCCTCACAACTGAAGGGGGCCAGCCCCTCCACACCTGTGGGTGTTTCTCGTCAGGTGGGATGAGAGACTGAGAAAAGAAATAAGACACAGAGACAAAGTATAGAGAAAGAACAGTGGGCCCAGGGGACCGGCGCTCAGCATACGGAGGACCCACGCCGGCACTGGTCTCTGAGTTCCCTCAGTATTTATTGATCACTATTTCTACCATCTCGATGAGGGGGATGTGGCAGGACAATAGGGTAATGGTGGGGAGAGGGTCAGCAGGAAAACAAGTGAGCAAAGATCTCTGTGATAAATAAGTTTAAGGAAAGGTGCTGTGCCTCGATGCGCACATAGGCCAGATTTATGTCTGACTTTTCACAAAAATTTTAGTGCAGTAAAGAGCAGTATTGCCGCCAGTATGTCTCACCTCCAGCCATAAGGCAGTTTTCTCCTATCTCAGTAAATAGAACGAACGTTCGGGTTTTACACCGAGACATTCCATTCCCAGGGACAAACAGGAGACAGGTGCCTTCCTCTTATCTCAACGGCAAAGAGGCCTCCCTCTTTCACTAATCCTCCTCAGCACAGACCCTTTACGGGTGTTGGGCTGGGGGACAGTCAGGTCTTTCCCTTCCCATGAGGACATATCTCAGGCTATCACATGGGGAGAAACCTTGGACAATACCTGGCTTTCCTGGGCAGAGGTCCCTGCAGCCTTCTGCAGTGCATTGAGTCCCTGAGTACTCGAGATTAGAGAATGGCTATGACTTTTACCAAACATACTGCCTTCAAGCACTTTTTTAACAAACCACATCCTGCACAGCCCTAAATCCATTAAACCTTAAGTCAACTGTGGGGAAAAGCAAGAGAGATCAGATTGTTACTGTGTCTGTGTAGAAAGAAGTAGACATAGGAGACTCCATTTTGTTCTGTACTAAGAAAAATTCTTCTGCCATGAGATTCTGTTAATCTATGACCTTACCGCCAACCCCATGCTCTCGGAAACATGTGCTGTGTCAACTCAGGGTTAAATGGATTAAGGGCGGTGCAAGATGTGCTTTGTTAAACAGATGCTTGAAGGCAGCATGCTCCTTAAGAGTCATCACCACTCCCTAATCTCAAGTACCCAGGGACACAAACACTGCGGAAGGCCGCAGGGACCTCTGCCTAGGAAAGCCAGGTATTGTCCAAGGTTTCTCCCCATGTGATAGTCTGAAATATGGCCTCGTGGGAAGGAAAAGACCTGACCGTCCCCCAGCCCGACACCCGTAAAGGGTCTGTGCTGAGGAGGATTAGTATAAGAGGAAGGCATGCCTCTTGCAGTTGAGACAAGAGGAAGGCATCTGCCTCCTGCCTGTCCCTGGGCAATGGAATGTCTTGGTATAAAACCCGATTGTACGTTCCATCTACTGAGATAGGGAAAAACCGCCTTAGGGCTGGAGGTGGGACATGCGGGCAGCAATACTGCTCTGTAAGGCATTGAGATGTTTATGTGTATGCATATCTAAAGCACAGCACTTGATTCTTTACTTTGTCTATGATGCAAAGACCTTTGTTCACGTGTTTGTCTGCTGACCCTCTCCCCACTATTGTCTTGTGACCCTGCCACATCCCCCTCTCGGAGAAACACCCATGAATGATCAATAAATACTAAGGGAACTCAGAGGCTGGCGGGATCCTCCATATGCTGAACGCTGGTTCCCCGGGTCCTCTAATTTCTTTCCCTATACTTTGTCTCTGTGTCTTTTCTTTTCCAAGACTCTTGTTCCACCTTACGAGAAACACCCACAGGTGAGGAGGGGCAACCCACCCCTTCATCAACACAGCACGTCTCTGTGGGCACAGGGTTGGGGCTCAGGTTACAGATTAACAGCATCTCAAGGCAGAAGAATTTCTCTTAGTACAGAACAAAATGGAGTTTCTTATGTCTACTTCTTTCTACATAGACACAGTAACAGTCTGATCTCTCTTTCTTTTCCCCAAACAACTTTTAAAGTCAGTAGCTGAGATGCAGGGACTTGTCATGAGCCTTGTCTACCCAAGCTAAGTGGCCTATTTTTTCCCCCTTTCTCAAGGCATATTCTCTGTTGTAGGGACACCTGAAATTCCTTTAAGATGGCCATGCTCAGTGGGCTGCCTCTTGACAGTTTCCTAGTAGTCAGTCAATAAAGGGTGCAGTCACCTCTCCGCAGCTCACTGAGGTGGACATACTTGGCACTGTGCTGGCCTTGTATCGGGGGACCTGCCCCAATAATCACGTAGGTTCTTTTCTATTTGCCTAAGCGTCGACTGGCTTGAGAAATAAAAGGACAGAGTACAAAAGAGAGAAATTTTAAAGCTGGGCCTCCGGGGGAGACATCACACATTGGTAGGATCTGTGATGCCCCACAAGCCACAAAAACCAGCAAGTTTTTATTAGGGAGTTTCAAAAGGGGAGGGAGGATACGAATAGGTGTGGGTGACAGACATCAAGTACTTAACAGGGTAATAGAATATCACAAGGCAAGTGGAGGCAGGGCGAGATCACAGGACCACAGGACCGAAGTGAAATTAAAATTGCTAATGAAGTTTTGGGCACCATTGTCATTGATAACATCTTATCAGGAGACAGGGTTTTGAGATCAACCGGTCTGACCAAAGTTTATTAGGCGGGAATTTCCTCTTCCTAACAAGCCTGGGAGCGCTATGGGAGACTGGAGTTTATTTCACCTCTGCAATCTCGACCATAAGAGACAGGTACGCCCGGGGGAGGCCAGTTCAGAGACCTACCCCTAGGTGCGCATTCTGTTTCTCAGGGACGTTCCATGCTGAGAAAAGGAATTCAGTGATATTTCTCCCATTTGCTTTTGAAAGAAGACAAATATGGCTCTGTTCCGCCCGGCTCACCGGCGGTCAGAGTTAAAGGTTCTCTCTCTTATTCCCTGAACAATTGCTGTTATCCTGTTCTTTTTTCAGGGTGCCCACATTTCATATTGCTCAAACACACATGCTGTACAATTTGTGTAGTTAACACAATTATTACAGGGTCCTGAGACGATATACATCCTTCTCGGCTGACAGGATTAAGAGATTAAAGCAAAGACAGGCATAGGAAATCACAAGGATATTGATTGGGGAAGTGATAAGTGTCCATGAAATCTTTACGATTTATGTTTACAGATTGCAGTAAAGACAGGCATAAGAAATTACAAAAGTATTAATTTGGGGAACTAATAAATGTCCATAAAATCTTCACAATCCATGTTTTTCTGCCATGGCTTCAGCCGGTCCCTCCGTTTGGGGTCCCTGACTTCCCGCAACAGCCTTGGTTGCATTTGAGCCTCTGAATATCTGTGTGGTTTGTGCAGTGAAGGGGTGGCCTGCCTCTCCACATCTGTGGGTGTTTCTCGTCAGGTGGGACGAGAGACTGAGAAAAGAAGAGATACAGAGACAAAGTATAGAGAAAGAAAAGTGGGTCCAGGGGACCGGTGCTCAGCATACAGAGGACCCGCGCCGGCACCGGTCTCTGAGTCCCTCAGTATTTATTGATCATTATCTCTACCATCTCGGAGAGGGGGATGTGGCAGGACAATAGGATAATAGTGGGGAGAGTGTCAGCAGGAAAACATGTGAACAAATGTCTCTGTGTCATAAACAAGCTTAAGAAGAAGGTGCTGTGCTTTGATATGCACATACATAAACGTCTCGGTGCATTAAAGAGCAGTATTGCCGCCAGCTTGTCTCACCTCCAGCCCTAAGGCGATTTTCTCCTATCTCAGTAGATGGAACATACAATCGGGTTTTATACCGAGACATTCCATTGCCCAGGGACGAGCAGGAGACAGATGCCTTCCTCTTGTCTCAACTGCAAGAGGCCTTCCTTCCTCTTATACTAATCCTCCTCAGCACAGACCCTTTACGGGTGTCGGGCTGAGGGATGGTCAGGTCTTTCCCTTCCCACGAGGCCATATTTCAGACTATCACATGGGGAGAAACCTTGGATAATACCTGGCTTTCTGGGGCAGAGGTCCCTGTGGCCTTCCGCAGTGTATTGTGTCCCTGGGTACTTGAGATTAGAGAGTGGTGATGACTTTTAACAAGCATACTGCCTTCAAGCATTTGTTTAACAAAGCACATCCTGCATAGCCCTAAATCCATTAAACCTTGAGTCAACACAGCACACGTCTCTGTGAGAACAGGGTTGGGGGTAGGGTTACAGATTAACAGCATCTCAAGGCAGAAGAATTTTTCTTAGTACGGAACAAAATGGAGTCTCTTATGTCTACTTCTTTCTACATAGACACAGTAACAGTCTGATCTCTCTTTCTTTTCCCCACAGTGCACTGTTGTTAGTGCTCCAACCTCACAGTGCAGGGGTTGAGGTGTCAGGAGAGGGAACACATCAGTGCCATTTCACTGTCTCCTGTGTCAAAGCAAAATTAAAATGCAGACCAGAATTCAAAAACTCCTGAGCAAACAAAACCCAGTAGGCCTTAAAAACAGCCTTAACCTTGCTTAACCTGCAAACATAAGCAACAATTCACTTGAGTCATTTCTGGTAAATGCTTGTGTTAGGGAAGGACAAAACTCAATCTCAACCGATCAAAAGTAGGCAACTCACATGCTATTATGTCATTAGGGACTTTCCAAGGCAAATTTAAAAAAATGCATTTTTATAATTGTAACTAATCAAATAATTTCTTTGTTTTACTCCTTCACTCACCCTGTGAATACTTGTGTCTAATGCTTTAAGCATAGAAGCGCGAGACTTCTTTTGGTTTGATGCTTCCTAATTCATGAATTGCTGTTTGTTCAGATAAACTCTAGAAAATGCTCCTGCGCCTCAAATTTTTGCTTTCAGGAGAGTCATCCCGGTTTAATGACACAAGAACAACTGTTTCCCTTCTGTACGGCAGATCTACCAAGATGGCCGCGCCCAGAGAGCCGTGGCTCAGGGCGCGGACATGTTACCTCCTCGAAGAGAAGCCCATGTCCCATCGTCCTAGCGCGGCAGAATTGACTCGCGCCCTCGTCCGCCGCCATAGGCCAGTGCCGGGGTTTAAGGGCCAGGAAAGGAAGCATTCAGGGAATTTAGGTGTAGCCAGAAGAAAATCAGGTGAGTGTTTGGGTCTCTCCGTGGAGTAGGTTAAAGGGGTAGGGAGCTTCTGAGGAGCCTGTGGGGAGAGCTGGCGGCCTGGGCGGTGGAGCCTTTGGGTTGGGGTGCCTTTGCGGTCCGGCGTGGGAGAGTTCTTGTGGTCGGGCGTTAAAGGTCTGTCGAGTTCAGCGACTGAGACTCGGCGTCAGAGTTTGGGGTCTCTGAGGGTCACTCTGTTAGTAGGCCTCTGGATCACTGGATGGAGAACTCTAGGGGGACGCTGCCCAGCACGCCGGCTTTATCACCGACGCCATTATTATCACTCCAAATGCTGCAGTTTAAAGTCGGTGATGAAGCCGGGGTGCTGGGCAGCGTACGAGGGTGTGTGGTGTAGGTTTTGGGGTGAATCGGGGATGTGTGTTAAGTGTTTCGGGGAGGCCCAGGCATGTGGGGCTCAGAGGCTTGTAAAATCTGGTATTTTACAAGCCCAGGCCCCTGGCTGGGGTTGAGTTGTGAAACTATAACCGCCCACCCTTGCCGGCTGCCTAGACAGAGCCGACTTGTTAAGACAGGGAAATTGCAATGGAGAAAGAGCAATTCATGCAGAGCCGGCTGTGCGGGGAGACCGGAGTTTTATTATTACTCAAATCAGTGATAAAAGAAAAATTGAAGCCGAATTAAATTTACAGGAGTTTCCTTGAGCAATGAACGATTCGCGAATTGGGCAGCCCCCAGAATCACAGCAGATTAACAGAGACTCCAGGGGTGCCTCGTGGTCAGAACAAATTTATAGACAAAAAAGGTAAAGTGACATACAGGAATCGGAAGCGAGGTCCAGAAACAGTGAGATTGGTTACCATTCGGCGTTTGCCTTATTTGAACGCAGTTGGAACATTCAGCAGTCTATGAGTATGGCCGCTGGGACTGGCCACCACTCAGCTATTGTTACAGGTGCATACGATTAAGTTCGGTTTTCAATTTTGTCTGTTAAGCTAGGTTGCAGTTTATCCACAAGGACTCAAATATAGAAGTATGGAGTCGTTCTCAGGCAATATTTAGTTTGCTTAAGCATCAGTCTCCTTGAGCATTTGGGGATCAAAGTTTCCTCCTATCCCCCAGACGGAATCTAGCTCTGTTGTCCAGTCTGGAGTGCAGTGGTGCGATCTCAGCTCACTGCAACCTCCGCCTCCTGGGTTCTAGCGACTGTCCTGCCTCAGCCTCCCGAGTGGCTGGGATTACAGGCGCCCGCCACCACGCCCGGCTAATTTTTGTATTTTTAGTAGAGACAGGCTTTCACCACGTTGGCCAGGCTGGTCTTGAACTCCTGACCTCAGGTGATCTGCCCGCCTCGGCCTTCCAAAGTGCTGGGATTATAGGCATGAGCCATCGCGCCTAGCTATGATTGTTACGATTTATAAGAAATGTATAATCGATCTTTGTCCTGTTTCCTGGCACATGTCTCCCAAAAGCCTTGGAACCTCTTCAGTAAACAGTGCCTTTTTGTGTGGCATTGAGATGGCTGGTGACTGGGGGCTTCTGGCTGGCCTTAGGACGGGGGAGGCTGGTTGCCAGGGCAACTAACCATGTCATTTGAGGGTTGGAAATTTTAGCTCTGCCTGGCAACAGGGAAGTTGAAGGTTGAGTTGATCACCAGTGGTTAGTGTTTTAATCAAGTATGCCCACATAATGAAACCAGCGTAAAAACTCAAAAGGACTGGTGAACTTCTGGGGAACTTACAGATTCTTGAGCATGTGGAGGTGCCTGAGGGTGGTGAACTGAGTCTCTAATAAGCTTCCGTGGAGGGCATGGAAGTCCCACGCCCCTTGCTACAAACCTTGCTCTGTGCTATCCCTTCCATCTGCCTCTTCATCTGTATCCTTCGTAATATCCTTTATTCCTTTTCCCATTTGCCCTGAGAATACTCACCTTTGGTGCTTGCAGCTGGAGCATTTACCCCGAGATAACTTTGCCATGAACGATCTCACTTTTATTATTTTCACATCGCTCTAGTAGGTCGCCTTGGGAAACAAAAGACATCATTCTACTTATAGCATTCTGTTTTTAGTAGTGGTATTTCCATTTACAAAATGTAGTAGTTCTCGATCACTGAAAATGTCAAATCCTAGAAAACGTAGCATTCCTACATGTGATGTTAACATCATTCTCAAACAGTTCTTGGCTGAAGACTCACTGGATGGATCCGATTTTTACCAAATCGAGAATTCTGATGATTCCAAATCGAGAATTCTGATGATTCAGATGATTCTGATGTTAGTTCTGTTTAGAAATAACTCCTAGAACAGCTTTTATATTTTATTTTCACATTGAAAATCAGATTTACTGCAGCCTCAAAGAGCATGTTTATGTAAAATGAAATAAGCGCTGGCAGTGAGCTGCACTTCGTTTTTCTAGACAGGAAAAGAGTTGAAATAAACCAGTAAATGTTAAGTGCTTTCCTGAGTTCTGTGAGCCATCCAGCAAATTAATCGAACCTGAGGAGGAGGCCGTGTGAATCCTGATTTATAGCTGGTCCATCAGAGGTACAGGTGACAACCTGCTGCTTGCAACTTGCGTCTGAAGTTGGGGGCAGGCTTGAACTGAGCCCTTAATCTGTGGTGTCTGACACTATATCTAGATACACAGTCTCAGACTGAATTAAATTATAGGATGCTGTCTTAGCCTTGTTGGTGCTGCTATAACAAGATAGCTGAGACTGGATAATTTATAAACAACAGAAATTTATTTGTTATAGTTCTGGAGACTGAGAAGTCTAAGATCGAAGCACCAGCAGGTTTGGTGTCTGGTGAGGGCCTGATTTCTGCTTTCAATATGGTGTTTTGTCGCTATTTCTTTGGAGGTGAAGAATGCGGTGCCCTCACATGGCAGAAGGCAGAAGAGCAGAAAGGGCCGATCTGTGTGTGAAGCCTCTTTTATTTTTATTATTATTTCTTCTTTCTTTAGGTTTTTTTTTTTTTTTTTTTTTGATACAGAGTCTCACTTTGTCACCCAGCCTGCAGTGCAGTGGCACCATCCTAACTCACTGCAGTCTCAACCTCTCAACCTCCCAGGCTCAAGCAGTCCTCCTGCCGCAGCCATCTGAGTAGCTGGGAATACAGGCATGTGCCACCATGCTTGAATAATTTTTGTATGTTTTATAGAGATGGGGTTTCACCATGTTGCCAAGTCCTGAGCTCAAGTGATCTGCCCACCTTGGCCTCCCAAAGTACTGGGATTACAGGTGTGAGCCAACACGCTCGGCCTTTATTTTTTTTTATTTTTTTATTTTTAAGAGACAGGGTCTTGCTCTGTTGCCCAGGCTAGAGTGCAGTGGTGCAATCACAACTCACTGCAGCCTCAAACTCCTGGCCTCAAGCGATCCTCCCACCTCAGCCTCCCAAAGTGCTGGGATTACATGCATGAGCCACTGTGCCTGGCCAAAGCCTCTTTTATAAGGGCCTTAATGCCACTCACAAGGGAGGAGCCCTCATGACCTAATCACTTACTAAAAGCCCACCTCTTGATACCATTGCATTGGAGATTAAGTTTCAACATGAATTTTGGAGGACACAAACATTCAAACCATAGCAGCTGGCATTTGGGAGCTTAGATTTTTGGAGGCAGTCCCACTATTTCCTAATAAGAGTGGCTCACTGTGCCTAAGCTGTTTTTTTCAAACAATGTGATTTATCCTGAACACATGCTTTCCTCTAGGATTCTGGAGTTTTGGTGAATGTTAGGCAGTGAGCACCTTCACGATCAGCCCCCAATAAAAACCATGGCACACAATCTCTCTCTAATAAACTTCCTTGGTCTATAGCATTTCACGTGTGTTGTCATGACTTGTGGCTCGGGGAATTAAGTGTATCCTGTGTGACTCCAAAGAGACTGAACTTGAAACTTATGTCTGGTTTCCTCCAGACTTTGCCACATGTACCTTTTACCTTTGCTGGTTTTGCTGTGTATGTTTTCACAGTAATAAGTGGTTGCCATGAATATAATTATAGACTGAGTGTTGTGAGTTCACCTAGTGAATCACTGCATCTGGGAGTGGTCTTGAGGGGCTCCGGCACAGCTGCCCACATTCATTCACCTGTCTCCCCTTTTCTAACAGACTCTCAGGTGTCCTTGGCTTGTGGCAGCATCACTCCAGTCTCTGCCTCCATCTTCACATGGCCTTCTCTTTTACCTGTGTGTTTCTTCTCTGTGTGTCTCACGATTGTTGGGAAAAAGGCTTATGGGGTGCTGGCATAAACTGGCCATAAAAATATGGGACAATAAGTTTTGGAAAATCACAGGAGGCCTCTGAGGAGGAAAGCCTCCTTATTACCATCACGTTCTCATGACCAGAGCGTGACCTGCTCTCTTATTTATAAACACTGTGCTTAAGGAGAAAGACACTCCTTTGAAGCATTGGAAAGTGGCCAGATATGCCGGCTCCTGGTTAAGCCCACTGCCATATGACTCCCCACATTCAGAGTGTTGTTTTATTGCCCTGGGATGTAAAGACTTGGGGACACCTGACAAAGGGATGCTTAGATATATTGCTTGGCCTTGACTGCAGGAGAGTTTACAGCAGCAGAGACAGCATCTGGGCCCGGAGGGAATGTGTCACCAAATGAACTTGATTTTTACTCCATAGGTCCTGGCTCCCCAGAAGCAAGAGAGTTCAAATGAAGGAAGGAGGAGGTTCCTGGATGTGGATGTCATCATTTCTGGGAACACTCTTAAATGGAGACTCAGATTTCTTAGCCAAAATTTAGGGAGGATCCAGAAGAAACCAAAGACGAAGCATCCCAGTTCTTGGGTATTTCCTGAAACAGAAGAAAATGACAAAGGCCCAGGTAACTTTTGGTTTGTTTTATTCTTAACTCGATTCCCTGATGGATTTGTGGAAGTCTGAAGAAATCAGTTCATTTACATTAAAAGTATAAATTGGAAAAAATGAGCTCTGGGGAGAAACAGACTTAGACTGTACCTTTAATCCAGGACAAAGTGGGATCACAAATACTTTGTTCACATAGTTCACATGTGACCAGTGTTGGAATATAATGTGCGACTCTGCCAGACCCTGTTGGCTACATTAAGTGTCAGCTTGTGTCCAAAATCTTTGGCCACCATCACACCCAGAGAATCATGGTAAGTTACATGATGTGCACTGATTCTGAGGAGAAAGCGGGTCCGTTCCTCAGGGGATGTCAGTATTTCATGGCACTTAAATCTTGGGAAATTAGTTTGATGCTTTTTGCTAGAGGTGACAAGATAGACTTTTTGTCCTTAACAGCATTTTTCCAAAAGATACACAAGCAAGTTTTGTGTGACTGTTTCTACATGATTATTCTGAGTCCTCTATGGGACTATACCAAGAAGGGTTTAATGAACACAGTTTTTCCAGAGCTCACAGCACTGCGGCCTATATACCCAACCTTGTTGCAGTCTGTGTTTATCTGTGAGTAAACCTAATTGCCTAAAAAATGCAAGGTTTGCTTTCAAAGGAGCTCCATGAACAGGTCACTAAACTGGTGTTTAAGTACAGATTTGACCAAAGGGAGTTGAAAGTTCTCTTTGGCAATGGCTTGGGTTGTTGAGATCCACAGGGTTTGCTTTAGAATGTCATGTTGTCTCAGAAAATACAGAGCCCTTCCCTGTGTTCAAATCCAGTTATTAACCTCTCACCTCTTTTAATGCCTTAACTTAAAAAATTATGCAAATGACTCATTATGGTTTTACACGTATATATATTTGGTCTCTGTCTCTGGTTCTTGGCACAGAGCTCCTAAAACCTTTGGAATTTCCTGAGTGATAGGAGTGTATTTTGTTCTTCATAACCAGTGCCTTTCAACCACACCTGAGTTTATGGTAATGAGGTGGCTCAGAATGGGCTCCTAGACAACCTCAGGATGGGGCTGGTTGCCAGAAAGACCAAGCCTTGATTACAGAGTTGGGACTTTCAGTCCCACCCCCGACCTCCAGATTCTGTGACCAATGGTTGATGATTTCTTTTTTTTATTTTTTATTTTTTAATGAGATGGAGTCTTGCTCTGTTGCCAGGCTGGAGTGCAGTGGTGCAACCTCGGCTCACTGCATCCTCCACCTTCTGGGTTCAAGCAATTCTCCTGCCTCAGCCTCCTGAGTAGCTGGAACCACAGGTACAAACCACCACACCCAGCTAATTTTTTTTTTTTTTTAGTAGAGACAGGGTTTCAATATCTTGGCCAGGATGGTCTCGATCTCTTGACCTCATGATCTGCCCACCTCGGCCTCCCAAAGTGTTGGGATTACAGGTGTGAGCCACCGCACCCAGCCATGGTTGATGATTTAATCATGCCCACGTCGTAGAAGCTCCATAAAAACCCCCATGGGGTTTGGAGATCACATGTGGAAGTGGGGGGTGGGGGAAGGGGGCACTGCAATTCCATGGGATCAGAGGCTCCTGTGCTTGGCACCCTTTGGACCTTGACTTCTGTACCTCTTTACCTGGCTGTCATTTGTATCCTATATAATAAACTGTAATTGTGTGACATTTTCCTGAGTTCTGTGAGTCATTCTAGCAAATTATCGAACCTGAGCAGGGAGGTTGTGGCAACCTCCAGTTGTGGTCAAGTTGGACAGAAGTGTGATAACGTGGGGACCCCAGAGTGGCACATGATGTGAGGGCAGTCTTGTGGGACCGAGCCCTGAAACCTGCAGAGTCTGATGATAACCCTCAGCGGTTAGTGTTAGCATAGCATCGAACTCTAGGATACCCAGTTGGCATCAGAGAAAGTGTTGCTGGAAAAGACACTGTGTATTTGGTGTCAGAAAGAACCACAGATTCATAGTTTTTTTTTTTTTTTTTTTTGAGACAGTCTTACTTTGTTGCCCAGGCTGGAGTGCAGTGGCGTGATCTTCGCTCACTGCAACCTCTGCATCCTGGGTTCAAGCGATTCTCATGCTTCATCTAGGTGCCACCATGCCCACCTAATTTTTGTATTTTTAGTAGAGACCATGTTTAGCCATGTTAGCCAGGCTGGTCTCAAACTCCTGACCTCGGGTGATCCGCCCACCTTTGCCTCCCAAAGTGCTGGGTTTACAGGCGTGAGACATCATGCCCGGCCTCATGGATAGATTTTCAATGTGAAAGACTCAAGTTAAATAGTACACATAGTGTGAAAACAAAGTTCCCCCTCTGTATACTTTTTTTCCTAATTCCCTAGTATGTCACTAACAAATGCTTGTCTTCCTGTTCTAGGGATTTACCTGTGAGGACATCTATGTCTGCATGCGTGTGTATGTGTGTGTATACATGCGTTGTATACATATACATGTATCTATGCATGTCAATGCTTACATGTATGATGGCTTATTTTTTATGGCCACTGCATAGTTTATTTGTTGTTTTGCTAAATATCATGGTATAGTTTACATGAAGGGGGTCATGCTAGATTATTCTGCACGTACTATATGACTGTAGCATATAGTTTAGGGTTGCAAGTAGGTGCTGAAAAACACTGCAGACATTCTCATGTTAGCAAGAGGATTTAATGGCTGCATATTACAGAAACTTATGATTTGTTGGATTAATGGATGGCTGCATGGTTATTATAAAATATAGAATATTTTACTATGACTTTGCTTCTTTCACAGTATATTTAAAAAACTAGGAATACAGTTTATTTGTGAACATGAATTTGTACTGCAAGGGTCCACTTATATCCAAACTTGAATCAAAAATATAGTATTCTCAGGATGTGAAACTCGCTTATACAGAGTAACATAAGCAGATTCCACTAGGCCAACTGTAGGTCATGAGTATGCACAATTTCGGTATATGTGGGGCATCCTGAAACCATTCCATTGAGTATACCAAGGGACAACTGTGCAGGTGCAGCTTATGTGGTGAAAATGGGCCGAACAACTTCATATTTCTTCCATGTCAATAAAAGAGAAACATATTAAGCAGGACTGTGTTATTACAGGAATCACTGACCCTGGAGGATGTGGCTGTGGACTTCACCTGGGAGGAGTGGCAGTTCCTGAGCCCTGCTCAGAAGGACCTGTACCGGGATGTGATGTTGGAGAACTACAGCAACCTTGTGTCAGTGGGTGAGGACAGCTGCCCTGTGTCACTCAGAGGGTACCCAGTCAGTGGCCTTTGCTTTCTCAGCTTCTGGAAGCTTTGGTATGTCTGCTGTGCTCCCAAATGGCAGATCCTCAGGCCCGTCTCTGGTCCCACAGGAAGAGGCATAATCTTCCTTCGTCTTAGAAAAAAAGCCTTTAATTTGCTAACATGCAAATTATGCAGTCCCTAACATGTACCTTTCTCCTATCATCAGAGCCACGTGGTGCAATTCAGTGAGCCTAAGTCTTCTCCCATTTCCCACAAACAGGGTATCAAGCCGGCAAACCTGATGCCCTCACCAAGTTGGAACAAGGAGAACCACTATGGACACTAGAAGATGAAATCCACAGTCCAGCCCACCCAGGTAAGTGAGAGAGAACCAGCAAGAGGGGAAGGCAGCGGAAGTCACATTCTGGTCATTTAGAGAAGGCATGACAGTTGTGAAAGTGTCTAGGGAGACAGAAACAGCTGCCACATCTTCTTCTCCCCTAGGATACAAGAGCTCTTTTTCTTATAGGAATTCAGAGAAGCATACATACCCCTTTATCTCTTCTTGGAACTGATCCCTATTCATTTCTTCTTAGATGTTGAGTTGCTTCCCCTAAGTTCTTCTTGCTTGGATTTTCACATCTTCCCATTCTTCTTCATCACTTGTCAGAGGATCATTTTGTGTTTCTGAGGCAAAAACGACAAACTGTTTTTTTCTCTGTCACATAGTCACTCAACACAGCATTTATGCCACTGGATATATAGGGGTTGTTTTCTCACAGCCCAGGCAATTCTCCAGCAGACATCAGCTGGGTATCGTCTGTTTCAAATCAGCTCTGACCCTATCTACCTGATACGGCATCAGATCCCACCGGTTAAGGGCTCAGTCCAAGACTGTGTCCCACTTCAGATGCCAGTGGCAAGTCCCAGGTTGTCACCTCAGCTTCTGACCAACCAGCTGTAAAGTAGGGGTTCCCAAGACCCTCTCCTCAAGTTTGATTAATTTGCTAGAACAGCATTTATATGTATATGCGTGTGTGTATATATGTGTATGTGTGTGTGTATGTGTGTATATACATTTATATATATACTTTATATATTTATATGTATATATACATTTATATAAGAGAGAGAGGGAGAAAGAGTGCCATAAGCATTGTCTAGAGTTACTGATTCATCAAGTGAGATAAGAACTGAGGCATAGGAGGCCGGGCATGGTGGCTCACACCTGTAATCCCAGCACTTTGGGAGGCTGAGGCGGGCGGATCACAAAGTCAGGAGTTTGAGACCAGCTTTGCCAACATGGTGAAACCCCATCTCTACTAAAAATACAAAAATTAGCCGGGCGTGGTGACATGTGCCTGTAGTCCCAGCTACTCAGGAGGCTGAGGCAGGAGAATTACTTGAACCCAGGAGGCAGAGGTTGCAGTGAGCTGAGATCGCGCCATTTCACTCCAGCCTGGGTGACAGAGTGAGACTCTGTTTCAAAAAACAAAAAGAAACGAAAAACAAAAAAACAAAAAAACTGAGGCATCGGTATGTGATTATGGTTTGTTTTTCACATTCTGACACTATGTATTTTTCACCTTGAATTTTCTTTTCATGAAATGGTTTTTAATACACTACAATATAATAATATCTTCCATGTCTAAATTCCCATTCTACTTTGCATCCCAATCACACACAAGCCACTCCCATAGATACCACATCAGTGTGATTTGGTGGTGCTTGAGGTTCCTTTGCTACTCTGGAGTCAAGGGCCTGGTTTTCATTCTTCTTCATGTAAGATTGAAATACATCTTGGTCATTCATGCATTTCTTCATCGAAGGACAGATTAGCCAGGCTGAAGAGAGGTCATACTTTTCCATCTATTAAGCATTTCTTAAAGGCTAGATCTTTATTAAAGGAGTTTTCATGACACTGTCCATACCAAGGCCTCTTGCTCTGTGAGTCTGGTTTTGTTAGAATTGAGTTGGGGGCCTGGGCGTGTCTTTACATGAAGCTCTCTCGGGGGCTGTTTTTATGAGTTGATGAACTGTAGCCATAATACACAGTAGAAGAGACTGAATTTAGTGAGAAACAGAAATGTCTTTCTTGAGCAAAGATTTTGTTAGCAAAAATAGGGCAAATTTTTATGTAATATTTACAAATTAAACTTTTGAACGTGTGAAATGTTTTTGTTACAATTCAGGGCTATACAAAGTTAAAGTGAATAGTAAATACAGAAAGAATTGTAGGACTTTAGAAGAAATGTAACCTACAGTGGTCTAGACAAGATGGAGAAAGACAGACTGATAAAATATCTTATGCAAGAGACATAGCTAGGTATTGAATTAAGATGAAGACATATGACAAGAAGTTGTAGAACTGGAAATGCAAGGCCATGTGGGGACTGTCAGAAGATTAGCCTGAAGGCCGGGTGCGGTGGCTCATGCCTGTAATCCCAGCACTTTGGGAGGCCGAGTTGGGCAGATCACCTGAGGTCAGGAGTTTGAGACCAGTCTGGCCAATGTGGTGAAACCCTGTCTCTACATAAAATACAAAAAATTAGCCAGGCGTGGTGGCACGTGCCTGTCATCCCAGCTGCTCGGGAGACTGAGGCAGGAGAATTGCTTGAACCTGGGAGGCGGAGGTTGAAGTGAGCCAAGATCGTGCCACTGTACTCCAGCCTGGGTGACAGAGCAAGACTCCATCTCAAAAAAAAAGAAAAAAAAAAGATTAGCTTGAAACTGGTCACATGGAGGCCACAGTTAGAAGATATTTGCTGGGAAATGGTGAAGTGGGAACTTAAAGTGGATGCGTCATGGTAATGGTAAAACTTTTATTGTTCAGCTCCTGCTGTGAATTTTCTGTGCCAGTAATTCAGGGTAGTGGTGGAGGTAAAGTTTTGTATTTTTCTAGCTCTAGGTAGAGCTTACCTTTCACCTGGTGGCAGTACTATAGCAATCATACTGTATAGCTGATGTTCTAAGAAAAACTAAAAGTAAAGCTGCCTCAAGTCTTGATTCAGAAGTAGGGAGGTGGTCCTTGAGGGCTCCATTCACCGATGCCAACAGAGACATAAGTACAAAATTCAGAGAGTAGAGGCTGTTAGTGGCAAGGTGAGGAATTAGTATATTAGGGACAGCAAAGTGGAAAAAAAATCCAATATGACATCTGTGCAAGTAGGGCATGATGAAGAAGGTGACAGTTTCCATATTTGGTGCAGTGGCAGAGCTGTGTGGAGAGGACCACGTGTTCTGCTTGCATGTTCTGAAAGTCCATAGGGATCACCCTGTTTCTCTTTCTGTTGGAACATATGAGAATATATCATAGCCAGGTAGATACAAGGTGTTAACCAAAAAATTGAGGAGGCAAAGAGAAACTTTATATTCTAACAAAAGATGATTCGCAGATCTGAGTGGTGTGACTTTGAGGAAGTGGAAAAAACACACATCACTGAAGAGGGGAAACTTTTTTTTTTTTGCCTTGCAGGAGGCTTTTTGCCTTCTAGGATTTGCTTTGCATACCTATTCAGTGAGAGATGGGGAGTCTTATGAATATCTTTATGAGAATCAGCAAACATGTGCATAGTGAGCAAACATATATGTAACATATAATCCACTTTCATTTTGGAGTGGAGTTTTAACATTAAAATGAGGTGGAATTTGACTGTATGCTAGCAGGTCTTTTACAGGATATAAGAAAAGTCTGCACAGACTCCGGCAGCTGACCAAAACAGCTGGTGTTTATCAGGAGAAGGATATTGAGATCAGTCTCCTGTCCAATCATAGCTGCAGTTATGGCCTGTGGAATGCTGTTGGGGGTGAGGGGCATCAGTTAGTCAGCATCTGGTGGTCCGGGAGCTGCAATTGTTTCAATATTGCTTGTCCCAAGGCCAGTGTTTGTTTAGCTGCTACAGAAAAAGAAACAAAACAAAACAAAACAAAAAACACTCGTGGCAGTTAGAACATAGTTTATTCTTTAAATGTAGGGGGTGTGTGACTTAACCCTTACCTGTATGTCCTTAGACCTAGTTTATAGTTTGGTATCTTATTGCTACAAAGAGTCTGTTCCATCAGTCTTGTGATCTCTGTTTTAACAAAGGTTAGAGTATTGACTGCAGTTTTCCTGGAAATATGAGATTGGTGCTCTAGGAAAGTTAGCGTGATGATGGTCTACAGAATGGAGAAGGGCATATTTTAGCACCCAACAGTCTAATAGGATTAGGATGAAGTCAAAGGCTGTGTATCCAACATTCTAACTTGCCTTTCTGGGATATTTATTCTACTACCTATGTCTGCTGTTTCCCTACTCAGGATTATTCTTTTTTAAATTAAAAAAAAAGTTTTTGTAGAGACAGTCTCCCTATTGTAGCCCAGGCTGGTCTCAAACTCCTGGGCTCAAGTGATCTTCCCACCTCACCCTCCCAAAGTGCTGGGATTACAGGCATGAGCCACTGTGCCTGGCTGGCAAATTTTTTTTTTTTTTTTGAGATGGAGTCTTGCTCTGTTGGCAGACTGGAGTGCAGTGGAGCGATCTTGGCTTGCTACAACCTCTGTCTCCCAGGTTCAAGCGATTTTCCTGCCTCAACCTCCTGAGTAGCTGGGACTACAGGCACGTGCCACCACGCCCAGCCAATTTTTTTGTATTTTTAGTAGAGATGGGGTTTCACCATGTTGGCCAGGATGGTCTTGATCTCTTGACCTTGTGATCCACCCGCCTTGGCCTCTCAAAGTGCTGGGATTACAGGCATAAGCCACCGCACCCAGCTGGCAAATTTTATCTTATATGTATTTAACTACAATTCTTAAAAGTTTTTTTAACAGATAGGGAACACTTATACTTGGAATTCCTTCCATGTTGGTATTATAGGGGTTCCAGTAAAAAGCCAGCCAACCCCAAGGCATCTTTGAAGCAGTTTTATTCCGTGTGATGATCATGGAAGGATTTATTGTTCTCTCTCTTAGAAATTGAGAAAGCTGATGATCATCTGCAGCAGCCCTTGCAAAACCAAAAAATACTGAAGAGGACGGGACAACGCTATGAACACGGAAGAACTTTGAAATCATATTTAGGTTTAACCAACCAGAGCAGAAGATACAACAGAAAGGAGCCTGCTGAGTTTAATGGAGATGGAGCTTTTCTCCATGATAATCATGAACAAATGCCTACGGAAATTGAATTCCCTGAAAGTAGAAAACCCATCAGCACCAAGTCACAATTCCTTAAACATCAGCAAACACACAACATAGAGAAAGCCCATGAATGCACTGACTGTGGGAAAGCTTTCCTCAAGAAGTCTCAGCTCACTGAGCATAAGAGAATTCATACAGGAAAGAAACCCCACGTGTGTAGCTTGTGTGGGAAAGCCTTCTACAAGAAGTACAGGCTCACTGAACACGAGAGAGCTCACAGAGGAGAGAAACCCCACGGGTGTAGCTTGTGTGGGAAAGCCTTCTACAAGAGGTACAGGCTCACTGAACACGAGAGAGCTCACAAAGGAGAGAAACCATACGGGTGCAGTGAATGTGGGAAAGCCTTCCCCAGGAAATCTGAGCTTACTGAACATCAAAGGATTCACACGGGAATTAAGCCCCATCAATGCAGCGAATGTGGGAGAGCTTTCTCCAGAAAATCACTACTCGTTGTACATCAGCGAACTCATACAGGAGAGAAGCCTCATACATGCAGTGAATGTGGAAAAGGCTTCATTCAGAAGGGCAATCTCAACATACATCAACGAACTCACACTGGAGAGAAACCTTATGGATGCATTGACTGTGGCAAGGCCTTCAGCCAGAAGTCTTGCCTTGTAGCACATCAGAGATATCATACAGGAAAGACTCCCTTTGTATGTCCTGAATGTGGGCAACCCTGTTCACAGAAGTCAGGACTCATTAGACATCAGAAAATTCACTCAGGAGAGAAACCCTATAAATGCAGTGACTGTGGGAAAGCCTTCCTTACAAAGACAATGCTCATTGTACATCACAGAACTCACACGGGAGAGAGACCCTATGGCTGTGATGAGTGTGAGAAAGCTTACTTCTATATGTCTTGCCTTGTTAAACATAAGAGAATACACTCAAGGGAGAAACGGGGGGATTCAGTGAAGGTGGAAAATCCTTCCACAGCAAGTCACAGCTTAAGTCCTAGTGAACATGTGCAGGGGAAAAGCCCTGTTAATATGGTAACTGTGGCAATGGTGGCAGGGCAGTGTGAGTTTGCCCACATCCTGCATTCATGATAAACAGTTTGCTGTTTGATCATATAGCCTCCAGCGGAATGCTGAGTTTGTCATGTCCCATGGGCCTTTGGCTCCCTGCACTAATATGTATAGTAGGGTTTACAAGATATGAAATATATTTTACTTTTTTATATCTTATAAACCTCACTACCCCTCCCACAATATTGTTTTTCATTTACTATCTTGATCATAGAGTTTGGCTGGGGAGGGGGGCAGTTTTAGAGGCTTCCACTTGGTGTTCCTCAGAATGATATCTCTTACTCCGGGGGCCAAGGTAGGGGTTAGCTTTTGTTCTCTTTGTAGTTTAGATTGTATCTCTTGCCTTGTTCAAGTTCACAAATCTTTTTGTGTATACACATATGTACATGAAAATGATGTTCATGCTTTTTATTATTTTACCCTTCATTATTTCATTTTTTATAGTTCTCATAGCTATGTCTTTCAGTTCACTAATCTTTTTTCCACAGTGTTTAATCTGTCATTAATCCCATCCAAAGTATGTTTTCTCTCAGAAATTGTAATTTTTAACCTCTAATAATTTGACATGGGTTTTTCCCTGTTATATCTTTCATATCTTTATTTATCATGGTTTTACTTTTAACCTATTTATGCTTTCATATTTAAAGTGGGTGTTTAGTGGGCAACATACAGTTGGGCCTTCCTTTTTTATCCAGTTAACAATCTCTGTCTTTTTACTGGGGTATTTAGATCATTTACGTTCAATGTATTGATGTTTTTAGGTTTAAATTACTAACTTACTATTTGTTGTTTATTCTATGTCTTCTTTGTTCTCCTTTTCTTCTTTTTCTGCTTTCCCTTAGAGTAGCTGAGTGTGTTTATATTACATATTGTCTCCTTTGTTGGCTTATTAACTGTAAATCCTTGTCATTTGATTCCTTGAGATTTTATAGCATACATCATTGTGAGGGATTGCATATTTATGTCCTCTCCAAATTTACATGTTGAAGTCCTAATCCCTAAGGGATGGCATTAGGAAGTGTGACCTTTGGAAGGTAATTACATCTTGAAAGTGGAACCCTCATGATGAGATTATGTGTCTTATGAGACAACACAGAAGAGAGTTTGTTTTCTCTTTCTCTGCTCTTTGCCATGTGAAGACAGAATGAGATGACCATGCATAAACCAGGAAATGGACTCTCACTGGACACTAGACCTGCCAACACCTTGATTGTGTTTTAGAGTCCAGTTCTAGAGACTCCTCAGCCTCTGGAACGTGAGAAATGAATGTTTGTTAAGGCAGTCAGTCAGTCTATGGTGTATTTTTTCTAGTAGCCTGAACTGACTGAAAGAAAATCATGAACTTATCATTCTAACTTCAAGGACATTATATCACTTACTGTATAATAAAATAATCTTACAGTAGTATATCTCTATTTCCTGTGACCAGATCAGTGTCAGTGAAGAGATTGTCTTCTAGATGCTACTGGAATACATATTTGAGGTATGGGTAATCTTGATTTTACATGATAAATTCATTCTAGCATTCCAAACTCCATTTATCTTTGGGTACTTTATAATATATGAGGAAATTTCTGGCATTTAAACTTCATTTAGTGTAGGCAAATTTTGAGTCCAAGTTTCAGTCAACCAGCCAAGTCAACAGTTAGCACCACTCAATTTAGCTCACACACTGAAATTGCCAGTAGAATGTAATCTCCATGAATGAGAGTCTTTGTGCCTGAATTTCCAACTGTTGTATTCCCAGCACGCACAACAGTGTTTGACACATTAGGCATTTTATAAACATTCGCTGGATAAATGAGTGAATGATCAATCCCTTTAAAGGTTCTCTGAGGCTGGTTATAAAATTATAGGGAGCAGGTTTGGTGCTAGAATTCATCAGTTAATTGATCAGCTGAGTTTCAGTATTGAACAGAATCATCTCCCCTTCAGAGTTTTGATTTCAAGTTGCTCCCACCTTCCTGGATGTAAAGGCTTGTTCTGCCTTTGGCTTTTCCAGGGTGAGAGAGCCCTGTTTTCGTGTTGGTTCCCCACTTTGTCAACTGCTGATCAACTGTGTTCTCCATTCTCCACACCAATTATAACCAAAGCTTTAACACGCGGTTGTTTTATCCATTCTATGACTGACTCCTTCCTCTGAGGCTACATCTGATGTAGATGTAAAGATACTTCTTAGGCAGTTCTCAAAGGCTGCTTTCTCCAGCCAGATGCATCCTCAGGAGTAATAACCCCTCCGATTGTTGCTCAGGTCCCTCCCTCTTGAAATTCCTGTAAGACTGCCGCGCCACATGGTTTCTTTCCATTCTTCTTAGGATCAAAGTGCCTAAATGTCTGTGACCATCTCTACCCATCCTGTAGACAGATCAGGGCAGGCTTGAGCCTTTGAGAAACTAAGCAGTTTATGTAGCGCCCCTGGCTAATGTTGCAAAGCCAAGATCTAGCAGTTCACGTGGACTGGAAAAAGGGTGAAATGGGTCGTTTTCAATTGCTTTTCATCGTCAGAACCTACCTGTCTTAAGGCGCGAAAAGAGGGACTCCGCCTGCTCTACGGCAGTAGGGTTGAAAATGGCTGCTCCCAGCAAGCGTCCCCTGGGCGCAGACATATTGCATCATAAAGGGACGGCTGGTGCCGTATTCCGTGTCTCCGGAAAGACGCAGTATGGCCCTCGCCGGCCGCCATCCCCGAAACTTGCGAGTGTCGCGTCTGCAGTGTGTGGGGTTCGCGGGGCGGCGGGTAGAGGCGAGTGTTTAGAGACTTCGGGTCCCTGACTCGCCTCCAGCAGTGGAGACAGGTCATCGGTCTGGTCTGCGTGGGCTTCTGGGAATGTTTCAGGGGCAGGGAGAGCGCGCTTTTTTTTTTCTGTTGTTCGCTAGCGCGTGAGGTCCGTGTTGCGGGGAGCTCTCGGGGAGTCCTCGCTCGGAGTTCGTTTCGCAGTCGTGTTGGAGTTCCCAGAGTCTGGGAGCCCATGGTCTCCGCATTGGAACCAGTGCTTGGGAGGTCTTCGTTGCACAGTAGCGCTAGGGCGTCGTGGTGGGGAAGCGAATCGTGTCAGTGTTGGAGACTGCTCTGGGCAGTTCGTGTTCATTGCTTATCACATGCGTACTTAAAAAGGGGTCTGCTGGTCCCCTTGCTTCCCTGCTGCTGTATATTCTGTAGAAAATGGGTTTTCAGGTTCATTGCGACCCAAGTAATAACATCCCCATCATTTTAAATACTCCTCCAGAAAATAACTCTGGTTTAGTGTATTTCATGTTTAATGTTGGGATCAGGTGTCTAGGTATTGGTATAATTTTATTCGTCTTTAATAACATCTTGTCAACTTCGTATTCCCATATTACATGCTCTTTGAGAGTTTTTTAAATTGCTGCAGTTTCATCAAGTGGTTGCTTTAATTTGGGTAGAATTGATGTAGATCTAGATACAACACTTTCAGGAACATGTGATGGATTTCTATTAACCCAATATTTTTATTTGTTTGACTATCTGTAGTGTTTTTCCATACGTATCTTGGACATTTCTGGTTATGCTTATTTCTACATAGTTAATACTTTTTGTTGTAAATCGTGACTTTTTTTTTGCATAAGACCCCTCCCCCTTTCCTTTTTTGTTCCTAATTTTACTTAGTTGACAAGAACAGAAGTTAAAAATATATATGTTTATTCTGTCACTTCATTGTACTCATGTCATTACATATAACTTATAAATTGACGTCTTTTTTCTAGTTGAGCATTTTTGTCATCTGCAAATAATTTTAGCCAGGTGGCAAGTGTATGGACTGTGGAGTAAGAAGTACCTGCCTCTGCCTCTGACTTGGGTACGTTAATCTCTGAGTCAGTTTCCTTATTTGTGGAAAAAAGCTGTCATAGTTTCTTTTTCATGGAATCATTATGAAGATTAAGTGAGCAAATGTTCTTTAAGTATGTTCAAAGTGTAGTACTAGGTACGTAGTATGGTCTGAATAAATAATTACTGTGATTTATCAAGTTTTTATTTCTCTTTCCTAAGGGCTTTTGACCATTACAATTATTTTCATTTATTTTTTTCTCTTTAAAATTTTCTTTGATTTGTGTTGCTCTATTTCCCAATTTCATGTATTCCTGAGGGAATAAACCATACTTGTCAATAATGGTTTGTTCTTTTAATATGAGACTGGATTTTATTTGCTAAAATTTTATTTAATATTTTTGCATCAAAAAATGAAAAGATATCTTGGATTAGCTTCGGAATAATCCATAATCCATTGCTGGAGAGGGACTGAATGGTGGTATAGATAAAACAAAATTAGATGTGAGTTCGTCATTCTTGAAGTCACATGATGAATATGTGGAATTTGAGTATACTGTTCTTTTGCTTGAAATTTTTCATAGTAGAAAGTTAAAAAATTTTTTTGCCTATACATTTATAAGAGAAATTGGTCTCTTAAGTTTTTTTCAAGTGATTATACTTGAAAATCACCAGGTTAAAAAAATAGAATAATGTAGCATCCCAGAAGCCCTCATCTTCTCTCTCCTCTCCAAAGGTAATTATTATCTTAAAAACATCATAGATGTGCTTGGTTGTCATCTTTATATAAATGAAATCCTAAGGTACACATTCTTTTGTGGCTGGCTTCTTTTGCTTAATATTTTTGTTGTGAAAATCATCTAAGTTGCTGCATATAGCAGTAGCTCGTTTCTTTTTCATTACTGTGTAGTATTCCATTGATGATTATACCCCATATTATCCATTCCACTATCAAGAGACATTGTTATGGCTTATGGGAGTTATGAGTATTGTTGATATGAACGTTTTTCTACATGTCTTTTGGTGCATAAAAGTTCTATTGAGGGCTGGGCATGAGAGCTCACGCCTGTAATCCCAGCACTTTGGGAGGCTGAGGCGGATAGATCACCTGAGATCAGGAGTTCGAGACATCTGGCCAACATGATGAAACCCCATCCCTACTAAATACAAAAATTAGCAGGGCGTGGTAGCGGGTGTCTGTAATCCCAGCTACTCAGGAGGATGAGACAGGAGAATCACTTGAACCCAGGAGACAGAAGTTGCAGTGAGCTGGGATCATGCCATTGCACTCCAGCCTAGGCAACAAGAATGAAACTCCATCTCAAAAAAAAGTCAATAGAGCATATACTTAGTGTGTTAAGTATAGAGGAATGGAGTATGCTAGACACAAGGAGAAACCGCAAATGCCCAATCATAATGGGAAATTCTTAACATACTTCTCTCAGTAACTGAGAGAACAGGCAGACAAAAAGCTAAAAGGGTATAGATTAACCATTGCTGGCAAACTTTCTGTAAAGGTGCAGACAGATGACAAATATTTTAGTCTCTGCCGGCTAAATGGTCTTGTCTGCATCTACTAGGTTCTGCAATTATAGAATGAAAGTAGCTGTACAGAATGTGTAAACAAATGGGTGTGGCTGTGTTCTGATAAAACATTATTTACAAAAACATTCAGCTAACCCACAATAGTCCCAACCCCTGAAAGGTTAGAATGACATACCTAATTAACAAACTTGACCAATATAAAACACTGCACTCAATAATTTTCCTCAGATGCACATAGGACATTTATAAAAAGTCACCGTATGGTTGGCCATCAGGCAAGTCTAAATACATTTCAAATGATTAAAACCATATAGAATATTTTCTCTAACTATAGTGGAATTAAGCTATAAATCAATATCAAAATGATTTATTCACCATAGAATAGTCATGTGACTTTTTGGAACTATCAATTCAGAACATGCTGTTTTCTTGTCAGAATGATTGTTAATTATGCCATACGCTTCTAAATAATCTGAGTTCAAAAAATCACAGTGGAAATATTTTCAATTGCATTTTAATAAGAATTCTACATGTAAACCCTTGTTGAATTTAACCTAAGCAGTCAGTGGAGGAAATTTATAACCTTGAATGCAAGTATTAGAAAAGAAGGAAGGATGAAAATCAATGGAAAAGCACCTATCTCTATAATTCTTTTTTTTTTTATTCTATTGATTTGTGTTTGGAAATGCTGGTTTTATATAATTGTTAGAGAGGCTTCACTTTTTCTGTGATTGATGAATGTTACATAATATTGGAGTCATCTCTGTACTGTAAAGATTAGATAGAACTCATCAGGCTCTGATGACTCTAACTTTTTTTCATGGAAATTGAGTATAATATTTACCCATAACTTAGCTTCAATGGTTATCAATTCATATTCATCTGTCATATCAGTCATATTTATCTGTGCCTCCACTTTTGTTTTAGTCTGGAGACTTTCATAGCAAATCCAAGGCTTCATGCCTTGAAACTTGTACGTATCCCAGTATGAATCTCTAACCAGTAAGGTCATTAAAAAAATTTATAACCACTAGACCATTTCCTTTTTGTTTTTTCTTTTACAGACAGGATCTTGCTATGTTGCCCAGGCTGGTCTTGAACTCCTGGGCTCAAGCAGTCCTTCTGCCTCGGCTTCCCAAAGTGCTAGGATTACGGGTGTGAGCCACTTCACCCATCCTAGACCATTTTCAGTGTATCCAAGTTAATAATAATTTCTTTCCTTATCTTTTTGGGTGAGTGGACTCTCACTCTGTCACCGAGGCCGGACTGCAGTGGCGTTATCTTGGCTCACTGCAATTCCCACTTCCCAGGTTGAAGCAGTTCTCCTGCCTCAGCCTCCCGAGTAGCTGGGCTTACAGGCATCTGCCACCACACCAGGCTAATTTTTGTATTTTTTTGTAGAGATGGGGTTTCTTCCTGTTGGCCAGGCTGGTCTTGAACTCTTGACCTCAAGTGATCTGCCCATGTCGGCCTCCCAAAGTACTGGGGTTACAGGTGTGAGCCACTGTGCCCAGCCTATTTCTTTAGTTCATTGAATAGTTAGTCCACATTCAGTTTTTTTCTGATCATCTCATCATTGTCTTTTAACATTGGATTGTTTGAATCATGATCCAAATGATGTGGGTGCATTCGATTTGCTTGTTGTATCTCTTAGATCTCTTTAATTCTATAACAGCTCCCCCTTTTTTTTTCTTTGTTTTTTTTGCCCTCATGCCTCTTCATATGTTGCAGTAGGAAGTACACAGCACCATCCATGAAGGATTCTTACCTAAAAAAATTGAACATGGGACTAATCAAACCTCTAAGTTGAACTACTCACTTAATTAAAAGGAAAAACTGGGAGTTGGGTAGGTAGAGAACAACAAGTTAAACTATACCATGAGGCTGGGAGCAGTCGCTCATGCCTGTAATCCTAGCACTTTGGGAGGCTGAGGTGGGAGGATTGCTTGAGGCCAAGAGTTCAAGACCAACCTGGCCAACATAGCGAGACCTTGTCTCTATAAAAAAAAAAAATTTGGCCAGGCACAGTAGCTCACACCTGTAATCCCAGCACTTTGGGAGGCTGAGGCAGGTGGATCACAAGGTCAGGAGTTCAAGACCAGCCTGGCAAAGATGGTGAAGCCTCGTCTTTACTACAAATACAAAAATTAGCCGGGCGTGGTGGTGGGCACCTGTAATCCCAACTACTCAGGAGGCTGAGGCAGAGAATTGCTTGAACCCGGGAGGTGGAGGTTGCAGTGAGCTGAGATCGCGCTACTGCACTCTAGCCTGGCGACAGATTGAGACTCCTTCTCAAAAAAAAAAAAAAAAAAATTTTTTTTAAAAAGCCCACACAAAATGATACCCTGATACAGCAGTCAGCCATATCCAAAGGTAGGACATCATATGGGAGAAATCACCTGTTTCCTTCCTCCCTGCTTCATTCCTCCCAAAAGCAGATAAGGCTGAGGGCTTGTAATGGTTTGGAAGCATCCTAACTTTTATTTGAAGTGGAAGCCTTTTTTTTGCCTTTTGTTTTTTTTGAGACAGGATCTTGCTGTGTTGCCCAGGTTGGGGTGCAGTGATGCGGTCATAAACTCAATTCAGCCTGGAACTCCTGGGCTCAAGCGATCCTCCTGCCTCACCGTCCTAAGTACCTGGGACTACATGCATGCACCACCATGCCTGGCAAATTTTTAATTTTTTTTTGTAGAGACAAGGTCTTGGTATGTTGCCCAGGCTGGTTTTGAACTCCTGGCCTCAAGGAATTCTCCTGCCTTCACCTCCAGAATTGCTGCAATTACAGGCCTGAGCCAACACAGCAGACCCTAGTTTTTTTTTTTTTTTTATTGGATACTGTTGGCTGCCAATCTGACAACCAAGCCCCCTTTCTTAAGAAAATTCCTCTTTAATTTAGGTAGTGTCCTCTGGACATTTGACCTGAACCTCAGTTCAGTAGGAAATCCAGATTATCCTTACCAGTCAGGGTGGTATCATTGCCCTTCTCGGTTACATTGCCATGTTCTCCGCGTGAGTATTTGGTGCAATTCTGATGTATTATGTATGAGGGAAAGCCTGCCATGAGCTTCTGGGAATGGTTGGATCCTGGATTTTTCAACCCTGGAGATCTCAGCTCCAACCCATTCATGCGTAATGGCCTTTTCTACCTCTTAGCTATCCATATGGATTTCTGCATTTGGGTTGGGTACCACTGTTTTTGGACTGGTCCTGTAGGGAGGCTAGACTGAAGGGCTGGGGCTGGGATGAAGCGGTCTCAGGATTGAAGGTAGAGGAGGTTTGCATCTTGACCAGTGCGTTTACCAGTGGGTCAGAAAATGGCTTGGAGATCAGCTCTCTGGGTGTAAAGGATACAGGCTTGCTAGAGAGTCTTGAGAATGACTTGCTGGGATGACAGCAAAATTCAAGTTGTTCTCACAGTGTGGGTGTTCTCAGAGTGTGAGTTTCTAGAGTGGTTCTTGGGGAGACTGATCTCTGAACTGCTGCTTCTGGGGCAAAGATGGGACCGCCTTTGCTTTCCTGTCTGTGTGGAAGGAGCAGGCTGAGCATCCACACTGAATATTGCATTAGGAGATCACAGGCCCTTGTTTGTGTAGCTGTGACTATGTGGCCACCCCGCAGTGTAAAGTGCTGGGAAGTAAAGTTCTAAAAGTGGGTAGGAAAGAGAACAAATTTGCACTGTAAGGCTGTTGTAGGAGGGAAGTATCACAAGGGAGAGACCCCAGATGTAGATTCAAGTTCCCATGCTACTAATGAGGAAGAATGTTAACCTGCACAACACACGTTGTCTCAGCAAGCCTCAGCTTACTCATGTTTAGGATGGAAATAATAATGAGTACCTTATAAAGTAGTATCGAGGGTTTAGTAAGACAGTGCTTATGGTTTGTATGATTAGTAAGACAGTGCAATAAACCAAAAATTTAGGAGCATGTGGCTGCCGGTGGTGATTTTAAGTCAGTTTCTTGAGCCACCACTTCTTTTATGTTTTTATTCTTAGAGACAGAGTCTTGCCATGTGTCCAGGCTGGTCTTGAACTCTGGAGCTCAGGTGAGATCCACCCATCTCAGCCTCTACAATAGCTGGAACTCTAGGGCACATGCCACCATGTCTGGCTTTACCACTTCCTTCATTGTCTTACCTAAAACTGATATATGTGAGAACTTGGCAGTGGACAAGACCATAGGTGGTTTTTGTTTACTTTCTCCTGTTTCACATCCACTCTATTTCTGACATAACCAAAAAAAAAGGCATTCCTCTTGCACATTCCATATCTTCCTCTGGATCACTGCCCCATGATGTAATGGCTTCCAGGGTGTTAAGGAGACAGATGAAATATTGGAACCTGATGTTAATGTGAGTCCAGATGGCAATTGGAGACTTGTGATCCTAGGAGCATGTCTTCTTATCATTGAATTTGGTCTTGAATCCACAGGTTCTGGCCTATAGGAACAAGACATTTTCAGTAATGGAAGAAGGAGCTTCCAGGCTGGGGAAGATCATCATTTCCAGTGGTAGCTTGACCTGAGATGATACCTGACCACCACTTCTGGGAAGGCCCAGAATAGACAGAAGAGAGAGAACATACTAGAGTTGCTAGCCCCTAAGAGTTGAACGAAATGGGCAAGGCCCAGGTGAGGTTTGTTTTACCTATTTTGTCGTTTGTTTCCCAATGGGTCTGTGGAAGCTTGTAAAAGACAGTCTGGTTAAATGAGATAGTGTATGCTGATAAAAATCAGGATCTGTGGGAAAATAAGTTTAAGTTGGAATCTTAAAATCCTGGCAAATTAAGAAACAAGATATATGGATCAGGGGGTTTGTGAAAGTTCTTAATGTCGGAACATAGCTAAGTGACTGTTAAGACCCTGTGGGTTTTCTCTGCTTTAAACTGTGTCTCCTTTTTTTTGGCAGCTGAAATAACAGGAAACACATGAAAAATGCCACGATTGTAATGTCTGTGAGGAGAGAGCAAGGCAGTTCTTCAGGGGAGGTAAATTTGTCATTGCTGTGAGAGCTTGAGAAACTTCTTTCCTTCAGAGAGCTTTTGTGGTTGACGGTATCCTCAAAGTCAGCCTTGTAATAAAGGCATGGGATGTTTTCTATGGCTTTTTCCTGTTGTTTAGTGGGGTAAGCTAAGGAGTAATGCCAAAGGAAAACTGGATTGGACAAAATTCTTCGAAAATAGCGTGCCTTGAAAATAGAGGCTTCTGGTCATCTGACTTTGCCCAGTGATAAAGCCTGGAGTATCCAGTAGAATGAATGGGCTGCTTGACCTTTGAATGATCCTCCCTGAAGAAGAATTCTCTCATCCAGATTTTTGTTATTGAGACAGCAGGAGACAATTAACAGCTCCATTCTTTGGTAACAGCTTGGAATGCAGATACTGACAATGCTTCTTTCTTACCTTCTTAACTCCAGGTTCAAAAAACAAAGCACCAGTTCGGCTTGTTTTGCTTTTTCTATGTTTAATTACTGAAATGATACATGGCTACATTTGCACGCAAGAGATTCAAGCAAACAGAAGCATTTGTATCAAAAGACAGTATCTCCTTTCACCCTTTTTCTGCCCAAACTTCAACCCAAAGGATACTAAATAAGTGTTCATAGTTTGGGTCTCTATCTAGTTCCTCCCTGTGATTGACATCTGGTAGAATATATTCATATTTATGTACATTTATGTATACATACTTGTGTATACTTATACATATGTAATTATAAATATTATTACTTTTTTTCTCCCCCCAAGTTGGAGTCTTGCTGTGTCGCCCAGAGCTGGAGTGCAGTGGCGCAATCTTGGCTCACTGCAACCTCTGCCTCCTGGGCTCAAGCAATTCTCCTGCCTCAGCCTCCTGAGTAACTGGGATTACAGGTGCGTGCCACCACACCCTGCTAATTTTTGTATTTTTAGTAGAGATGGGGGTTTCACCATGTTGGCCAGGCTGGTCTCGAACTCCTGACCTCATGAGCCCCCTGCCTCAGCCTCCCAAAGTGCTGGGATTACAGGCGTGAGCCACCATGCCCAGCCATATTATTACTTTTTTTTTTTTTTTCCTCTTGAGACGGAGTCTTGCTCTGTCGCCCAGGCTGCAGTGCAGTGGCGCAATCTTGGCTCCCTGCAAGCTCTGCCTCCCGGGTTCATGCCATTCTCCTGCCTTAGCCTCCCAAGTCGCTGGGACTACAGGTGCCCACCACCATGCCCAGCTAATTTTTTGTATTTTTAGTGGAGATGGGGTTTCACTGTGTTAGCCAGGATAGTCTTAATCTCCCGACTTTGTGATCTGCCCACCTCGGCCTCCCAAAGTACTGAGATTACAGGTGTGAGCCACCACGCCCAGCCGTATTATTACATTTTTAAAATATGTCTTAGATCATATATTATTTGGGAGCTTAATTTTTTGCATTTAAGAGACTGCCTTGGAGATCATTGATAATCATGTGGGTATGTATACATCTACCTCATTGATTTTAACATTTTTGCAGTATATTATAGCATGGAGGTGCTGTAATTTAACCCTGTCTGCTTTTGATAGACATTTAGATTATTGGTAAGTTTTTCATTATGAGAAACAAAGGAATAATGAACAGTCTTATTACATGTTGTTTCATATCTATGCTAGTACTGCCTTCGTGCTTTTAGGGTAGGCAGAATTGGTGGAATTCCATGGTCCTTTGGTATGTGAAATAGCCATGGTGTGCATACGTTGTCATGGAGAAAAGGATCAAGACATGTCCCCGTCCCTCTTCTCCGCATCATCTATTGTTATCCACCTCAGATTGCATTGGAATTGTTATTATAGGGGTCATTGTCATTCGAAGATGTGGCTGTGGGCTTCACCAGGGAGGAGTGGCAGTTTTTGGACCAGTCTCAGAAGGTCTTGTACAAGGAAGTAATGTTGGAGAACTACATCAACCTAGTATCAATAGGTAAGGACAGCATTGCCGTCACTTACCTTTTCTTTCTTATTTGGTGACCACTGTACGGTCCCATAAATATTTAATGGTTTAGACTAAAGTATTATATGTTATAGATTTTTTGTTGTGGTGGTAAAATATATAACATAAAATTTACCGTCTTAACCATAAGCGTGCAGTTCAGTGGGTTAAATGCATTCGCGCACATAGTGTTATGCAGCCACCAACACTACCTTCTGTCTTCTAAAACTGAAACTCTGTACCCACAAAACAACAACTACTCATTCCCCCACTTCTCCCCAGCTCCTGGTGACCACCATTCACTTTCTGTCTTTAGGATTTTGACTTCTCTAAGTACCTCGTATAAGTGGAATTATATAGTGTCTGTCTTTTTGTGTCTGGCTTATTTCACTTATTATGATGTTCTCAAGGTTTATCCATGTTGTAGCATGTGCCAGAGTTTCCTTTTTAAGGCTGAATAATATTCTTTTGTATATATATATACCACCTTTTGCTTATCCACTTATCTGTTAAGGAACACTGGGTTGCTTCCATGTTTTAGCGCTTGTGAATCATGTTGCTATGAATATGGGTGTACAAATAATCTCTTTGAGACCCTGCTTTCCATTCTTTGGGGTATATACCCAGAAGTGGAATTGCTGGGTGATATGGTCATTCCATTGTTAATTTTTTGAGGAACAGTTTTCCACAATGTCAGTACCATTTTACATTCCCACCAAGAGTACACAGGGTCCCAGTTTCTCCACATCTTTGCCAACAATTGTTATTTTCTGTTTTTGTTTGTCTGTTTGTTTTTTTGATAGTAGCCATCCTAATGGGTATGGGTGTGTCACGCAGACTGTTATTTTCCTCCCTGGCACGAAGTGGTTGTGCTCTTTTCCTGAGTGAAAGAGTTTTGCTTTATCAAAGTGCAAATGCTGTGGTTCCTGAGACATAACCCTCTCCATCTTCATCCATTCCCCAAGCACACGTGCCAAGTGTTCAGTGATCTCCCATTTACAGGGTATCGAGGCACCAAGCCAGATTCGCTCTTCAAGTTGGAGCAAGGAGAACCCCCAGGGATAGCAGAAGGAGCAGCCCACAGTCAAATCTGTCCAGGTAAGTGAGTGAAAACTAAGAAAATGGGGAGAAATGGCATGCAAATCCCAGCTGGTCGGAGAAGGGTTGATGCTTTTAAAGTGTTCTTTAGAGGACTTCACAGTAGTTGGTGGCCCAGAAACCTAATCAGCCTTTCTGCATCTGTGTCCATCCCTAATAGAGCCGGCTCTCAAAGGATAATGTCTTCCTTTCTTCTATTTTCTGGATCTGATTTCAGTCCATGTCATCGAAGACCTTGAATTCTTACCTGGTTCCATTCTTCCCAGCCTGCTCCTGACTTTTGCCCCTTCCTTACTTGCTTTGAAATTCCCCTCGTAACCCATCTGGATTATGTTGCCTTTTTTTTTTTTTTTTTGAGACGGAGTCTCGCACTGTGGCTGGGCTGGAGTGCAGTGATGTGATCTTGGCTCACTGCAACCTCCACCTCCCAGGTTTAAGTGATTCTCCTGCCTCAGCCTCCCGAGTAGCTGGGATTACAGGTGCCGGCCACCAGGCCCGGCTAATTTTTTTGTATTTTTTGTAGAGACGAGTTTTCACTACATTGGCCAGGCTGGTCTCAAACTCCTGACCTCATGAACCACCCACCTTGGCCTCCCAAAGTGCTGGGATTTCAGGCATGAGCCACTGCGCCTGGCTGGATTGCATTACTTTTAGCACTTCTGTCGCTTAAAAGTGTATCCCGGCCCCTCTGGAAAGGCCTGATTTCCTTCACTGAAAATCACCTCACCTTAGCTCACGTCAATGCCTCCACACCATGTCTCTTGGGGCATCTCTGTCGACTTACTCACCCACTGCTCCCCGCCTTTCCAGCTTCTGTTTTTTTTTTTTATCTTCTGCTGATTCTCCTGGTAGAAGTTTAATTCACTCTCAGGGCCTGAGCTCTCTGGCCCCTGCTGGAGACTCGCAAAGTAGCATGTCTGCTACTAACGTCTCATCTGCACTCTAACCCGCTGCGTGTCGCCAGCCACCAGGACAGCTCTCCGAATATTTCCTTCTTCCAGGATGTGAAACCAGAATCCTCCTTTCTCCCAGTTGTTTCTACCATCATGTAGTATACTCACATATACTAAAGATTTCAGCTGTGTCTTCTGACAAATAGCTTCATGCAGATATCTCCTTTTCTGTAATCTCACCTGCCTTCTTATTCTATATTTTGCCAGCACCCTGGACGAGTATTCTGTGAAATTCTTCTTCCCTCAGCTTCAGGGTTAGAAACTGTGATTCTCTTTCCTCCTGGAAAATCCTTTCCCTCCCTGTGCATTATATTTAGGTTCTGCTGTATTGCTCATCACTCCGGTGCCTGGTCACCTTGGAGTTGCCTTGAGTCTTCTCGGTTTACTCTGTTCTACGTCTGAATGTCTCAGCTGCTCCTGTTAATTTTTATTGTTTTGAACACTCTACTCTTGAAGTCCCACTTCACAGTAGGCCATGGTAGTAGAGGTTCTTATCGCCTCCATTGCTGCACGTTTGACTGACTTCTCTTTTTCTGTGAGTTCCATTTGATGTGATGGCTTCATTCCCCTCTGGGCAGGGGCCATCAAAGCACTGGAACTTGATGAGAAGACATGAGGAGTGAGTGTTGCTTGAAGAAAGAAGAGGTCCACATATATTCAGAGATTCAAAAGAGGAGAACCCAGCCACATAGAAAAAGTATCAGGGTTGTGGTGGGAGAGTCAGAAGATGTCCATGAAATAAGTGACAAAATTATTCCAAGGAGGAGGAAGACATATATTTTATTGAATGCTACAGATAATGTCAAATAACATGAGGACTGACATCTGTGCATTTGATCACGTTGCATTTTTACATCCAGATACTGCCCTCTTTCGCTGTCGGCTCTTGTTTTACTTCCAAGAACTAGTTTTTGACTATGCCAGGGCACATTTGGAGCTCTCTCTTTTTTTTTTTTTTTTTTTTTGTGACAGAGTTTTGCTTTTGTTGCCCAGGTTGGAGTGCAGTGGCCCAATCTTGGCTCACTGCAACCTCTGCCACCCAGGTTCAAGGGATTCTCCTGCCTCAGCCTCCCGAGTAGGTGAGATTACAGGCACCTGCCACCACGCCTAGCTAATCCTTTTTTTTGTATTTTTAGTAGAGACAGGGTTTCAGCATGTTGGCCAGACTGGTCTTGAACTCCTCCCATCCACCTCGACCTCCCAAAGTGCTGGGACTACAGACGTGAAGCACTGCGCCTGGCCACCCTCTTTTCTGACTTTTATCTCCTTTGTGTCTATGCTGCACTAACTTAGTAATGGTCATATATTGTTTTGTGTGTGTGTTTTACTGGTTGGTATGAGGCTTCTTTTACCCTCATTTTATTAAATGGCACCAGCACCTACATAGGTGTTTTAAGCCACATACTGAGCAGTTATCCTCAATTCTTCGCTTTTCTGCTGGGAACATGTGTTCTAAGAGTGAATCCTATCTTTTCCTCCTCCATACTTATGTTCTTGTTTTTTCACATTTCTCCATCTCCATTGTAATTATTCCTGATCAAGCCATCTGAATTCTGCCATAACCTCCAGCATATTCCCTTCTATAATTTCATCTTTTCAATTCATTCTCCATAGGACAGTCATGTTTTGGAACTGTCAATTCAGAACATGTTTTCTTGGCAAAAAAATGTTTGGTGGCTTACTGCCATTGTTCTTAGCATAAATTCCAGTTTCTAACAAAGTCTTCCTCCAAAATCTTCATGTTTTTAATCCTGCCAGCCTTGCCAAACTTTTGTATTTCTACTTCACTCAAGCTCAGGATATTCCGGGTAAACCAGCTTCTCTTACATTTTTTTTTTTTTATCACACCTAAGTTTTTTCTGCCTCTGGGTTTTCACACTGGCTGTTCCCTTTTCTTGGAATGTTCTTTATTTTGTTCTTTGCATAACATTGCTTTTTCTTACCCTATGATGTGAGCCACTTCCTTTGTACTGTTCTTCACATTCTGTAATTTTCTTACGTCTTTGCATACCTGTTGATTCTCTGTCTTTACCTGAATGACAGGTTCATGGAGAGAGAGAATAATGATTAGTCACTGTAGTATCCCAAATACCAGTCTATTCAGTGTTTGTTGGGTGAATACATCCATCCCCTCCATCTATTTTTGATTTATTCCAGTTGCAATGTGTTTCTGTTTCTATTCTGTCTCCATTTGCAAGGTCCGATTTGGGAGGCAGCCCAAGTTGTATTGATTCATTATAGAGTATCCATTGTTGTTGCTGAAGTTGCTGTATTTTCCTTTTGCTGTTTTATAGTATCATCCTTTTTCACAGAGTGTGAGGTACATTACTCTGAGACTGAGATCTTATAAAAGCCAGCCAAAACCATGGCATTTTTGCACCTTCTGCCACCTCCACAAAAAATTATCATGGATGTTCATATTGTGCTTTTTCCTAGGAGAAATTTGGGGGGTTTACCATATGCAGTGGTACCCAGAAAACCAAAATGAGCTTAAACATTTTGAAAGATGTCAACAAAGTTATGCCCTTGGAAATAAGTTTGGTTTATGTAAGAGCATTGTTCCTTTAATGTAAAGACACAATAAGTTTGGCTCGCATTGTAAAAGTTTGAAATCTCATTTAGGTTTTGTAATCCAGAGTAGAAGATATGCAGGAAAAGATTCTGATGCATTTGGTGGATATGGGAGATCATGCCTCCATATCAAGCGTGACAAAACTCTTACTGGAGTTAAATACCATAGATGTGTTAAACCCAGCAGCCCTAAATCACAGCTCAATGACCTACAAAAAATTTGTGCAGGAGGGAAACCACATGAATGCAGTGTGTGCGGGAGAGCCTTCTCCAGGAAAGCACAGCTTATTCAACATCAGAGAACTGAAAGAGGAGAGAAACCCCATGGATGTGGTGAATGTGGGAAAACATTCATGAGGAAGATTCAGCTCACTGAGCATCAGAGAACTCACACAGGAGAGAAGCCCCATGAATGTAGTGAATGTGGAAAAGCCTTCTCCAGAAAGTCACAGCTCATGGTCCATCAGAGAACCCATACAGGAGAGAAACCCTACAGATGCAGCAAATGCGGAAAAGCCTTCAGCCGGAAGTGCCGGCTCAATAGACATCAGCGATCACATACTGGAGAGAAACTCTATGGGTGCAGTGTGTGTGGGAAAGCCTTTTCTCAGAAGGCATACCTCACTGCACACCAGAGACTTCACACAGGAGATAAGCCTTATAAATGCAGTGATTGTGGAAGAACCTTCTATTTTAAGTCAGACCTGACCAGACATCAGAGGATTCATACGGGAGAGAAACCTTATGAATGTAGTGAGTGTGAAAAAGCCTTTAGAAGCAAGTCGAAGCTCATTCAGCATCAGCGTACTCACACTGGAGAGAGACCATATTCATGCAGAGAATGTGGCAAAGCCTTTGCCCACATGTCAGTCCTCATTAAACATGAGAAAACTCACATAAGAGAGACAGCCATAAATTCACTGACGGTGGAGAAACCTTCCTCAAGGAGTCATACCTCCTTATACATGAGCGAACTCATACAAGAGCAAAAGACTGTGAACACAGTACCTATAGAAATGCCTTCCTCAGGAACCCCGCCATTGTTAAACAAGAGTGAGCGCCTAGTGGGCAGAAATGTAGTGATTGTGGAACAACCTTTTCCAAGAAATCAAGCCTTTGTAGTTAATCAGGAATTTGAACAGAGAATAAGCCTCACAAATGAAGTGAATGTGGCCCCATCAGTAATAAATTATATCTTGTATCTTACAGATATTGTATCAGAATAAATCTTCTGATACCAGAAAGGTGGGAAAATCTTTAGTAGGAATCCTCCAGCCATTATATCCCAGAGAGCTCATTTAGGGCTGAAACACTGTGGAGGCAGTGGTTGTGGAGGACATTTCTGTGAGAAGTCAAACCTGTTAAACACCATTGAAATCATGTTGGGTAGAAATGCAGCTGTTATGAGGAAGTCTTTACCTGGAGATGATATCTCAATTGGTATCAAAAGAATTCTTACAGGAATATTTATGAAAGATTGTGATGGTGCTTTTAGCGCTAAATTGTGCCTCGTGTGCCAAAGAAACATAGACAACTGTAGAGGCAATGGATATGGAAAACATTTTTCGTAAAATATGGGAGAATTTGTAGAAAAGAAAAACTCTTGAAAGTAAGAAATGATGGCAACTCACCAAATTAACTCATGTATCATACTTTTATGTCTTGAGAGTCTTGGAGGGACGTGTTTAATGAAATCTTGAACCCCAGGAATAGTATTATGTAATGAAAACCTATGAATATAACAAATATGGAAGTAAAATTGTGTTAGTTTTTTATGAGTGTTGCACCAAACTAACACAAATTTAATGGCTTAAAACAACACAAAATCATTATCTTACAGTTCTGGAGGACTGAAGTCCAAATGCATCTCACGGGGCTACATCAAGCTGTTGACAGGGCTGCTTTTCTTTTTGGAGGCTCTAGGGGAGCGTCTTTCTTTGCCCTTCCAGCTTCTAGAAGCTGCCCAAATTCTGTGGTTTGGGGCCTCCTTTCAAAACCAGCAATGGCCAATCAGTCTTACATCACTCAAACACTTGAGTGTTCTGTCTCCCTCTTCCATGTTTGAGGACCCTTGTGATTACACTGTGAAAACCCAGATAAGCCAGGATAATCTCCCTATCTTATTATGAGGCAAGTATGTTAAGATTTTATTCTATAATCAGAGAATCTTATGCTATGATTGTTATATGTGAGCATTATAGATGCTCTTGAAATGTTAAAATCACATCAGCACTGGAAAATAACTCCTAAATGTCCAAAAAGAACATGAGATTTATGGTGCTTGAAATGTTGCTAAACGTAAATTTGTATCTATTCTGAAATTATATAAATTAACCTACCTGGCCAGGCACAGTGGCTCACACCTGTAATCTCAGCACTTTGGGAGGCCAAGGCAGGAAGATCACTTGAGCCCGCAAGTTTGAGACCACCCTGGGCAACATAGCGAGACTACCTCTACAAAAAAAAAAAAAAATAATAATAGCTGGACATGGTGGTGTGTGCCTATAGTCCCAGCTACTTGGGAGGCTGAGGCAAGATGATTGCTTGAGTCCAGGAGTTCTAGGCTGCAGTGACTGCAGTGAGCTATGATCATGCCACTGCACTACAGCGTGGGTGACAGAATAAGACTCTGACTCTAAAAAAGGGGGGAAAAGAAACTAACATACTTCATTATGAGTACGGAATGCATATGACATAATGCACCTGGATATTGACTAACTTTTTCATAGCCAACCCAAACAGTCCCTTTTTCTTTTACAGTAAATGTCTAATGTATATAATCTCCTGCCTTAAATATCTAAAAAAGATGCACAAAATATATGAATGAACTTCATCAGACATTGAGAAGTAAAGGGCTTAGGACAGCTTTCCATGACAGAAAGGAAACAATGAGATGAGCCTTATGATTGCCCCAGCTTAGTGCCTGGAGAAAGTTTCCAGTCTGCAGGATTGGGAGGAGAAACCCAAGCAGATCCCAGCCATCTCTCTGAATTGAGACAGAGTTTAGGGTTTGAGGAATTCAAGGTGGCCCAAATTCATGAATTGGATTATTGGAGAAGAGCTGCACTCAAGAATTGAGAGTTCTGTAGAGTTTCCCCCACAAGCCTTTTGAGTCATAATCAGCATATGTATGTGAGAAACCCCCCCTAGGCTGGAGGAAGAACAGGAAGAAATGAACACGCAGAAAAATCCTTGGATTACACACAAGCATTTCCACCAGCTGGAGTGGAAACGCCTCCTAACATTTGGAGAATCACAGTGGACCTTAAGTAAGGAGTATTGCCTCTGTGGGTGGCTCAGATTTGCTCTACAGTAAAGGCTGCCTCGAACTCTCCTCACAAAGCATACATGCAAGCCATGAAAAGGCCATACTTTCCAAGTAAGTTAGCAATTTTCCAAACAGAGACTAATAAAGAAATAGAAAGCAATCTACCAGTCAGTAATTGACCATGTCTGGCATCCAATACAAACTTACCCAGGTGTGCAAAGAAGCAGGAAAATATAACCCCATAACATGAAGAAAACTCAGTAGAGACCCAGAAGTGGCACACTTATAGCAGAAAAGGATGTTAGAAATAGCTGCTATAAATGTCCCATATGAATCAAGTGGATTATAAAAACTATAATTTACTGATGGGTTCCCCCCACCTGAACAAGGGGCAGATGAAGCTCAGTCTACGCACTGGACCCAATGCCCCTAGGATGTTAATCCTCCCAGGGAGGGACCAGAAGGAGGCAATTACCAGCAATCAGCACCAGGTTCCCTGAGAGGGAGAAGCAAGCTCAGCTGAATTTGTGCAGTGTAGTCTACCCGGTGTTTAGCCCCTCTTTGCCTTCTCTGGGAACTGAGGCTTTTGAACAGGGCTGCTGAGCTTCCTAGGAAGTGTAGTTTGGCCATGGGCAGTGCTTGAGACACCTGTGCTGGGCAGTTGAGGTTTATGGGAAGTACAGTTAGGAGGCCTAACAACTTATTCTAGTTAGCGGCTGGTGTGTCTTGACTGTTTAGCCCCTGTAGGGGTTTCTGGCACACATCTGCCTTTGGCCATTTTTCTCCACATTGAAGGGGTCCAGCCCGTCCACACCTGTGGGTGTTTCTCGTCAGGGGGGACGAGAGACTGAGAAAAGAAATAAGAAATAAGACACAGAGACAAAGTAGAGAAAGAACAGTGGCCCCAGGGGACCGGTGCTCAGCATATGGAGGACCCGCACCGGCACTGGTCTCTGAGTTCCCTCAGCATTTGTTGATCACTATCTCTACCATCTCGGAGAGGGGGATGTGGCAGGACTATAGGGTAATGGTGGGGAGAGGGTCAGCAGGAAACATGAGCGAAGGACTCTGTGTCATAAATAAGTTTAAGGAAAGGTGCTGTGCCTCGATGTGCACATAGGCCAGATTTATGTTTGACTTTACACAAATATCTCAGTGCAGTAAAGAACAGTATCGCTGCCAGCATGTCTCACATCCAGCCATAAGGTGGTTTTCTCCTATCTCAGCAAATAGAATGTACGATTGGGTTTCACACCAAGACATTCCATTCCCAGGGACGAGCAAGAGACAGATGCCTTCCTCTTATCTCAACTGCAAAGAGGCCTTCCTCTTTCACTAATCCTCCTCAGCACAGACCCTTTATGGGTATCGGGCTTGGGGACGGTCAGGTCTTTCCCTTCCCACGAGGCCATATCTCAGGCTGTCTCAGTGGGGAGAAACCTTGGACGATACCCAGGCTTTCTTGGGCAGAGGTCCCTGCGGCCTTCCGCAGTGCATTGTGTCCCTGGGTACTCGAGACTGGAGAATGGTGATGACTTTTACCAAGCATACTGCCTGCAAACACATTTTAACAAAGCACATCCTGCACAGCCCTAAATCTAGTAAACCTTGAGTCAACACAGCACATGTTTCTGCGAGCACAGGGTTGAGGCTAGGGTTACAGATTAACAGCATCTCAAGGCAGAATAATTTCTCTTAGTACAGATCAAAATAGAGTTTCTTATGTCTTCCTTTTTCTACATAGACACAGTAGCAGTCTGATCTATCTTTCTTTCCCCCACACACATGAGTGAATTCTATCTGGGTGTTCAAGGCAGTTGAAGACGGTAGTAGTCAGAACCTTAGCCGGTGCTTGCTGGGGCTTCTGTAGGCAACATTATGAGGGAATTGGCCTTGGGCATATTAATTCTGAGCTCATCTGGCAGTTCTGCTTTGGCTGGGGCAGTCTTTGGTGGGTCAGACCCAGTCGGTTCTTGGTGAGTCTGCCCTGCTGTGTGGCTGAGGTGGGAAGCAGTCCTACAGAATCCCATTGTTGTGTGGGACATGTTTGCCCTTGTTCTTCCTGCTCTCATGGGCCAGATGGATCCCATGTTGGAGGCTGGGGAGGGGACTCAGGGCATGGGTCTTACCTAACCTTACTCTGCTGACTTTCTCCTTTTACACCCCAGATGAAACTTTTTTAGGTGTGTAGGTGTCTGTGTCCTATGGAGTGTCCGGAACTGGCCTATTAACAACTGCATCACTGTTAACAGAAAGCTTCTAGAACAGTGTCTACAATGCAGTGCTTTGAGGACTAAGTCAGCAACTTTTAAAAAGAACTTCTATTACAAGTGGGAAGATGATTTATGTATAAAGAAATTTGACACACTTAAAAACCTACAACTGCTGGTGCACAGATTTACAGATTCCATCCACTTTGTCTTGATTCCCAGTTTAGAACTTGGGTCTGTAAATACTAGAACCTGCCAGACCTCAGAGTAGAAATCCAGTGTCAGCTCTCCCACCAGAACTTGCCTGGCTCTGATCCCATGCAAGGGAGAAGACATTCCAGGTTCTCATTGCCTTTTTCTGTATCTGTATTTAGGGGTGGGGGTAGAGGACTAGAAATTCCTCATTGGTGCTGATTAGTCTGACCTCTGAGGGCTTTTTCCAACCCTAGCTTTGTTCTTTTTGTTTGTTTGCTTGTTTTTGTTTTTTGTTTATTTGAGATGGAGTTTCGCTCTTTTGCCCAGGCTGGAGTGCAGTGGCGTAATCGTGGGTCACTGCAACCTCCACCTTCCGGTTTCAAGTGATTGTCCTGCCTCAGCTTCCTGAGTAGCTGGGATTACAGGTGCCTGCCACCACACCCGGCTAATTTTTTTTTTTTTTTTTGTATTTTTAGTAGAGACGGGGTTTCATCATGTTGGCCAGTCTGGTCTCGAACTCCTGACCTTGTGATCCGCCCACCTCAGCCTCCCAAAGTGCTGGGATTACAGGTGTGAGCCACCGCGCCTGGCCAGCTTTGTGTTTTTAAAAAGTTGTCCTTCATTAAGGGAGGGAAATTGAGTAATTGTCACAATTCTAAAAGCTGGGCCTCTCTCTGACATGTCTTCTTTTCTCTTGAAAAGAGATCTTTTGTCCGATGTTCAGAATCAGAAAAGACAATATCTAGATCATACCTTAGAAATGATATCCTTTTCCTAAGAACCGAAGAAAAAAACGATAAAAGCCCCGGTGAGGTTTTGCTTCTTTCTTTTGCCTTTCTTTCCAATGACTTTGCAAGGCTTAAGACAAATAACTATTAAATGGAAATACATACATTTGTAATTTAAAAATTTAAGGAAAACTAAACAGAAACCATAAAATCAAGATTCAGGTAAAGGTGGAATGAGGAAATGTAGCTTCATACAGAGTGCCTTAAGTGTGAATACAGGTGAATAAATATGTAAGAATGTATGATGTACTTAAGTTGTTTCTGATTCTTTCTTTTCTTTCTTCTTTCTTTCCTTCTTCCTTTTCTCTCTCTCTCTCTTTCTTTCTTCTTATCTCACTCTGTCACACAGGTTCAGTGGCACGATCATGGCTCACTGCAACCTCTGCCTCTTGGGTTCCAGTGATTCTCTTGCCCCAGCCTCCTGAGTAGCTGGGATTAAGGTGTGTGTCACCACGCCTGGCTAATTTTTGTATTTTTAGTAGAGATGGGATTTCACCATTTTGGCCAGGTTGGTCTCAAACTCCTGACCTCAGGTGATTTGCCCATCTCAGCCTCCCAAAGTGCTGGAATTATAGGCATGAGCCACCACAACTGGCCTGTTTCTGATGTTTCTGGTGTCAATAATGTATTAATTTTCTGTTGATGCCAAAACAGATTCTCACAAACGTTTAGCAGCTTGAAACAACACAAATTTATTGTCTCACAGTTCTTTAGGTCAGAAGTCTGGATTGGCTTGACTGGTTTCTTTGATCTGGGTTTCAAAGACTGAAGTCAAGGTGTGGGCCAACAGGGCTCTTATTGGAAGAATCTGGGAAGAATCCACTTCCAAGCTTATCCAGGGTATTGGCAGACTAATTCTGAGATTTGTTTCTTTGCTGGCTGTCAGCTGGGGGTGGTTCCTTATGTATTTATTTTACTTTTTTTTATTTTTAATTTTTATTTGAGACAGGTCTTGCTCTGTCACCCAGGTTGGAGTGCAGTGGTGCAATCTTGGCTCACTGCAGCCTCTGTCATAGTAGATGTTGAATCTGCCGAGCTGAAAGTGTGTCAGTTCCAGAAACATTTCTGTGCTGTTCATAGACACCTCCCATCAAGCCCAATTATAAGTGTTCAAGTCTTTGTCATTTCCCATAAACAGGCTCTTAAGCTACCAAACCAGATATCTTTAATTTTTTTTTTTTTTTAGATGGAGTCTTGCTCTGTCGCCAGGCTGGAGTGCAGTGGCGCCATCTCAGCTCACTGCAATCTCTGCCTCCCGAGTTCAAGCAATTCTCCTGCCTCAGCCTTCTGAGTAGCTGGGATTACATGCGTGTGCCACCACACCCAGCTAAGTTTTGTATTTTTAGTAGAGCTGGGGTTTTACCATGTTGGTCAGGATGGTCCCAATCTCCTGACCTCATGATCTGCCCGCCTCAGCCTCCCAAAGTGCTGGGATTACAAGTGTGAGCCACCGCACCCAGCCAGTGATATTTAATTTCAAACATGGAGAATAGAGGATAAAATGTGAGGTCAGTGCATTTCAGGTGAGTGAGAACCAACAAGATGGGAGACCTGGAAAGTAAAGGAGCTGACCATGAGGGTTGGACCCCTTCCAAATGTGTTTAACAGGGCAAAGACTTGGAAGGTGACTACAGATACCTAGATCATTGATGAGGCTCTCTTTTGTTTGGCGTTTCAAAGAAAATGTGCCTTTTTCTCTCTTTATATTGACTTAGATTCTCACAATCGACACATCATCACAGCACTGCCTTTTATCCTGGGGTAAGGATATTTGGCCTGATTTTTGTATTTCCTACAGACCTGAGTGAATCATATGAGAATGTATCAAAGCAACCTAGAAGGTGGGAGTGCTCACCACAGTGGTGTTCCTGTATATATGGTGTTAGAAATCTTTGGGAAGGCGCGGGCATGGTGGCTCACGTGTGTAATCCCAGCACTTTGGGAGGCCGAGGTGGGTGGATCACCTGAGGTCAGAAGTTCAAGACCAGCCTGGCCAACATGGCGAAACCCTGTCTCTACTAAAAATACAAAAATTAGCTGGGCATGGTGGCGAGTGCCCTGTAATCCCAGCTACTCCAGAGGTGCGGTTGGAGAATCACTTGAACCCTAGAGGCGAAGGTTGCAGTGAGCTGAGATTGCGCCATTGCACTCCAGCCTGGGTGACAAGAGCGAAACTCCGTCTCAAGAAAAAAAAAATCTTTGGGAAAGTTCATTGACTGTTGCATGCAGAATTAAAGAAGAATGAATCTGAAACAGAGTGACAGCACTTACATTTATGTGAAGAGCTGAGAAGACTTCATTTTATCTTGCTTCCCACAGATGTTGGTTCCTAAGACTTAAGTTGGCCTCTTTTCTGGGTACTTATTGTTTGAGCGTGATGGATGGACTTTTTCCATTCTCTGGGCATCTCCTTCTCCCAAAGCCTTCAGAGTTGGAGGGCGTAAGGGTGCTTCATCATTGGTAATTTCTTTTCTTTGTTCCCAGTGTGACCTCTTCGATTTCATGGACTTAACAATGCTATTTATATGTTGATGACTCACAGATTTCTCTCTACAGGCTAGATATTTCCTTATCCTCCTACATTTGCCTGGGAATTGCTTGGAGATCTAATAGCTAACTCAAACTTCAAGTCATCCTTGCTTCACCGTTTCACTCATCCCACAAATCCAGTCCATTTAGCAAGTTTAGACTTTACTTTCTCCTTATATCTCGAGGTCCTCTACTCCTTTCTCTAACAGTTATTTTCACTCAAGCTTCGATGTCCATTATCTCTTGCCAAAATTATGATAGTTTTCTCTAATATACTCTCAGTCCTTTACTCTTGTTTCTATTCTCCACATAATACCCTTAATGAATTTATTTTACTATTTTCATTTATGAAAATAAATGCGGGAGTCAGGGGCGGGAGTCAGGGGCAGGAGTCAGTGTTTCTAGCCCCTCACCTCCAAAATCCCTGAACATTAAAATAAACATCAGAAACATCTTGGTTCTTAAAAGACTTCAGATTTTGACAAAAGTGTTGCGGAAAGTAATTAAAGCTTCATATAAAAAGGTAAATCTTAGTTGGAGGATGGAAAGATCTAAATTATGGTCTAAAAAATGCTATATGATGTAGCAAATCTGTACTCATTCACAGGGTGCAAGCCTAAAAATATTCATGCCATAATATTTAAGACATGGTCAGTGTTAATTACTGATAAACATACACACAGGATGTTGCTTTTAAATTGGAAATCAGGACATGTCATCCTGCTCCCACTATCATTGGTAATGGCATCCTGTTACTGTTAGCACAAGATCCAAATTCTTTTCAGGATCCTCCTACAAGGGAGCATTCCCTGATTTCGGCCTAAACGTTTTTGTTTACTTATTAATGAAAAATGTTTTGGTATAACATACATATAATGTAATTATACAGCTAGGTAACTTTCTAGTCAGCACACTGTGCAACCAGCACCTAGATCAAGAATCTGAGTCCTGTGCAGAATGGCATTGGGTGAATATTACACTGTTTATCTCTTTTACATTCAGGCCATTATACTTAGTGTCCCTATGTATGTTTTCATCAATATCTTTATTTTTATTTTCTCCTTTTGAAAATGCTTGTCTCCAAATGGTCTAGATTTAATGAGATGTTCCAAAATGATACACAAAATTCTTGCACATTCTTTTTGCAAATTTCCCCAAAATATGATTTTACCAATTTGCTTTATTTTATCTATACACACACACCACACACAGGTACATATGGTTTTTCTGAACTCTACCCTAAAACCCAAGTGTGTATTTCATAGGAAGAAGAGCATTCTTTTGCATAATCAGAATACTGTGATCAAAATCAGAATATTGACATTGATATAGTATTATTATTTAAAATACAGAGCTTACTCAAATTTAACCATCTTACTAATATCTTTTTATGGTAAATGGGAAAAGAAGCCTTTTTCTGGACCTCTTCTTGTTATCTCACTTACTCTGTTGTGCGTACACTAGCTTTCATAACATCCAGAAGTCAGAGCTTGCTAATTATAACCAATTCTTTTTGGAAAGAAATCATATGGATGCAGTGAATGTGCAGTGAATACTTGTAAACTACTCATGACCATGCCTCAGAGAACTCATGCAGGAAACAAATCCCAGGAATCTCATGATTTTAGGAGAGCCCTTCCCAGTGAGTTAAAGCTCATTGCTCATCAGCAAACTCAAACAGGAGTGAGACCCTACTGATGCAATCAATGTCAAAAAGCCTTCATTACAAATTCAGGGCTTGTGTATCATCAGAAAACTCATCATAGAGAAGGGAAAGTCTGTACATGCAGCAAATGTGGAGAAGTTTTCCCTTGGAAGTCAGAACTCATTTTATGTCAAAGAAATCATTCAGGAGAGAGACCGTTCATTTGCAAAGTATGTGATAAAGGCTTTGTGGTTAGGACACATCTCACTGTACATCAGAGAGCTCACACAGGAGAGAAACCATATGCTTGCTCAGATTGTGAAAAAGCCTTCTCAAAAAAGGCTTTATTCATGATTCATCAGTGAATTCACACAGGAGAGATACCCTATTAATGCATTCAATGTCAAACAGCTTTGAAGACCAGATCTGAGCTCAGTTATCCTCAGAAAGTTCTTCATAGAAAAGGAAAATTCTATGGATGCAGTAAATGTGGGAAAGCTTTTCCTTGGAAGTCGAACCTCATTTTGCATCTCAGAACTCATTCAGGAGAGAGACCTTTCAGGTGCAAAGTCTATCATAAAGCCTTCATGGTTAGAACACAGCTAACTATACATCAGAGAACTCACACAGGAGAGAAACCATATGCTTGCTTGGATTATGAGAAAGCCTTCTTGAAAAAGGCTCAGCTTATGAAGCATCAGTGAATTCATACAGAAGAAAGACCCTATGGATGCAGTGAATGTCAAGAAGCTTTCATCTGGAAGTTGGATCTCAACAATCATAAGAAAACTCATCATGCAGTAAGGAAATCCCATGAATGCAGTGAATGTGGGAAGGTTTTATCCTCCAAAAAAAACTTTGTTATACATCAGAGAACCCATACAGGTGAGAAACCCTTCAAATGCAATGTATGTGATAAAGCCTTCACATCAAAGGGAAATCTCATTGTATATCAGAGAACTCATATAGGAAATAAATCATATGAATGCTCAGACTGTGATAGGGCCTTCTCCAGTAAGGTATATCTCATGACTCATCAGCCAATTCACACAGGAGAGAGACCCTATGATGCAATGAAGGTCAACAAGCTTTCACCCAAAAGACAGGTCTCAGTAAGCATCGAAAAACTTGCCATGCAAGAATGAAATCTTATGGATACAGTGGATGTGGGAAGGTTTTGTCCTGTAAGTCAACTCTCATTATATAACAGAGAACCTATACAGGTGAGAAACTCCTCAAATGTAGCATGTGTAATAAAGCCATCATAGTTAAATCCTGTCTCACTGTACATTAGAGAATTCATACAGGAGAGAAACCATATAAATGCAGTGATTGTAAGAAAGCATTCGCTACTTTGTAAACTCTCATTGGTCACCAGAGAACTCACACAGGAAAGAGGCCCTATAGATGCAGTGAATGTCAAAAAGCTTTACTCAGAAATCAGCTATTACTAATCATCAGAAACCCCAGCAGGAAGGAAGAAAGTCCATGCAGTGACTTGGAATATGAGAGAGCTTTTTTGATTAGTCACATCAGCTCAGACACAATAGAAGTTCCATGAATACTATGATTGTAATGGGCCCTTTTGGAACTCTTGTGGGAGAGAAACCTTATAGATGCAATGAATATTTTAAGCCTTCTTTTTTGAAGATATCCCTCGTTTACCGTAGAGATCTCACAAGAAGAATCATTGGCCAGGCGCATTGGCCCATGCCTGTTATCTCAGCACTTTGGGAGGCTGAAGCAGGCAGATCACTTGAGGTTGGGAGTTCGAGACCAGCCTGGCCAACATGATGAAACCCTGTCTCTACTAAAAATACAAAAAAAAAAAAAAACAAATAGCCAGGTGTGGTGTGCACACCTGTAATCCTAACTACTCAGGAGGCTGAGGCAGGAGAATCTCTTGAACCTAGGAGGTGGAGGTTGCAGTAAGCCGAGATTGCACCAGTGTACTCCAGCCTGGGTGACAGAGTGAGACTCTGTCTCAAAAAAAAAAAAAAAAAAAAAAAGAGAGAGTCAATTATGAGTGCAGTGATTGTCAAAAAAGTTTATTAGAAAACTAGAAGCTTTCCATTTAGTAGGCAGCACCAGTGGATGTAATGAAAATGATAAATCATTCTCAAATTATATTTGTTACACATTAGGGTATTCATTCAGGAGAAGGACCCTACAGATGGAGGGAATGCAGGAAAGCTAAGAAGAATCACACCTCATTGCAGGTAAAAATTAAAATCTGAAAGTCAAAACTCTTTGAATATCTTGTTTACGAGAGAAATCTCATAGATACAGTGAATGTGATTGTGATAAAGTCTTCCCAGTTAATGTTTATCTTTCTTGTTATAGCAAACTCATACAAGAGGAAACCCCTATTAATATAGTAAATGTGGTAAAGCCTTCATGTAGATACCAAAGGTCACTAATTATATCAGCAAACTCATGTGGTAGATAGGTCCTTCTGAAACGGAATGTGGAAAGCTTTTGAAAGTGACATATACATCAGATACTTAAATCAGAAGGGAAAACGATAGAGTTAAACTTGGCCATTGGCCACAAAACCCATTGCATAGCAGGAAAGAATTGCAGTGATTGTCTAAAATTCTTTATTTAAAATTCAGAGCTGAATTGCCCCCTAACTCAGTTATCAGAAAGATCCTATTCTCGAAGGCAATAATATTTAGGTTCAATGCAGGTATAAAATCCTAATGGAGCCATATCTATTCTGCTTCAGCAGAGTCATACATTTACCTAAAAGCAATGGTTCTGGTCACAGGAAATAATTTCTGTGGAGGATTAGATAGCATTAAACATCACAAGCTTTTAAATATAGGAGCAGAATTTGCTCCATACAGAGATTTTATGAATGCAGTGAAAGTGGTAAAAGCATCAGTGATAAGTTATTTTTTATTTCATGGATTCACTTCTTCACATCCTACCATGTCTTAAATTGTGAAGCATCTTATGATCTGGAATGTCATAGTAATTGTCAGGGCTTTTTAAATGTGTGATGGCACTTTAGATTTGAGTAATTACCCTTGCCTGTATATATAATTTTATAATGGTTTTGCATAATTATTATAGAAAGGATTCCAGAGAATATTCTATAAATATTAGACATTTCATTGTCAAATATTCCTTTTGAATATATGAAAAATAAGAATATAATAAGGATTAGTCGAATAGTGACAAAGGATCTTAGGGGTTGTGTTGTGGACTGTACTATGTGACATGTACTTTATATATTTATAAACTTCATTGTTTACTTGGAATTACACGAAGAAACAATTTTCAGGGTTAAAGAAATTCTCAACATAAGACAAAATGTTGAATAATTCAATGTAGTGCAAATAAAATGTTTTTTTCTTATGAATCAAAATGTCTTGTAATACATATTTGACTCATTATTAAGGAGTCTAAAGGATTATACCACGTAAGTGTGAATTCCTTATTTTTGCTGTCATTTGTAGTATTTTTGCCCACTGTGATGATCCATCACAAGTAGAAGTTTACATTTTTCTAGAGCCTTATAACTCTGAAACATCCAAAGATTATAAAAGATTTACCTAAAATATTTAAAAACCAGCAACACATTAGAGTAATGGAAGAAAAAAGTGTGAGGTTATATGAGGTGAGTTTATGGCTATATATTTCAAGTTTGTGTCACACCGAAACTTTTGATTTGTTATGATAATATGCCATTCCTTTGGTGGTTCCTCAAAAAGTTAAATCCAGACTTACCATATGACCCAGGAATTCCATTCCTAAGTAAAATACCCATGAGAATTGAAAACAGGTACTCAACCAAATATTTGTCCATGAATGTTTATAGCACTGTTCACAATAGCCAAAATAGCATTTGGTTGAAAAAACTCAAATGCCTATCAAAGGATGAATAAATAAAATGTGCTACATGCATGTACACATGAATACATAAATGGTCAGTTATACAAATGAATGAAGTACTGATGACATGTTGCATGAATGAGCCCCAAAAAACATACTGAGTGAAAGAAGCCAAATGCAAATTCCACATTTTATACTTTCATTTATATCAAATACTCTGAATAGGTAAATCTATAGAGAAATAAAGCAAATTAGTGGTTATTGGGCACTAGAGGGGAAGGGAGAATGCAATCTATCTGCGTAGTATGTATGGGGTTTTCTTTTAGAATGATGAAAATGTTTTTGAACTAGATAGAGATGGTGGTTGCATAATATTGTGAATGTGCTAAACTTCACTGAATTGTACACTCTAAAATTGTTAATATTTGAATTTTTACATGAAGAAAAATATATTTAAAAAGAAAAATATTGCATGAACTCTGGCACTTCAAATATGGACTTTTTTTTAACAAAATGAGACTTACTTGACTGAATCTTCTATAAAACTTCTAGTGGGTATTCTAGTTATTAAAAAGCAAGGTTTTTTTTTACCTCCATGTGAAATAACTGACTTATTTTGGTTATCAGTGAAACCTATTGTTTTGCAAGGAATTCTGTAAAAATGTACCAGCAAAATCTTGCTTATTTTTTTCTCTAGATTTTTGCCCCTTCCCCATTTTGTTTGACAGTTGTCAAGAAATCTTTTCTTCACCATTTTATTATGAAAATCTTCAGACATAAAGATGTTTAAGGAGTACTAAACACTAATCTGGATTTGACCATTGCAACATTTTTCTGTGTGTGTTTGTGTGTGTCATATGTTCTGACAACCTCCTATTCACCCTGGTGCATGAGGGAGGGACTCCCTACCCTAAGTAGTATGGAATGGCTGAACACAACACCTGACACTGGCTAGATGAAATTGACAGCAGTTTATTAGTCACAGATACAGCCTGAGAGAAATGGTCATTGCATATAGGTATTGCACTCAGGAATAGAGTGAACAAGCACGGAGATTGTGGGAAGTAGGCTTTATATAATGAGAGGGTAACGTGCCCATGGTTTCTGTGGAAGAATGCAATTGCTTTGTATAATTCCATGGGCTGAATATAGATTGAGGACCATGTTGGGTGCAGCTAGTTCAGCTGATTGGGGAGTTAGCTGGGTGGGAGCCTTTCCTGTGCAGTGGGAGCATATCTGGTGAGAGTAAGGGAATTCAAAGATAGGCCTTCAGGGCCCTGTAAAGCTCAAAGACTAAAAGCAGGCCAGACACAATGGCCCGCACCTGTAATCCCAGCACTTTGGGATTACAGGTGGATCCTTTGGAGGATCCCTTGAGCCCAGGAGTTTGAGACCAGCCTGGGCAACGTAACGAGACTCCATCTCTACAAAAAATTTTAAAATAATAATCTTAGATTTGAAAGCAGCACATGAGATAATAGGTTCTTAGAGTTTTGTGTGTGTGCGTGTGTGTGTGTGTATGTGTACAGATATATATGTATCTGTATATTTCTGGTGAGCAGCCTGAAAGCTACAGTCACTTGCCACTTGAGCAGTTCTCAGGCAATCACCCACCCGAAGGCTGGTGGGTGGATGAGGTTCAAAGACAGAGCTTTGAAGAACATCGGTTTCTCCTGCTTTCTGTATTGGTTCTTCAACCTACAATAAAAATCTTTGTTCTTAAACATGTAGAGGCCCTTCGGCATATCCCCAATTCTACCAAGATATGAAATTGTGGTCTATGCTCTTCTAAAAATCCTGAAACATCTACTGCAAAATACACATTTCTTCTCCTTCCTTTCTTTGTTTTTTCTTTTCTTTCTTTCTTTCTTTCTTTCTTTCTTTCTTTCTTTCTTTCTTTCTTTCTTTCTTTCTTTCCTTCCTTCTTTCTTTCTCTCTTTCTTTCTCTCCTTTCTCCTTTTCTTTTCCTTCCTTTCTTTTCTTTTTTGATGGAGTCTCGCTTTGTCGCCAGGCTGAAATGCGGTGGCACGATATCGGTTCACTGCAGCCTCCGCCTCCCGGGTTCAAGCGATTCTCCTGCCTCAGCCTCCTGAACAGCTGGGACTACAGGCGTGCGCCATCACACCCAGATAATTTTTGTATTTTTAGTAGAGATGGGGTTTCACCATGTTGGCCAGGATAGTCTCGATCTCTTGACCTCATGTTCCGCCTGCCTCGGCCTCCCAAAGTGCTGAGATTACACAAAATACACATTTCTCTTGACTTTCCCAGATGTTGTCTTCATGGACTCATGGTTGGAGCTGGTGTCTACATGGTAGAGTGAGGCGCATTCACACCCTCAGCAGCTCCTACAGATTCTCCCCTGAGGCAAAAGCCATTCAAATCATGCTGCTTCTAGGAAGTACTTTCATTTCGTTTTACTTTATCAGTTCTATCCTGCTCATTCATAATGCTGTTCTTTTCCAATCAAGCCTCTGGCTGCAATATACTACCACCTTTCATGCAGTATATTATCCCTCCCTCAGCCCCCCGATCTTGATGTTCAAGGTCCCCGAGCACCAAGTTTCTCGTCTTAAATGGTGAAAAAAAATCCAAAATTACTGATGGTCCTGTTCACAACAGTGTCTCTTCTTCAGAGAATCTGGTTATTCACTTAAGAAAGCAAGGGTATGTGGATGTCTAGAATATGACAGACATACACCCAAAATACGGATAATTAAAGGATTTGTATGACATTGACTTAGCGATGTAGAGGCTTTACTCTTTACTCAGAAGGCAGGCATACAACCAAATAAACACAAAACTGTCTGTTAGCATTATCCTGATGTTCTCTGTATTTTTTCTTTGAGATACTTGATGGAAGCATGGAGGTGAGGTTGGGTAGAAATAATCTGGGGACATATTCGAATTTTTAACAGTTCATTAGCACAATTATTAAATTGGTGCAGTATTATATATTGATAAACAGTAATGGCTTTGTGTATCAACTGTATAACCCATGGTAAACCATTTAATCATTAGAAGACTTAGGGTATTTACTTGTAAAGTTAATAAATTTTTATCCCAGAGATTACTGTGCAAAAAATAAATTATGTGATAAGGCATGATGTCCAGAATAGCAGAGACAAGGCCTCTGCGTATCCATCCTTTCATTAAAACAACATAAACATCATCACAGTCAATTTTGGAAAATAACCAAAGGCTTACAATATTTTGAACAGCATTTTCTTTTCAAGAAAAAAATTTTGAACCTCATTAAAAATAGTGGGGTATGTGGAATTTTAATTTGGCCTACTTCTATATCCCTTTCCCCAGATCTGCATTACCGTTGGAAAACAGCAGCCTCAGAACCACAGTAGCCATGAAGACCATCAGCCTTCAACCACCACCCTTGTATCAGAGGAGACAAATAAGCTTGGAAATCCTCAAAAAGCCTCATCCTCAGAGCAATGTCATTATATATCTTGTCTTACAGCTCCATGATGTGGTTCCATTCTTTGTCCTAACTCATTCTCTCACCTGACTCAAAGCTCACTTTGAAGGAAAAGTGCGATACTAGGGCACTGGTCAAAAACGATCAGCTTCAATTGTTTAACTTTGTAGTAGCCTAAGCCTGCAGTACCGTTAGGGAGCAAACAAGAGCTCTGAAAAATTGTTAAACGGACATCTGAAGAACAAGATGTTAATAGGGAACTCTTAAATACTCTGACATATTCCTGAGGATCTAGAAGGCCCAACACATACACAGGGATGTGTGCATGCCCATGAGATACCTGAGGGTACCAGTAGTTCACTTCTAGCTGATCTTGAAGCCCTTGAGAAGAAGGAAGAGAAGGCTAAAGTAGACTTACAAACTGCTTGAGCATTGAAGTAGACACACACACACACACACACACACACACACACACACACACAGCACCCTCAGCAAAGAGTGGAAAACTTGCTCAGAGAAATGAAGGAAATCTTGATTAATCATTAGCTAACTAAGAAAAGACTTCAAGTGACTGCACACTGCAGGGAATACATAAATTACTCCAGGAATGCCACTGAACAAACTGCAACAACAATCGCAACAATAAACCCTGGGGAGAGAGGGAATCTGATTTCCAAAGTAACAACTTTATATGATCTAAAATTTCTATATTCAACAAAAATTTGTGACACACAATCAGAAAAGTATAGTCCATATTCAGGAAATGAGGTTGTCAACTGAAACTACCCCTGAGGAGGCTCATATGTCAGACTTAATATGCAAAGATTAAAAGTCAGCTATGTTAACTATGTTCAAGGAACTGAAGTAAACCATGTATAAAGAACTATGAAGTAGCAACAAAGAGAACAGGTCTCAGCAGCAGATTTGAGGTGGCAGAAGACAGAATAAGCAAATATGAAGCTAGGTCAATGGAAATTATCCAGTCTGAGGAACATGAAGAAGTGAAACAGAAAAAAAGTGAAAAACATAAAGTGAACAGACTCTTAGAAACATATGGTATACTTTCCAGCACACCAACACATATGTAATGAAAGTCTCAGAAAGTAAATAGAGGGGATAAGCAACAGATAGAATATTTGAAGAAATAATGGCCAAAGCTTCCCAAATTTGATGAAAATTATTCCGTCCATCTGAGAAGGTCAATAAATTCCAAATAGGCTGGGCACAGTGGCTCTCACTTGTAAACCCAGTACTTTGGGAAGCTGAGATTGGAGGATTGCTTGAGTCCAGGAGTTCAGGAGAAGCATGGGCAACATAGCGAGACCCCATCTCTAAAAAAAAAAAAAAAAAAAATTTAGCTGGGCATGGTGGTGCATTCCTGTAGTCCCAGCTACTCAGGAGGCAGAGGCAGGAGGATTGCCTGAGCTCAGGAGGTCAAGGCTGCAGTGAGCCATGATCGTGGCACTGCACCCCATCTGCAGTGACAAGAGTGAGATCCTGTCTCAAAAAAAAAAAATCCAAATAGCATCAATTCATTACCTTCTCCACAGGCTTTCATCCTGGTAAACTAAACAGAAACCTGGTCCTTCCCAGATGGGTGCAGAATGGTTATTATCAGATGAGCACTGAGGATATTTATGCCAATGATATATGATAGACAGAACCTCTACTTTATTCGTGGATTTTCTGCTACACAGAAAACAAGCAACCAAAGAATCAATTACATACAATCCAGAATCAGTCACTGGTAGTTTTTCTCAAGGTTTTTATTATAAAAATTTTCAGACATATAGAAAAACTTAAAGAATAGTATAGCAGAGACCCTTACATACATCACATAGATTCAATAAATGTTAATTTTTGCCATATTTGCTTTATCTTCTACCTATAATCTATCTCGCTCTTCTATCCAGTTTGCTTCTTTCGACTGAACTATTTGAAGGTAAATAGCAGACATCATAACCCTTCACTCCCAAATACCTCAACTTGGAGCTTATAATAATGTATTGTCCTACAAAGCACAACACCTTCACGATGTCAATCCTTTAGGGGTGTGGTATTTAAGAAAGAAGGGGGCTTACACACTGAAGACTAGCAAGCTGAAAAAGAGAAACTTATTTTCAATGAAAGTTTCAAGGAAGCCAAGAAGCTCACAAATCTGGGGATACTATAGAAGGTAGCAACAGAGCCTTCATTATCTTTAAAGATCATATGGCCAGGTTCAGAACCAGGCTCTACTACATAGACTCCCGTACAGTTACCTGTTCTTGAAGCTGAACAGCCGTTATCCTCTAGATTGGTCCAATTGACCAAAATCCTCTAATGCATCTGTAAAAAGACCAATACAACGCAGTTCACCCAAGATCCAGCAGGTAAAAGAGAAAGAGAAAAAATGTTAAATCTTAGGGTAGTGCCCTTTTTGCATGAGATTACTGGCTCCTGGCTCACTTTTTACTTGAGGCTGGCCAAAACTTGTTGTCCCTATTGGGAAGTTTGAGATAGTGGGTTCTAAGAAGTATCTGTAATTGCTGAGCTGACCACTGAAGACCCAGTGGTGTTGAGTTAGAGAAAGGGAGTAAGGAGTAGGAAGTAAGAAAACTGTCTTTGGGGTCAGGGCCCATCACCTGGCTCATGCCTGTAATCCCAGCACTTTGGGAAGCCAAAACAGGCAGATCATTTGAGCTCAGGAGTTCGAGACCAGTCTGGGCAACATGGTGAAACCTTGTCTTTACAGAAAATACAAAAATTAGCTGGGTGGGGCGGCCTGTGCCTGTCATCCCTGCTACTCTGGAGGCTGAGGCGGGAGAATTGCTTGAGCCCGAAGGCAGAGGCGGAGGTTGCAGTGAGCCAAGATTGTGCCACTGCACTCCAGCCTGGGCAATGGGAGTGAAACCCTGTCTCAAAGAAAAAAAAAAAGAAAAGAAAACTGTCTTTTAAAGAGCCATTCACCCTACCTGACAGCTAGCCATGTAAAGACAGGGCATATACAATTATTAAAACATTCATATCATTACAAAAGTATATTAAACACAATTACACACACATGACATTTTAACATGTGATGGGAACACCTATATGTGGACAACTGTGTAATACCACTCAGATCAAGCAATGGAGCATTCCAGAAGTCCTATTTATCCATTCCTCATAAACATCCCACCTATCACCTTCTATGGGCAAGATCTCTACACAGAGAAAGCCAGGAGCACTTTCCCTCAGCCAGTTTCACTTCTCTAGCTTACCTCTGTTAGAGGTAGACCTAGAATCTGCCCTGTCTGTTCCCTTCTTCCTCGGTGAGGGAATGTATTCTTTGCTCTATAAACCTCAAAATTCCTCCAAAATGGACAAGATTTCAACAGGGCAAAAAGACATCTTCAGTTTAGGTTTGACCTGGTGATTGGTTTTCGCTGTCTGGAGGTTCATGACAGATAGGTGGGATCACGGAAATGCTATTGAGCATGAGCCACACTCCTTGCAACTTTTGGACAGGTGTAAATGCTCGTGCTGACGTGTCTTGGAAAAGGACAGAAAAGGTGGGTTGCAATTGTTTCTTTCCTCTCAGAGGCAGCCCATTAGCCCAAAAGAATGGCCAGCACGCTGTCTGGTGGCACTTCTTTCAAGATGGCTACCTCCTGCAGACTTGATTGAAATGAGCTTTCCAAAGAGCAGGAAGCTAAAGGCTTTAGACATCAGAATCTGGGACTCCTGGTCGTTCCAGTTTCTACTGAGTCTGCGCAATAGCCCTAGAGGCAGGACAGCCAGGCCAGTGGGTGGAAGCGGATGTGCAGTGTAGGAAGCCTTATACTTTCATGGCAGCAGGTCACTGTAGAAGTTAAGGCAAAGTTTCAGTTTCTGTGAACTGCTGGAATGCGCCACTGTAGGGATTCGTGACTTGGGGATGTGGCAGGTGATGCGTGAGGGTATTCATTGGGGTTGGTTAAAGGCAGCTTCTAAAGTGTCTGGGGCGAATGTCCTAAAGACATCATTGTGTTTACAAGAATACCTTGTGGGTGGAAAAGGAATGACAGACGTAAGGGTTGTTTCCTGGGGCAGTGACAGGGCGGCTCCAGATCTTGGCATTGGGAGACCCACTAGCTTTCAGGGAATGGTCTTTGAGAGCATAGGCTGCTGGCTTGGTCATCTGGGGCTTCTGTCTGTATTTTGGGTTTGAGGAGTTGAAGAGTCTGTGTTAGGGTCTGTGTGAAATAAGGTGTCTGGGGAGTTGTGAACAGGAGCAAATGTGAGGTGTGGGGATATGGGGGCATTATGGGTGTCAGTGCTAGGAGATGGCTGATGAGCTTAGTAGTTAGGACTCAGGAGAGAAGTTTGGGTGCAATATGAATTTTCAACGTATGGGAAAGTTGAAAGAATAGTAACCCACCACTTACATATTCAACAATTATTTACACTGTTTTATAAATACTTAATGTATATTTGTATGTGTGTATCTGTACTTTTTTTCCTACTGAGCTATTTGAAAGTAAGATTAATTTTTAATCTATTTCTGCTACTCATTGGCTGTGTGAACTTTGGCAAGGTACACAGACTCTTACAAGTTTCAGCTTTTCCATTAGGAAAAGAAAAATGATATCTACTTGTCAAGTTTGTTTTGAAGAAGTAATAAGATGGGGTATCTGAAATGCCTGGCAAAATGACTGGCTTATAATTGGTATTTGACCAATGGTAGCTATTTTTCAAATATTTATCCTCATTTCTGATACCTTATAAAGATTGTAATTATGCCATTTCTGATTTAACTTTCTTCTAAATGTATATCCTAAATCTTATATGAATTTGAGTATAGATTTGAGAACTTTCCATAATTTTAAATGGTGATCTCTTATTTTTATCACAAAATTATATGCTTATCCTAAACAAAAGTAAAAATCACCTTCAACTTACTAACTACACCGTACTATACACAATGTTTTGTATCTTTAAATTTTTTATTTGTTTACTAGTTTACATATGGTAATGCTCACTGATTTGGTCTACAGTTCTATGACTTTTGACAAATAGAATCATGTTACCACCATGATTATGGTGCAAAACAGTTTTGTAATTTGGGAGTCCCCAAGACCATCTTCACTTCTGACACCAGCTGCAAGTTCAGTGTTCCCCAATATCACTTTTTATAATAATACCAACTGTAAATTTGGGGATACCCATGATTACTCTCATTTCTGACACCAACTTCAAAGTTTAAACACTACCCTCAGGTTTAATAATTTACTCACAAGACTCAGAAAAGGCATTATACCCACAGGTACAGTATATTACAGCAGGAGGCTACAGAACAAAGTCAGTAGAGGGATGAACTGCATAGGGTAGGGTCCAGTGGACACCAAGCACAGAGCTCCCAGTTGTCTTCTTTCAGAGAAATCATGCAGGCAGCACCTATTTCTTTCAGAAACAATTTGCGACAATATGCAGAATAATGCCAATAAGGGAAGTTTGCCCAAACCTTGGTGTCCAGATATTTTACTTGGGTTCAATCACATAGACGTGATTGACTATCCACATGGGTGACCATAGTCTGCACAGGTGGAGTTCATACCGCATGGCCTAAGGGCCCCCATCATAAAACATATTGTTAGCATATCTGGCATGGCCCAAGGCAACCAGGTAAACAAAGATACTCTTCCCAAGCAGGAAATTTCAGAGGCTTAGAGGTCATCTCCCAGGAGTTGAGAGCAAGGGCCAAACCTCTCTTTGGAGAAGATTAGTGCTTTACTTCATAAGTTCCACCACCGCCCAAAAATCCCTCCTTCTGTCCATTTTAGTCAACCCTTCTCTCCCCATCCCCAGAACAGAGAACAAATCAGTTCTCTGTCTAATTTTGTCTTTTCCATAGTGTTATTAAAAGAATGATACAGCACATAACATTTTGAGTCTACCTTTTTACACTTAGCATAATAAAATGGAACTTCATTCATGTTGCTGTATATGTCAGTAGTTTGTTCTTTTGTTGACGAATAGTATTCCATTGTATAAGTAAACTGGAATAGGTTTATCTGCACCAGTTGATAGGCATCTGGGTTTTTCACTATTTTGAATAACTTCTCATTTCTTTTGGGTAAATGCTTAATAGTTAGATTGCTTGTTTAACATAAAAAGTGGCCAAACTTTTTCGAAGAAGTGGTACCATTTTTGAATGTTACTAACAGTGTATGAGGGTTCCAGTATCGTTTCCTTAACAGCGTTGTCTTTATTTGTACTGCTATAACAAAATGCTTGAGACTGGATAATTTATGAAGAACAGAAATGTAGTTGCTCACAGTTCTGTAGTGGGCAGGGAGTCTAAGATCAAGGTGCTGACATCTGGTGAAGATTTCTTGCTGTGTCCTCACATGGCAAAAGGCAGAAGGGGGTGAACCTACTCCTGTAAGTCCTTTTACAAGTGGTATGAAAGTAGAATTCTCATGAACGAAACGCCTTCCATTAAGCCTCACTTCCCAACACCATTGCACTGGGAATTAAGGTCTCAACACATGAATTTTAGGGGACACATTCAGAACATAGCAAATGTATTCTGAAGAGCAAATCTTCATCCTGCAGACAGGTTAACCCAAACACAAAGAACATAGAAAAAGGAAGTGTTATAAACCATCCATGCACAACCTGTTTTGTATGCGCAACCTATTTTGTTAAACTTACCCTTTCTCCATTGGAGAAGAGTAGGTAATGACACAGAAAGACCTGTGTATAGTTTCCTTCCCCAAACTGTGGAAATAGTTCAAGTTTTTATATAATAAAAGAGACAGAAAATGTGCACATATTTTAAAAGGGGGTAACAGCTTGGCAATTGTGTTGAATGTGTCAGTGCAGAAAACAGATTCATACAATGGAATATTAAAACAAAAAAATGGTTTAGAACTACATACATCAAAAAGATGATTTTTTTCCAGCTCATTATCTAAAGGCAATATAATCTTGACACCAAAACTAGACAGAGGCATTATTAAAATAAAAGATAATTACAGACCAAATATCCCATGAACTTAGATGTACAACTCCTTACAAAATATTAGCAAATTGGGGAAGAGATCAACTTTAAATAATGTTGTTGGGATAATTATCTAGCCAGGGAAAAAAGGAAGTTGACTCCTGCATCACAGTATTGACAAATGTCTGGGTGGGTTGTGCTCTTCAAGATACACAGGATCCCTGTGAGCTACAAATGCTTTTCTTGTGGCCTGGATTGTGGTTGCCCGTGTCTGCTCCACAGGCATCTTTACATTAGTTCTTAAGCCCTCACCATCTCTCCCCACAAACCACACATCCAGAGAGCTCTTCCCATACCACCTCTGTTCGTCCAGATCCAGTTCTAGGTCTCCTAATCTCCATCTTTCTCAGTCGTATGGAGAAAGATTCCATATCTTGGGTATTGTGAATAATGCTTCAGTAAATGTGGGAGTACAGATACCTCTTCCACATAGTGATTTCATTTCCTTTGGGTATATTCCCAGCGTCTTCCGCGTCTTAGCTGTACAAGCTTCCTAATTCTCCCTCCCTTCTTTCCCCTAGGGACCCAGGCTTTTCAATACGGCCTCACCTTTCGTGTGGTTTAGAAGAACGAGGCAGCGTGGGCGCAGCCATTTTCTGTTTCGGTGTGTTCTGATTGGTCAGGTCGGAAGACTAGTTGAAAGTGCCGAAATCCTACTAAGCATGCCCTACGCTGACAGGAAAGAAGGTGGAAGTACAGGATGAGAGGTCTTTAGAAGATTAGAAAGGATCAGTTAGATTTACTCCTTTTCGGCCTGGTCAGCGGAATCCGGTCGCCTAGAATGGCTGTCTCGCAGTCTGTACTGCGTCTTCCAAGATGGTGGCTTCCAACAGCATGTCAGGGCTTGGGCGCGACCATATTGCTGAGCGATCATTCCTGGTGGGACCGGGATCCGCGTCTGTAGATGGATCCTGGCCTTCCAAAGTGCTACTGAGTTTGTATAATAGCTGGAAAGCCTGGCCATCCAGCCCAGTGAGCAGAAGAGGAAATGACGTATGGAAGCTTTGCCTTCCAGGGAGTAAATTCACGGGACTCCTGTGTGAGATTACATTTGACTCTGCCTAAAGCCCTTAGGAATCCCGCAGCGCTGTGGGAATTCCGTGACTTGGGATTGGTTTCTGATGAGTACCATCTGGGGTTGCCGTTTAAGGCCGCTTCGGGGTTGTTGAGGGCTTTTAGGGCCGGCATCAGTGTTTAGAGCTGTGGATTGAGGAAGAAACTAGAGACCATTCTCTCGTTTCTCGTGAAATATCCTCTCCTCATCGTGCTCCCTGCCACAGAGAGAGAGGCCTGGGAGAGCCACCGATGGAGGGGGCCGTCAGGATGTGGTCGGCGAGGACAGGGATTGGCGGTTAGTGATCTGAGGTTTCAGGGGTCCAAGTTTGAGTATTTGGAGGGTCCGTTTTATGCTCCACTTGAAAGTAGGTGTCTGGGGAGGTGTGAGTGAGGCAACAGCAAGATGCTTGGGTGGAGAGCAACACGGACATCGACGGGAGAGGCTGGTGGGGCTGGAACATAAGGAGGCCTCAGCTGTACAGACATTTGGGTGCTGTATTTTACATTGAGGTATTATATTTCCCAATATCTTATGTCGAAGAATTTCAAGTATATAGAAAACTCGAAAGAATAGCAATATGATAACCTGTACAACCAAAATTCATGAGTTGTCAAAATCGTGTCATAAATGCTATGTGTGTGCATGTGTGTGCGTACACGAGTGTTTGTATACACTTGAAATTAGTACTAGCTTTTTATGTCAATTCTACCCTATTTTGTGTGACTTTGGGCAAGATACCCAACTTCTGTAAGTCTCAGTTTTTCCATTATGACAAATTGAAAATATCTACCTTGCAGATGGGTTTTGAGGATTGAGTGAGGTAGTGCATTTGAAGTCCCTGACAAAGTGCTGGCATGTAATGTATTAGTCAGCTTGGGCTGCCATAACAAAATACCATAGACTGAGTGGCTTAAACAAGAGAAACTTGTTTTCTTATAGTTCTGGAAGCTGGAAGTCCGTGATCACAGTGCCAGTGTGGGATGAGTTTTGGTGAGAGATCTTTTTCTGGTTTGCAGATGGCCATCTGTTTTCATATGGCAGTAGGGGGAGAATGCAAATTCTCTTCTTGTTTTTTTTTTGAGATGGAGTCTCGCTCTGTGGCCCAGGCTGGAGTGCAGTGGCGCGATCTCGGCTCACTGCAACCTCTGCCTCCCGGGTTCAAGTGATTCTCATTCCTTAGCCTCCCAAGTAGCAGTGATTACAGGCGTTTGCACCACACCTGGCTAATTTTCTGTATTTTTAGTAGAGACACGGTTTTGCTATATTGGCCAGGCTGGTCTCAAACTCCTGGCCTCAAGTGATCCACCGGCCTCGGCCTCCCAAAGAGTTGGCATTACAGGTATTAGCCATGGCACCCAGCCAATATCTCTTCTTTTAAGGTCACTAATTCCATATTGAAGGCCCACCCTCATGACCTCATCTAACCCTAGTTACCTTCCAGTGACTCATCTGCAAATACGTATTAATAGATACTTGACAAAAGGTAGCTATTATTATGCAAATGTATACCTTTTATTTCTTATAGAGACAAGAACTCACTGTGTTATACAGGCTGGTCTCAAATAAAAATTTATTTGTTTTTAGAAATAAAAAATTAGCTGGGCATGGTGGACTAATTAGCTGGACACACATGTAGTCCCAACTACTCAGGAGGCTGAGGTGGGAGGATTGCTTGAGCTTGGGAGGTTGGGGCTGCAGTCAGCCATGACAGTGCCACTGCACTCCAGCCTGGACAACAGAGCAAGACTCTGTCTCAAAAAAAAAAAAATAGAACCACCATATAATGCAGCAATCCTACTACTGGGCACATATCGAAAGGAAATGAAATCAGCACTTTGCAGATATAGCTGCACTCCCATGTTCATTGCAGTGTTATTCACAATAGCCAAGAGAGGTAATCAACCTAGGTGTCCAACAACAATGAATGAAGAAAACGTGGCATATATACACAATGGAATACTCTTGAGCCACAAAAAAGAAGGAAATCCTGTCACTTGGTGACAACATAGATGAACTTGGAATACATTATGTTAAGTGAAATAAGCCTCACAGAGAAAGACAAATATTGCATGATCTCACTTATGTGTGAAATCTAAAATTATTGAATTCATAGAAATGGAGAGTAGAATGGTGGTTACCAAGGCTGGGGGAGGGAGAGGGTTGTGGAAATGTTGGTGAAAGAATAAAAAATTTCAGTTAGATAAGACATGAACTTTTATGTTTAAGAGATCTATTGTACAACATGGTGACTGTAGTAAATAACAAGGTATTGTATTATTTCTTTTCTTTTTTTTTTTGAGGCAGAGTTTTGCTCTTGTTGCCCAGGTTGGAGTGCAATGGTGCAATCTTCGCTGACCATAACCTCCACCTCCCGGGTTCAAGCGATTCTCCTGCCTCAGCCTCCCGGGTAGCTGGGATTACAGGCATACACCACCACGGATAATTTGGTATTTTTAGTAGTGACCGGGTTTCTCCATGTTGATCAGGCTGGTCTCAAACTCCGACCTCAGGTGATCCGCCTGCCTCTGCCTCCCAAAGTGCTGGGATTACAGGTGTGAGCCACCGTGCCCGGCCAAGTATTGTACTCTTGAAAATTGCTTAAGAGAATAGATTTCAAGTGTTCACACCACAAAAATATGGCAAGTATGTGAAGTAATACATATGTTAATTAGTTTGATTTAGCCATTCCACAGTATATACTTATTTCAAAACAACGTATTGTACTGATAAATACATACAATTTTATTTGTTAGGTATAGGAAATGAATTAATTTTAAAAAGAAAAGTCTTTTTATTTACGCGGACTTGCTCTTTATTATTTCTACTTTAAAACACATTTTTGTTTGAATTCATAGATGCTGACTTCTTAGAATGAGGCAGCTCCTGTAAAGGAAAAAAGTATATCTCATGTCCAGAAATTCATCTTTGTTGAGGATACCCTTGATGAGACATTATCAGAATTGCAGGACAAACAGATACTAAAAGTACTGGCCATCTTCTGAAAGCTCTTGAACATGACAAAGTTCCAAGTGAGGTGTTTATTTACTTCCCAGTAGATTTTTAGAAGTTTATAACCATATATGTAATCAAAGAGAAAAATGAATATAAGTACACTCTGGCTGGCAGGGATGTGGTTAGACTAGGAGACAGAATAAATGATCAAGAGTAGCCAGTTAGGAAGGGAGATCTATCTCCATGTCGTAGGGTCCTGAAAGGTGCTAATAATTAGACAATTGCCATATAAGTAGCAGGATCTAGAATTAAGTTGCAAACATTTTTGTGGCAGTACTGACAACCATCACAAGAGAATTTTTAAAAGTTACAAGATTTACTTTGTCCAGAAGGAGAAAGCACATAAAATCGTTGATATCAGTAAATATTTCCTGGGCATCCAGTGTGAAGAAATGTCTCTGATGGATCTTCCTCTTCCTCTTCAGTTTTTGTGTGCCAGCATATGGACCCAGTGAACAGTAATCTTTAAGGAAATGTGGGAGATATAAAAGGCACAGCTAGGAAACTTAAAATCTCTTCTTTATAAAAAGAACATAATAGTGCTTAAACAAGGGTTATTGTGCAGATTATTATGTTAATATATGTAAAATTTGTAGAATGATACATAGCACATAGTAAGAAGTCTGTTTTTCTTTATGAGTATCATCATTTAATTTGTAGCACAATTTCCAAAATGCAATTCTGACCGTAACTTACTTATGTAAAAAAAAAAAAAAAAAAAAAAGTGTAGTGGCTATCGAGTATCTTAAGGAAATGTGTACCCTTTGCTCCAAGACATGTTCCTGCTTTTCAAATGGGCATTTCTTCTCTTCAGCTTCTCCTGTCTTAATGAACTATTTGCATTTCTTTGAACGCAGAATGGTATTTAATACAGATACATATGTTGCCCCCTTCCAAGGAAGCCCCCATTTCTTCCACTTCTTCCTTTAGAACGCACTACTAATCATGCTACCAGCTTGTCTACCTCTTCAGAACAATTATGGCCTTACCTAATTGTGCTCACATATTAGCTTGAGCATACTTCTGTCTTAGTCCTTGCTAATCCATAATACCATGCAATACATAGGCTTTCTGCATAGGACTGTATTTGCTACTCTGTGCAAGATCAGAAACACTTGAAGGAAGGACTAACCTTTATTGTTTTTATTGTAATATGTATAATGAATTACATTAAATGCTCCTAAGGTGGGTTACAGATGGTTTTTAGGTAGTTTAAAGGTTTAAAAGACACTTTACATCGGGCAAATGAATGAAAGAGTAAACAAGTGAATGAAGAATGCACAAAGAAAAGATAGTTTTTAATGTATTCCACTCACAAAGTGCAAACCAAAACTAGGCACAGGAAAATCTTCGTTTGTGAATCTTTGTGGTAAAGATAAAGAGAATAATGTCCTACGAGTCTTATAGACTGAATTTTATTATATTAACTCCAGAATTTAAAAGGATTATGTTATTATAGGGTTTATCATCATTCAATGATGTGGCTGTTGACTTCACCTGGGAGGAGTGGAATCTATTAGACCCTGTTCAGAAGAACCTCTACCAGGATGTGATGTTGGAAAATTACAACAACCTAGTGTCACTGGGTAAAGACAACTTTCCTAAATATCTCACTGTAAGCCGATTAATTGCCTTTTTTTCTATTGCCACAATTTGTGGGTACTCTGATATCCTCAATGATTTTGGACTTTGACTTTTAGAACTTTTTTTACTTTATAATCGTACAGTGACCATATGTAATTTCACTTTCCAAATGAAAGGTTTCTGTTCTGCTGAGATGTATACTGTGCATTTCCTGAAACAGAACTTTTTCTCACAAGCTCTAATGCTGCTCAGATTCTCTGTGATTACCTCTTGACAGGTTGTCAAGCTACCAAGCCAGAAGCAATATTCCAGTTGGGGAAAGAAGAACAAGGAATAGTAGAGAGAGAATTCCCAAGTTGGTGCAGTCCAGGTGAGTGAAACCAATGCGATGGGAGTTAGTGGAACCAAAGTACTAGTTGGCCATTGATGGGTTGGCACCCTTGTTATTTTAATACATTTTCTCATGGTCTGTGAACCTTTAAGGGTGACTTAGAGTATAAGTGAAAAGAGGTCTTCAATATGAACAATTTCTCCTCCTCTTACTATCTGTCATAGTCCACTTGTGCTGCTATAACAAAATACTTGAGACAGGGTAATTTATAAATAATTGAAATTTATTTCTCACAGTTCTGCAGGCTGGGAAGTCCAAGATCAGGGTACCAGTATCTGGTATCTGCTGAGGGCCTTTTTGCAGCATCCTCACATGGCAGATAATAGAACGGCAAGTAAGGATGAATGTTGGGTTCTCATATGGCAGGAGAGCAAAAAGTAGCAAACCCACTCCCACAAGGCCTTTTTATCATGGCATTAACTTGCTCATGAGGTGGAGCCCTCATGACCTAGACACCTCCCATTAGGCCCCACTTCCCTGTCACTGCTGCACTGAGGATTAACTTTCTAGCAGATGAGTTTTGGGGGACACATCAGACCATAGCACTATATTTCTATGTATGACTCATAGGAGATGTGCCTCTCTTTCTCCCTCTGGTTGAGATTCTTGCCTATTTGGCCCTTGCCTTTTTGCTTAGTCACTTTTCTTTTGCAGCCTATTAGATACAACCACCCTTCACCTCCTACCAATATTTATAGACCTCTTCTAGTATGCTTTCAAATATTCCTAGAATCTTTTCCAAGTTTGATGACACCTGTGTCCTTCAAGCCTATTATATATTTCTTTTATTGAATGTCTCAGACTTACACTGTGTATCTGCAGATCACTTTCTGAATTTTTCTTGTATATGAACTTGAGATTCCATCCCTCTCCATTTCATGATAATGGTAGAATTCATTGTTTTTTGTTTGTTATTCTCTAGAACTAATGTGGCAAGCTTATGATTGGCATCAGAAAGATTCAACTGATTCTCCTGCCTCAGCCTCCCAAGTAGGTGGGATTACAGGTGCCTGCCACCATGCCTGGCTAATTTTTGTATTTTTAGTACAGATGAGGTTTCACCATGTTGGCCAGCCTGGCCTCAAACTCCTGACCCCAGGTGATCCACCCGCCTTGGCCCCCCAAAGTGCTGAGATTACAGGCATGAGCCACCGCATCGGGCCTAATATTTTCTATCTATAGATTTTTTTTCTTGAGTTTTAGGTGTCCATGTCACTGCCAGTACTGTGGCAGTGCAGTTTCAACAGTAGAACTAGCAAGACCATGCTAGAAAAACTAGAAAAACGGAAAAAATAAAATAAAATAGAGATCCCCACAACACACTTTTTGGCTCATGTGGATTCATTTTCTCTGTTTTCTGGCCATGAAGGCTGGTTTTTCTTAGTGTCCTTGCTCTTCACCTCAGCAGCGAAATTTCTGTTAGGTTTTGAAGGGAAGGCAAGGGTTAAAGAAAGACATGGAGTGGTGGCTCTACAGCAAATGCAGGCTTTATGTCCAGCATAAGACCTGCAGAAGTGAGGAAACAGCCTAATGCCAGTGCCCACCGCTTATAGGCTGGGGCAATTTATAGGCCTGGGTGAGAGGGGCCTGGGGGGACATGTTCCCAGGATGAGGCGATTCCCGCGGAAAGTGGTGTTCCTTGCACTTTCTCCCAGCAGAATATGATAAGAGGCAGGATGTTTCTCACAGCCCGAACCCCCTGTGGAATGTTTCACTTTGATCAGGTTTTGTGAAATGGTGGGGGGCTTCCAAAATGGTGCAGTTTGGACTAACAATTTCCTAATTTGTCTTACCCTTAGGTCAAAGGCAGGAGATATAGACAGAAAAAAAATGAGGGAACTTACTCTGTGCATTGCTTGGTTTTCAACTCTATACTTTATTCTCCAATCTCTTTGCAATTATTCATTTTAAAAGTTCTCAAGTAGTTTTTATTAGTTTTTTTTCAAAAGTTTTAACTCTAACCAGTGGGAGTGATAAACTAGGGGGCTTACTTAATCATGGCTGGCACCATACATTACATGTATTTATTTTTAAGGGATAAAACATCCTTGTATTCCTGGGAACCTGATCTTGAAGTTCATTCTTTTCATATAATGCTAGATTTGATTGCTAATAATTTCTTCATGACTTTTACATCTATTTCACATGACTGTTCAGAATACACATGATCTTTCTGAAGTACAACTAATATTCTCTTGGAATGGGTTGTGGTTGTCAGTGTCTGCTCCACAACCAGTTTGGCCCAGTTCTTACCCCTCAAGGTCTCTCTCCACAATCCCACACCCAAATGTACCCAGGTGGCTTCCCCCTTACTACCTGAGCTCCTCCAGACCCAATTCTGGTTTCCTAAGACTTCTCTCGACAAACACATTCCCAGAATCCACCCTCTGCCTGCTCCCACTTCCTTGCTCCACTGCCTAGTCTTTGATCAACAGATCCCAAAACTTTTTCAAATATGGCTGCGCCTTACCTGCTGCTTTAAGGGCCTATGGGGCTAAATAGGTGCAGCCATCTTCTGCTTAGGTCTTGTCTGTGATTGGCTTAGGGCTGTTGCTAGATTTGAAGTAGACAGGTGAGAACGCTGAATGTTGTTCCTGAGAATGCACAACGCTGCTGGTAGCAGCTGGGGAAGTGGTGAAAAGGACAGTAGAAGATCAGCTGCATTGCCTCTTTCCTTTCTAGCACGATGGAATTTAGTCGCCAGAAAATGGCCATCTCGCTATCTGTAAGAAGCATCTTCCAAGACTGCTGCTTCCATGTGCACGCCTGGTTTCAAAGTCTGTAGACATCTTGTGTTCCGCGAAGGTGCTACTGAGTCTGCACAAGAGCGTGACTACGGCAGTGAGTGAAGAGGTTACGGAAACCTGCTAGTCCTCAAGCGAATGTTTGTGCGACTCCAGCTGTAGGGTGAGTTTCCCAGCGCTGTTGGGGTCCTTGACCGGATGCGACCAGCATGGGGTACTTGTGGAGGTTTGCGGTGTAAGAAGGCTTCAGGGAATGGTCAGTGGAATCTGAAGCTGGGGGTTAGCCACTGAGGGCTTCTGTGGTCTGGATTGGAGCATCCTCAGCGTCGAGTGGAAGTCGGTGTCTGGGGAACCAGGAAAAGCGAGCAAGCGATGCGGAGTTGGGGGCCATTATGGCTATCGGTGATGGGAAGGGCTGGGGAAGGAGGTACTTCATTGCTTCAGATGCCAGGGATTTGGGTGCTGTACTAAGTACCCAACCATATTTCCCAACATTTCATACTGAAACCTTTCAAGTACACTGAAGGAATAGCAACATGGTGGTCACCTGTGTACCCATCACCTAGATTCAGCAATTATTAAAATTGTGTCATAAATACTTGGTATATGTGTATGGGTATGTGTGTGTAATTTCTTCTTATTATTATTATGTTTAATCATTAGAGAAAGAGTCTTGCTCTGTCACCCAGGCTGGAGTGCAGAGGGGTGATCATAGCTTACTGCAGCCTCAACCTCCTGGGCTCAAGTGATCCTCCTGTCTCGGCCTGCTGAGTAACTAGGACTAAAGGCATGCTCAACCACGCCTGGCTAACATAATTTATTTCTTGATGAATCCTTTGAAATAACATTTTAGTCCTGATTCTTTATGCCGATTTTGCTATTTACTGTCTGCATGACTTTGGGCAAGGTATTGAAATGCTGTAAGTTTTACTGTTAGGAAAAAATGATGGTATCTCCTTTGCAAATTTCTTTTGAAGATTATTGGAATGGTGTGCCTGAAATGCTAGCAAAGTGCCTGGTTTATAGTAGATAATTGAGAAATGTTCTTTTATTATTATTCAAATATATACCTTTCTGTGGCAATTTTAATTATCTAATTAACTTTTCCTTTTCTGCTTTCATATAGTTCGTTTTCCTATATGAATTTATCTTTGAGTACATATTTGAAAACTTCTGAGGATTTTAAATAAAGATCTCCTTACAACAATTATTTATTACAAAAATTGTTACATGCTTGTAAATAAAAAACCAGGCAGTAATAGTAAAAGCATCTACAATTTACCATCTATACCAAACTTATCTTTTGTACTATGTTATTAAATTGAACTGCATAGTATGGATATTTCATTTTCTTAAATACATAAAGCAGATCAGGTTAAACGCATATTTAAACTTTTAAATTAAATTTAAAATTAAATTCTATTTAATTTAATATAAATTTATATATATTTATGTTTATACTTATATATAAATATTTATATAATTATATAATAAATATAAAAATTTAGTTTCTTTTTTTAACCCTCTTATACCAGGGAGAATGGCTATTTTAAAAAAAAATTTTTTATTATACTTTAAGTTCTAGGGTACATGTGCACAACGAATAATTTAGTTTCTAATTAAACATTTAAATGCATATTTAACCATTGGCTTTTTTTGCTTAATAAAGGTAATGTTTGATAATATGCTAATGACAGTCTTTCATTTCTGTCCCATCTTTGCATCAATCGTGTATTTGCCTAATCATTCCAATACTCCCACCCCGCTAAAAATTTCCATCTAGAATTGTGTATGTGATTTCCTTGATTTTTAGAAATATGCACTTATATGTGGATACCTAAAGAACTCAATATTTAGATTTTTAAGTTTTATAAATAGTATTATAATATTTGTATTTGTTCTCTGTTGCTATGTAGAAATGACTACAAATTTAGCAGTGTGAAACAACACTCATGTTTTAGCTCATAGCTCTGTAGGTCAGGCATCTGAATGCGTTTGGCTGAATGTTCTGCATAGGATCTCAAGGTCAAAATCAAACCAAGGTGTCATCTGGGCTGGGTTTTTATCTGAAGATGGGGGAAGAAGCTGGCTCCAAGCTCAGTCAGGTGGTTGGCATAAATCAGTTCCTTTGCACTTCTGTAATAAATGCAACTTAGTCATAGTACAATATTTTTCTATATATTTTGGGATATGGTTTGCTAATATTTTATTTAGGATTTTTGTAGCTATACTTATAAATGAAAATGGACTATAAATATTATCATGTAACCATCATCTGAAAATAGATATTTATATTGACTCCAAAGTTTTTTTGTGCCCCTTTGCAATTATTGATCCCCTTTCCCCACCTCCTGTTCCCTGACAGCCACTCACCTCATTTCTGTTACTATAGTTATTTGTAATCTAGAACGTCACACATATGGAATTATATAAGAGATAGTTTTTTGTGTCTGACTTTGTGCACTTAGCATAATGCTTTTGAGATGCATTCATGTTGTGAACAAATGTGAATTTGAAAGAGCCAGTCTTTTGGGATGGATCCTGTATGGTTACTTGGGCTTAAATTTAAAATAGAACCTACCAGCCATTTGCTGTCTAGAGGTCATACAGGTACTCTAAGTCCCCTCAAAACTCACACCTTTTAATTTTGGGGCTTGGAAACCAACCAATCAGAGCTCACCTGAAGCAACCAATCAGAGTTCACCTTCCCTGGCCAATCAGCGCTCAGCTGTATCAACCAATCAGGACTGAGCTGTGTTAACCAATAAGAACTAAGTAAGTTTCACTCTTTCTTGGCATCAACATAGGTGATAGCAACATAGGTGATAGGGAACCTGGGCAGAAACTTTTGCTTTAAAACCGGAGCCTTCCCTCTGTTCCCTGGAACACACCTTCATTTTACAACAAAGATTGTGTTTCTGTAGTTTGCAGCCTTTTGCTGGAATAAAGTCTGTTTCCTTCACATTCCTTTTCAGATAATTTTTTCTTTTCTTTTCTTTTTTTTTTTTTTTTGAGACAGAGTCTCACTCTGTCACCCAGGCTGGGGTGCAGTGGCGCCCTCTGGGCTCACTGCAACCTCTGCCTCCTGGGTTCAAGCAGTTCTCCTGCCTCTGCCTCCCAAGTAGCTGGGATTACAGGTGCGTGCCACCATGCCCGTATAATTTTTGTATTTTTAGTAGAGACTGGATTTCACCATGTTGCCTATGCTGGTCTTGAACTCCTGACCTCAGGTGATCCACCCGCCGCAGCCTCCCAAAGTGCTGGTATTACAGGCGTGAGCTACTGCACCCAGCCCTTTTCAGGAACTTTTGTTCACAATGTTGTTGCATTTATTAGCAATTCCTTTTTAACTCTAACATTCCATCATACAGATATGCTATAGTGTATCCACTCACCAGTTGACAGACATCTGAGTTACTTCCAGGTTTGACTTTTATGAATAAAATCTCAATGAATGTTCATCTGAAAATGTTCGTGTGGAAACAACAACAGAACTGGTAATTCCATTAAAACGTAAGCAAAGGACATGAATAGACGTTTTTCAGAAGAAGACATAGAAATGGCCAACAGGTACATTAAAAAAGCCAAACATCACAAATCGTCAGAGAAATGCAAATCAAAACCACAATGAGATATTATCTTACCCCCGTCAGAATATCTATTTCAAAAAGTGTAAAACATAAGTACATTTATTTGAATGGTAAGATTTTATGATGATTTCACACTGTTTTTACCACCTTAAGATTTAATGAAGTGTCTGACAATAAAGGCAAAAAAACCTTATTATACTAGTCAGATACTCCAGAAATACTACATACAGAGATTTTTGAAGAGTAGAAATTAAATTACTTGGCTTCATTTTGGTTTCACTGCAAATTTCCACATGATGAGTAATCATTAGAAACAAAGGTTTTTATTATTGTTTTCAAGAACTAGGTATTTTTTTCTTCCATTTATTGCCATGACATCAATGTGAGAAAAACTTTTTAAAACCACTAATGTGTAAAGTATGTGTCACTTTAAAATTGCATGATCCAAACATTACTTAAGATATTGATTTCAAGGTCGGGTGCGGTGGCTCACGCCTGTAATCCCAGCACTTTGGGAGGCCAAGGCAGGTGGATCACCTGAGGTCAGTAGTTCAAGACCAGCCTGACCAACATGGTGAAACCCCATCTCTACTAAAAATACAAAAATTAGCTGGGCGTGGTGGCAGGCATCTGTGATTCGAGCTACTCAGGAGGCTGAGACAGGAGAATTGCTTGAACCAGGGAGGCGGAGGTTGCAGTGAGCCGAGATCGTGCCATTGCACTCCAGCCTGGGGAACAGAGCAAGACTGTCTCAAAAAAAAAGATACTGATTTCAGTTATGTCTGGCCATGTCAGTGAAAACATAACTTTTCTGAAATATTGGTTAAAATAAAAAATTTATTAATATTAATTTTAACTTCAGTTCATAAAAATCACTTTATTCTTCAAGCACAATTTTTGTATTGAACAGATGTATTTAAAAGTAAACTAGTAAGTGTTCCTTTTTTCCCTGTCTTTTGGAAGTGTTTCTTGTAAGACTGATGTTACTTCTTTCTTAAATATTCAGTAGAATTCACAGGTGAAACAATGCAAGCCTGAAGTTTTTTTTTTTTTTAATGGGTATTGATTAGAAATTCAATTTCTTTACTAGGTATTGGACTATTTAGATTTTCTAATTCTTTTTATGACAGTTTCATATGTGTGCTTTTCAAGGAATTTGTCCATTTCATCTAAATTGTCAAATATAATGTTATAAAGTGATTTGTAATATCATTTTAGTGTGTTTAGTCTCTGTAATAATGTTCCTTTTTTCATTCCTAAGATTGGTCATTTGTATTTTCTCTTTTTTCTTGATTAGTATTGCTAGAAACTTATCCATTTTATTGATATCTTAACATAACTTTAATATTTCCTCTTCTATTGATCTCTATTTCATTTATTTCCACTTTTAAAAGTTATTTTCTTATATTTTCTTTAGATTTAATTTGATATTTTTCTAGCTTCTTGAAATGTAAACTTAGATCATTGAGTTCACACACTTATTCTCTAATAAAAACACTTAAGGTAAAAATTCCCCTGTAAGGGAGGCTCAGGTTGGATGATTGCTTGAGGCCAGGAGTTCAAGAGCAGTCTGGACAACATAGCAAGACCCCACCTCTACAAAAAAATTTAAAAATTAGCCAGATGTGGTGGTGAGTGCCTATAACCTCAGCCATTCAGGAGGCTGAGGCAGGAGGATTGCTTGAGCCCAAGAGGTTGAAGCTGCAGTGAGCCGTGATTCTGCCACTTCACTGCAGCTTGAGTGACAGAGCAAGACCCTGTCTTAAAAAAAAAAATCGTGTGCACACTGTCTTTAGCTTTAAATCACAAAATTTGAAATGTACTCCTCTTATCCTTCAGTTAAAAATATTTTCTAATCTTCATTAAGATTTATTTGGCCCATGGGTTATTTACATATATGTTGTTTAGTTTCCAAAGATTTGGGCATTTGCTAGTTATGTTGTTATTGCTGGTTTTTAATTTGATAGATTATGGTCATGGAATATACTTAGTATAATTTAAAGCCTTAGATTTTTATTAAAACTTATTTTATAACCCAGCACTTGAAAAGAATTATATTGGGTATTATGTGAAATATCCTACTCTTAGGTGTAAGAAATGGTTTATAAATGTCAGTTAGGTTACTTGATTGTGCTTTTTAATTCTCTGTATCTTGAGGCCAGGAGTTTGCCTGGGCAACATAGTGTGACCTTGTTTCCACAAAACAAATAAATAAATAAAAGGAGTGTGGCTGCACATGCCTCAGCTACTCCAGAGACTGAGGTGGAGGATCACTTGAGCCCAGGGTTTTAAGGCTGCAGTGAGCTATGATTGTGCCACTGCACTCCAGCCTGGGTGACAGAGCAAGACCCTGCCCCTACTCCAGTACTATTTTTGTAGCTACATAAGTGGCTAGAAAAAAAAAAATCTATTGTGTGTTTTTGAAAAGCTAGAGGAGAGGATTTTGAATCTTCACCACATAGAGAAATGATAAATGTTTTAGGTGATGGATGTGCTAATTACCCTGATTTGACTATTATACACATTGTATGCATGTATCAACATATCACTCTGTATCCCTTAAACATGTACAATTACGATGTGAACTAAAACTAAAAGAAAAAAATATATTGTACCCCTAACTGTTAATCTAAACCATCAGCCCTGACCACTTCCCAAAATTCCAGCCTCATAAAATCAGTCAACTTCTTGGAATTTCTGTGAACACAAGCAGTAGGCATGACAAACTAAACATTCTGAAAACAGTATCCCCAGTTCTCCTATTCCCTGACCTGCCCCTTCCTCAGTTTTCTTTCTTTTAGGAATCAGAGGCATTGTCCTCTCAGTAGATTAAGTGCCAAGTCTAAAATTTATTATTGATTTTTCTCTCATTTGGTAAGCAAAATCCAAGTGCTGCTGATTTTATGCACCCCAAGAATCACCTACAGGCTCATGCCATCTCTTGTCTGGATGCCTGAACTAGCTTTTGCAAACAGCTCTCTCTCTCCATGAACAGAAGCAAAAAATGACTTTTTAAAACACAATCAACATAACTACTTCCAGCGGTGATGGCATAAGAGAGACCAGATTTATGCTCCTACCTTAAACAACTAAAAATCTAGGGAAAATGGGAAAGAATGGTTTTCTGACACTGGACAACAGGTAGTATAGCATTGTAATCTCCAAAAAAGGGGAAACAAATAAGATGATTCCCGTGATTGCCTTGATTACTGACTTGAGAGAGTTCCCAGGCCACAGAGTAGGAGGGGAAACACAGGTAGAGCCCGGTAGACTCTTTGAAATAAGAAGATAAAGTTGGGAGTTGGGAAGAACAAGGCAGATAGAGTTGAAAGATTAGTACTGAATAAGAGAGTACTGCAGACAGAATATGATTAAGACATCAGTTCTTCTTCAAGCAAATCCATAGATTCAATGTGATTCAAGTTAAAAAAACATTAACCTAATTCTAAAAATTTATATCGAAAGGCAAAGGAACTAAAATAGCCAAATTACTTTTGAAAAGGAACAACATTGGAGTATGTCAAGACTTGCTATTAAGCTACAATTATCAAGACAGTGTGATATTGGCTAAACGGTAGACAGACCAATGGAACACAATAGAGTCCGGAAATAGATCCACACACAATATTGACTTTTGACATACGTAAAAAATTCAATGAAGAAAGAATATTATTTTCAACAAATGATACTGGCGTAATTGGACATTAAAAATATTAACAAAAAAGAAACTCAACCTAAGCCTCACATTCTTTGCAAAAGATAATTAAAGATGGATTATAGATTTAAATATTAAATGTAGAACTACTACATTTTTAGGAGAAAACATTAAAAAATGTCCAGGACCAAGAGCTAACCAAAGAATTCTTTGACATGACACCAAAAGCACAATCTGTAAAAAAGGAATAAGTTGGACTTCATAAAAATGAAAAATTTTTATGGTTGATTAGCCAGGCATGGTGGTTTGCACCTCCAGTCCCAGCTACTTGGGAGGCTGAGGCAGGAGGATCACTTGAGCCCAGGGGGCAGAGGCTGCAGTGAGCTGAGATTGCACCACTGCACTCTAGCCTGGGAAACAGAGTAAGACCTTGTCTCAAAAAAATAAAAAATAAAAATAAAAAAAGAAAATTATGGTTAAGCTTTAGACTCAATACAAATTAAAAAAAAATAGAGCAGATCATCACATTGCTCTGTATCTTTTAATGGCTACCAGGTGTCTACCTCAGGCTTAACAAACTCTGCTGTATATGGTTCAGACCTCATTTTCTGGATACCCACTCTCTTTCTCACTGAAAAATGACAGATGAATGTGGAGGCTGCTACAATAGATGAAGAAAAACAGAGGCGTCAAAGGCTCTCAGACCAGCAAAGAATGAGAGAAGGGAGGTGATTTTGTGATTGACAAAAAGCTACAACAAGTGCTATGAAAAGAACTAAAATATTTGCTGAACTAGACTGGAGAGAGCCTGAGAGGCTACGTTATCTTAGGGACTCAGAAAAAAATGTTCTGAGGAGGTTATGTTTAAACTGAGATTAGAATTACATGAACTGGTCACATGAAAGTTCAAGAGGAAGAATATTCCAAGCAGGACAACAGTTAGTACAAAGATTCTGAGACAAGAATGATTTGGTATGTTTGAGAAATAAAGATATTACTAGTGTAATTACTAACATAATCGATGAAAGAAAAACTGTTGAGGAAGACCATCAGAAGGACAGGCAAAAGCCAGATAATATGAGGCTTTGGGAGTCAGATAGTGGATTCAGATGTTTTTATTATTAGCATGATGGGAAGCTATTGGAGGGTGTTAATCAAGAGATGGGCACGATCATGTTTATATTAGAAAAAAAAAACTTTGGCTGCTGTGTAAATAACTGATTGCTGTAGAGCAAGAGTGAATGCAGAAAGATTAGGAAACTATTGTAGTGGTCCGGATGATGATGGTTTGAAGTCAGGTGGTAGTGGACAGGAAAGAAACACACAGATTTGGTCCACGTTTTTGACATAGAGTCAATGGGATATGGTGATGGATTAGATTAAAAGAATCAATAGGCCGGGTGCAGTGGCTCATGCTTGTAATCCTTGCACTTTGGGAGGCCAAGGCAGGTGGATCACTTGAGATCAGGAGTTTGAGACCAGCCTGGCCAACATGGTGAAACCCCATCTCTACTAAAAATACAAATATTAGCCAGGCGGGGTGGCATGAACCTTGTAACCCCAACTACTTAGGAGGCTGAAGCAGGATAATTGCTTGAACCTTGGAGGCAGAGGTTGCGGTGAGTGAAGATCGCACCACAGCACTCCAGCCTGGACAACAGAGTGAGACTCCATCTCATAAAAAATAAATAAATAAAATAAAGAATCAATAATTACTTATATTTGGGACTTAAGACATTTGGTAGAGTGTGATGACTTTTCCTAAATTTGGAAGAAATGTAGAAGATTTGTCAAGCAACTGTTTCAGGGGGAATCAAATTGATAGTTTTACTTTGATGATGCCCCATAGGTTTTCAAGTGGAAATGCAGAGGAGGGAGGTAGATACCAGTCTGGAGTCCTGAAGAGAAGTTGTGGATTATGATGGATGTTTAGGGGGAGTCATTTATGTACAGATGGGATTTCAAGTTATAGGAACACATTACCTAGGATGACTGCATTGATGCAAATAGATGAGGGGGGTCTAGAATTGAGCCCTCGGGTACACCAACATTTAAAAGTCAGAAAAGAGCCAGTCAAGGAGATTGAGAAAGATAAATCACTGAGGTAGGAAGAAAACCAAACAAGTGTGATGTCACCAAGAGAATTATATATTTTAAAATAAAAGGGTGTGGACAACTGAGTCATATATGCTTAGGGGCCTAAGATTCCCATCATTATCAGATAAGCATATATGACTTAGATTTACTCCATTGGATTCATAGGCAAGCACCAAATGTCTGAACCTGCAGTGCAGTAACATGGCAATGGATGTCACTGTTGTCCTTGATAAGAGTAGTCCCACTGCAGTAATCAGGACATGAACCCATTTAGAATGAGTTCTGGAGAAAATGTGAAATGAGGAAGTAGAGAAAGAAACTGGAAGTGACCCTTGAGTTTGCTGTCAAGGAGAGCAGAGAAATTTGTTGTAAAGTTCAGGAGGACGCGTGTGGTACAAAAGGTTTTTATGTTTTCAGTTAGTAGATTAGAGAACAGATGTATATGCTGATGGCAAAAACACAAAAAGAAAATGGCATGATAAAGTAGACAGAGAGACTATTTTCATTTCTTCCACTCAATTTCTACTAATTTATATTAGTTAATGCTTCATCTTTCCTCTGTTTTTTTTTTTTTTTTTAAACACTAGAAGCATATGCTATGTCAGTCAGGTTTCCACCAGATAAATAGGACTCAAAATGGATCACAGACCTAAATGTAAAAGACAAAATTATAAAACTCCTAGAAGATAACAGGAGAAAATCTAGATGACCTTGGGTTTGGCACCCTGTTGTTTTGACTTTACAAATTGTTACTAAAAACATCTGGGGGTGAGCTCCATTTGCACTGGCCTTGTGGGCAGTTGTTTCCCTTTTGAAGGTGCCCCACTTGACCTCTGAGTGGCTAGTGGGGACAAGGAGTGATAGCAGGAAGGAATGCAGCAACCAAGGAGGCACTGGCCTCAGCAGCACTTGCTCTTGAAAATTGCCAAGGGGACTTGTGCAGTTGCCATATTACAGGTTAGGCTTAGGTGACTTGATCCTTTCATCCTGGCTCTCCTTTATCAACACACTGAAGCCCAGCATTTTATCATCTTTTCTGACTTCACTATGAGGGAATTGCTGCTACCCAGGAGCCTGGTATCCTGTGGCTCTCTCATCAGTGAGATGTGTAGGAGATCGGTCAGGATGGTGGGAAAAGTTGTAAGATAAATTATAGGAAAAGGATGCAAACCTTCTTGGAAGGCCTGGGATTTGCATAGCTTCAGAAGAGGATTTGGCTGAAGGCAGCTGAATTTTCTCAGAATGGATAACAAGGAAGTGTAAAGGAATTGATCTAGATAAGTTAGTTTACTTAGGCCTCGGAACCTGGTATTTAATCATCTGTGCACAGGACTGCTGTCTTGGGGGGTGGGGGGTGACAATGTTAATTACCCACAAGACGTGTTGACTCCAGGCCTTTGTCATTAAATCTGTACTGAATAAATGCCCACAGTGCCAGCTTGTCGGGGCTGTGGCTACTGACTCTTTACAGCTCCCTCCTCGGTGTCTGTGAGCTGCCCAGTCCCCTAGCCTGCTTTTTCACTGGATATCAGTCTCAGAGTGCATTTTTCATCTGTCATTCGGCCAGGTTGGACCCTGGCAGAGATGGACATAGAGTTTCACCATACTGGCCAGCTCACTCTGGCTGGAGACCAGGACTTTGCAACTTATACCCAGTACAGGCCAGACTACTACCAAGACCCCATGTAACAAGAGCAGCATATATAGCTCAAGGGACAACGTGCCCTCAAGTAGTGGCCTGTCACCAGGGGCCTGATTAGAGAAAGAGTGACTACTGTTCATAGCGAAACATCCTCATTACAATGAAACCTGCCCTCCAGGAGCTGCAGGGGAGCCTGAAGGCTCAGAGAGCTGTCTATATTCACCAGAGTTTCTGGAGAGTCCCCAAGGCAACACCTGACAACAGCAGTACTAAGTTGCACAAAGCAACAAAAAATCTAAAACCAGCAAGCAGTAGTGCTGTCCCAGACCGACCAGGCCTGATACAGGAAGTTAGTGAGCCATCCACATGGACATACATTGGGAAGTATTTCTTTGTGGTAACTGTCCCATAACTTTAAAAAAAAAATCTCAGTTTCCTGAACCCACAATATATCATAATGCAATGGGAATTGAGACTCCACAATGAAAACTCCTAAAGAGGAAAAGAAAAATGGAGAGGATGTAGCAGGCACTGTTCTACTGCAATTAACCAAGGCCAGTGGGAAGGAATAGTAAGAATCCCCTGTCCTGGCAGTGGAGGAAGTCTCTTAATTAGCCCATCTGGAAGCCCTGGCTCTCCTATCTAGGTTTTGTCCTTGTGCCTTTTTATTTTCTTTTTCTTTTTCTTCTCCTTTTTTTTTTTTTGAGATGGAATCTTTCTCTGTCTCCCAGGCTAGAGTGCAGTGGCACATTCTCAGCTCATTGCAACCTTCACCTCCCAGGTTCAAACAATTCTCCTTCCTCAGTCTTCCAAGTAGCTGGGATTATAGGTGCACACCACCATGCCCAGATAATTTTTGTATTTTTAGTACAGACAGCGTTTCAACATGTTGGCCAGGCTGGTCTAGAACTCTTGACCTCAAATGATCCACTCACCTCGGCCTCCCAAAGTGCTGGGATTACTGGAGTCAGCCATCATGCCCAGCCTTGTTCCTTATTTTCTATGGCTACACCTTGGCTGGGCATTTAAGAATATACACCTCCTGGGAACTCTAAAGCATTTATAGGAGTCAAACGTGCAAATGAAATGCGCAAAGTGCTCTGCCTTGGAAATGCAATAACTTTAGGAGAGACAGAAGGGAAAAGGAGAAGAAAATGAGTAAAGCAGTGGGGTGAGTGAGAACACTGATAACAGGATTGCCTGATATTCATGTTGAGTGGTGTCTTTTGCCAGTGCATCAGGAAAGTATGTTCACAATACAGAATTGACAATTTCTGAGTGTTTATGTGCAGAAAGCAAGGTAAAGGGCTGAGTTATGAGTTATTTATTTAAATATGAAGTCTTTAGGCAATGGTTAACCAGAGTAGTTTACTTAAGCAGAAACTCAAAATCAGAAATGTTCATGAAAATGTAAGCCAGCTGGGAATTTACAAATACTGTGGACATGAGGATGGGAATTTACTAGACCTGACCTGATTCATATTATGAGGGCTGGAGATAATTTTGACTGGACATTAAGTGATATTATTGTTTATCAATGCCATAAACATTTATTGAGTGCCTATCACATATCAGACACTATCTTATTTGCAGGGGATTGGGATCCATCAGCAAACAATATAGACCAAAATACCTGCCCTCAGATAGCTTACATTCTCATTACTTGAAAGAAACATATCAAGTACCATACAGTTATTATACTGTCTCATGCCAATAAGTGAAACCACATTTGCAAAAATTTTGACAGTGAGAGAAATCTAACGTGGCTGACTCCTTCCTGCCTCTAGCCTCAAAGGTTATCTGTCTTTGTTCACTCCTGGTTGTAGGCTAAGATAACTGGGGAAGAATTTAGTTTATAGTTTAACATGGAAGCAAGGATGATAGTAGGCCTTCCCTAACTAACACCCTTCTTGCTCTGAGACTGAAAAGTAATGAAAGGCCCTAAGATTAGGATTATTCAAGGAGTCTGAATTCTGCTAAAATGTAGGATTATAGTTTCTATAATCCTTTATTGCCAGACGTCATGTGGCCAGAGACACCTGGGCAGTAAAGACCAAGATTTGTGACTTCCCCAATCACTTCTATAGGTAACACCTCTATTGTAGAACCTAGGATTAGTCTTTTGAGATGTTTTTCAGACTTGCATTCTAGCAACTGACTGACCTTACCAGGGCTCATGACTTATGACTCAAGTGGTCCTGTGACCCCCTCACTCCAAGGCAGACTCAGTGCTTGAGGACCACTTTCCACTCTCCTATGATTGCCTTCCCAACCAGTCAGCAGCACCCATTCCCTAGTCTCCTGCCCACCAAACTATCTTTGAAAAACCATAATCTCTCAGCCTTGAGGGAAACTGATTTGACTGATAACTCCAGTTCATCCATGTGGCCAGCATCATGTTTACTGCAATACTGCATCTTTCTTTACTGCAATACTACAGTCTCAGTAAACTGGTTTTGTCTGTGCAGCAGGCAGGGAGAACCCACTGGGTGATTACAAAAGTTTGGTAATTGGGATGAAATGGCCAAATTCCTTGAATTTGAAAATCACAGTTTACCAAAAGTGAACAATGTGAAAAAGAAAACTGCCAGGTCTAATAATTGTTAAAGAAATCGAACCTATATTTAAAAGCCTTCCCAAAAAGCAAACCCAAGATCCAGTTGGCTTCACTAGCAAATTTTTCTAAATGTTTAACAAAGATATAATACCCGAGGATAGAATCAGAAAATCACTTCCAAACTCCTTTCAGGAAAACTAAGTTTTATGTAAAAGCTAACAAGGACAGTAGAGAAAAGTGAAATAACAGAGCCATCTCTACATAAACATAAATACAGAAATTCTAAACAAATCTGTGAGACAGATTATAAATGTTCAAAAACCATCATGAGCAAGCGTGGTTTATTTCATAAATGCAAGGGTAGCTTAACATTGAAAACTTAATCTAATTTATAATTATGTAAATGAAAGAATAAAAATAATATGATCACGTTAATATTTACAGAAACTGCATTTAATAAAATTCAACATTCATTCATGATTTAAACAATAAAAGAAAACTCTTAACAAATAAGAATAGAAGAAACCTTCAACAGTCTGACTTTAAAAAGAGAAAGCCCCAGAAAGCCTATGGCAAACATTTTACTTAATGGTAAGATAAAGTTTTTTTCTAAAAAAACACTATCTCATCTAAGCCTTACAAATATCCCCACTTTGTCTCTTCTCTTGTACTCTTTTCCCACTTCCACTTAGTCTCAGGATATAGGCTGAGGTCCAGACATGAAAAAATAACACCCACAGTGGCCTCATTATCTACTTCTTACCCTCAAATCAGGGGGCACAGAAGTATTTTCCCTGAGGAAATACTTGAGCCACTCATCCTGGAATGACTCAATGTGACCAAGGTTAAATGAAGTTAGGACTGGGATTAGGGTATCTGGTATTAAGATGTATGTTGGTTTTAGCCCATGGTTTCTGCTTCAGAACTCCCATAGCCCTTGCTACAGTCCTTTGTTATAATGTTGGGTGTATTAAGCCTCAGGAAACAGAATCTCTCTCCTTTCCTTTCATCTACCCCAAAGCAGGACTCTAATCTTCCCTTGCCTTTCTAATTGTGGGTCTTAAGACCCTCCCCAGAGAGGATCCCATCCTATACACTGGAGGAAAGAATGCTGACATCATGAAGCTTCCATAAAAACCCAAGAGGACTGGATTTGGAGAGCTTCATGAGACGTGAACACACGGAGGTTCCCAGAGGGTGATGCACTCAGGGAGGGCGTGGAACCCCGTACCTTGCCCTATGTGCCTCTTCATCTGTATCCTTTGTAGTATCTTTTATAATAAACCTTGCTTTTATAATAAACCAGCAAGCCGAAATAAATGTTTCTCTGAGTTCCATGAGCCACTCTACCCCCAAAGAGGGGGTAGTGGGAACCCTGATTGAAGCTGGTTGGTCCGAAGTTTCAGAAGCCTGGATTTGTGACTTGTGTCTCAACTGGAGGAGCAGACTTGGGGAATGAGCCCTTAAACCTGTGGGATCTGACAGTAGCTCCAGGTAGATAGTGTTGGAATTTAATTGTAGGACACCCAGCTGGTGTCTATTGCTTGGTTGTGGGAAAAACCCCCTACAGATTTGGTACAGACTTCCTTTATGTTGATGATTGTGGTGGTGGTGGTATGAAAGAGGAAGAAAAACACTGTCAGAATTTTTTTTTTCCGCTTAACGCAGGGTAGAAAGAGACAGAGCCCAAAAATATCCCCGACCTCACATTGCTTGTAACTCCGTCTCCTCAGGAGGTGAAGCAGAAGTGGTGTCTGTGTTGCTGGTCTGGGCTGAGTCAGGGACCTCAGTCAGGGCCCTCTCCAAACTAGTGGGCAAAGAGCGAATCAGTCTTTCTTGGAAGTTACGACCCATAAAGACGTAGAGAATTGGGTTGAGGCAGCTGTTAAAAAAGGCCAAGGAGCTTGTTGGGTTAATCAGGACAAGAATGATTTTGTATTTGCCATTTAACAACATCTCTTTGAGCCAGACTGCCATTAGAATGCCAATTAGTTCATAAGGGAACCAACAGATGAAGAAAGAAGCCACCACAGCAGCGAAGACACGTAAGGGACGGCTGGATTTAATCATGTGGTTTCTGTGAATTTTGGCAGCGATGATCCCATAGCAGACTGTGATGATGGACATAGGCACGCTGAAGCCAATAATGAAGTGGAGGATCAGAAAGACCTTGGCCATGGTAATGAACACGTTCAACCTCTCTACAGCAGTGTCACCCCAGAATGCAAAGTTGAAAATACAGTATGTGTCCCCATTCGTAGTACTTATTGTAGTCCAGAAGATGAAATTTGGTAAGGTAAGGACTATGGTGAAAATCCAGAGTCCCGTCATCACCCTCTTGGCCAGACTCATGGTGCGATGGTTCTGGGCCCAGGCTGGATGCAGGACACAAATACAGCGGTCCAGAGCAATGATGGTGATCAGGTAGACACTGACAAACAGGTTGATGTCTATCATAACATGAACTAACTTACATAGGAATGAGCCAAAAGGCCATTTTTCTCTCATGGCGACTGAGACCATTCGGAATGGTAGGATGGCACTGAAAGAGAAGTCAGCTAGGGCCAGGTTCAGGTAACAGATGGTGTTGACTGTGCGTGTCATCCGGAATCCAGCCACCCAGATCACAAGCCCATTGCCCAGGACCCCGAAGACAAAGGTGACTCCGTGGACTAGCAATGAGAAGATCCACAGAACGGTGTGGCCAGCAGGCTCAGGGAGCACCTCCTCAGTTTCATTCAGAGGAATGGAGAAGTTGGTTTCCATCTTCCCACACCTGAAACATTTCAGCAATGGCCATTTCTCAGCTGTGACACCATCTTACAATACAACTATTCATTAACTTCCACTGTAGCTCCTCCTCCTACCAGCAGACCCTCCCCAGTGAGCCTTGTGAATGGTTATAACATAAAATTGGCACTCTCTCGGAGTTCCTTTGGGAAACGATAGTTCTCTATATTCCCATCATTATTAATATGCATGCCACCTATCAAGCTGATTACCAAGAGGATTAAAGGGCTCTGTCCACCAGCGGAAATACTGAACTGAGAGTGTATGGACAATGGAAAATTGAGCATAGGCAGCTTCAGCTTCGTGAGGAAGGCACAAGACTCAGAGTCAGAAGGTTCACATCTGTGGCCTCCATCACTCAATGCAAACATGCTGGCAAGCTCTGCAACTTCTTTCGGCCCCATGCTCTCCCAGTCTCCCAGCTCCTGTCCCTCCCACTGTGAGGACCCTTGACCTATTTTTTAGTTGATATTTAATTTGAAGTTTTAGGGTTTGGATTGAGTTAGCTGAAGAGGATTTTGAACCATTACTTGTAATATATAGACATATATTACATGCTATAGGCCGGGCGTGGTGACTCATGCCTGTAACCCCAGCACTTTAGGAGGTTGAGGAGAGTGGATCACTTGAGATCAGGAGTTGGAGACTGGCCTGGCCAACATGGTGAAACTCCATCTCTACTAAAAATGCAAAAATTAGCCAGGTGTGGTGGCAAGAGCCTGTAACTCCAGCTACTTAGGAGGCTGAGGCAGGAGAATTGCTTGAACCTGGGAGGCAGAGGTTGCAGTGAGCCAAGATCGTGCCACTGCACTTCAGTCTGGATGTCAGAGTAGATTCCATTTCCCCCCACAAAAAAAAAGAGCAGAAATATATTACATCCTATAGATTCTGTGCTAGATGAAGTCAACAAAGAGGGCCCTATATTTACTTTCTCCCGTCTGCTTTTCATTGTCCCTACTTAGCATCCGTTGTATATCTTCAAGGTCTGTGGGATAAACAGAATGAGCATGAATATTTAGCTAGTATTTGTAGGGTTCTTATCAGAGACTATTCACTGTGTTAATTGCTACATATGGGTTGTAGTTTGGTCTGCATAGTAGCTCTGTAATATTCATTGTTTGTAGTTTCCACAGGAATGACTCAATGTTGAGAGCAATTGTGAAATCTGCTGGTCACTTAAGTAGGAAACAGTAGACAAAGATCTTTAATCTAGCTTAGTCTGACTTCTAAGCCCTTTCTCTATGCAACAATTCTGACAGATATTGCTGGTGATGCCCCCTCCCCCCACAAATAACTGTTCCTCATTTCTTCTCTGCAAATCAAATCGCAATTTTGTTCAGTTACTCACTCTTTTGGGGGAAGGTATCCCTCCTCCATCTTTGCGGGCATATCTTGATTTTCTAATTTGTTCTAACTAGAATTCCTTTTGCTTTGCAAGGGATTGCTTTATTGGTGGAAACATGACTAAATTCTGGGCAATAACACTATGGGAGGATATCCTGGCATCTTTCTGGGATCTATTTCCTTGCTTTTAAGAAACAGAATCACAAAATTACAGTCCCTGCCTCTGCACCAGGTCACATGGGAAGCTGTTGCATCCAACTCAACCCAAAGGTCTCTGTGTCCCTTGTGTCTTTGCCACTTGACCAAATTTGCTTATACTGTGGTCTGTGGGCTGTATCAGAAACATCCAAGGTATTTGTTAAAATGCATATTCATGAACCCAACTCTAGAATCTCTCTGTGTAAAAGCTACAGTGATTTTTATGGCCAGGAAAATTAGAGACTCTTCCTACCTTGGGATATCCAGCCTCTCTAAAAGTAACAGCAATTATACAGCACTTGTTCACAAATAATACTCATAATAACATTGTGGGCAGCCATCATTACCCCTTTTTGTACCAGAGGGAATTCATGGCCTTGGGGTTTTTGTAGGTTTTTTTTTTTCAGCATCATGTCCAGCCGGTCAGTGGAGGCAGCAAGATTTGAAATTCAGGATGAGCAACTTTAGAGCCACTACCGTTGCAACTCTAAAATGCTGCATTTGAAAGGAGTTCCCCAGATATTTCCAGCATGTGGTCATACCCTAGTATCATGGTTTTTTCCTCCTTTCCCTTTCTCTCTTCCTTCTTTTCTTCCTGTCATTACCAGTCACTTTCACTGAGGTCTTTCATGGGACATTGTTTAATGTAGCTCAAGGTTTCTCAACGTTGGCACTACAGACAATTGGGGCTGTGTAATTCTTTGTTGTGGGGGACTGTTCTGTGCACAGTAGGATATTTAGCAACACCCCTGGCCTCTATCCACCGATGCTAGTAGCAACTCCCCCTTCAGGAGTGACAACTGAAAGTGTCTATAGACATTGTCAAAGGTCCCGTGGGAGGCAAAACTCCCCCCAGTTGAGCATCACTGTTACAGAGTAAAGAACACTGGGCTTTGGGGTCAGTTAGATCGCTACTCTTATCGTTGGCACCTTGCCAATATGGGTTCTTGGTCAGTGATATCTCTTTGAGCCTCAGTTTTCTCCTCTGCAGAACAAGGACAGTTTTGTGGTGAAGTCTAACTTTCAGGTGAGGATTAAGTGAGACTGGACATGGAAATCTTCTAGGCTAGACTGAGTGTCTGTGACAAATGGGAACTTCTGGTCCTCACCAGGCTGTGTGCTGTGTCATGGGGCTCAATCCTGGGTCGTGCCTTTTGAAGCTCAAGGTCAGGACAAGAACAATGCTCATAGCAATAGTGGCTACTACTTATGAACATTACTCACATGCCAAGAGCTTCTCCTTTAACCCTAACAACTGCTCTCACAGCCTCTGCAGATGAGACGTGTTAATCTGTGTGAGCACTGAGCACACCTTGAGACACGGTGAATATTGACTAACCTTAGTTTTAATTAGTATAACCATTGTACACATGAGGAAGTTGACTTATATTGGTTACATTAATTATTTAAAGCCCCCAGTCAGAAAGGGGTAGAACCAGAGTTGGAGCTCAATCAGACTGATTTCAACAGAATTGTATGGTTAACCCTCTCCCATTCCCTAGTTCCTCAACAGACTCAGATTTTCTCTACCACTCTCCAAATATCCTAGAAGACATTCAGACAGTATGATGTATCAATAATCTCTAAGTCATTTGGAAATGTTGACACATTCCAACAATGTGCAGTGACAGGTGGGGACAGGCCAACAAGACAATGTTGTAAAATTTTGGATCCACCCTAGTTACAAAGTGGAGAAGAGAACCGTGGACCAGAGATGATACCTGTACTGATTATGAGGGCTGCTATTTGGTGCAATCCCAATGTGTATCAACCAATGTGTATTTTATTATTTCTAATTACAACATCCTTGCTCTGGGACAAATATTGTTCTTGTATAATCCATAGGAAACCATGGCTCAGAGAGGGGAAGTGACTTGTTCAATGTCACAATTATTGAGAGGTACAACTGGATGTATGATTACAGATTGGAATGTAATCTATAATGGAAACTCGGCACTTCCTTGTTAGCATCTGTGCTTCTCCAGCACGTGTGATTTCTGATGCATTAAAATAACATTCAGCCCTTCTGCTTTCTCCTCAAACTAACCAACTTCCTCTACTATTCCACTCTCAGCTGATGGCCTTGGCTGAATTTTAATGAGAAAACTGTAACAATTAGATGTGCATTTTTTAGCCTTTTCTTTCCTAACCCTCAATTTACGTGCCCTTGCTATTGTGAATAAAGACTTCTTTTTCCCAGTGACTTCCCTCTTTACATTTGCTTTCCATCCCACTGTCTCTCGTCTTCCCAAGAAATGGTATTTGTCCTTCTGCTTTCTGCTAAAAAGAAACCCTCAAGATTTGATTTCTACTAGATCCTTCTTGTTACCAAGTAACCATTATCCTATCCCTTCCCTTTAAAAAGAAACCAATCTTGGCCCATATTTCTTTCCAAGCTTCAACCCTATTTCTTTAAGAGAAGTGTTTTCTGTAAAGAGAATTCCTAGCCAAACTTTAGAAATGGTTGTCTCTAATTGCTTGCTTTTTTTTTCTCACCTCACCTATTCTGCTGAATCCATTCTATATTGACTTTAGTCCTTAGCACTCCAGCTAATGCACTCTCCTAAGGATACACATGACCTCCAGACTGCCAAATCCAGTGGACCTTTCTCAGTTTTTATCCTGATGTTCCAGTGACATAGGAACCACTGGATCTCTTTCTCCTACTTCAAACACATTTTTTTTCCATATCATAAGATGATAAGATGTACACACAATCCACTCTTGGTTGTCTTTACAGCTCAATTGGCCACCTCTTTTCAGTCCAGTTTTCTGCTCTAAATGTCTCTAAATTTAGGGTGTCCCACATTCTATAGGTGATATCATTCAGTATCACAGCTTAAAGTACCATGCTATCCTCTCATCTGAATTATTAGCACTGGCCTCCCCAGGAGCTCTAGTCTCATATAACCAATTGACTTCTTGATATCTCCCCTGCAGTCCCATAGACACTCCAAACCCAACATTGCCCAAACTAAACTGTTGCTTGTCCCTTCCTCCCAAACCTGCCATTCTTCCAATATTCTGTATCTATTTGGAGTTTAAATATTCAGTTATTAAAGCTCTAAATGTAGAACTCACCTTTCATTTTCCTTACCACCCAATACAATCCAAGTCCTATTGATTATATCTACAGAACATGCTGAATGCACAGCCAGAGCCATCTCCATCTCCACTACCCATGTCCATGGCCCTGTCAGGCTTGGATATTTGTACAAACTTTGCAGATAGTTTGTTCCTGGTCCTGCTATTCCCTCTGCTAAAATCCAGACACAGACAAATTATATTTCAAAAGGAAAAATAAGACAATGATGTTATTCTTCTCAGCACTCTTCTATGGCTTCCACATTTCTAACTCACACTTCTCAAGCACCCTGAGATTTGTCTTGTGTATCCCCAGACCTCATCTCTGCACTCTCACCTGACACACTGTGCTGGACCCATGGTGGACTCCTTGATTCCCTGACCATGCCAGCTTCTTGCCATTTCAGGGCTTTTGCTTTCTCTCTTCCTTCTGCCTACTATGATCTTCCTCTGGAGTTTTCCACACCTGGCTCTTTCTGAATATTTATATTTTAGCTTAAATATCTTGTCCTCAGAGGTATTCTCTTAACCCATTTGCAAAACAGCTGCCCCAGGTCCAGCCTATGTCACCAGATGCTTTTCTTATTTGTTTGTTCATTTATTTTCTATCATAAATACTTTCTGCACTGATATACAAACTCCACAAGTAGCACCTTCTTTCAGTGCTGTGTCTCTAGCATAGCACTGTCCAATGGAAACACAATGTGGTCTGTAAACACGGGCCGTGTTTGTGTCTTATAGTTTTCAGGTAACCATGTGTAAACAGAGTAGGAAACATTTGGGAAATTAACACCAATAATATATTTTCTTGAATCCTATATATCAAAAAGGGTATCATTGGAACATTTAATCAGAATAAAAATTATTAATGAGATACATGGCGTTCTTTTTTCATACTAAGTCTTAGAAGACATGAGATGCATTTTATATTTATAGCACACTTAAGGTTAAATGAGAAAAATAGCAAGCACTCAAAAGCTGTATTTGTCCTTGCGACAGTTTGCTGAGAATGATGGTTTCCAGCTTCGTCCATGTCCCTAAAAAGGACGTGAACTCATCATTTCCTAAAACTTAAAGTATAATAAAAGAAAAGTAAAGAAAAGAAAAAAGAAAAAAAAAAGACTGAAAAAACAAAACAAAACAAAAAAGCTGTATTTGGCAAGTAGATACTTCATCGCACAGCCCTGCTCCAGAGTTTAGGAAATGTCTGTCATACAGCAGGCATTCCAACAATAATTTTTAGATTGCCAGACCCCAACTTACCACTAGCTGAGTTCCTTTTCTTGTGGCCAGTCCCTGGCTTCCTGTCGAGCAACACAAGCTCCAAGGATTTGTCAAAAGACAAAATTACAACTAATTTAGTGTAAAGTTTTTATTGGCTTTATTCATAATTCTAGAATCAGACAACACCTCATCCCTCAAAACAGAATGCCTGTATTGATGAGTAGAACAGAGAAGTTTGATTTTATAGGGAGAGGAGGGCTAAAGAAAGCAGAAACAAAGAAAAAAAAGCTGAATGGTCATTTCAAAGTTGCTTTTTCCATACAGTGGGAATAGGGAAACAATAATTTAAAAAAAAAAACAAAACAGATTGACTGACATGGTTACTTACGTTACTTCTTTTGTAAGGATTAAAGCAGAGGCATTTTCATGGCTACTGAAAGTGACCTGTTTGGGAATTTGGCTATTTTCTCTCTCTCTCTCTCTCTTTATGATTTCTTGGAAAGCCAGATAAACAACTTAGTTTTTGGTTTGGTGACATAGAACTTTAGTATGAGTGACTCTATTTTGGTTTTGTTTGTTGAGTGTAGTACAGTAGCTCAGTTTAAACCAATGGTGTCCTGTGATTTTTACATAATAGGCTTCAGCAGAGACTTTGCTGAAGGACAAGGGAACAATGGAGCTGGAATCAATCCAGTGACAGAAACTCAGGGTTTCTTACCATTCCCAGAAGACACCTTGGAGATGTCATCAAACTACTCATCTTAGAAACCTATGTGTCTGAATGTTCCTTCACCTCTAACCTTCTGTGGGAGACTGGAGTTCATCCCTCCAAATAACAAGGGTCAAGGAATATGAGAGTCCAGGCCCTTTCTTCTTCAGAGATTCAGGGAAATGAAACAAAAAATTACCAAGGTGAAAAAATGAGAGGAAAACAATAAACAACAAAGATGTATGATTAAGCAAAAACTCACTTCTCTATTTACACACATACTTCTAACAGCATATGTGTGGGCTTTTTTCCAAACAGAGCAAGTCTCCAATTCTCTGGAGACACCACTGTCTATCCTACAATGAAATTCAGTTCTGATGCTGTCTAACTGGAGATAGCATCAGATCGCACAAGTTAAAGGTCTCACTCCCACAAGACTGTCTTCACTTCAGATACCAATGCAAGTCCCATGTGGCCACCTGTACTTCTGACTGATGGGCTATAAATCAGGGGTTCCTGTGACCCCCTCATCAGCTTTGTAATTTGCTAGAATGGCATGCAGAACACAATAAATCACTTTGCTTTCATTTATTGGTTTATTCTAAAGAGTACATCTTAGGCCAGGCATGGTGGTTCACGCCAGTAATCCCAGCACTTTGAGAGTCTGAGGCTGGTGGATCACTTGAGGCCAGGATTTGGAGACCAGTCTGGCCAATGTGGCAAAACCTTGTCTCTACTAAAAACACAAAAATTAACCGGGTGTAGTGGCACATGCCAGTAATTCCAGCTACTGAGGAGGCTGAGGCACGAGAATCATTTGAACCCAGGAAGAAGAGGTTGTAGTCAGCCGAGATCATGCCACTGTACTCCAAGCCTGGGCAATAGAGTGAGATTCTGTCTCAAAAAAAAGGAGAAAAGAATACAGCTCAAAAACAGTCAAAATAGATGCATAGGGCAAGTATATAGCAAGGGAGAGGTTGAGGTGGTACATGGAGCTTCCATGCTCTCTCTTCAGGCACTCAGCCTTCCGGCACCTCTTTGTGTTCACCAACTCAAGAAGCTCATCTAATCTCATTTCTCAAGGGTTTTTTTTTTTTTTTTAATAGGATCTCACTCTCTTCCCCAGTCTGGGGTGTAGTGGTGCAGTCACAGCTCACTGCAGCCTCAAACTCCTGGGCTCAAGTGATCCTCCCACCTCAGCCTCCTGAGTTGCTGGGACTGTAGGTACCTGGAACCATGCCTGGCTAATTTCTTTTCTTTTCTTTTTCTTCTTCTTTTTCTTTTTTCTTTTTTCTTTTTTTTTTGAGACAGGGTCTCATTCTATCACCCAGGCTGGAGTCTAGTGGCATGATCGCTGCTCACTGTAACCTCCACTTCCCTGGGCTCAAGGGATTCTCCAGCCTCAGCCTCCTAAGTAGTGGGGACTACAGGCGTGAGATACCACGCCTGACTAATTTTTTGTACAAACAGGGTTTCGCCATGTATCCTAGACTGGTTTCAAACTCCTGGGCTTAAAGCGATCTGCCCACCTTGGCCTCACAAAGTGCTGGGATGACAAGTGTGAGCCACCGTGCCTGGTGTCTACCTTTTTTTTTTTTAGACAGAGTCTCACCCTGTCCCTCAGGCTGGAGTGCAGTGGCGGGATCTTGGCTCACTGCAACCTCCACCTCCCAGGTTCAAGCAGTTCAAGCAATTCTCCTGCCTCAGTCTCCTGAGTAGCTGGGGCTACAGGCGCACATCACCATGCCTGGCTAATTTTTGTATTTTCAGTAGAGATAGAGTTTCATCATGTTGGCCAGGCTGGTCTCGAATTCCTGACTTTGAGATCCACCCACCTCGGCCTTCGAGAGTGCTGGGATTACAGGCATGAGCCACTGCACCCAGCCAACATTTTTTTATAGAGCTCAATCTCCAGTCCCCACTTCCCCTTCCTGAAAGTCAATGGGTGGGGCTGAAAGCTCCAACCCTCTAGTCACTTGATTTTTGTGGTGGTCAGCCCTAACCTGAGCCTATCAAGGGACCTCGCCCTAAATAACCTCACTAACATAAAATGAGATGTGATAAAAGGTGGCTCGCGCCTGCAATCCCAGCAATTTGGGAGGCCGAGGTGGGCGGATCATTTGAGGTCGGGAGTTCAGGACCAGCCTGGGCAACAAGGTGAAACCCCGCCTCTACTAAAAATACGAAAATTAGCCAGACGTGGTGGCAGGCGGCTGTAGTCCCAGCTACTTTGGAGGCTGGGGCAGGAGAATCTCTTGAACCCAGGAGGTGGAGGTTGCAGTGAGCTGAGATGGCGCCACTGCACTCCAGCCTGTGGGACAGAGTGAGACTGTGTCTCAAACCAAACCAAACAAACAAAAAAAGTGGTTTTTAGGCCGAGTGCAGTGGCTCATGCCTGTAATCCCTGCACTTTGGGAGGCCGAGGTGGGCAGATCACCCGAGTCAGGAGTTCAAGACCAGCCTGGCCAACATGGCGAAAACCCATCTTTACTAAAAATACAAAAATTAGCCCAGCAGAATGGCACATGCCTGTAGTCCCAGCTGCTCAGGAGACTGCGGCAGGAGAATCACTTGAACCCAGCAGATGGAGGTTGCAGTGAGCCGAGATCACACCACTGCACTTCATCCTGGGTGACAGAGCTGGACTCTGTCTCAAAACAAAAAAACAAAACAAACAAAAAACAAAAACCTTGAGAGGTGAGGCAGATGCATGAGAGAGTACCCGTTATCCAATATCATTACCAAGATTAACCCCTTAACCTTCTGCTCCAGAGGGAGATAATTTGTGGGACCTGCAACGCAGCTCTAAGGATTAGTTAATAGACAAAATTACAACAAATTTAGTTCAAATATCTTAATCTGAGAAGAGTTAAAGGTCTAAATCGGAGGAGATGGGCCCTTTCTGAGATTTTAAGCAACATCAGGACATTGTCCTCCGGCTGAAACAACACAACCATGAAGACAAGTGGAGACGCAGAAAACAGGAGTCAACTATTTTTTCTTTTCTCCCCGAATCACTATACCAAAGGATGTTTTCAGTGATAAAGTATAGTAAACATATGAAGCACATAAACCAAGAAGGAATTTACTATTACAAAAAGTTTTGCAAGGAGATAGAATCTGAGTCTAAATAAAAATTGGTTTTCATTTAAGCCCTTTGCTTCACCATCCTATTGGCTTTCTTCCAGGGGCTTCTTGAAAGTGACCACAGAATGGCTGCCACTGTTCTGGACATCACATCAACGGGCCCTCCAGAGCCAGAAGGATGAAGATAAACAAAAAAACTGGCTTCATTCACATGCCTGTCTCATTTTATAAAGGAGGAAAACATCGGCCAGCTGCGGTGGCTTATGCCTGTAATCCCAGCACTTTGGGAGGCCGAGGTGGGTGGATCACGAGGTCAGGAGATCGAGTCCATCCTGGCTAACACAGTGAAAACCCATCTCTACTAAAAATACAAAAGCAAAATTAGCTGGGCGTGGTGGCAGGCACCTCTAGTCCCAGATATTCGGGAGGCTGAGGTGGGAAAATGGCGTGAACCCGGGAGGTGGAGCTTGCAGTGAGCCGAGATCACGCCACTGCACTCCAGCCTAGGTGACAGAGTGAGACTCTGTCTCAAAAAAAAGGAAAACATCCCATCCTCCTTTATAAAGACTCCTTCAGAGTCTCTTCAGGACCTGTCCTTATCTTTCACCACTGAAACATGACATCCTTAGATCATTCCCTGGGCCAAAAATAAAAATAAAAATAAAAATATAAATGAGGTTGCTCATACCAAGGTGATGGTATTAAAAGGTGGAGGTTTTCAATTATGATTGTTCTGCCCTCATAGGTAGGATGAGTGCCTTATAAGAGTCCTATAGGCACTTGTCTTTCCCTTTTACCATGTGAGGACTCATAGAAAGCACTGTCTGTGAGTAATGGCCCTCACCAGATACTGCATCTGCTAGCACCTTGATCTTGGACTTTACAGCCCCCAGAACTGTGATCAATAAATTTATGGGGTGTGTGTGTGTGTGTGTGTGTGTGTGTGTGTGTGTGTGTGTTGAGACAGAGCATCACTCTGTCACCCATGCTGGAGTGCAGTGGCGTGATCTCGGCCCATTGCAACCTCCATCTCCAGGGTTCAACCAATTCCCTTACCTCAGCCTCCCCAGTAGCTAGAACTACAGGTTCACCACCATGCCTGCTAATTTTTGTATTTTTGGGTAGAGACAGAGTTTCACCATGTTGGCCAGGCTGGTCTCAAACTTGTAACCTCAGGTGATTCACCCACCTCAGACTCTCAAAATGCTGAGATTACAGGCATGAGCCCCCACGTCTGGCCTAAATTTATGTTGTTTACAAATTATCCAGCATAATAAATTTTGTTATAGTACCTTGAATGGACTAAGAGACGAATTAAATGACTGTAATGTGTGTATCAAGTGAATCTTCTTAGAGGAGGTTGTCCTCAATGTAATGCTGCACCTGTGCTTATGGAGACTGTGGATGTCATTAAGCTCCTGTCTGCAAAGCTTGTGTGTGATGCCAAAGCTATGAGGGTACCCCTAGGTAGCCTGGAAAGGTGTATTGTGTTTCTTCAGAGGTGGAGGCAACTGTAGCTGAGGGTCTGTAGAAATAAGCACTTAACAGAACATGCTAGCCAAATGAATGAGAGCAAAATGTTTACCAGTTCTTGATTGAATAGTATTAGCAATTTTTAATAATATTAGATGTTAGATATGGGGGCCCTGATAGATGGGACTACAGCCTTAGTGCTGTAGTCATCCATCATAAGACATTCTTTGTGATATTTTTTATTTTCAGATATGGGAACAAGAAGCACTTTGGGCTGTTAAGTGGAGATGCAATGTGGATAGTCACCCTTTTATTAATCACGTTTTGTTTAACAAATTTTAATTATTGAAGGCCATTATTTCACCCTACGTTGGGCCATATTAACTATCTTAACTGGGGGACTAAGTGATCCCATTTTATCAAGCCAATCTCTAAGTGCAAACAATTTACTTTAATTTTAATGTATTATTTATTATGTCTACCTCCAACATATTCTGTTTTAGAGCAACCTACCTCCAACATAGGCTATTTTAGAACAATAGGTATGACTATGGGTAATTTAGGCAAGGCTGTAGTTAAAGCGAGGTATACTCATTTTTCAAAATTTTATATGTAGTTGCCTTCTCAAGACAATATGGGCAAAGTGAGTACATTTAGTGGGATCCTTGCAGGGAGCCGAAGACCCCATGGGATATGACCAACTCATCATTCCACTGGAGGCTATATGATCAAACAGCAAACTGTTTATCATGAATGCAGGATGTGGGCAAACTCACGACTACTCCCACTGCCAGAGGGTTTGCTGAGGGCGAGTCGCCTCCTGGTGCCGAGCTCCTTGTCCACTAGAGGCAAGGTGCCCCCTAACTCCTTCTTCCAGAGATACTCTTTTGTCTCTTGTCTTTTATTCCCGTGTTCATCCCCCTTTGTTCAGTCCACCAGGGATCATGGCACGTTACATAGTGGTGCCCCGAACAGCGACAGAATCAGGGGCTCTACAAGTGGCACTCAAACAGGCGACAGTCTGAACACGGGACTATGAGGATGTGAATGAAGAAGATCTCCTGGAATAGAGGAACTGAAATTGACAACGCAAATGGGGACCCTGGGATGAGTCAGCTGGCAGCGCACATGAGGTCAGCGCCTAAAGAGGTACTGGGATCAGTTCCTTAAAGAAGTACTGGGAATGGGAAGTTTTCTGAATCACGGTAACATGGGGCAGAATTCGTCTACTGAAAAAAATAATTATGTGCAGTTGCTTAGAGTTCTGTTGAAACAAACTGGTGCTCAGGTTAGTTCTCAGACATTAACTTAGCTGCTGCAGGAGGTTATTACACATAACCCATGGTTTCCACAGGCAGCACCCTTGATGTGGAAAATTGGGACAGAGCAGAAGGATTAAAATGGGCTCATCAAAAAGGTCTTAAAATTGATCCTTCTGTTTTCTCCACTTGGAGTTTAGTTCATACTGTACTTCTGCCATTATCTCCTTATTATTCTGTGGGACAACAGGCTGAATCTAAAAATCTGAAAGAATCTGTTGTCCCACTCACAGCTCCAGATGAAAATAAAAAACAGGAGAGGGAGGATAAAAATTGGCCTATACAGCCTCCTCCAGTTGCAGAAACATCTGTATTGCCTCCTTTGGTAGCAGAACTAGAGACCCCAATACAAAGAATTTTATGCTCTGCTGCCATAGCTGGAGAGCCCCTAGGACCTTGCACTTTTCCTATTTCCATAAGGCCTGATCCCAACAATCCACAGCAGGTTATTCATGAACACACCCCACTAGAGTAAGTTGTTGAAGGAATTAAAAGCGAGAGTGGTAAATAATGGCATACAGAGCCGGTTGACCTTAGGATTGCTAGAATCTGTGTTTGGTGCTATGCGTTTTTTACCCTTTGATGTGAGACACTTGATGCGAACTTGCTTGTCCACTAGTGCATATCTGACATGGAATTTAAATTGGCAAGAAATGTGTGCAGACCAGGCTAAACAGAACCATGTTGCTGGACACGGAGACATTACAGAGGATATGCTATTAGGTAATGGCCCTTATTCAGACCTGGAAAGTCAAATGGCACTCCCAGACGCTGCTTATCAGCAGTGTGCACAGGCTGTTAAATGCACCTGGGCCGCAATTCCTGAAGAGGGAGTCCCAGTACAATCCTTTTTACATATGCAAGGGTCACAGGAACCCTATGTGCAATTTCTTACAAGATCACAAGAGGCAGTGAAGCGTCAGATTCCTCATACCACGGCTGCAGAAATGCTAACCTTAACTCTAGCTTTTGAGGATGCAAACGCGGATTGTAAACATGCACTGGCACTGGTGAGGTGTATAAAAAACTTGGGAAGTTTTCTCAGAGCTTGTCAAGATGTAGGAACTGAGCTTCATCACTTTGCAATATTAGCGCAAGCAGTGGCTAATTTAGCAGTTGACAAATCTAAAAGGAGCCAAGGGTCAAACCCTAAAGTGGGAAAATGTTATAATTGTGAAAAACCTGGACATTTTAAAAAGGAATGCCGCCAGATCTCAGTACAGAAAGGACCTTACAATGCAGTGCCCCACCCAGTGGAAAAAATGCCAGGACTTTGTCCTTGCGTAACAGAGGAAATAACTGGGCTAATCAGTGCCGCTCAAAATTTCATCAGAATGGCACCCCCCTGCTGGGAAATGAGATGGGGGCCTGGACCCAGGCCCCACAAACAATGAGGGCATTCCCAGTCCAGACCTCAACCCCGTTCCAGGCATGGGTTCCCAGAGGCACATTGATTCCCTCACCCCAGGAACACAAGGAGTGCAGGATTAGATCTCCCAGTCAAAGAATGGGTAATGTTAGTTGGGGCAGACAAACCCATCAAAGTTCCCACTGATATTTGGGGACCTTTATCAGCAGGATATGTGAAACTAATTTTAGGCAAAATCTGCCTTAACTTACAGGGCATTACTGTAGTCCCAGAAGTTGTTGACTCTGATTATGAAGGAGAAATTCAAGTAGTTTTAATGTCACAAGATCTTTGGGTTTTGAGCTGGGACAATATACTGCTCAATTATTGCTTATTCCCTGCAAATCACACCCTTCTCCATGAAAGGAGAAATGAGAAAATAAAGAGGTTGGGAGCACAACTACATGAGAAATCTATCTATCCCAACCCATAGCCTCTAATAGACCTACCTGTGTAGTACACATTAAAGGAAAGAAATTTTATGGGCTTATGGATACGGGAGCTGATGTGTCAGTCATATCTAAAGACAGTTGGCCCCCATCCTGGCCCTTGCAATTAACTTCTACATCCCTAGTGGGAGTAGGAACAGCTCAAAGTGTTCAACAGAGCACTGAGATTTTACCTTGTCTTGGTCCAGATGGACAGTCATGTACTTTTCAGTCTTATGTTGAAAATATAGCTATCAATTTATGGGGTTGAGACTTACTTATAACATGGAATATGAGACTTACAAATGAAAACTTTGATAACCCAGGATTTAAAATGTTGAAGAACATGAGATATCAGAGGGGAAAATGTTTAGGAAAATTTCTTCAAGGAAATCCTAACCCAATATCAGTAACTGGAAAAACAGATAGAAAAGGGCTAGGACGTCAGGATTTCTGACGAGGGTCATTGATATTTCTCCTCTGCCCACTGCCTCACTATTAGAATGGCTCAGTGACAAACCCGTGTGGGTGGATCAATGGCCCCTATCTCAGGAGAACCTGATGCAACTTCAGCAGCTAGTAAAAGAACAATGGGATGCCGGACACATAAGCTTGGAATTCTCCAGTGTTTGTTTTTCCAAAAAAGTCCGGAAGATGGCGACTACTACATGATTTAAGAGCTATTCATGTACACATAAAACTGATGGGTGCCTTACAAAAACTTTCACCATCTCCAGCGGCTATTCCAAGAGACTGGCCTCTTGTAGTAATAGATCTTAAGGATTGTTTCTTTACTACACCCTTACACGAGAAGGATAAGCCTTGATTTGCATTCTCTGTGCCTTCTATTAATCAAAGAGAACCTGTTTCTCATTATCAATGGAGAGTTTTACCCCAAGGCATGCTTAACAGTCTTACGCTATGTCAGCATTTTGTAGGACAGGCATTAAAGAAGCCTCGGAATATGTTTCCTACTGCTTACATCATTCATTATATGGATGATATTCTTTTGGCTGCTCCTACAGATCAAAACCTACATCAGTTATTCAGAGAAACAAAGCAGGCTTTGACTAAATGGAATCTCAAAATAGCTCTAGAAAAGGTACAAACAACTTCCCCATACCAATACTTAGGAACTATTGTTACAGAGAGAAGTGTATGGACTCAGAAAGTAGTTCTCCATAAAGACAGGTTATAGACTTTAAATGATTTTCAGCAGTTATTAGGAGATATTAATTGGCCATGACCGATGTTAGGTATTGCTACCTATCAACTTACACATATTTACCAAACCCTGCACGGAGATTCTTTAAATTCCCTGCAGCAACTAACTAAAGAGGCAGAAGCCAAATTACAGCTTGTAGAGCAAATGTTACAGCAGAGACATGCCTCATGGCTACAACCACAAAAACCTTTGCTTTTGTTTATTCTTCCTACCCCCTACTCTCCAACAGGACTTTTGGGCCAGTTTATAGACTAGTCTGTAACAGTAATAGAATGGTTCTTTCTATCTAATCAAACAGTCAAAACCTTGCAAGTTTATCTTTCTTTAATTACACAAATTGTGACTATGGGCAGGCATAGGTCACAAATGCTTACAGGATATGATCCTGACAAAATTATTGTTCCTTTAGACTCTCAGCAACAAGCTGCAGCTTGGGAAATGTCGACTGCCTGGCAAACTGCTTTCGCAGACTTCATGGGCGTGATAGATAACCACTACTCTCAGACAAAATTTTACAGTTTTATAAAATCCATTCTTTCATTCTTCCTGTGATTACTCATCACAAACCTATTCCAGGTGGACAGACTTATTTTACTGATGGCTCTTCCAAAGGTCATGCTGCCATCTATGGACTAAAACATACTCAAACAATAAGGATCTCTGGGGTTTCAGGTCAATGCTCAGAGCTAGTTGCAGTCAGCTGTGAGGTTTTACAGCTCACAGCTTCAGATCCTATCAACTGCAGGGACCCGAAGGCCCATGGGACGTGACCAACTCAGCATTCCACTGGAGGCTATATGATCAAACAGCAAACTGTTTATCATGAATGCAGGATGTGGCAAACTCACACTGCGCTGCCACCAAAAGGTTTGTGGAGGGCCTCACTCCCTGGCTCCTTGAAGTTATCTATTGAGAGTTATCTATTGAGAAATCTAGCGCCTACTGTTTTAAGAATGCAGTCTTGCAAGCCTGCTGTGAATCAGGCTGCTAGCCAGCAACCACCCCCCCCACTTCCTGCTATCTCTTTTGCCTGATAAATACGGAGGGCTGTGTAAAGCTCAGGGCCATTGTCCACTAGAGGCAAGCTGCCCCCTGACCGCTTCTTCCAAATATACTCTTTTATCTCTTGTCTTTTATTCCCACGCTCGTCCCCTTTGTTCAGTCCATCAGGGATCGTGGCAGGCTACAATCAACATTGTCAACCATAAAGACAGGTTACAGACTTTAAATGATTTTCAGCAATTATTAGGAGATATTAATTGGCTACGCCCGATGTTAGGTATTGCTACCTATCAACTTACACATCTTTACCAAACCCTGCAAGGAGATTCTTCTTGTTCAGCTTATGTTGTAAATTTAGCCATTCGCATAGAAACTGCTACAGTTAAAAGTACGCTAGACCCAGAACTGCTTAATTTGTTTCACTTATTCTCATATGCTGCATGGTACATGCCAAACAGGTGAGACAGCTGGTCATGTACAGCGACATTGTCTGTCATCATTTGCTCATATGGGAATACCTAAACAATTAAAAATTGACAATGGACCTGCTTATACTAGTCATGCTTTTCAAAATTTCCTACAGCTTTGGGCTATAACCCATAAAACAGGAATTCCTTATAATCCTAGAGGACAAGGCATTATAGAATGGGCACATCAAACATTACAACGAATGTTGAAAAGACAAAAAGGGGGTATAGGAGGCCAACTACCACCTCAATCAAAACTACATTTAGCCTTATTTACTTTAAAATTTTTGACTCCTGGTACGGATGGTAAGACTCCAGCAGAAAGACATTGGCAAGTGTTAGAGGAAAAGAGGAAAGTTTATCTGAAAGTGTTATGGAAATCCCCAGAAGAAGGACAATGGAAAGGCCCGGTGGATTTACTGACATGGGGAAGAGGGTATGCTTGTGTGTTTACAGGAGATTGACAAGCCATGTGGGTGCCCTCAAGGTGCTTGCAACCCTGGAATGGGAGACTGGAGAAACATGGGGTGGCCAACCATGGGCCCAGTCCCTCCGGTACGAGCCATGAGTCAGCTGAGCCTGAGTGCAAAGATGGAGAGAAGGCCGACTGGAGTCACGACACAGTCTTAATGTTACATTTGTAAAGAATATCACCACTCAATTTGTGGTTTGTGTTTTTAATCCTTATGTCTTTTTGGCAGCTCAGAAGGACCAGCTCCAGGTAAACAATACCCAGTTGACCTGTAAATCTTGCCAGTTATATCACTGCATTAATCATAGCACATTGCGAACACATAATATCTCGACTTTGATGATTTTAGGTTGCATCCCTGGGCTAGGGATTCCTGTTAATCTGTCCGAGGCTTGGGCTGCCACACCTGCTTTGCATTTTGTGAAACTTCTTCTACTTCAGGTTACTTATTGTGCCCGTAGAGCCTTAGGCATGATAATTTTTGCTATCGTTTCCTTGGTCACACTAATAACTTCTGTTGTGATGTCCTCTGTAACTTTGCATAGTTCTGTTCAAACGGCTCAGTACGTAGAGAATTGGACACGTACAGCCAACCAAGCGAGGCTACTTCAGAATAAAATTAACACTGAGTTACAAACTGAAGTGGCAATGTTGAAATCCATGGTTCTGTGGTTAGGGGAACAAGTATAAAGCTTGCAGTTGCAGCGGCAATTGCGCTGTCATTTTAATCACACTCGTATTTGTGTAACCAACTTAGAATATAACAAAAGTGAGTATCCGTGGGACCTTGTGAAAGCCCATTTGCAAGGAGCTTTCACATCCAACATCACCTTTGATATTAGTGAATTACAAAACAAAATTCTTGATTTAAATAGGCACACTCAAGAATTTCAGCCTTCTTTAGAAGACTGGACTGAATTCCAGGAAGGCCTGGAGAGCCTCAACCCTTGGACCTATCTAAAGTACCACAGTAACATCTTATATGTAGTTCTTGGAGTAATGTTGTTTTGTCTCTGTCTTCTGTTTATAGTCTGTAAAATCGGATGGACCGCCAATCGGAGAATGAGAGCTGCCCAGCCTGGTCTTACATTCTTTCAATTAATTCATAAACAGGGGGATATGCAGGGAGCCGAAGGCCCATGGGACGTGACCAACTCAGCATTCCACTGGAGGCTATATGATCAAACAGCAAACTGTTTATCATGAATACAGGATGTGAGCAAACTCACGACTGTGCCTGCCGCCAGAAGGTTTGCTGAGGGCAATCGCTTCCTGACGCCAAGCTCTTTGAAGTTATCTACTGGAACATCTAGAGAATGCAGTCTTGCAAGCCTACTCTGGACCAACCAACTGACCTCTTCTTCCACCCCCCTTCTCACTATCGCTTTTCTCTAATAAATACAGAGGGCCGTGTAAAGCTCAGGGCCTTGTCCACTAGAGGCAAGGTGCCCCCGGACCCCTTCTTCCAAATATACTCTTTTGTCTCTTGTCTTTTATTCCTGCATTCACCCCCCTTTGTTCAGTCCACCAGGGATCATGGCAGGTTACATAGTGGCGCCCCGAACAGCCACAGAATCGGGTGCTCGATAGATCCTCATATATAACTATAATTTGAGCCCCAATGTAAAGTCCATAAATTTTTGTCAATTTGAGCATTTTTGCTGTTGTTGAAGTTAAGTTAGTACCTATGTTGTAAAGGCACAAAACCAAATCAGTGCCTTTTTATCCTTTTGTTACATAATTTTTTTGGTATAAAAATTAATATATGAATTTTGAATTCCCAATCAAATCAAATTGTAAAACTTTGTTTTGATGCGGTTATATATTAAATGTACATAATTCACCTATTTGTCCTATGTTTACATTAAAATATTATATACATATATACATATGATGTATTTAATTTCCTTTTTATCACCCTCCCATTAGAAGTTTGTTCATAAATCAGTAAGTATTCCAGGGCTAGGATTACGTTTCCTAGATCTGGATTCTGCCCAGTACTTAAATTTAAAGTTCCTCTTTTTTTTTTCTTGTACTCGTGACTGTGGTGTAGAACTGGAAACTGTGTCAAGGGTGACTGAGCCCTGAGCCTCGTATGAGAAAATTAAGCTTGTATTTAGACTGGATGCCGAGGCAACAGACCCTTATAAGCATTCACTGCAGTGAAGAAGGGTGATTAATGTTGGTTAGGCAGCTGTCAGTCTTGGCCAGAATTATGCCTTCAGGTACTCAAGATCCCTTTACACTCTTCTTCCAAATAGAAGAAGTAGAGCCATCCTTCCCAAGGATGAGATCCCCAACGTTTTATGTTGAAGTTTCTTTGTGATAAGTGTCCCATAACTTAAAAGAATACTTAGCTTCAAAGCCCCAATATACCACGATGCAATGAGAATTGGGAATCCACAATGGAAACTCCTAATGAGGAAAAGAAAAAAGGGAGATGTAGCGGACACTGTTCTACTGCAATTAACCAAGGCCAGTGGGAAGGAAAGGTAAGAATCCCCTGTCCTGGCAGTAGAGGGAGTCTATTAATTAGCCCATCTGGAAGCCCTGGCTCTCCTATCTAGAGGTCTCACGCTGTCCTTCGTGGCTCCTGACTTTCTGTCTTGCATTTTTTTCATTGTTCCTCATTTTCTATGGCCACAACTTAGTTGGGCATTAAAGAATATACATTTTTTTTTTTTTTTTGGAAATTGAAAGCATTTATAGGAGTCAAAAGTGTGAATGAAATGGTCAAACTGCTCTGCCTTGGAAATGCACAGAACTCTAGAGAAGACGAGAAGAATGAGTAAAGCAGTGGAGTGAGAGAGGACATTGATAACAGGATTCCTTGGTATTCATGTTGAGTGGTGTCTTTTGCCAGTGCATCAGGAAAGTATGTTACACAATACAAAATTGACAATTTCTGAGTGTTTTTGTGGAGAAAGCAAGGTAAAGGGCTGAGTTATGAGTTTATTTATTTAAATACAAAGTCATTAGGCAGTTGTTAGTGAGAGTACTGTATTGAAGTGGAAACTCAAAATTTAAGGTGTTCATGAAAATGGAAGCCACCTGGGAATTTATAAATATTGCGCACATGAGGATGAGAATTTACTAGACATGACTTGGTTCACGTTATTTTAATTTTAGTTAAATTAATTTAATTTAATAAAATAATTTGTAACAGAGATAATTTTAATTAGACATCAAATGTTTCTCACTTAAATATCTAGGTGACACTATTTATTGATTCATTAATTCAGTATTTATTGAGTGCCTACCACATGTCAGACACTATTTTACACATAGAGGGTGAGGATTCATCTGTAAGCAATACAGACCACAATTCCTGCCCTCAGACAGCTTACATTCTTATTATATGAAAGGAACCATATGAAGTTTGTATACAGTTGTATACAATAAAATAATCTGTAACGATGTAAATGAAAGAATAAAAATAATCATGTTAATATTGGCAGATATTACATTTGAAAACATTTAACATCCATTCATAATTTAAGCAATAGAAGAAGAGAACTCTTAAAAAGTAAGAATAGAAGACACCTTCAACAGTCTGATTAAAAAGAGAAAGATACAAAAAGGTGACAGCAAACATTACACTTAAGGGTAAAGTAATTAAGTTTTCCCTTTAATATATACTATCTCATCCAAGCCTTACAAATCCCCACCACTCTTTCTGTTTTCTTGTAGTTTTTTTCCACTTCCACTTACCCCAGGGTACAGGCTGAGGTCCAGAAATTAGAAATGACACCCACAATAGCCTCATTTTCTATTTCTTACTCTCAAATTGGGGGGCATGGAAGTATTTTTTCCTGATTAAAAACTTCATCCACTCATCCTTGAATGGCTTAATATGACTCAAGGGTAGATAAAGCTGGGACTGGCATGAGGGTAGGATGAGAAAGGGCTAAAAAATATCCCTGACCCCCTCCTCTCATTGCCTGTACCTCTACCTCTGCAGGAGGTGAAGCAGTGTTGGTAGCTCTGTCACTGGTCTGGGCTGAAGAGCTGAGGCAGCCCTCAACAGCCCGTCTGCTGTAGTCATCCATCGTAAGGCATTTTTACGAATTTTTTTTTTTTCAGATTTGGGAACAGGAAGAACTTTTGGGTTGCTAAATGGAGATGTGGTGTCGATAATCACGCTTTTATTAATTCGGTTTTATATAATAAATTTTAATCCTTGAAGGTGCTGTTTCAACTTCTATTGGGCCGTAATAAATTATCTTAACTGGGGGACTAAGGGGCCTCATTTGATCAAGCCAATTTGTAAGTGCCAAAAGCTTACTTTAATTTTAATTTGTTATTAATTGTGTCACAGAATCTATGTCCAACATAGAATATTTTAGAGCAATGACTGTATGACTGGGAAATTTAGGCGACGCTACAGATAAAGTGAGGTCTACTCATTTTTCAAAATTTTAGTTAGCTTCTCAAGATTATGGGAGTAGAGTAAGTAAATTTAATGAGATCCCTATGTATAACTATAATTTGAATCCCACTATGAAGTCCATAAATTTTGTCAATTCGTGCAGCTGGAGTGCAGTAGCACAATCTCGGCTCACTGCAACCTCCACCTCCCAGGTTCAAGCAATTGTCCTGCCTCAGCCTCCTGAGTAGCTGGGATTACAGGCACCCAGCATCACGCCCGGTTAATTTCTGTACTTTTAGTAGAGATGGGGTTTCACCATGTTGGCCAGGCTGATCTCGAACTCTTGACCTCAGGTGATCTGCCCACTTCGGCCTCCTAAAGTGCTGGGATTACGGGCGTGAGCCACCGCGTCCGGCCGCTAATGTTAGAAGTTAAGTTAGAACCTATATTGTAGAGGAACAAAAGCCAATCAGTGTCCTTTTTGTCTTTTTTTACATAAACTTTTACTACAAAAATTAATATATGGATTTTGAATTTCCAGTCAAACCAAATTGTAAAACTGTTTCAATTTGGTTCTATATTATGTATACATAATTTATCTATTATATATTTACATTAAAATATATGCATATATAATGGATTTAATTTCCTTTTGTCACCCCCATATCTAGAAGTTTCTTCATAAATTAATAAATAATCTAGGGCCAGCATTATGTTTGCTAGACCTGGTTTTGGCTCAATACTTAAAGTTAAAAGTTTCTGTCTTTTTTCTTGGACTTGTAACTGCCTAGAGCGTCAGTCTCTCTGTTATTTTTTTCTATTTTCTTTTTTCCCCCATCAGTCTTTTAGCCACTTGAAGCCAAAATTCTTAGTTTCTGTCCTAGTTGATAAGAGTAAAAGGGGAAGGAGGAAAAGGGCCCGGTGCCACTGGACAGTCACCTCTCTCTGGGAAGGACCCATTACAAGACAATGAGTCCCTCTCCTCTCTTTTTTTTCTATTTCACATAAAATCTTTAAAGTGACTTGCATTTCTAGGCATCTAATATTTATATACTTTTTATTTCCTAACCTCACTCTCTGGATGTTTACTGGACAAGATCCCAGTGGTATGGAGTAGCACTCTGCTGTTTTCACTTTACACATTGTTACCAAAAAAGAAAAAAAAATGGTATTGAGAGTTAGTCCAAACTGCACCACTTTGTAAGCCCCCCACCATTTTGCAGACTTTGGTCAAAGTGAAACATTCCATGGGGTTTCGGGCCATGAGAAACATCCTGCCCAACCACCTGACCACAAGGCACACGAACATCCTTATCACACTCTGCCGGGCAAAGGCCCAAGGAACATCACTATCACATTCTGCAGGAACAAGTGCCAAACCGCCTCATCATGGGAACATGTTATCAACATTTTCCCAGGCAACGGGCCATGCTCCACTTCCAGACCTCTCCCACCCAGGCCTGTAATTGCCCCAGCCTGTAAGCAGTGGTGGGCACTGGCACCTCTGCAGGTTTATACTGGACATAAATGCCTGCATTTGCTGTTGAGACACTCTGTCTTTGTGTGTCTTTCTTTAATCTCACTTTCTCTTCAAAACCGAACAATGAGCTCCACTTGCACTGGCCTTGTAGGCAGCCGCTTTTCTTTCCAGGGTGACCCGATCGACCTCTGAGGGGCTGGGAGAACGAGAAGTGATAGCACCAAGGAATGCAGCAACCAAGGAGGCACTGGCCTCAGCAGCACCGGCTCTTGCAAGGTGCCCTGGGGACTCAGGTGCAGTTGCCGTGTCACAGGTTAGAGTTAGGCGACTGGACCCTTTCACCCAGCTCCCCTTCACTGACACACTGAAGCCAGCATTCTGTCATCCTCTTCAACTTCACTATGGTGGAATCGCTGCTCCCCAGGAGCCTGGTGGCCCATGGCCCTATCATCAGCAAGATGGAGGTAGAGCTGAGGATCGAGCCATGGGCTACCGGGTGGCCAGCTCAGCATCCTGGCCAGCTCTCTCTGGCTGGAGGCCAGTACTTTGCTACTTAGAGCCAATACAGGCCGGACCACTACCGAGGCCCTAGGTCACCAGAGAAGCATGTATGGCTCAAGGGGCAACATGCCCTCCAGTAGTGGCCCCCTGTCAGGGGCCTGATCCCAGAAAGGGTTTCTGATGTCCCACAGGGAAACACCCTCATTACAATAGGATCTGCCCTCCTGCAGCTGCTGGGGAGCCTGGAGCCTCAAAGAGCCGTCCACGGTCACTGGAATTTCTGGAGAATCTCCAAGTTAACTGCTGAGGACAGCAGTACTAAGCTGCACGAAGCAGCAAAATGGAGCACCAGCAAGCAGTAGTGCCGTCTGGGCCAGACCGACTGGGCTGTCTGATGCAGGAAGTGCGTGAGTCATCCACACACACAGACATTGGGATTGTGTCCAAGACACAGCCAAAAGCCTGCCTGCTATGCCAGTAGTATTAAATGAAGCTCTTCAAGTTTCTCTATCAACTCAGCTGCTAGTGACCATCCTCAGCAGCCACCAGAGGTCAGGACAAAAGAACATCAAGAGGGGATCCAACTGCCCAGGTCGCTTTCGGGCAGCCTCACATCGTGGGTTGGATTGTGGGTGCGGCTTCAATGAGGCGACGACAGTGTTAAAGTTCGAGAGGTTTTAGTATTCACAGACCCCGGGAGGTACATGAGACATCTGGAGGCCACACTCAGAGGAGCAAGAGGACAGGCAGAAAGAGAGCTGACGGGGGTGGCAACTGGCAGTGGGAGTGGGGTGTGGCGCACTTCAAGTTCAGGGGCAAATGTCCGAATGGTTCCCTTTTTTCCTCTGTCACCCAGCTGGACTGCAGCGGTGTGATCTCGGCTCACTGCAACCTTCGCCTCCTGGGTTCAAGTAATTCTTCTGCCTCAGCCTCCCCAGTAGCTGGGCACCACCACCACGCCCGGCTAATTTTTTGTATTTTTAGTAGAGATGGGGTTTCACCATGTTGGCCAGGCTGTCTCGAACTCCTCGGCCTCCCAAAGTGCTGGGATTACAGGTGTGAGCCACCACGCCCAGCCAAGCTACAGCAATTTTCTATGATCATGAAAATCTGAGAATCTTCCCACCCTGGGCTATTTAGCCTCTTTAAGAATGATAGCAATTATGTAGCACTTGTTTACATCTAATACTCATAATAACACTGTGAGGCAGCCATCATCATCCCTTTTTTACTAGGGAGAATCCATGGCCCAGGGACTCCTGTAGTTTTTTCAGCATCATACCTAGCCAGTCAGTGGAGACAGGAAGATTTGTAAACCAGACCGAACAGAGCCACTACCTTTGCACGCTCAAGTGCTGCCATTGAAAGGCGTTCTTCCAAAATTACCAGGATAGGGTCCTGCCCTCGTATAATAAATTTTTTCTCCTATTTCTTTTACTCATTTCCTTCTTTTTTCCTATCATTATCAGTCACTTTCACTGAGGTCTTCCCAGGGACATTGTTTAGTGTAGCTCAGGGTTTCTCAGCTTTGACACCAATGGCATTTTGGGCTGGTTAATTCTTTGTTGTGGTGGACTGTTCTGTACACAGTAGGATGTTTAGCGGCACCCCTGGCCGCTATCCAGAGATGCCAGTAGCAACTCCCCATTCAGGAGTGACAACCAAAAGACATTGTCAAAGATCCCCTGGGAGGCAAAATACCTCCCACCCCCTCCCCCTGCCAGTTGGGTGTCACTGTAACAGTGTAAAGAGTACCAGGCTTTGGAGTCAGTTAGATCTCTACTCTGATCTTATCTCTGACACCTCGATGGTGTAAATTCTTGATCAGTGACATCTCTTTGAGCCCCCATTTTCCCCTCTGCAGAACTGAAATGGTTTTTTGATAAAGACTGATTTTCAGGGGAGGATTAAATAGAATAGACATGGACTGGAGGCTGAGGTGGGGGAATCGCTTGAACCCAGGAGGCAGAGGTTGCAGTGAGCTGAGATTGCACCACTACACTCCAGCTTGGCAACAGAGCGAGACTCCGTCTCAAAAAAAAAAAAAAAAAAAAAAAGAATAGACATGGAAATCATCTAGGATAGGTCGGTAAATCTGTAACAAATTAGAACTCTTAGCCCTCACCAGGCTGTGTGTTGTGTTGTGGGGTACAATCCCGAACCCTGCACTATGAAGCTCAGGGTCAGGACAAGAACGATGCTTATAGCAATAGTAGCTTCTACTTATGAACATTATCCACACACCAAGAGCTTCTCCCTTAACCCTCACAACTCCTCTCATAGGCTCTGTGGATGGGATGTGTTAATATGTGTAAGCACTCAACACACCCTGAGACACGGTGAATATTGATTAATGTTAGTTTTAATTTGTATAACCATTGTACAGACGAGAAAGTTAAGACTTAGATTGAGGTGGGATGTGGTGAGGGATAAAAGATCATTTTTTATACCAAAAAAATTGAAAATTGTATTTCTACTAGATCATTCTATCACATAATCACGCCCCCTCTCTTTCAAGAGAAACCTCCTTTGAAGCATATTTCTTTCCAGCTTCAACCCTATCTAGCCAAATGACCTCTCTGTAAGGTCTGTCTGTAAGACAGAATTTCCAGCCAAACATCCAAAGAGAATGTCTCTAATTCTTCCTTTTCCTTCTTCGCCTCAGCTGTTCTCCTTAATCCACTCCACATTGACTTCTGTCCTTAGCACTCCACCTAATGCATTTTCCCAAGGATGCTTATGACCCCCAGGCTGCCAAATCCAGTGAGTCCTTCTCAGTTTTTAAGACCTGATATCCCAATGACACAGGACCCATTGGATCACTTTCTCCCTTTTCAAACACATTTTTCCTATGCCATGAGATATATCCAAGAGATATGTGCACACAATACACTCTTGGTCGTCTCTACAGCTCGATTCTCTTCCTCTTTTTAGTCCAATTTACGGTGTTTTCTATTCTAAATTTGACTCTAAATGTTGGGGTATCTCACATTCTATAAATGATATCATCCAGTCTCTGGGATTAAACCATTATGCTGTCTTTTCATCTAAATTATCAGCCGTGGCCTCTCCCTGGCACTCAAGTCTGATAAAACCTCTCCCCGTGGGAGTCCCATAGACTCCAAACCTCACATGGTTTTACCAAACTGTTGATGTTCTCTGCCTCCCAGACCTGCCACTCTTCCAATATTCTGTATCTATTTGGAGATTAAATATTCAGTTGTTAAAGCTCCAGATCTAGAACTCACCTTTCATTTCTCTTTTCCTCACCACCCAACGCCATCCACGTCTTACTCATTCTATCTACAGAACATGCTGAATGCACAGCCAGAGCCATTGCCATCTCCACGACCGGTGTCCATGGCCCTGTCAGGCTTGGATATTTGCACAAGCCTTGCAAATAGCTTTTTCCTGGTCCTGCTGCCCCCTCCCCTAAGATCCATTCTCCAGACAGAAACCAAATGAGCTTTAAAAAGGTCCAATAAGATGGTGATGTTATTCGCAATACCTTCCGATGGCTTCCAGACTTCTAAGTTACCCTTATCTTAGGTTCCCTTATCCTAGGTTCCCTTATCCACTGCCACATGTGCCCTGTGCATCCCTCAGACCTCATCTCTGCACTCTCATCAGACACACTGGGCTCCACCCACTGGGCTCTAATTCCTTGAACTTGCAGCTCTTTGTCATCTCAGGGCTTCTGCTTTCTCTATTCCTTCTGCCTACCGTGCTCTTCGTCTTGAGCTTCCTGCACCTGGCTCATCCTGAATATTCATATTTCAGGTCAAATATTATTTCAGAGAGATCCCACCTCACCCACTCTGCAAAGCAGAATGCTCAGGTACAGCCTATCTCACCAGATACTTTTCTCCTTTATTTGTTTGTTCATTTATCTTCTCTCTTAAATACCCTCCACACTAGTACGTAAGCTCCACAGGACTATCAAGATCCTTCAATGCTACATCTCTACAATGCTACATGTCCAGTAGAAATATAATGTGTTAACTTTAGCTACATATGGGACTCAAAATTTTTTTGTAGCCACTGTTTTTAAAAAAGTAAAACACCTTTGGGGAAATTATTTTAGTAATAAATTTTATTTAATTACATATATGATAAAGAATTGGCCAGTCACATTGGCTCACGCCTGTAATCCCAGCACTTTGGGAGGCCGAGGTGGGCAGATCACGAGGTCAGGAGTTGAAGACCAGCCTGGCCAACATATTGAAACCCCGTCTCTACTAAAAATACAAAAAATTAGCCAGGCGTGGTGGCAGGTGCCTGTAATCCCAGCTACTCAGGAGGCTGAGGCAGGAGAATCGCTTGAACCTGGGAGGCAGAGGTTGCAGTGGGCTGAGATTGTGCCACTGCACTCCAGCCTGGGTGACAGCGCAAGACTCCATCAAAAAAAAAAAAAAAAAAAAAAAAAAAAAGAATGTTACTGGAACATGTAACCAAATTAAACACTGTTAATGAAATAGTTAACATTGTTTTCATACTAACGAAGTGGATTCTTCACTGGACTACGCTACTCCAGAGTTAGAAGGGCTCTGTCATATAGCAGGCATTTCAACAATAACTTTAAAATTTTCAGACCCCAACTTACCACCAGCTTAGATCCTTTTCCTGTGCCCAGTTCCTGGATTCCTGTGGAGCAACTCAGGCTCTAAGTACTTGTAAAAAGATGAAGTTATATGTTTGGTTTTAAGATCTTAATTGGCTTTGGTTATAAAGATGGAATCAGACAGCCTGTCATGCTATAAAACAAAATGAGTGTTTTGATAGTTAGAGCCAAGGAAGTTGGTTTTACAGGGATAGGAGGGCTAAAGAAAGCAGAAACAGAGAACAAAAACCTGATTGGTCATCTGGATGTTGCATTTTTTTTGTGCAGCAGGAATAGAGAGACAGCAATAAGGAACAACTGATTGATTGAAGTCAAGTTACCACAGATTGCTTTTTTTTTTTTTTTGTAAAGATGAAAGCAGACAGAACTTCATGTTCATGCCCACTGAAACTGGCCTGTTTTAGGAATTTGTCCATTTTCTCTCTCTCCTGATTTCTCAAAAGTTCAGATACATTAGTTTTGGTTTGGTGATGTGGAGTTTTAGTATGACTGACTCCATTTGGTTTGCTTTGTCGAACCTAGTACAATAGGTCAGTCCAAACCACTTACTTGCTGTTTTTATAGAACAGGCTTCAGCAGAGACTTAGTTGAAGGACACGGGGACAATGGAGCTGGAATCAATCCAGTGACACAAACTCAGGGTTTCTTACCATTCCCAGAAGACACCTTGGAGATGTTCTCAGACGATTTATCTTGGAAACTTATGTGTCTGAATGTTCCTTCACCTCTAGCCTTCTGTGGGAGACTGGAGTTCATCCTTCCAAATATCAAAGGCCAAGAAATCTGAGAGTCCAGGCCCTTTCTTTTCAGAGATTCAGGAAAATGAAAGAAACAATTACCAAGGTGAGAAGAATGAGAGGAAAAACAATAAAAAAACAAAGATGCACGGTGAAACAAAAACTCGATTCTCTACTTTCACAATCCTTCTGACCAAATATACTTTTTCTCTACACCAAGAAATTCTCCAATTCTCTGGGGACACCACCTGGGCCACCTGCAATTAAAAATTCGGTTATGATGCTGTCTACCTGGATTCAGCTCAGATCCGAAAAGCTAAAGGGCTCACTCCCACAAACTGTTCTCAGATCAGATCAGACATCTGTTGCAAGTCCCAGGTGGCTACTTGTACTTCTGACTGACAGGCTATAAATTGGGTGTTCCAATGACACCAATAAATTGCTAGAATGGCACACAGAACTCAGGAAAGCACTTTGTTTGCATCTGTTGCTTTATATAAGGAATATACCTCAGGAATAGTCCATTGGAAAGAGGCATATGGCAGGTATATGGCAGGGAAGGGGTTGGGTGGTGCATGGAGCTTCCATGCTCTCTTCAGGCAGCCACTCTCCCAGCACTCCTGAGTGTTCACCAATGTGGAAGCTCATCAAATCTCATTGTTCAAGAGTTTTTATGGAACTCAATCTCCAGTCCCTGCCTCCCCTTCCTGGAGATCAGTAGGTGGGGCTGACAGCTCCAACCCTCTAATCCCTTGGTCTTTCTGGTGACCAGTCCCATCCTAAGGCCATGATCTCCTTAGCATAAACTCAGCTATGATCAAAAGGGGCTGTTTATGAATAACAAATAATACTCCTATCACTCAGGGAATTCCAAGGGTTTTAAGAGCCCTGTGCCAGAAATCTGTGACAAAATCAAATATGCTTTGAGGTATTTCATACCTCAGAGTTACAAAGAGAAGCAGTAACTAGGAGCATGTAGAGAGGTAAGGAAGGTAAATGAGAGACACTGTACACTCCACACCATTGCCGAGATTAACCCCCTAACCTTCTGCCCCTAGGGAGATGCTCTATGGACTACTGATCTAAGGAGATGGGCTCTTTCTGAGTTTTTAAACACCATCAGAATGTTGTTCTCAAGCCCAAGGAATAGAACCATGAAAAACAGTGGAGAGCCACAAAACAAGAGTCAACTATTTTCTATTTTCTCTCTGATTCACTGGATGTTTTCAGTGATAAGGTAGAGTAAACCAATGAAGCACATAAGCCATGGAGAAATTTATTATTAAAAAAAGTTTTGGAAGGGGATAGATCTGGAGTTTGAACAAAAATTGAGTTTAATGTCACCCTTCCACTCCATCATCATATTGGTTTTCTTCTAGGGCTTTCTTGAAAGTGACCACAGAATGGCTGCCACTGTTCTGGACATTGCATCAACAGGCCCTCCCGAGCCAGAATCATGAGACAGGCAGAAAATGTGACTCATTCACATGCCTCTTCCATTTTATTACAGAGGGAAACCTTGTCCAGAGTCTCTTCAGGACCTCTCCTTGTCTTTCATTGCCAGAGCATGCCATCTCTAGACCAATCAATGGCCAAGAAATAACAAAAATACCGATACATAAAAATAAAGGTCAGGGACAGTGGCTCACGCCTGTAATGCCAGAATTTGGGGAGGCCAAGACAGGAAGATTGCTTGAGCTCAGGAGTTCAAGACCAGCCTGGGCAACATAGTGAGACCCCATCTCTAAAACCAAAAAAATATTAGCTGGGTGTGGTGGTGTGGACCTGTAGTTCCAGCTACTCAGGAGGTGAAGTGGGAGGACTGCTTTGTCAGGGAAGTTGAGGCTGCAGTGAGCCATGATGATGCCACTGCCCTCGAGCCTGGGCAATGAGCAATACCTTACCTCAAAAAAAAAAAAAAAAAAAAAAAAGACAAGTTGCTCATATTGGCTTAGGCCAATCATGATTGCTTTCCTAGGACAGTGGCACATTGCTACCTGCCACCTGATTAAAATGGAATTTACTTATCAGTATAATAAAGGGTGGTGGGTATTGCATGAGGCCTCTGAAGAGGTGCTCCCTTGCTGGCTCCTGCAGACATAGAGCTTAAACAGACATGTGCCTTACCCTGGAGATGCCGACTACCCAGGTAAAGAGGTGACAGCGTCACTCTACTGTGACTAAGCATAGTCTTATGCACCCTTTGTGCACAATGGTGTCCTCTGCCATTTCCCTAAGCAGTCACAGTAGAGTGGGGGTATATAGTGATAGACAGATGCCTGGTTCATTATGAGATTTCCCAAAAGGAACAACTAACTGAGACTGACAGGGTCCAGGGTCACTTCCAAGTGCAATGCAGATAACATCCGGGATGAATCTTAAAGACTCAGATAAAGAAGCAAAAAAAAATACATTCCAGGCAGAGGAGAGTGAAAGCACGCAGGAAAGGGTCAAAAAATAGCAGGTTACCTGCGGTTATTGGAGCATAGATGGTGAGGCAGACAGCAATAAACACTGAGTGTGTAGCAAGTGGCAGAAGCCATCTGTTGGAGGGTCCTGAATGCTACAAGAAGGACTTGGAATTTCTTCATAATAACATGAATAACCATTTAAGCAGGACAGTGACTTGTCAGGTGTGTGCTTCTGAAAAATATTGTTCTGTAGTCCTGCAAAGGGATGCCTTTGAGAATGTTTCTAATTGGAGACAGAGATATTAGAATGGAGAATGTTGCCAGAAATCAAGGTAAGGTTCTTGAAGAGCTACCCAGGGCAGGAATAGTGTGATCAAGAAGAGGCGTAGCTTAGAGACAGATTGTCCAGGCTGAGTAGACCAGCCTTGGAGACTGGATGGCTGTGGGGAATGGGGAAGAATGAGTGCTCTTTATAAATTCCACATTCCTAAAGTTACTATTGCTGCATCTGCTACAGTCTGAATGTTTGTTTCTCCCCTCCCCAGATTTGTATGGGAAATCCTAACCCCCTAGGTTATGGTATTAAAAGGCGGGACCATAGGGAGGAGATTAGAGCGTGATGGTTGCACCCTCATAAATAGGATTAGTGCCTTTGTAAGAAAGCCTTGAGGGAGCTTGTCTGTCTTCCACCATGTGAGGACATATGGAAGGCGCTGTCTATGAGTAATGGGCCCTCATCAGACATGGAATCTGTTGGCATCCTAACCTTGGTTTTTCTTTTTTTATTCTTTCCTTTTTTTTTTTGAGAGAAAGTCTTGCTTTGTCACCCAGGCTGGAGTGCAGCAGTGCAATCTCGTCTCACTGCAACCTCCACCTCCTGAGTTCAAGGGATTCTCGTGCCTCAGCCTCTCAAGCAGCTGGGATTACAGGAATGTGCCACCATGCCTGGCTAATTTTTTTTTTTTTTTCTGTTAAAGATGGGATTTTGCCATGTTGCCCAGGCTGTTCTCAAACTCCTGGCCTCAAGCGATCCCAAACTGCTGAGATTATGGTGGCATGAGCCACTGTGCCCAGCCTTAATGTTGGTTTTTCTATCCTCCAGTACTGTGAGTAATAAATTTATGTGGATCATAACTTACTCTAATAGATTTTGTTATAGCAGGTCAAATGGGCTAAAAGACTAATTTGTACCAAGAAGTAGAGGTATTATAATTAGAAATACCTAAAAATGTGGAAATGGCTTTGGAACTGGGTAATGTGAGAGGCTGGAAGAGTTTGTGAGTGCTAGAAAAAACTCTACATTTCCATGAATGTAACGTTGAGGGTGATTCTGCTACAGGCTCAGAAGAAGATTGCAATAATGATCAGAGTATTGGTAGAAATGTAGAAGTAGGTCATTCTGATGAGATCTCAGATGAAAATGAGAAATATTATTGGAAACTGTAGGAAAGGACAGCCTCATTATAAAGTGGCAAAGAACTTGGCTGAATTGTGTCTGTGTCCTTGTGCTTTGTGGAAGGTAGAACTTCTGAGTGATGGAATAAGATGTTTGGTGGAAGTTACATCTAAGCAAAGCATTGAGGGTGTGGCATGGCTTCTCTTGATTGCTTATAGTAAAATGCAGGAAAAGAGTTACATAAAAAATGGCAATTATAGGCCAGGCACGGTGGCTCACTCCTGTAATCCCAGCACTTTGGGAGACCGAGGCAGGTGGATCATGAGGTCAGGAGATCGAGACCAGCCTGGCCAACATAGTGAAACTCTGTCTCTACTAAAAATACAAAAATGAGCCGGGTGTGGTGGTGAACACCTGTAATCCCAGCTACTCAGAGGCTGAGGCAAGAGAATTGCTTGAACCTGGGAGGTAGAGTTTGCAGTGGGCCGAGATCGCGCCACTGCGCACCCCAGCCTGGGTGATAGAGTAAGACTCCATCTCAAAAAAAAAAAAAAAAAAAAGGCAATTATAATCAAAAAGGAAGTAGAACCTAAAGATTTGGAAAATTCTCAGCCTGTAAAAAGTGCAAAAGTATGTTCAGGGGAGAACACCAATGGTGTGGGTAAGTGAACATTTGATACGGAGATTAGCATGGATAGAAGCCAGATAGTATTCATCAAGACAATGGAAGAATGACTCTGAAGGCATCTCACAGATCTTCACATCTTCCCTGCCCATCACAGGCACAGAATGCAAACAATTTCAAGGTTTTGGCGGCAAACAATTTCAAGATTGTATTCCCCATATTCCAGTATAGCACTCCTTGGCCTTCCAAGCTTTGGCTCAAGCACGCCAGACTGCGGCTCAGGCCACTTCTCTGGATGGCACAGGCTGTAAGCCAAGGCTACATCTGTGTGGTGTCATCTCCACCAGGGCACAGAGTGCATGAGCTGCGGGGTTGTGGCTGCCTCCCCTTAGATTTTGAAGGAAGGTGCTACCTGGAGTCGCAGGCATGCAACTCAGGGAGAGGGCTGTCTCCAGAGACTCTCTGTCTCTCCACAGAGAGTCCCTCCCCCAATATGATGGCATTAAGAGAATGCCCAGTACAGCAGCGGGGATGGGGCCACCACAGAGTGCCTCCACTAGGGCAATGTCCAGTGGAACCCTGGGGGTGAGGCTGCCCCTGAGACCTCAGAACAGTGTAGCCACCTGTGTGCAATACCACCCTTGGGGAGCTACAGCACCTGACTTCAGCCCCTGAGAGCTGCTGCATCAGCTACACCCAGCAAAGCCATGATGGTGGTTCTGCCCAGAGCTGTTGTGGCCCAACCCCAGCTCCAATGTGTCCAAAAAGCAGAACATGGAGTCAAAGAACATTATACTGAGGCCTTAAAATGTATTTGCCACATTGTTTTGGACTTCCTCAGGATCTGGTTCCCCTTTCTTCCTTCCTATTTCTCCTTTTTGATATGGGAATGTCAATCCTAGATTGTCCCACCACTATATTTTCGAAAGCACGTAATTGTCTGATTTAACAGGCTTACAGCTGAAGAGGAATTTGCCTCAGGATGAATCATACTTTGAGTCTCACCCATGTCTGACTGAGACGATCCTTAGATGATTTTTGCCCCATTGGAGTGAAAGTTCATTTTAAGACTCTTATTCTGTTTACTTGCCTCTAGGCATTTTTGTTAATCATGGGCCATTTCGTAGCAAGAAAGAAAACCTACTTATGTTTTGGTTTTTTGTTTTTTTTTTTTTTTTTTTTAGATGGAGTCTTGATCTGTCAACCAGGTTGGAATACAGTGGCATGATCTCAGCTCACCGCAACCTCCACTTCCCAGGTTCAAGTGATTCTCCTGCCTCAGCCTCCTGAGTAGCTGGGATTATAGGCATGCGCCACCATGCTCGGCTTATTTCTGTATTTTTAGCACAGATGGGGTCTCGCCGTGTTGGCCAGGCTGGTCTCGAACTCCTGACCAGCCTGGTGATCCGTCCACCTCGACCTCCCAAAGTGCTGGGATTACAGGTGTGAGCCACCATACCCAACTGCTTATGTTTTAATAACGAGAGTTTATGGGAAACATGCAGAGGCATCCAGGAACCCAGTTTTAGGAAGAATAATTGGACTTCAAAAGACTTGCAAATGTGTTTGGCAATTAGTCTCTGTGGGGTCCTTTGCCTCTTTTTTTCTCTTGACATCTGGGTCCTTCTCCTTTATGCATAATGGTGTCCTCTGCCATTTCCCTTATTTTAATTCCCCCCTCCCAACCATCACACACACACAGTATTTTGGTTTCCTTGTGCCTCTTAGACACATCTATACTTCTTACCCTTCCTTCCTTGGGAATCTTCTAAAATGCTTCTTGTTATTAGGACCCAAAGATAAATTTTTATAAAATAAATCTGAACATATCTCGCCTCAGATCTAAAATTTTCAGTATTTTTTCATTTCATCCCTATCTTCCTGGCATGAGATGCTGTATTGTGAGACCAGGAGCTATGGCAGCTATCTTGGGGCCGTGAGGTGGCAATTTCCAGGAAAAAAAAAACACACCAAAATAGTGATGAAAAAGTGAAAAGATCAAAATAAACTTATTAAATGATATAATTTGGACAGAAAGTAATTTAGTACTACTCACTTGCAAAATTCTTGGAAAGCAAATAAACCATAAATGTTGTCTTTGGTTTAAGCCATTGTTAGGTGTAATTTTAAATTATAAACTACTTAAAATTGTAAACAGCCTTAATGACACAAAGCCTTGGGAATAATGCTTTTAGGTGGACTACCTTATTTCTGTCTCTGCTTCCCATTTATCTCCATACCACTCTGATACCCTTGGATAGAACCTAATATTTCAGAAAGCCCACCACCTCTTTGCACTAGAAACCTACAAATGAGCTTCCACTGGAGCCAAAAATTATGGGGTTAATCTTGGGGTGCCTGGGTGTGGATGCTCTGTCCTGTCAACTTCTCTGCCTCCCTTCAATCTCTCAGTGGTTTTGGTCTCCATCCTTCTCGTCTTCATTCTGCCTTTCATTGCTTCCCTCTAATTCTTCTGTTACTGGAAGGGGTCCTGATCCAGACCCCAAGGGAGGGTTCTTGATCTCGCACAAGGAAGAATTCAGCGTGACTCCATAGAATAAAGTGAAAACAAGTTTATTAAGAAAGTAAAGGAATAAAGCATGGCTATTCCATAGACAAAGTAGCCCTGAGGGCTGCTAGTTGGCCATTTTTATGGTTATTTCTTGATGATACGCTAAACAAGGGGTGGATTATTCATTCCTCCCCTTTTTAGACCATATAGGGTAACTTCCTGACGTTGCCATGGCATCTGTAACCTGTCATGGCACTGGTGGGGGTGTAGCAGTGAGGACGACCAGAGGTCACTCTCGTGGCCATCTTGATTTTGGTGGCTTTTGGCCGGCTTCTTTACTGCAACCTGTTTTATCAGCAAGGTCTTTATGACCTGTTTTTTTGTGCTGAACTCCTATCTCATCCTGTGACTTAGAATGCCTTCACTGTCTGGGAATGCAGCCCAGTAGGTCTCAGCCTAATTTTACCCAGCTACTATTCAACATGGAGTTGCTCTGGTTCCAGTGCCTCTGACATCATTACAGTACTTGCTCCTCTCTTTACCTTGACCCTTGGAGAGAGAAGGGTCCTGGACACCCAGATTCCTTGGCCCTTTAGGTTGAGAGGGTTGAATCTCTGCATCCCACAAAGACTGAGGTTGAGAAACACAGTCAGGTACTTTAGTTCCTAAATGGGCCCACAACAATCCACTGCTATTAAAACAAGTAGTATATTGGTGTGTTCTTAGGGCCATTAAAAATCAGAAGGAGCTCTGCTTTCTGTTTCCTGTTCCCCAACTGGTTTCAGTTCTCTTACTCCTCCTCCTGTCCCTTGGGCTAACTTCTGCTGTGAAAATTACATGACAGTGACTCTCTCCAGGAGATCAGGACCTAGAACTTCCCAGAGCAAGGACCCAGCTGGTGGAATATAAAATCCAGATGAAGAACATATCTCTGGGGATGGGGAGCTTGTTAAGGGCATACTTAATAGACGCTTTGGAGTACAATAGACTCTTTGGAGTGAGTAGAAGAATGTGAAGTTGAAGAATAATTTCTTTTCTTTTCTTTTTTACTTTAAGTTCTGGGGTACACGTGCAGAATGTGCAGGTTTGTTTCATAGGTATACATGTGCCATGGTGGTTTGCTGCACCCATCAACCTGTCATCTGCATTAGGTATTTCTCCTAATGCTATCCCTCCCCTAGCCCCCCAGCCCCCGACAGACCCCAGTGTGTGATATTCCCCATCCCTGTGTCCATGTGTTCTCATTGTTCAACTCCCACTTAGGAGTGAGAACATGTAAGAGATTCTAGGCAGGGCGCGGTGGCTCACACCTGTAGTCCCAGCACTTTAGGAGGCCGAGGCGGGTGGATCACGAGGTCAGGAGATCGAGACCATCCTGGCTAACACGGTGAAACCTGTCTCTACTAAAAATACAAAAAATTAGCCGGGCGTGGTGGTGGGCGCCTGTAGTCCCAGCTACTCGGGAGGCTGAAGCAGGAGAATGGCGTGAACCCGGCAGGGCGGAGCTTGCAGTGAGCCGAGGTTGTGCCACAGCACTCCAGCCTGGGCGACAGGAGCGAAACTCCGTCTCGAAAAAAAATAAATAAATAAAAACAAACAAAAAACCCTCAATCTAAGTTTTACCTCCTTTATAAAAACTAATCCAAAATGGATTACAGATTTAAATATTAAATGCAAAACTACTAACTTTTTAGAAGAAAACATAGAAGAAATAGTGAAGACTTAAGGCTAAGCAGGGAGTTCATAGACACGACACCAAAAGCACAATCCATAGAAGAAAAAAGTATAAATTGGACTTAATTAAAATGGAAAATATTTACTCTTTTGAAAGTTGCTATTCGGCTTCAGAGTCAATATAAAAATTTTAAAAACATAGCAAATCATGACATTCCCCTGCTCTTCATTCTCCAGTGGTTTCCAAATTTCTAACTCATGCTTACCAAGCTCTACCAGAACTGGCGCAGACATCATTCGGTGGAAATCTACTCCCCTTTCACAGAATAGCAGGTGAATGCAGAGGCTGTTTCAATAGATGAAGAGACAGAGAGTGAGAAATGCAAAGGCACTCAGATCAGTGATTGTAAAGATTGAGGGAAAAGGGTAATTTTGTGATTGACAGAAGGCAGCAATGAAGGTTATCAAGAGAATAAGTACAGTTTCATGGACTAGAATGGAGAGTGACTGAGAGGCTACTTTATCTTAGAGGCTCAGAAAACAATATCTTGAGGAGGTGACATGTGAGCTGAAATCAGAATTACATGAACTGCTAATGTGAAGTGTAACCACCCAATGGGTTCACCTTGCCGGCTGCCTAGACAGAGTCAATTTATCAAGGCGGGGAAATTGCAACAGAGAAAGAGTAAGTCACGCAGAGCCAGCTATGCAGGAGACTGGAGTTTCATTATTACTCAAATCAGCCTCCCCAACCATTCAGAGAGCAGAGTTTTGAAGAAGAACTTGGTGGGTGGGGGGAAGCCGGGGAGCCAAGAGTGTTGATTGGTTGGGTCAGAGATGAAATCACAGGGAATTGAAACTGTCTTCTTGCAGTGAGTCAGTTCCTGGGTGGAGGCCACAAGATCAGATGAGCCAGTTTATCCATCTGGGTGGTGCCAGCTGATCCATCAAGTGTAGAGTCTGCAAAATATCTCAAACACTGATCTTAGGAGCAGTTTAGGGAGGGTCAGAATCTTGTAGCCTCCAGCTGCATGACTCCTAAACCATAATTTCTAATCTTGTGGCTAATGTTAGTTCTACAAGGCAATCTAGTCCCCAGGGAAGAAGGAGGTCTGCTTTGGGAAAGGGCTGTTATCATCTTTGTTTTAAACTACAAACTAAGTTTTTCCCAAAGTCAGTTCAGCCTACACCCAGAAATGAACAAGGACAGCTCGGAGGTTAGAAGCAAGATGGAGTTGATTAAATTAGAGCTCTTTCACTGTCTCGGTCATAGTTTTGCAAAGGTGGTTTCAGAAGTTCAAGAGAAGAAATATTCCAGGCAGAGGAGTGGTTAGTACAAAGACTGTGAGACAAGAGTAAGCTTGGTGTGTTTGAGAAATAAAAATACTACTAGTGTAGTTACATCATAATAAGTGAGAAGAAACATGACGTGAGAGAATACGCAAGAACCAGATAATATGAGGCTTTCCTAGAGAAAGGCTTTAAATGTTTGTTTTATTAGTGCAATAGACAGCTATTATAGGGTGTTAATCAGGGGAGGAGCATGATGATGCTTACACTATGAAAAAGGTTTGTAAAGATGGATTGCTACAAAGCAAGAGTGGAAGCAGAAAGAAGAATTAGGAGACTATTACAGTCATCCAGATGGAGGTGGATTGGAGTCACGTGATAGCAGTGCATAGAAAAGAAACACACAGATTTGATCGATGTTTCTGACATAGAGTCAATGTGATTTGGTGATGGATGACAGTAAAAGAATCAGGAATAACTCATATTTGGTACTTAAGATATTAGGTAGAGGGTGGTGACTTTTTCTAAAATTGGAAATGATGTGGAAAACATGGCAATCAGTTTCTTGGGAAGAATCAGATTGATAGTTCTGTTTTGGTCATGCCACATAAAATACTTCAGTTAGATTTTCAAGTGGAAATGCAGAGGAGGGAGGTAGATACCAGTCAGGACTTCTTCTGAGAAGAGGTTGTGGATTATGATGGAGATTTGGGAGGGGTCATCAATGGACAGGTGGGATTTCAAGTTATAGGGACAAATTACCTAGGATGACTACATTGACACAAATAGGTGAGGGGGTCTAGAATTGGGCCCTTGGGTACACCAATATTTAAAAGTCAGAAAAGGGCCAATCAAGGAAATTGAGAAAGAGAAGTCACTGAGGTGGGAGGGAAACCAAACACGAGTGATGTCACCAGGAACATTATCTATTCAAAGATGAAAGGACTGGTCAACTGAGTCATATATGCTTAGGGGCATAAGATTCCACTGTTACCTGAGAGATGGTAGATTTCCCCCCATTGGATTCTTAGCCAAGCACCAAATGTCTGAACCTGCAGTGCGGTAACATGGCAACAGATGTCACTGTTATCCATAATAAGAGTAGTCCTGGTGCAGTAATCAGGAAAGGAACCCATATAGAATGGGTTGTTGTGAAAATGTGAAATGAGGAAGTAGAGAACTGAAGTGGTAGTGGCCCTTGTATTTGCTGTCAAGGAGAACAGAGATTGGTTGTAACGTTCAGAAGGAGGTTTGTGCTACAGAGTTTTTTTTTTTCAGTTAGATTAGAGAACATATTTTATATACATATATATACATATATATACACATATATGCATATATACACACATATATACACATATATACATATATACACATATATATACATATATACACATATATATACATATATATATGCTGATGGCAATAACAAAAAATTTAATGATACAGTAGAGAGAGAGAGAGAAAAAGAGAGACCACCTCCATCTCTTCCTCTCAATACCTACTCATTTATATTAGTTAATGTTTTATCATTCCTCTGTTTTTTCTCAGAATATGTGATTTTTAATAGAAAGTACAGAAGCGATAAAAGTAATATGACAGTTTTTAAATAGAGCAAAATATAAAGCCTTATTTCAATGAGAAATTAAGTAGATATTATTGGCGTTTCAAAACACAGTTCATAATTACAGAGTTTCCATAGATAAATAAAAATAATTAGTGTAAGTACCTGGGATGTCAGATGATAAAGAATCAAATGAGGAATTTTAAAGCAATAATAATTATGTTCGGTTTTTTACAGAGCAGTAGACCTTTTTTCCCACCTCTCTGGGGGGAAAGCACTGAAAACATATATCAGTCAGGGTTCTACCAGGTAAATAGAACTTATATATATATATGAGATTTATTGGTTTATGAGACTTTGGAAGCTGGCTCAGTAAGTCTGAAATCCATAGGGCAGACCATCAGGAAGGGAAGGCTGGAAACTCCCAGGCTGTAGTTGATGCTTCAGTCCACAGAGAGTTTCTTCTTCTTCATGGAAACCTTGGTTCTGCTCTTAAAATTTCTCAATTTTTTGTTTCAGGCTCATTCATATTATAAAGTTTAGTCTGCTTTACTTAAAGTCAGTTGGTAGTAAATGTTCATCATATCTGAAAAGAAATTCACTGCAACATCTATAATAATTTTTGATGAGGAGGACACTATAGCCTAGCCGCATTGACACACAAAGCTAACCCTCACAGTCCATTCTTGTCATCCAGTCACCCATACACGTTTCCTTAAATCATGTTTATTTTCCAAAGAAAGGTAAGAACAAAGTCCTCCTTCCTCCTAACATGATACACCTATCTTCCTTATAGCCAAAAATGCACTGACTCTTTCTCCAGAAGAGGATGCAGAGTCCTTGGGTGATGTTTCTTCTTCTCCTCCTTCTCCTTCGTCTTCCTCTTCCCCTTCCCCTCCTCCTCCTCCTATACTTCTCCTCCTCCTCCTCTTCCTCTTCCTCTTCTTCTTTTTCTTTGTCCAGGCTGCAGTGCAGTGGTGCAATGTCACCTCACTGCAACCTCCGCATCCTGAGTTCAAGGGATTCTCCTGCCTCAGCATCCCAAGTAGCTGGGATTATAGGTGCACAGCACCACACCAGGCTACTTTTTATGTTTTTAGTGGAGACGGGGTTTTATCACATTGGCCAGGCTGTTCTCAAACTACTGACCTCAAGTGACCTACCCGCCTTGGCCTCCCAAAGTGCTGGGATTATAGGCGTGAGCCACCACACCCAGCCTTCTCTCTTCTTTTTGATCTCCTCTAATATAAACACCATGATTTAAAATTACCTATTATTAATACATTTTATGTTATGTGATAATGAGACAAAAGAGGAAAGAAAACAAAAATTTTTGAAACACACAAATTTGTTCATGACAAAATAAGAAATATTCATTAAAATGATAGTCTTCACTTCTGTAACTGATTCTGCGATCATGGTAGTATTTATAACTACCATCTTTCACTCCTCAATCCATTTTCCATTTTCCCTCAACTAGTACCTCAGTTGGTCATCATCTGTGCCTAGTGGGGAAACCCAAACCTTCATTCCTGAAAGATCTGGGGCATTACAGTCCTGCTTGATAGAGCTGTGGTTTTACATGGACTTTAATAACAAAACAAGGTGGTACTCAGAGCTGCCCTAATGGGTCTGTCATATTCCAGACATGTTCTTCATTATCTCTATATAATATAGTAGCATACCAATTTCCTTCTTAGTAGCCAGGATCAGTCACCCCATCCATACAGTAACTCCCTTCTTTGCCTGCTGATTCAGAGCAAGAGGAGCCCAAAGTAGTGATGGGCAGTGGTACCTTCCAGTTCAGTAGAAACATTGTTGTGTCGCTGGGTGGATACATTTCTTCCTTTGGAACCAAGACCTCTGAGCCAACACAGCATAAGGTCATGAGGATGGGAAGCAGAAATTTTTCTAGTGGATCACTAAAGGTAATAATGAGTGATACAATTCCCATTTCTACCCCTTCATTCCTGGATCCTTGGATTCTAGTTATGGGAGAGAGAGCACCATACACTGAGTGCTGATTTAGAGTATGTATAGCTTCCTAAAGGATATTGCTCCAGCCCTGCAAGGTATTGCCTGCTAGCTGGTACTTGGGTAAGTCTTCAAAAGGTCATCCTACCATTCCTTCAAGCCGGCTACTCAAAATGGACAATATGGTAGGACCAGTGAATTCCAGAGTGTGGACCCATTGCCACAGTTTATTTGCTGTGAATTTAATCCCACAATCAAACCAATGCTGTATGGAATGCCATGATGATGGACAAGGCATTCTGTAAGTCCACAGATGATAGTTTTGGCAGAAGCATTATGTACAGAGAAAGCACATTCATGTTCAGAGTTAACATCTATCCCGATAAAAACGAGGCTCTGCTTCTCCCACAAGGGAAGTGGTCCAGTGTGTTCAACCTGCCACTGGGGAGCTGGGTGATTACCCAGGGAATGGTGCCATATCAGGGACTCAGTGTCCATCTCTGCTGTGGGCAGATTGGGCACTCAGCAGTGAGTGTAGCCAGATTGGCCTTGGCAAGTCAAAGTCCATGTTGCTGATCCCAGGAACAGCTTCTGTTCCTGCCACTGAAACTGTAGAAGCAGGAAACATGTTAGAATGATCAAGGATAGAAACTAGATTTCTCTGAATGTATCTACTTCCTCTTATGGTTTTTTGACTGTAACAAGAACGGGATAGGAGGTGCCAACTGGGAAGAAATTGTACTTGATGTACAACAGCATAACCTATATAAATTTTTAAAATCTTGCCCTTTCTTAAAACTGGGCTTGAAATTACATTCCTATTCCCATAGTCTAGATACCCATCGTGACTGGTAAAATGTTTACCGTGATTTGACTATCTAGAATGATCTCTAGAGACAGTGGCAGACTATATTTTCCACTGATATCTATGTTACATATTTATCTCATCCCACATGTTGTCTGTACAGGTAATTCACACTCCTCCCACTCCTTCCACAGAGAAGTGAGGATTTTTTCCCCCTCCTCTTCAATCTGGACCAGGACTTGTGACTGCCCTGACCAATGGAGTATGGCAGAAGTAATGCTATATCCCTTCCAAGTGTAGTTCATAAAAAGAATGAAACTTCCATTTAACGCTTTCCCCCTCAGATCACTCATCCTGGGAGATACCATCAGCCACGTTATGAGACTACTCCAGCAGTTCTGTGGTGAGGAAGCAACTTTCCAGCAACAACTCATTATCTATGGGATTATGTCACCTGGAAGTGAATTTTCTAGCCTCAGTCAAGCCTTCAGATAATTGCAGCCTCAGCTCACATCTGACTACAAACTCATGAGAGATTTCAATCCAGAAACACTCAAGCCAGAAACTTCCAAATTCCTGACCCAGAGAAATTGTAACAGATAGTAAATTAGATTACTATTGTTTTAAGCCATGTTTTGAGGGTGATTTGCCTGCAGCAATAGATAACTAACACAGGGACAACCTGGTATAATATTAGCTCAAGTGTGACTTAGAATAGGTGAAACATTATGAATTGCCAGGAGTTTTATCAACCAGCAAGCCTCCCAACTCTGTGTGGGTCTCACAAAATCTCCATCATTAGTAGTTAATTCTTTGACTCTATCTTCCAAACTTTATGCCTAGATTGCCATTTCAACTGGAAGAGAACACACTGGGCAAGAGGAACCATTGAGCACCTACTTCCCTACAAATTGGGACAGGAAGTTAGTGTTAGGACCTGAGGGAGGGAGAGTAAGGGACATAGTTTTTGGAGGCGATATTGGCTCTTTTTGTATCAGAGGTTGTCCTTCCTCTTTCACTGTGTTTCTCAGTAACTGTTATGTGCTTTGTGTGTACATACAAAAATCAGATCCAGATTTAGTTGGTTTGCTATTTGTGGTAAGAATTGAGGTGTAAAGGGCATGGGGGACTTTTTTCTGATAAATTATTAATTCTGTTCACTGTTGCTGAGAACCTCTTCTTTCAGAAGAACAAAGTATTGACAGCTTAGCTTGTCCACACCTGTGATTTCACGATCACAGCCTCACTCTCCAAATTTGCTTTCCTAACTAGGACTTCTCCCCATGTTTCCCTCCCAATGGCTGTGTTACCACCGCATATAAAAAAGACCATTTGTTCTATGGTGTGGACCATAAAGATATATCCGTGTTTCCAAGAGGTAATATTAGTTCTAATTCTCATGGTCTAATATTAGTTCTTATTATGTCCTCTAGTTAAAAGAGTATTTATTCAACTGCTAGAAAGCAGGGGAATCATTGCTGGGCGCAGTGGCTCACACAGAAATAAGCCCCGTGTGGTGGCATGTTCCTGTGGTCCCACCTACTCGGGAGACAGAGGTGGGATGATCGCTTGAGCTGGTGAGGTTGAGGCTTCAGTGAGCTATGATTGCACCACTGCACTCCAGCCTTGACCATAGAGCAAGACCCTGACTCAAAAACAAAACAAAACAAAAAAAGAAAACAGGGGAATCTGATTGCACATTACAATTTACCAGGGAATACCTAAAGGGAACAAAGTTAATCTGTGATTAAACACAGATTATTGTGCTCTGCTCCAAACTTTATAAATCAAGATGCTTTGATGTTGCAGTGACCTAACCCATATTAAAACAAACAAACAAACAAACAAACACCTCCCCAATTGACTCTGATGAAACAGCATCAGTGTAGGTCAACATTCGGGACGCAGTTAACTAGATGGTGTTTGGAGCCGCAGGAGGCATGAGATGGAAAGATAGAATGGAATCACAGTTGAACAGTCGCCAGCATCCTAAGCATTTACATGGACTTTCTTTCGTCTAATGGCACTGGTAACTCATAGAATGGGATGAGATACAGGAGAGATCTCTAGCCTCCACCGTCTCTGGAATGTACATTTTGGAATGAAGGGGACTTTCTGCATTGAAAGAACAAAGTTACTTGTACAGATGTGCTTAGAAATGTATTCTGGGCGAGCTAGCCCACAAATAATCAAGCTTTCCAAGGGTTATCTCCCAATGCGGTCACAGAACTGAGTGAAGCAAGAGTTGCATTTCCTTGTGTTTTCTTTTAGCTGCCACAAGAGGGAGCTCGATGTCTAATGAGTTCGTTTTCACGAGCCCAGGAGACCCGAGCCAGTCATGCCGGGGATGGCTTCCTCCTGCTGCCTTTGACCCTCCCTGTCCTAGCAAGTATGAATTTAGAGAATTGCAGCACCTATATGAAAGGTGTCCTGCTTCAAGCAGCCTAATTTCAGGAGCTATGAAGCTTTACTGGTATAAAGAAAAGGGGACCCGAATTCGATTGACTTATTTTTCGTTTTTTCCTCTTTTATTTGAAACAAGGTCTCGCTGTGTCACCCAGGCTGGAGTGCAGTGCCACAATCATAGCTCACTGCCGCCTTCGCCTCCCGGGCTCAAGCTATCCTCCCACCTCAGCCCCAGTCCTTCAGCTGGATCTACAGGCACGCACCACCAAGCCCAGGTAATTTTTGTATTTTCAGTAGAGACGAGGTCTCACTATGTTTCCCAGGCTGGTCTCGAACTCCTGGGCCCAAGCAATTCGCCCACCTCGGCCTCCCAAAGTGGTGGGGTTACAGGCATGAGCCGCTACATCCAGCTGACTTATTTCTCTTAGCTTTTAAAATGTGGACTATAACAACCACCCCACACACAAACACACACAATGAGAAAAAGATAAACGTGAAGATTAATATATTTGTGTAAAACAAAATGCTCATGTACTCCCACTCATGTCAAGAAATAGATCACTATTTGTTTTTCAGAAAAGTTGTCTTCCTAAGATGTGGCAATGGGCTTTATAGCTCTGATAGTAGATAAGAGCAGAGAAATCAACTAAATTACAAACGATCTTTTTTAGTATTACTTTTTTTAATTTTTAATTTTTGTCGGTACATAGTACATAGTAGTTGTATATATTTATGGGGTACATGAGATACTTTGATATCAGGCATGCAATGTGTAATAATCACATCATAGAAAATAGAGTATCCATTCCCTCAAATATTCGTCCTTTGGATTATAAAGAATCCAGTTATACTCTTTTAGTTTTTAAAAAATATATAATTAACTTATCATTGACTATATTCACTCTATTGTGCCTTTGAATACTAGGTTTCATTCATTCTTTCTGTTCTTTTTGTACGCATTAACCATCCCCACTTCTCCCCCGACTCCTGCCACCCTTCCCAATTTCTGGTAACCATCCTTCTATTCTCTATCTCCATGAGTTCAATTGTTTTGATTTTTAGCTCCCACAAATAAGTGAGAACATACAAAGTTTGTCTTTCTGTGCCTGATCCATTTCACTTAACATAATGACCTCCAGTTCCATCCATGTTGTTGCAAATGACAGAGTCTCATTATTTTTCATGGCAGAATAGTACTCCATTATGTATATGAACAATTTTTTTTTGTTCATTCATCTGTTGATAGACACTTAGGTTACAAACTATTGTAATTTTTTTCTATAGACAAACACACAGTCATGCAAAGGAATGTGTGTGTGCACAGGTATTCATTGTAGCTTTTTTTTTGTAATGAGCAAAAGATCAAAAGCAATTTGGTCAGATTAAATTTTGTTACATTCATCCAATAAAATACAATGCAAAAATTAAAAAGAATGAGGAACTTTGAGAATACAGACACAGAAGGAGGACTTTCTAACTCATGATAAATCCACGATCACCCTAATAACCAAATCCATTTAAAGACATTACAAGAAAACAAAACTACAGACCAATAACTCTCATGAACATAGATGCAAAAATTCTCAAAAACATATTAGGAAATCAAACCCAAAAATGTCTAAACTACTATAATGTAATGTATAAAACAAAGTATAAAAATTATTCATGCCAGGTATGCAAGTCTAGTTCAAATTTCAAAAATTAATTAATGTAATCAATTACATCAACAGACTAATGAAAAAACCACATAGTTATATCAGTAGAAGCAGAAAAAGTATTTGACAAAATTCAACACTCATTCATAATTTTTAAAAATGCTCAGTAACCTGGGAATAAAGAGGAACTTCCTCAATCTGATAAACAATGCCTACAAAAAATCCTACAGCTAACATTATACTTAACAGTGGGAAACTTGACGCTTTCCCAGTAAGGCCAGGAACAAGGCAAGGACGTCTTCTCTCATATTGGTTTTCAGCATTGCTGAAGTCTTAGCTAATTCAATTAAAAACAAACTAAAAAGGTATGCATATTGGAAAGGAAGAAAAAAAAACTATTTTGTTCACAACTGACATGATCATCTATGCAGAAAATCCAAAAGATTGGATAACAAACATTCCTGGAAGTAATAAGTGATTATAGCAGGGTTGCAGAGTACAAAAAAATCAATCACTTTCCTAGATACCAACAGTGAGCAAATGGAATTTGAAATTAAAAACACAATACTATTTACATTATGTCCCTCAGAAATGAAACACTGAGTAAAAATCTAACAAAATATGTACAAGATCTATATGAGAAAAACTACAACACTCTGATGAAAGAAATTATAGAAGAACTGAAGAAATTGAGAGATAGTCCATGTACAGGGCTAGGAAGATTCAAGATTGTCAAGATGTCAGTTTTCCTCAATTTGATCTTTGGATTCAGTACAATCCCAATAAAAATTCCAGCAATTTATTCTGTGGATATAACAAACTGATTCTAAAGTTTACATGGACAGGGAAAAGACCCAGTATAGCCAACATAATATTGAACAAGAAGAGCAAAGTTGGAGGACTGACACCATCTGATTTCAAGACATACTGTAAAGCTACAGTAACCAAGACAGTGTACTACAGGCAAAAGAACAGACAAATAGATCAATGGAACTGAATAAGAGAGCCCAGAAATAGACTCACATTAATATTGTCAAGTGATCTTTATCAAAGGAGCAAAGGCAATTCAATGGAGAAAAGATAGTCTTTTCAACAAATGGTTCTGGAATGACTAGACATCCATGTGCAAAAAAGTAACTTTAGAAACAGACCTTACATGCTTTGCTAAAATTAACTTAAAATGGATCGCAGACCTAAATGTAAAAGACAAAACTATAAAACACCTAGAAGATAACATAGGAGAAAATCTAGATGACGTTTGGTTTGACAATGACTTTGTAATTACAAAACAAAAGATATAATCCGTGAAAGAAAGAATCAAGAAGGCAATTCTTATTAAAATTGAAAATTTCTGGCTGGGCATGGTGGCTCACACCTGTAATCCCAGCACTTTGGGAGGCTGAGGTGGGAGGATCACTTGAGCCCAGGAATTTGAGACCAGCCTAGGCAACAAAGTGAGACCCCCATTTCTACAGAAAATAAATGATTAGCTGGGCATAGTGGTGCATACCTGCAGTCCTAGCTACTTGGGAGGATGAAGTGGGGGGATCACTTGAGTCCGTGAGGTTGAGGCTGCTGTGAGCTGTGATGGTGCCACTGCACTCCAGTGTGGGTGACAGAGTGAGACTCTGTCTCAAAAAAAAAAAAATCTAAAAAAAAAAAAAATCTGCTCTATGGGAGAGTGTTGCAGGAGACATATCAGATAAAGGACTGTTATCCAAAATATTCAAAGAACTCCTAAAACTCAACAATAAGGACACAGAAAGCCCATTTTAAAAATGGGCCAAGCCCTTAACAGGCACCTCAAGAAAGAAGATATACAGATGCCAGGTTAACATATGAGAGGGTGATACACATCATATATCATCAGGGAAATGCAAGTTAAAACAGTGAGATACCACCCTACACCTATTAGAAATGGCCAAAATCCAGAACACTGACACAACCAAATGCTGGCAAAGACATGGAACATCCTCATTCATTATTGGTGGGAATGCAAAATGATACAGCCACCTTGGAAGAGAGTTTGGCAGTTTCCCATGCAACTAAACATATGCTTACCATACAATCCAGCAATCATGTTCTTTGGTATTTATCCAAACAAGTTATAAACTTCTGTCCACACAAAAACCTGCACATGGATGTTTATAGCAGCTTTATTTATAATTGTCCAATTGGGAAGCAACCAAGATGTTTTTCAGTAGGTGAATGGATAAATAAATGATGGTACATCCAGACAGTGGACATTATTCAATGCTAAAAAGTAATGAGCTATCAGTCTATGAAAAGACATGGAGGAAACTTTAAATGCATCCTACTAAATGACAGATGCCAATCGTAAAAGGCTACATACTTCATGATTTCTACTATATGACATCCTGGAACAGGAAAAAACTATAAAGACAATGAAAATATCAGTGGTTTCCAGGGGATAGGGAGGAGGTAGGGGTGAATAGGCAGGGCATAGAAAATTTTTAGGGCAATGAAACGAGTCTGTATGATACTGTAATGGTGAATACAAGTCATTATACTTTTGTCCAAACCCACTGTATTAGTCTGTTTTCTTTTTTCTTTTTTTTTTGAGATGGAGTCTCCCACTGTCGCCCAGGCTGGAGTGCAGTGGCGCGATCTCGGCTCACTGCAAGCTCCGCCTCCCGGGTTCGCGCCATTTTCCTGCCTCAGCCTCCCGAGTAGCTGGGACTACAGGTGCCCGCCACCACGCCCGGCTCATTTTTTGTATTTTTAGTAGAGACGGGGTTTCACCGTGTTAGCCAGGATGGTCTCGATCTCCTGACTTTGTGATCCGCCCATCTCGGCCCCCCAAAGTGCTGGGATTACAGGCATGAGCCACCGTACCTGGACAGTCTGTTTTCATACTGCTGTAAAGAACTGCCTGAGACTGGGTAATTTATAAAGGAAAGAGGTTTAATTGACTCAGAGTTCAGCATGGCTGGGGAAGCCACGGGAAACTTTTACAATCATGGCAGAAGGGGAAGGGGAAACAAGCCACCTTCTTCACAAGACAGCAGGAAGGAGAAGTGCCCAGTGAAGGGGGAAGAGCCGCTTATGAAACCATCAAGATCTCATGAGAACTCACTCACTACCACAAGACCATCATGGAACTGCCCCCGTGATTCAATTACCGCCACCTGGTGTCTCCCTTGACACGTGGGGATTATGGGGATTACAATTCAAGGTGAGATCTGGGTGGGGACACAAAGCCTAACCATATCACCCGCTGAAAGTAAAACACCAAGAATGAACCCTAATGTAAACTGTGGGCTTTGGATTAATGATGTATCTGCGTAGGTCTATCAACTGTAAGAAATATATTACTGTGGTCGGGGATGTTGATAATGAGAGGGGTTGTGCATGTGTAGGGGCAGTGGGTTTATGGGAAATCTCTGTATTTTCTTCCCAATTTGCTATGAATCTAAAATTGCCCTAAAAAATAAACTCTAGGCCACGTACAGTGGCTCATGCCTATAATCCCAGCACTTTAGGAGGGTAAGGCAGGAGCATTGCTTGAGCTCAGGAGTTCAAGACCAGCCTGGGCAACTTGGTGAAACCCTGTCTTTACAAAAAATACAAAAATTAGCTGGGCATGATGGCACAAGCCTGCAGTCTCAGCTACTCAAGAGGCTGAGGTGGGAGAACCACCTAAGCCTGGGAAGTCAAGGCTGCAATGAGCCGTGATTAGTGCCACTGCACTCCAGCCTGGGTGACAGAGTGAAAACCTGTCTCAATCAATCAATCAATCAATCAATAAACACTATGTTAATAAAATAATGAGGCAGCCCCTTATGTACTAATGTGATACTATTTTTGTATCTTACTGCCTAGAATTTACCCACACCTAGCTGGAAGGATGACTGAGAAAAGGATTATTTTAGCTGAATGAATTGCTGCCCACATTTGTTAATAAAGTAGGGGGAAGAATATTGGGTAGGCAGCTGGCAGTCTCCAGGGGAGCTTACGCCTTTGGGTACTCAACAGTCTCTACACTCTTCTCCCCAAACAGAAAAAGTGGTCCTGTTCTTCCCATGGACACTATCCCCAGAGTTTTATTTTGGACTTCCAGATTCGAGCAAGTCTAGAAATGTTTATTGGTGGTGAATGTCCCATAAACACCAAGAATCCTCAGCTTCTGAAGACCCCAGTACACAAGGGTGCAATTGGAACTGAGAATCCACAATGGCAACTTCCAATGAAGAAAAGAAAAATGGGGAGGATGCAGCAGGCACTGTTCCAGTGCAATTAACCAAGGCCAGTGGGAAGGAAAGTAAGACTCCTCTGTCCTGGCAGTGGAGGAAGGCTGTTAACTAGCCAGTCTAGAAGCCGTGGTTCTCCTGTTTCAAGGTCATATGCTGTTCTTGGCTCCAGGTTTCTCCTTCTTGCGTTTTCTCTTTGTTCCTTATTTTCTATGGCCACAACTTAGTCGGGCATTAAAGGGTATACTTTTCTTAGGAACTGGAAAGCATTTATAGGAGTCAAGAATGCAAATGAACTAAGTAAACTTCTCTGTTTTGGAAATGTTGGAAATGTAAATAACTTTAGGGGAAACAGGAGGGAAAGGGAGAAGCGGTGGAGTGAGTGAGGACGCTGATAACAGGACTGCCTCATATTCGTGTAGAGTTCTGTCTTTTGCCAGTGCATCCGGAAAGTATGTTCCGCACCGAAGGACCATTTCTGAGTGGTCATTTCCTGTAAGCAAAGTAAAGGGCTGAGTACCTTTGTGGGTTGATTTATTTCAAAACAAAGGCGTGAGGCAACAGTTAGCCATGGTACTTTCCTTAAAGCAGAAGCTCAAAACCAGAAATTGATGAAAAAGTAAGCCACATGAGTATTTCTAAATATTGTGTGCTTGAGGATGGGTGTTTACTGGACATGGTCTGGTTCATGTAATAAGGGTTGGAGATAATTTTGATTTGACATTAAAACTTCTCACTTGACACCTAGGTGATACTATTGTTTATTGATTCATTTATTCAATGAGTATTTAATGAATGTCTATTACATATCAGACAGTATTTTACACATAGAGGATGGGGTTCAATCAGCAAACCATACAGACCAAAATCCCTGACTTCAGAGAGCTTACATTTTCGTTGTTTAAAAGAAACTGTATCTCCAAAGGCTGTGCTCTAGGATAATAACAACAAGAAGAACAAAAATCAGAAATTAATAAATACATAAAAGAAAGCATTTCAAGTTTCATACTTTTTTTTTTTCAGACAAAGTCTCACTCTTGTCCCCTAGGCTGGAGTGCAATGGCACAGTCTTGGCTCACTGCAACCTCCACCTCCCGGGTTCAAGCAATTCTCCTGCCTCAGCCTCCTAAGTAGCTGGGATTACAGGTGTGCACCACCATGCCCAGCTAATTTTTGTATTTTAAGTAGAGATGGGGTTTTACCATGTTGGCCAGGCTGGTCTCAAACTCCTGACCTCAGGTGATCCACCCTTCTTGGCCTCCCAAAGTGCTTGGATTACAGGCATGAGCCACCGCACCCAGCCAAGTTTCATGCTGTTTTATAACTTTTAAACAGTTATTATACTATTTTATGCCGATGAGTTTGACAGTTTGAATGAAATGGCCAAACTCCTTGAAATTCAGTTTACCAAAACTGACAGATAGGAAAAAACAAAAAACCAAAAAACAGAAGAGTCTAATCACTGTTAAAGAAAACAAACTTGTTATTAAAAATCTTCCCAGAAAGAAAACACAAGACCAAGTTGGCTTCACTGGTGAATTTTTCTGAATATTTAATAAAGATATAACACCAGAAAACAGAATCAGAGGAATTACTTCTCAATTCCTTTTCAGAGACCATTACAAGTTTCTCTTTGTTCCTTATTTTCTATGAAAACTTAGCAAGGATAGTAGAAAAAGTGAAATAACAGTATATAAACATAAACACAGAAATTCTAACCAACTCCTGTGAGATATAAATATTTAAAGTACATCAGGACTAAGTGTGGTTTATTCCAGGAATTCAAGAGTAGTTTAACATTCAGAACTTAATGAACATTATTTATAATGATTTACATAAAAGAAGAAGAATAATATGACCATCTTAATACATGTAGAAAATGCATTTGATAAAATGCAAAGTCCACTCATGATGTAAGAAAAAGAAACAGAAAACTCTTAGCAAACTAAAAATAGAAGAAAACTTCCATAATCTGATTTTTTTTAATAGCTATAAAAAACCTACAGCAAACATTTTACTTTATACTTTAAAGTCTTCCCCTTATTATGCGCTATCTCATCTAAGTCTTACAAATCCCCACTGGTCTTTCTCTTCTTGTATTTCCCAACTCCACTTACCCCAGGGTATAGGCAGAAGTCAAAAAACAAAAAATAACACTAATATTTTAGTAGCCTGACTGTCTATTTCTTAGCCCCAAATCAGGGACACAAAAGCATTTTTCCTGAATAAATACTTGAGCTGTGCATCCTTGAATGCCTCAATATGACTCAAGGGTAGATGAAGCTGGAACTGGCATTAGGGTAGGATGAACAGAACTCAAAATATCCCTGACCCCATCCTCACATTGCCTGTAACTCAGTCTCTGCAGGAGGTGAAGCAGAATTGGCAGCCGTGTCATTAGTTGGGGCTGAGTCCTCAGACAGGGCCCTCTCCAGACTGGTGGGCAGGGAGTGGATCAGTCTCTCTCGGAAGTCTTGGCCCACAAAGACGTAAAGCATGGGGTTGAGGCAGCTGTTGAAGAAGGCCAGGGAGCTCGTTGGGTTAACCAGGATGTCAATGATTTTGTACTTGCCATAGAACAACATCTCTTTGAGCCAGACGGTGCCCAGAAGGGCAACCAGTTGAAAGGGAAACCAACAGATGAAGAAAGAAGCCACCACAGCAGTGAGGACCCGTAAGGGACGGCTGGATTTAATCATGCCCTTTTTGTGGATCTTGGCTGCAATGAGCCCATAGCAGATGGCAACAATGGACATCGGCAAGCTAAAGCCAATGACAAACCGGATAATCCCTCTGGCTGTCAGCATGGTAATGGCCACCTTCAGCCTCTCCTCAGGGGTGCCACCCCAGGATGCAAAGTTGAAAGTACAGTATGTGTCCCCATTTGGAATAGTTACTGTAGTCAAAAAGAGGAAAACTGGCAAGGTAAGGACTAGAGCAAGAATCCAAGGTCCGACGATCACCTTCATGGCCAGACTCACAGTGCGGTGGTTCTGGGCCCAGACTGGATGCAGGACACAAATGCAGCGGTCCAGTGCAATGAAACCAATCAAGAAGACACTTCCAAAGAGGTTGATGTCCACCACGATGTGAATTAACTTACACAGGAACCAGCCAAAAGGCCATTTTTCTCCCATGGCCATGGAGACAATGAGGAATGGTAATGTGGCCGTGAAAGAAAAGTCAGCCAGGGCCAGGTTCAGGTAACAGATGGTGGTGACTGTGCGTGTCATCCGGAATCCAGCCACCCAGATCACAAGCCCATTGCCCAGGACCCCGAGGACAAAGGTGACCCCAAGCACCACCAATGGGAGGATCCGCAGAACAGTGTAGCCAGCAGACTCATAGGACACTTCTTCATATTCATTCAGAGGAGTGGAGAAGTTGGTTTCCATCTTGCCAGCAGCACCTGAAACATTCCAACAATGGCCATTTCTCAGCTGTGGAACCATCTTACAGCATCTGTATTTATAGCTCACATCAACTTCCACTAAAGCTCCCACTCCTACCAGGAGACCCACTCTATCTACCAAGCCTTGTTGACAACGGTGCTATAGAATTGGCATTCTCTTGGATGCTCCTTTGGGAAGGGATAGTCCTCCATATTCCCATCATTATCAATATGCATTTCGCTTATCGGGCTGATCACTTCACCAAGAGGATTACAAGGCTCATACTGAACTTATGTTGTATGGACAATGGAAAATTGAGCATAGGCAGCCTCAGCATTGTGAGGAAGGCACATGACTCAGAATCAGAAGGCTCACATCTGTGTCTCCCACCATTCAATGCAAACATGCTGGCAAGCTCTGCAATCTCTTTCAGCCCCAGGTTCTTCCAGTCTCCCAACTCCTGTCCCTCAAACTGTGAGAACCCTTGACCTATTGCTTGGCTAGTACTCAAGATAAAGTTTGAGGGTTTGGCTTGAGGTTATTGTTGAAGAGAATTTTGAGGAGTCACTGGTAACATGTAGTAGTATGTTATATCCTGAGGATTCTGCACTAGAGGAAGTCAGCAAAGAGAGTTCCATCTCTGCTTTCTACCCTCTGCTTTTCCCTGTCCCTGCTTGATGTGGAGCTCTTCTCTGTTTGGAATGCAAATAATCAGTGCCGATTTGTATAGCTTTGGTGTCTGTGGGATAAAGACTATAAGAATAATAAGTTGTATTAATACTTGTGAAGTTCTTATTAGAGACTATGCATTGTGTTAATTACTACATATGGGATCCGGTTTGGCCTATGTAATAGCTATGTAATATTCATTACTTCTAGTTTTCATTAGAATAAATGAAAGCTCAGGGCAATTGTGAAATGTGTTGAAGGTCACTTAGGTAGTAGATAATAGATTCAGGACTTCAGTTTGGCATGGTCTGACTTCTAAACCCTTACGCTTGACAGATATTGCTGGTTGCCCACCCAGCAACGGTTCCCCATTCTTCTCTGCTTGAAAAACCACAATTGTGTTTAGTTACTCACCCTGCAGAGAAGGTGTCTTTTCTCCATGTTGGGAGTAAATCCTGACTAGTCTAATTAGCACTAACCAGAATCCCTTTTACTTTGCAAGGGATTGCTTTGGTAGTGGACACGTGACTAAATTGTGGACAATAACATTGTAAGAATATGACCCTTCAGAGCTTCTCAGATCAAGTTTTTTTGTTTTTGTTTTTTTCTTTTAAGAACAAAAACCCAAAACATGTAGTCCCTGCCTCTGGTCCGGATCACATCTGTAATATTTGTATCCAGTTCAACACAAAGTCCCACGTCACCTGAGCACATTTTCTTATGCCGTGGTCTGTGGACTTTATCAGAAACATCCAGGCTGCCTGTTAAAATTGTATTCATTATCCTTAGCAAACTAATGCAGGAACAGAAAACCAAATACCACATGTTCTCATTTACAAATGGGAGGTAAATGATGAGAACACATGGACACAAAGAGGGGAACACTGGGGCCTACCGGAAGGTGGAGGGTGAGGGGAGGGACAGGATCAGGAAAAATAAGTAGTGGGTATTAGGCTTAATATCTCAGTGATGAAATAATCTGTACAAGAAAACACCAGGATACAAGTTTACCTGTATAACAAACCTGCACATATACCCCTGAACTTATAATAAAAATGAAAAACAATTATATCCATAAATCTCATTCTAGAATCTGTATGTGTAAAAGCCAGGATGATTTGCTATGGCCATGAGAATTTGAGAATCATCTCAGACTGGGCTATTCAGCATCTTTAAGAGAAATAGCAATTCCATAGCACTTGTTCACATCTAATGCTCATAATAACATTGGGAAACAGCCATCACATCTGGGGGAATTCATGGCCCGGGGACTTCTGTAGTTTTTTTCAACATCATGCCCAGCCAGTCAGTGGAGGCAGCAAGATACGGAAACCGAGATGAACAACTCCAGAGCCACTGCCTTTGCATACGGAAGTCCTGCCTTTGAAAGGGATTCCCCCAAGATTACTAGGATAGGGCTATGCCTCAGTCTGGTGATTTTTAGCCTTCTTCCTTTTCCTTATTTCCTCCTTTTCTTCCTGCTATTACCAGTGAGTTTCACTGAGGTATTCCATGGGACGTTATTTAATGTAGCTCAGGGTTTCTCAACCTTGGCACCTTTGACATCTGGGTCTGGGTAATTCTTCGTTGTGGCAGACTGTTCTGGACACAGTAGGATGTTGAGCAGCCCCCCTGGCCTCTATCCACAGACACCAGTAGCAACTCCTTCTCCAGAAATGACAATCAACAGGTTCCATAAACATTGTCAAAGGTCCCCTCGGAGGCAAAGTCACCCCCAATTGAGAGTCACTGTTACAAAGAATACTGGGCTCAGCCAGATACGGTGGCTCACGCCTGTAATCCCAACACTTTGGGAGGCCAAGGGGGGTGGATTGCCTGAGGTCAGGAGTTCCAGACCACCCTGGGCAATACGGTGAAGCCCCGTCTCTACCGAAAATACAAAAAATTAGCCGGGCCTGGTGGCATGCACTTGCAGTCCCAGCTACTCGGGAGGCTGAGGCAGGAGAATCGCTTGAACCCGGGAGGCGGAGGTTGCAGTGAGCCGTGCCACTGCACTCCAGCCTGGGGGACAGAGCGAGACTCTGTCTAAAATATATATATATACTGGGCTCTGAAGTCAGCTACATCTCTCTTCTAATCTCATCTGTGATGTCTCCTCACTATGAGTTTTTAGTCAGTGATATCTCTTTGAGCCTCAGTTTTCTGCTCTGCAGAACGAGGACAATTTTATGGTGAAGTCTAACTTTCAGGTGAGGATTAAGTGAGAATAGATGTGGAAATCTTTTAGGCTAGACTGAGTATATCTATGACAAATGGGAACTCTTGGCCCTCACCAGGCTGTGTGCTGTGTCGTGGGGCTCAATCCATTATGAAGTTCAAGGTCAGGACAAGAACGATGCTCATAGCAATAGTTGTTTCTACTTATGAACATTACCCACACACCAAGAGCTTTTCCTTTAACCCTATCAACGCCTCTCACAGGATCTGTGGATGGGCTGTGTTAATATGTGTGAACACTGAGCACTCCTGAGACACAGTGAATATTGATTAATCTTAGTGATATTAGGTTGGTGCAAAAGTAACGCTGTTTTTGCCATTGAAAATAATATCAAAAACCACAAGTACTTTTGCAGCAGCCTGATAATTAGTATAACCATTGTACAGATGAGGAAGTTAAGACTTAGATGGGCTGCGTTAATTGTTCAACGTTACCAGGTAGAAAGAGTAGAGACAGAATTGGAGCTCAGCCAGATTGATTACAACAGAATTGTGCTGTTAACCCTTTTCCACCCCATAGTTCCTCAACAGACTCAGATTTTCTCTATCCACACTCCAAACATTCTACAAGACACTTAGAAGACATGATCTATCCATAATTTCAAATTCATTTTAAAATGTTGATACAGGCTGGGCGCAGTGGCTCACGCCTGTAATCCTAGCACTTTGGGAGGCCAAGACAGGTGGATCACTTGAGGCCAGGAATTTGAAACCAGCCTGGCCAACATGGTGAAACCCTGTCTCTACTAAAAATACAAAAATTAGCTGGGCATGGTGGTGGGTGCCTGTAATCCCAGTTACTTGGGAGGCTGAGGCAGGAGAATCACTTGAGTCTGGGAGGCAGAGGTTGCAGTGAGCCAAGATCGTGCCACAGCACTCCAGCCTGGGTGAAAGAGCGAGACTCTGTCTCAGAAAAAAAAAAATGTTGATGCAACAAGGAAGGATGATTGTGCAATGACAGGTGAGGACAAATTAACAAGGCAAAAATTGCAAAGTTTTGGGTCCACCCTAGTTGTAATGTAAGGAGGAGAACTGCGAACCACAGATGATACCTGTACTGATTATGAGGTCTGCTATTTGGTGAGTCCTTAATATGTGCCAGTCACTATATATTTTATCATCTCTGATTACAATACCCTTGCTTTGGGACAAGTGCTGTCCTTGTGTAACAGGTAGGAAAGTACGGCTCAGAGAGCGGAAGTGACTTTCACAATTATCGAGGGTTGCAATTGAATTTATGACCACAGATTTCAAATGAAAACTCAGCAGTTCCTCATTAGGTTACTCTACTTCTCCAGCGCACTCGCTATCCCACACCTTAATTATTTCAGTCCTGCTTTCTCCAAAAAGTACCTCATTTACTCTGTTTTTCCCACTCTCAGCAGATGCCCTTGACTGACATTATAATGAGAAAATGGTAATAACTAGATGTGAAATTTTCAGCCGGTCCTCCCCTGACCCTCAGTCTACCTGCCTCTGTCACTGTGAATAAAGACTTCTTGTTCTTTCCAATAATTTCCCTCCCTGCATTGGCCCAGGATGCCCTCTCATCTTCCCACAAACTTTCCCCCTGCATTTGTCCTTCCATTTTCTGCCAAAAACAAACCCTCAAGATTTTATTTCTACTAGATCATTCTCACTATTACATAAACATTACATAAATCATATCCCCTCCCTTTAAAAAGAAACCATCCTTGGCCAGGTGCCGTGGCTCACACCTGTAATCCCAACATTTAGGGAAGCTGAGGCAAGTGGATCACTTGAGGCCAGGAGTTTGAGACCAGACTGGCCAACATGGTGAAACCTCATCTCTACTAAAAATACAAAAATTAGCTGGACGTGATGGCACGCGCTTGCAATCCCAGCTACTTGGGAAGCTGAGGCAGGAAGACCTCTTGAACACCGGAAGGCGGAGGTTGCAGTGAGCTGAGATCGCACCACTGCACTCCAGCCTGGGCAACAGTGACTCCGTCTCAAAAACAAACAAACAAACAACAACAAAACTAAACAAAAACAAAATAAAAACCACCCCAAAAAACAAAACAAAAAACAACCAAAAAGATCTTGGACTATATTCCTTTCTGGTGTTAACCCTATTTCTCCTGAGAGAATTCTTTCTATGAAAAGAATTTGCAGCCAGATTTTGGAAGGAGTTTTCTGTGTTTGCTCCCTTTGATTCCCTGCCTCACTTTTTCTCCTGAATCCAGTCTGTATTGACTCCAGTCCTTAGCACTGACCTGGTGCATTTTCCTGAGGATGCTTATGACCTCAAGGCTGCAAATGCAGTGGGTGCAAATCCATATTGGTTCTTATCTCAATATCTTCGTGATAGAGGATCCATTGGATCTCTTCTTCCCATTGGATCGCTTCCTTCTCCTTAAATCACGTTTTTCCTGTGCCATGAGATGATAAATGTACACACAACACACTTTCACTTGCATTTGAAGCTCAATTGGCCACCGCTTTTCAGTCCCCTTTGCTAGTATTTTCTGCTCTAAATTTGACTCTAAATTTAGGAGTGTCCCGCAGCTTTTACTTGTTCCCCACCTCTCTTATCTCTATATAGTCTTTCTATAGGTGATATTATCCAGTCTCAGGGCTTAAAATATCATGCTCTCTTTTCATCTAAACTATCAGCCTTGGCCTCTCTCTGGTGCTCCAGTCTGATATAACCTCTCCCCACGGGAGTCCCGTAGACATTTCAAACCTAACGTGGCTCAACCAAACAGTTGATTGTCTCATCCTCCCAAACCTGCCACTCTTCCAATATTTTGTGTCTATTTGAGTTTAAACATTCAGTTGTTAAAACTTCCAAACTAGAACTTATCTTTCATTTCACTTTCTCTCACCACAATCCCATCCAAGTCCTATTAATTCTATCTACAGAATCTGCTGAATGCACAGCCAGAGCCATCTCTATCTCTACAACCTGTGTCCATGGTCCTGTCAGGCAGGAATGTTTGCGCCAACTTTGCAAATAGGTTGTTCCTGGTCCTACTTTCCCCTGCCCTACAATCCAATCTCCAGAAGGAAACCAAATGAGCTTTTAAAAAGTTCAATAAGGGCCAGGTGCAGTGGCTCACACCTGTAATCCCAGCACTTTGGGAGGCCGAGGCAGGTGGGTCACCAGAGGTCAGGAGTTCGAGACCAACCTGGCCAACATGAAGAAACCCCATCTCTACTAAAAATACAAAATTAGCTGGGCGTGGTGGCACGTGCCTGTAATTCCAGATGCTCGGGAGGCTGACGCAGGAGAATCGCTTGAACCAGGGAGGCGGAGGTTGCAGTGAGCTGAGATCGTGCCATTGCACTCCAGCCTGGGCAACAAGAGCAAAACTCTGTCTCAAAAAAAAAAAAAAAGTCCAATAAGGGCCGGGAGTGGCTCATGCCTGTAATCCCAGCACTTTGGGAGGCTGAGGTGGGTGGATCACCTGAGGTCAGGAGTTCAAGACCAACCTGCCCAACATGATGAAACCCCGTCTCTACTAAAAAAACACAAAAATTAGCTGGGCGTGATGGCGGGTGCCTGTAATCCCAGCTACTTGGGAGGCTGAGGCAGGAGAATCGCTTGACCCTGAGAGGCAGAGTTTGCAGTGAGCCGAGACTGCGCCACTGCACTTCAGCCTGGGCGACAGAGCAAGATTCTGTCTCAAAAAAAAAAAAAAAAAAGGTCCAATAAAATGGTGATGCTATTTTCAACACCTTCTAATGGCTTCCAAACTTCTAACTTATCCTTATCTTAAGTTCCCTCAAGTACCCCTGGACCTGCCCTGTGCATTCCTCAGACCTCATCTCTGCACTCTCGTGGGACACACTGGGCTCCACCCATAACGGGCTCTGATTCCTTGAACATGCAGCTCATTGTCATCTCGGGGCTTCTGCCTTCTCTGTTCCTTCTGCCTACCATGCTCTTCCTCTTAAGCTCCTCACACTTGGCTCCTTCACATGTTTATTTATCTTTGAGTTAGAGTTTCACTCTTCTTGCCCAGGCTGGAGTGCAATGGCACGATATCGGCTCACTGCAACCTCGGCCTCCTAGGTTCAAGCGATTCTCCTGCCTCAGCCTCCTGAGTAGCTGGGATTACAGGCTCCCACCACTACGCCTGGCTAGTTTGTTGTTTGCATTTTTAGTAGAGACAGGGTAATGCAAGCCCTAAATGCCAGCCACACACGTGACTTACAACTTTCTAGTAGCCATGTTAAAAAAGTAAAATCATTGGGAGAAATTAATTATAATAATATGTTTCATTTAACCCCGCAAATAAAAAAAATCATTGGAACACGTTACCAAAATGAAAGTTATTAACGAGATAAATTGTATTATTTTGATCATACTAATGATTAAACTACACTAAGTATATTTTACACTTAAGCACATTTCAGATCAAGATAGAAACATAGGCACTCAAAAGCCACCTGTGGCAAGTGGATGCTCCATTACAGCACTGCTCTAGAATTTAGGAGGTGTTTGTCAGAGAGCAGGAGTTCCATTGATAAATTTTAAATTGTCAGTCCCCAACTTACCAGCAGCTAAGCTCCTTTTCCTGTGTGCTTCTTGGCTTCCTGTGGAGCAACACCGGCTCTAAGGGCTTTCGCGGAGACTACTGAATGATGGGGGAGGGACAATGGAGCTGGAGCCAATCCCCTAACAGAAACTCAGGATTTCTTATAATTTTCAGAAGACACCTTGGGTATGTTGTCAGCGGACTCTTCTTAGAAACCAATGTGTCTGAATGTTCCTTCACCTCTAGCCTTCTGTGAGAGACTGGAGTTCATGCTTCCAAATGTCAAGGGTCAAGGAATCTGAATGTCCAGCCCTTCCTTCTTCAGAGTTTCATGAAAATGAAAGAAACAATTACTGAAGTGGGAAGAGTTTCAGCCACGCAATCAAGCCCAAATATGATGATTAAGTCAAACTCAATTCTCGACTTATGCAGTACTTCTGGCATCAAATGTGTGGGTCTTTTCCATATCAAGCAATTCTCCAGTTCTCTGGGGACACCACTGGGTATCTCACAATTCAATTCAGCTCCGACGCTGTCTACCTGGAGTTAGTGTCAGATCCCACAAGTTAAAGGGCTCACTCTCCCAAAACTGTCCTCACTTCAGACACCAATCCAAGTCCCAGGTGGCCACCTGTACTTCTGACTGACTGGCTATAAATCGGGGGTGGGGGGATGTTTATAACCCCTTCCTCTGTTCTGATAATTTGTTAGAATGGCTCACAGAACTTAAGAAGGCACATTACTGGCTGGGCGCTGTGGCTCACACCTGTAATCCTAGCACTTTGGGAGGCCGAGGTGGGTGGATCACTTGAGGTCAGGAGTTGAAAACCATCCTAGCCAACATCATGAAACCCCACCTCTACTAAAAATACAAAAAAAATTAGCTGGGCGTGGTGGTGGGCACCTGTAATCCCAACTACTTGGTAGGCTGAGGCGGCAGAATCGCTTGAACCTGGGAGGCGGAGGTTACAGTGAGCCGAGATTGTGCCACTAAACTCCAGCCTGGGCAACAGAGCGAGACTCCATCTAAAAAAAAAAAGAAAAGAAAAGAAAAGAAGAAGGCACATTACCTACATTTACTCGTTTGTTCTCAATGGAGTTCACATATCGAGAAATAAAAGGTGGTAGGTATTGTATAGGTGCAGGTCTCTAAAGAGGTGCTTCCTTGCTGGCTGCTGGAGACATAGAGATCAATCAGACATGGGCTCTGCGGACCACCTGAATAGAGAGGTGAGAATGCAGTGCTTAGTTACAATAGGGTGGGGGCACGTAGTGATAGACAGATGCCTGGCTCCTTGTGAGGTCCTCTAAAAGGAACCACTAACTCAGATTCACGGATCTAGAGTCAATATCCGGAGGAGGGAACATGTAGGCTGAGTCTTAAAGACTCAGATAAAGGAGAAAAAATAATGCATTCTTGTCAGAGGGGAGTAAAAATACCCACGAAAGGGGTCACAAAAAAGCAGGTTACTTTTGTTTACCAGAGCATAGATGATAAGGCAGACAGCAATAAGCATTAAGTATGTAGAGGGCGGCAGAGGCAATTTCTTGGTTGGTCTTGAATGCTGTAAAAAGAACTTAGAATTTCTTCTTAAAATTTCTTTCTTATATATATATATATTTTTATTATTATACTTTAAGTTTTAGGGTACATGTGCACAATGTGCAGGTTAGTTACATATGTATACATGTGCCATGCTGGTGTGCTGCACCCATTAACTCGTCATTTAGCATTAGGTATATCTCCCAATGCTATCCCTCCCCCCTCCCCCCACCCCACAACAGTCCCCAGAGTGTGATGTTCCCCTTCCTGTGTCCATGTTTCCTCATTGTTCAATTCCCATCTATGAGTGAGAACATGCGGTGTTTGGTTTTTTGTCCTTGTGATAGTTTACTGAGAATGATGATTTCCAATTTCATCCATGTCCCTACAAAGGACATGAACTCATCATTTTTTATGGCTGCATAGTATTCCATGGTGTATATGTGCCACATTTTCTTAATCCAGTCTATCATTGTTGGACATTTGGGTTGGTTCCAAGTCTTTGCTATTGTGAATAGTGCTGCAATAAACATACGTGTGCATGTGTCTTTACAGCAGCATGATTTATAGTCCTTTGGGTATATACCCAGTAATGGGATGGCTGGGTCAAATGGTATTTCTAGTTCTAGATCCCTGAGGAATCACCACACTGACTTCCACAATGGTTGAACTAGTTTACAGTCCCACCAACAGTGTAAAAGTGTTCCTATTTCTCCCCTTTCCAGCACCTGTTTTTTCCTGACTTTTTAATGATTGCCATTCTAACTGGTGTGAGATGGTATCTCATTGTGGTTTTGATTTGCATTTCTCTGATGGCCAGTGATGATGAGCATTTTTTCATGTGTCTTTTGGCTGCATAAATGTCTTCTTTTGAGAAGTGTCTGTTCATATCCTTTGCCCACTTTTTGATAGAGTTTTTTGTTTTTTTCTTGTAAATTTGTTTGAGTTCATTGTAGATTCTGGATATTAGCCGTTTGTCAGATGAGTAGGTTGTGAAAACTTTTTCCCATTTTGTAGGTTGCCTGTTCACTCTGATGGTAGTTTCTTTTGCTGTGCAGAAGCTCTTTAGTTTAATTAGATCCCATTTGTCAATTTTGGCTTTTGTTGCCATTGCTTTTGGTGTTTTAGACATGAAGTCCTTGCCCATGCCTATGTCCTGAATGGTAATGCCTAGGTTTTCTTCTAGGGTTTTTATGGTTTTAGGTCTAACATTTAAGTCTTTAATCCATCTTGAATTAATTTTTGTATAAGGTGTAAGGAAGGGATCCAGTTTCAGCTTTCTACATATGGCTAGCCAGTTTTCCCAGCACCATTTATTAAATAGGGAATCCTTTCCCCATTGCTTGTTTTTCTCAGGTTTGTCAAAGATCAGATAGTTGTAGATATGCGGCGTTATTTCTGAGGGCTCTGTTCTGTTCCATTGATCTATATCTCTGTTTTGGTACCAGTACCATGCTGTTTTGGTTACTGTAGCCTTGTAGTATAGTTTGAAGTCAGGTAGCGTGATGCCTCCAGCTTTGTTCTTTTGGCTTAGGATTGACTTGGCAATGCGGGCTCTTTTTTGGTTCCATATGAACTTTAAAGTAGTTTTTTCCAATTCTGTGAAGAAAGTCATTGGTAGCTTGATGGGGATGGCAGTGAATCTGTAAATTACCTTGGGCAGTATGGCCATTTTCACGATATTGATTCTTCCTACCCATGAGCATGGAATGTTCTTCCATTTGTTTGTGTCCTCTTTTATTTCATTGAGCAGTGGTTTGTAGTTCTCCTTGAAGAGGTCCTTCACGTCCCTTGTAAGTTGGATTCCTAAGTATTTTATTCTCTTTGAAGCAATTGTGAATGAGAGTTCACTCATGATTTGGCTCTCTGTTTGTCTGTTATTGGTGTATAAGAATGCTTGTGATTTTTGTACATTGATTTTGTATCCTGAGACTTTGCTGAAGTTGCTTATCAGCTTAAGGAGATTTTGGGCTGAGACAATGGGGTTTTCTAGATATACCATCATGTCATCTGCAGACAGGGACAATTTGACTTCCTCTTTTCCTAATTGAATACCCTTTATTTCCTTCTCCTGCCTAATTGCCCTGGCCAGAACTTCTAACACTATGTTGAATAGGAGTGGTGAGAGAGGACATCCCTGTCTTGTGCCAGTTTTCAAAGGGAATGCTTCTAGTTTTTGCCCATTCAGTATGATATTGGCTGTGGGTTTGTCATAGATAGCTCTTATTATTTTGAGATACGTCCCATCAATACCCAATTTATTGAGAGTTTTTAGCATGAAGGGTTGTTGAATTTTGTCAAAGGCCTTTTCTGCATCTATTGAGATAATCATGTGGTTTTTGTCTTTGGTTCTGTTTATATGCTGGATTACATTTATTGATTTGCGTATATTGAACCAGCCTTGCATCCCAGGGATGAAGCCCACTTGGTCGTGGTGGATAAGCTTTTTGATGTGCTGCTGGATTTGGTTTGTCAGTATTTTATTGAGGATTTTTGCAGCAATGTTCATCAAGGATATTGGTCTAAAAAAAAATTTCTTTCTTACAATTTCTTCTGCTTAAAAGCTATTTAAGCAGGAGAGTGACTTGTCAGGTGTGTGCTTCCAGAAAACATTGCTCTAGAGTCCCCCTGCAAAGGGATGGCTCTGAGAATGCTCCCAGTTGGAGGCAGAGATCTTAAAGGGTAAGAAGTTGCCAGAGATCAAGGTGAACTTGTCGAATAATTGCCTGTGCTGGAGTAGTGTGCTAGAGAGGAGGTGTAGTTTAGGGAGAGATTTCCAGGCTTGGTAGACTGAGCTTGGAGACCAAATGGCTCTGGAGAATGAGGAAGCATGAAGGGTCTTTATGAAGCCCACATTCATAATTCATAATTGCTGTATAACCACCCAAATCATAGCATGTAAAACAACCATTTCATTACGTTCATGGATTATGTGGGTTGGGAATTAGGATAAGGCACAGAGATGCTTGTCTCTGCCACCCAAAACTCAAAGGTCTGGGGGGTGACTAGAAGACTGTGAATTGGAGTCATCTAGAGCTCCTTCATTCACATGTCAGATGCCTGGGTTGGAATGACTCAAATGCTGAACTAGGCTGGTATTGCACCAAGTGCCTACAGGCAGCCTTTCCAGCATGGTGGTCTCAGAGGAATCAAAGTCCCAGGACAATGGCTGCCTTCCTCCAGAACACGTGTCCCAGGAGAACCAGAAGATGCTTCCTAGCCTTTTTTGACCTAGCCTTGAAAGCTACGTGGAAGTCATTTCTACCACGTTCTTTGGTCAAAGTAGTCCCAACCCTACCCAGGTTCCAGGGGAGAGGCGATACAATATGCCTGCCTTCCTGTCAGTGGAAGGAGTGTCCAAGAATATTGTGGCCATTTTCTTCAGAACTGTTGCACCAAGGTAACTGCGTGGATTTGGGGGCTGTCATTGAGACGAGAGTCAATGAAAAGAAGCAGAGTGTTTAGTTTGTTAGAGCTGCCATAACAAAATACCATTGGCTGGGTGGCTACAACAATAGAAATATATTTTCTCACAGTTTTATCAGCTGGAAGTTTAAGATCAAGGTGTCAGCAGGGTTGATTCCTCCTGAGTCCTCTCTCCTTGGCTTGCAGATACCGCCTCCTCCTCATGTTTTCACACAGTTTTCCCTCTATGCCTGTCTGTGTCTGGATCTCCTCTTTTCATAAGGATATCAGTCATATTGAGTTGGGGCCCACCCTAATGACCTCAGTTTCAGCTAATTACCTCTTTAAAGGTTGTATCCCCAAATACAGTCACATTCTGACATGCTGGGGTGTATTGGTCAATTCTCATGCTGCTAATAATGACATACCCAAGACTGGGTAATTTATAAAGGGAAGAGGTTTAATGGACTCACAGTTCCATGTGGCTGGGGAGGCCTCGCAATCATTGCGGAAGGCGAAGGAAGAACAAAGGGACATCTTACATGGCAGCAGGCAAAAGAGAATGAGAACCAAGTGAAAGGGGAAACCCCTCATAAAATCGTCAGATCTCGTGAGACATATTCACTACCATGAGAACATTATGGGGGAAATCGTCCCCATGAAACAACTATCTCCCACCTGGTTCCTCCCACAACACGTGGGAATTATGGGAGCTACAATTCAAGATGAGATCAGGGTTGGGACACAGCCAAACCATATCATGGGGTGAGGGCTTCAACCTAAGAATTTGAAGGGGAATGTGACACAATTTAGTCCTTAACAGAGTTGTGGGAGAAGGTGAGGAGAGCAAAGGCTGCAGATGAGTTTGAAAGGAAACAGGAACCCAAAATGATGTGTCTGAACATCAAGGGCAGGTCTGAGCTAGAGACAGGGGTCTGGTGAATGTTAGCTGAGGTGTGGTTCAAGTTTTAAGCATGGATGGGTTCACCGCAGAGAACGTGAAACAGCAGATAGAGAGGTTTATGTAATTACTAAGATATTGATAATACTTATTGCACTGGAATTCATGCCAAGTGCTTTGTATCACTGATCTTATTTGTTCTGCTCCAGAAAACACCTCTGTAAGTATCATTGCTCTCAATTCACAGGTGAAGTGTCTGGGACCCAGTGCAGTTAAATCAGGGGTCAAATCTAGCCACCGCTTGTTTTTGTATGGCCTGAGAGCCAAGAATGGCTTTAATATTTCTTACCGGCTAAAGAAAATCAAATGAAGGGTATTTTGTGCCATGCAAAACTTATATGAAGTCCAATTGTCGTGTTTTAAATAAAGTTTTATTGACATACAGTCATGCTCCTCATTTACAACTTTGCTTGTGGCTGTTTTCAGGCTACAACAGCAGAGCCAAGGAGTTGTGATGGAGACCCTATGGCCTGCCAAATGAAATATATTGACCATCTGGCTCTTCATAGGAAATGTTTGTGGCCCAGTGCAGTGGTTCCGTCCTGTAATCCCAGCACTTTGGGAGGCCAAGGCAAGTGATTGTTTGAGGTCAGGAGTTCAAGACCAGCCTGGTCAACGTGGCAAAACCATATCTCTACTTAAAAAATACAAAAATTAGCCAGGCGTGGTGGCGGGCACCTGTAATCCCAGCTACTGGAGAGGCTGAGGCAGGGGAATCACTTGAACCTAGGAGGCAAAACTGCAGTGAGCCAAGATCACACCACCGTACTCCAGCCTGGGTGACACAGTGAGACTCTGTCTCAAAAAAAAAAAGTTGGGGGAAATGTTTGAGACCCCTGGATTAGCTGGCTTGTCCGGAGCTAGTGAACAGTAGTCCTGGGATTCTAGTCCAGGCAATCTGGCTTTACCACCTCAGTCCAGTGCTTTACTGGGAGGCTGTGCTGCTCGCCGAGGCCATTTCTCATGTTTCAGTTACCAGAAGAGTCAGGGACTTTTGCAGCATAGGCAGGAATACTCCCATTCCGGTCAACCCTAAGACATCTTCCCTTTTAGCCTTACGCAAACACAGAAGTGGAAGTCCATTTTAAGACTTTCGCTTTTTTCTTCACCATAGTCACTTTGGAACACACACTTGGCTCTATTTTTGCCCAACCTAGTGTGCTAATCACAGGCCATTTGGTAGCCAGGAAGAAAACCTACTTATGTTTTAGAAAAGAGGGCTCATGGGAAACAGGTAGGGGTGTCCCAGGACCCCCGTTTTAGGAAGAACAGTCAGACTTCAAAAGACCTACAAATTTTTCTGGCAATTACTCTCTGTGGAGTCCCTTGTCTCTTGTTTTCTCTTGACATTTGGGCCCTTCTCCTCTGTGCATAATGATGTCCTCTGCCATTCCCTTTATTTTAATCCCCTTACAAAGTGTTGGCTTCCATGTGACTCCTAGGCACGTCTTCATTTGTTACCCTTCATACCTTGGGAATCTTCTAAAATGCATCTGTTGTTATGATCCCAAGAAAATGTTTATAAAATACAAACACAAATGTTTATAAAGTACAAATGAACATATCACCCTTCTGATTAAAGATCTTCAGTGATTCTCCATCTCATCCCCATCCTCCTGGTGTGGGATGCTGGAGTGTAGCAGTCCCCAACATTTTTGGCACCAGGGACCAGTTTCATAAAAAACAATTTCTCCATGGGGTGGCGGGGTAGATGGTTTCAGGATGATTTAAGCACATTGCATTTATTGTAGACTTTATTTCTATTATTATTATTACATTGTAATACACAATGAAATAATTATACAACTCACAATGATGTAGAATCCGTGGGAGCCCTGAGCTTGCTTTCCCGCAACTAGACAGTCCCATCTGGGAGTGATGGGAGACAGTGACAGATCATCAGGCATTAGATTCTCATAAGGAGCACACAACCCAGATCCCTGGCATGCACAGTTCACAGTAGGGTTCACACTGTTATGAGAATCTAATGCCGCCACTAATCTGACAGGAGGCAGAGCTCAGGCAGTAATGCCAGCAATGGGGAGTGGCTATAAATACAGATGAAGCTTCTCTTGCTCACCTGCCAGTCACCTGCTGTGCAGCCCACTTCCTAACAGGCCACAGACCGGTATCGGTCTGTGTATTGGTCTATGGCCTGGAGGTTGGGGACCCCTGCTGTAATGTGAAGTCAGGAGCTGTGGTAGCTTTCTTGGAGCCATGAAGTGGCAATCCCCAGGAAAAAAAGTCACCATATTAGGGATAAAAAAGAGAAAAGATTAAAATGAATGTAGTTCTTGATGATATTTTCCAGATATAACCTAACCTAGTATTACCCTCTTGCAAAATTCTTGTAAAGTAAACCATAAATTTCGTCTTGGTTCTAAGCTAAGCTTGTCCAGCCCATGGCCTAAGATGGCTTTGAATGCAGCCCAACACAAATTCATAAACTTTCTTAAAACATTATCAGATTTTTGGGGGATTTTTTTTTTTTTTTTTTTTTTTAGCTCATCAGGTATCGTTAGTGTTAGTGTATTTTATGTGTGGCCCAAGACAATTCTTCTTCTTCCAGTGTGGCCCAGGGAAGGCAAAAGATTGGACACCCCTTGTTGAAGCCATTGTTAGGTGTAATTGTAAATTATAAATTACTTAGAATTAAAAACAGCCCGGCTCATGCCTGTAATCCCAGCATTTGGGGAGGCTGAGGCAGGAGGATCACTAAACCCAGGGGTCTGAGACATGCCTGGGCAACGTAGCAGGATACTGTCTCTAAAAGAAAAGAAAAAACAGTCTTAATGCAACAATGCCTTGGTAATAATGCTTTTAGAATCAGTGTCGTTATCTCTGATTCTGTAACTGTCTTACCATATTTCTCCATATCACTCTGATACCCTTGGAAGGATGCTTAACATTTCAGAAAAACGGTTATTTCTTTGGGCTAGAAGACTACAAATGAGCTTCCACAAGATCAGAGGATTATGGGGTTAATCTTGGTGGTGTGCATGGGTGTGGACGCGCTGTCCTGCCAACTGTCTCAACTTCCCCCACTCCCTTACCTCTCTCTGTGTTTCTGGTCTCCATCCCTCATGACTTCTTCTCTTCCTTTCATTGCCTCCCTCTGATTCTTCTCACCACAGTGCTTGCTGCTTTCTTTACCTTGACCCTTGGAGGGAGCAGGGGCCCGGACACTTGGATTTCTTGGCCCTTGTTGTTGAGAGCACTGAACCTCTGCATCCCACAGAGACTGAGGCTGAGAAATACAGTCAGGTACATGAGTTTCTAAACAGGCCCAGCCCACTGTCCTAATGCCATTAAAGCAGACAGTATATTGGTGTATTCTTGGGGCCATCAAAAATCAGAAGAAGCTCAGACTTCCTATTTCCTGCTACCCAGCTGGTTTTAGTTCCTTTACCCCTCCTCCTGTTCCTTGGTGTATGTTTTGCTGCAATCATTAGAGCCTGAGTCACTCTCCCCAGGAGACCCAGACCTAGAACTACCCAGAGCAAGACCACAGCTGGTGAACAGTCCAGGTAAGAAACATATTCTGGGGGACTGGGTAGCTTGACATAGACACACTTAATACACTGGTGAACACAATAGACTCTTTGTTTGAAGAAGGATGTGGAGTTGAAGAATAATTTTTTTAAAGAGGTTCTAAACAGGCCGGGCACGGTGACTCATGCTTGTAATCCCAGCACTTTGGGAGGCCAAGGCAGGTGGATAACTTGAGGTCAGGAGTTCGAGACCAGCCTGGCCAACATGTTGAAACCTCACTTCTATTAAAAATACAAAAATTAGCCAGGCGTGGTGGTGGGCGTCTGTAATTCAAGCTACTTGGGAGGCTGAGGCAGGAGAATTGCTTGAATCTGGGAGGTGGAGGTTGCAGTGAGCTCAGATTGCACCACTGTACTCCAGCCTAGGTGACAGAGTGAGACTCCATCTCAAATAAATAAGTAAATAAATAAATAAACAAATAGGCTCTAGACTTTATTGGGGTCCTGATGGGAATGATGGAATATAGAGACACTATGAGGCTGCAGGAGAGAGAAGGGATAAGTGAAGGAGGGAAGTTCTTGAGTAAATGGGGGAATGAGTTTTATGGGACCAGTAGAGGGTAATTCTTGGATGGAAACACTTGTTTTCTGGTTACAGAGATGAGGGCAGAGAACAGTGATGCAGGAGCCAGCAGGAGGAGAATCTGGTGGAGCAAGAGGCAAGGGCATCAGCTTGAGGGCTTGAGTCGGGATGGGAAAGGATGTTTGGTTTGAAGCTTTCAGGAGAAAGCAAAAGAGCCCTAACGACTTTATGATGGGTCATGGGGAAATGAGTGTAATACAGAAGCAGTCACCTTTCGGATCAGTGATGAGTCTCCACGTGAAGACACTGGTTCTGCATGGTGCATAGGACCCAGTAGCGGAATACAGCCCTGCCCTCTCATGAATCTGCAGACATTGGCTGTCATTTCTCATCAAGCTCCTAGTTTCCTCTTCCGTCACACAGGGATGATGATGTATAATCAATGCTGAGTTTGTTGAGATCAGAGGCAAGAAAGTTGAGGATGTGGTACAATGATTATCAAGCATAAAGTCCTTCATCGATGGCAGCCACCAAGGCCTGTGTTCATTGCAAATCACAGGATTTTTCCCTTGAACCATAATTGGACAAAATTGCACAGGTTTTCCTCTCTGGTATGTTCCAGCTCATTATTGCAGAATCCTCATCATTCATTGCAACAATCTTCTGAACTGGTTGCCTTAGAGATTCTTGAGGACAAAGAGTCCTCAGGGTATTTTGGTGGTTGGATGGGTGGTAGGGGAGGGAGACATCTCTGAGTTGTTTCTGAGATTGTAGAGTATCAAAGTTCATTAGAAATGTGAGACACATATGTAATTTCAAAGTGTCAAGTAGGCACTTTAAAAAGGTGAAGAGAAACATGCGAACTTAATTTTAATAAAATATCTAACCTAAACTTAAATAGCCAAATTATTATCATTTTAACATGTAGTCAATATAAAAACTATTAATGAGATGGTCACAATATTTTTTTCATACTAAGTCTTTGAAATCTGATGGGTATTTTACTCCTACAGCCTGTCTCCAGTTGGACTAGCCACAATTCAAGTGCTTGAAAACCACATGTGGTGAGTGACTAGTGCATTAGACAGCTCTTCTGTGCCAGTAGCGTGGCAGGGCAGAGGCAGAAAGAGACTTTTGCTGGAATTCGACAGCCTGGGCTGTTGGGTGACTTTAAGGAATTAACTGAAATGCTCTAAGTCGCACTTTCCTCGTCTGCAAAATGGGTACCATAAAGACAGTGACCCTCATAGTAACAATTTTGAGGAAGGCTGCTGCAAGCATTAGAAGAGAAGACCAGGCCGGGCGCAGTGGCTCACACCTGTAATCCTAGCACTTTGGGAGGCTGAGGCAGGTGGACTGCCTGAGCTCAAGAGTTTGAGACCAGCCTGGGCAACATGGTGAAACCCCATGTCTACTAAAATACAATTAAAAAGAAAAATTAGCCAGGCACGGCGGCGTGCACCTGAAATCCCAGCTACTCAGGAGGCTGAGACAGGAGAATTGCTTGAACCTGGGAGGCGGAGGTTGCAGTGAGCTCAGATCACGCCACTGCACTCCAGCCTGGGTGATAGAGAGAGACTCCATCTCAAAATAAATAAATAAATAAAATAAAATAAATTAAAAAAAAGAGAGAAGGCCAGCTCTCAGCAAGAACCTGACATGCACTTTGCATACCTGATCTAATGAAATGTCATATCCAATACATATTTGGACTATTATTTCTATCACGGTCTTCTACATCCCCAAGAGTGCTGAGCCCATCCAATGGATGGAGAAGCACCTCCCATCCATCTGGCCAAGGTAACCGCAGAGACGAGAGTGGAAACAGAGTCTGTTGTTCTGACTTCTTCTAGCACAGAATCCATTGGATATAATACTTGATTATACGTCGTTTAGTATCACTCACGGATCCATTTGACCTATGTTGGAAAACTAACCAAGTACTATGCCTTGCTTCCCACGATGAGAGAGGAAAGGGAGATTTCATGACCTTAAAGAGAGAGAGCGAGCAGAATTTGGAGTGGAGAAGTTGCATATCTTTTTTTTTTTTTTGAAACGGAGTCTCGCTCTGTCGCCCAGGCTGGAGTGCAATGGCGCAGTCTCTGCTCACTGCAACCTCCGCCTCCCACGTTCAAGTGATTCTCCTGCCTCAGCCTCTGGAGTAGCTGGGACTAAAAGCACCCACCGCCATGCCTGGCTAATTTTTGTATTTTTAGTAGAGATGGGGCTTCTCCATGTTGGCCAGGCTGGTCTCGAACTGCTAACCTCATGATCCACCCGCCTCGGCCTCCCAAGGTACTGGGATTACAGGCGTGAGCCACTGCGCCTGGCTGAGAAGTTGCATACCTTATAGTTCTTATGCAGTGTTATGGGTGAGAGAAAGTCTTAGTCCACGTTTGTGTGACACTAGGTCACTGAAGCTGTCGCCCACTGATTTTCTGATATCTTATGCTCTTATTTTTCCTTTATTAAATTGATGGTAAAATACAAAAAGTTAACCATTTTAGGCTGGGCACAGTGGCTCACGCCTATAATCTCAGCACTTTGGGACGCCGAGGCGGGCAGATCACCTGAGGTCAAGGAGTTTGAGACCAGGCTGGCCAACATGGTGAAACCCCATCTCTACAAAAATATAAAAATTAGCTGGGCATGGTGGCAAGTGCCTGTAATTCCAGCTACTCAGGAGGCTGAGGCAGGAGAATCACTTAAACGCGGGAGGCGGAGGTTGCAGTGAGCCAAGATCGCACCACTGCACTCCAGCCTGGGTGACAGAACGAGACTGCGTCTCAAACAACAATAAAAAAGTTACCCATTTAAATGTACAATTCAATGGCATTAAGTACATCTACAGTGTGTTGCAACCATAACCATTATCTAGTTCCAGAACTTTTTAATCACACCAAGCAAAAACTGCATATTCATTAAGCAACAATTCCCCACTTCCTAGTTTCCCCAGTCCCTGGCAATCACTAATCTGCATTCGGTCTCTGTGAGTTTGGCTACTCTGGATATTTCATACAAGTGGAATCATACAAAATGTGACTTGTGGTGTCTTCCTTCCTTCTCTCCTTCCTTCCTCCTTCTTTCCTTCCTTTCTTTTTTCTTTCATTTTAGAGACAGGGTCTTGCTTTGTTGCCCAGGCTGGAGTGCAGTGGCTCAATCATAGTACACTATTAACCTTGAATTCCTGGGCTCAAGTGAGCCTCCCATCTCACCCTTCTGAGTAGCTAGGACTACAGGTGTGTGCCACCACATCCAGCTAATTTAATTTAATTTTGTTGTTGTTGTTGTTAGAGATGAGGATCTTGCTATGTGGCTCAGGCTGATCATGAACTCCTGAGCTCAAGCAACCCTCCTACCTCGGCTTCCCAAAGCTCTGAGATGACAGGCGTGAACCACCACATCCAGCCCTCTTTTGTTTAGAGTAATGTTTTCAAGGTTCAGCCACGTTGTAGCATATATCAGTGCTTCATTGTTTTTTATGGCAGAATAATATTCCATTGGGTGGATAAACCACATTTTGTTTATCCATTCATCTGTTGATGGACATCTGGGTTGTTTCTACCTTTTGGCTATAGGGAGGAGTGTCTCTATGAACATTTTTGTTTGAATACATGTTTTCTCTATACATCTTTGGCCCCATATTCTCCTCTTGGAGGTCAAGGACCCTATCTTCCTTAGCCATTTAATCTCCCTGGTAGGGGCTTGCATGTTAGCAATTATGAGGATGTGTCATAAGATGCAATCTTGGCCACACGTGGTAGCTCACGTCTGTAATCCCAGCACTTTGGGAGGCTGAGGTGGGTGGATCACCTGGGGTCAGCAGTTCAAGACCAGCCTGGCCAACATGGCAAAACCCCACCTCTACTAAATATACGAAAATTAGCCAGGAGTGGGGTGGTGCATACCTGTAGTCTCAGCTACTCAGGACGCTGAGGCAGGGGAATTGCTTGAACCCGGGAGGTGGAGGTTGCAGTGAGAGATCACGCCACTGCACTCCAGCCTGGGTGACAGAGCAATATTCCATCTCAAAAAAAAAAAAAAAGATGTAATCTTGCCCAACAGGTACAATAAAAGATTGCCAATGTATAGATGTGGGCATGTGTAAGGGACAGTGGTGAGGATGTTCCGGCTGTTGTGGGAGCTCTAGGGGAAGGTGAGAAAGCTAGGAGTGGGAAAACTGGCAGGGGCAGAAATGAGGGGGTGGGGAAATGGTACGGAGGTTCATAACTGAGGAATGACCACGACTGCACTATTTCAGGAGCAGACAAGATGGAGACAAATTCCTCTCTCCCCACGAACATCTCTGGAGGGACACCTGCTGTATCTGCTGGCTATCTCTTCCTGGATATCATCACTTATCTGGTATTTGCAGTCACCTTTGTCCTCGGGGTCCTGGGCAACGGGCTTGTGATCTGGGTGGCTGGATTCCGGATGACACACACAGTCACCACCATCAGTTACCTGAACCTGGCCGTGGCTGACTTCTGTTTCACCTCCACTTTGCCATTCTTCATGGTCAGGAAGGCCATGGGAGGACATTGGCCTTTCGGCTGGTTCCTGTGCAAATTCGTCTTTACCATAGTGGACATCAACTTGTTCGGAAGTGTCTTCCTGATCGCCCTCATTGCTCTGGACCGCTGTGTTTGCGTCCTGCATCCAGTCTGGACCCAGAACCACCGCACCGTGAGCCTGGCCAAGAAGGTGATCATTGGGCCCTGGGTGATGGCTCTGCTCCTCACATTGCCAGTTATCATTCGTGTGACTACAGTACCTGGTAAAACGGGGACAGTAGCCTGCACTTTTAACTTTTCGCCCTGGACCAACGACCCTAAAGAGAGGATAAATGTGGCCGTTGCCATGTTGACGGTGAGAGGCATCATCCGGTTCATCATTGGCTTCAGCGCACCCATGTCCATCGTTGCTGTCAGTTATGGGCTTATTGCCACCAAGATCCACAAGCAAGGCTTGATTAAGTCCAGTCGTCCCTTACGGGTCCTCTCCTTTGTCGCAGCAGCCTTTTTTCTCTGCTGGTCCCCATATCAGGTGGTGGCCCTTATAGCCACAGTCAGAATCCGTGAGTTATTGCAAGGCATGTACAAAGAAATTGGTATTGCAGTGGATGTGACAAGTGCCCTGGCCTTCTTCAACAGCTGCCTCAACCCCATGCTCTATGTCTTCATGGGCCAGGACTTCCGGGAGAGGCTGATCCACGCCCTTCCCGCCAGTCTGGAGAGGGCCCTGACCGAGGACTCAACCCAAACCAGTGACACAGCTACCAATTCTACTTTACCTTCTGCAGAGGTGGAGTTACAGGCAAAGTGAGGAGGGAGCTGGGGGACACTTTCGAGCTCCCAGCTCCAGCTTCGTCTCACCTTGAGTTAGGCTGAGCCACAGGCATTTCCTGCTTATTTTAGGATTACCCACTCATCAGAAAAAAAAAAAAAAGCCTTTGTGTCCCCTGATTTGGGGAGAATAAACAGATATGAGTTTATTATTGACTTCTTTTTTGATTTTGGACCTCAGCCTTGGGTGGTCAGGGTGGGAAATGATAGGAAGAAGCTGTCATCTGCATCCTAGTTTGCCTGAAATGAACCCAAATAATACCCATTATTATTAGTCCTGAATTATGAGTAGTGAATGATACCCATCATTCTGGCATCATGATGAGTAGTGTCCACTTCCATTCTGAAAAGTGCCCTGCTGTGAAAAATAAATTATATAGTCATCCTAGGTAAATGAAGGAGGAGGGAGAAGTGTGAAAGAGTATGGCTTAAATCAGACAAGATATACAAGAAGATACTTTATATAGGGCAGGAGCGGTGGCTCATGCCTGTAATCCCAGCACTTTGGGAGGCCGAGGCAGGCGGATCACCAGGGGTCAGGAATTCGAGAACAGCCTGGCCAACATGGTGAAACCCTGTCTCTACTAAAAATACAAAAATTAGCTGGGCGTAGTGGCAGGCTCCCGTAATCCCAGCTACTCAGGAGACCGAGGCAGGAGAATCGCTTGAACCTGGAAGGCGGAGGTTGTAGTGAGCCAAGAAAACGCCACTACACTCCAGCCTGGGTGACAGAGAGAGACTCCGGCTCAGAAAAAAAAAAAAAGAAGATACTTTATATAAAGTCCTCAGCCTTTATCGGTCAACAACTCAGTAAAAATATAAAGTTATCGAGATGTCAGCTGAAGACCCCTCATTTCCTTGAGATCTACCTGATGCCTAATCTTTTATATAATAAATTTTGGGAAACAGATTATCCTCTCCACAAGGGAGGGCCCCCAGGGCCCGTGTTTTTACCTGTGGCTCTAAGTCTTGCTTCAACTGAGTTAGTCCAGTTCACACAATGTCTGGTGGTTGCTGCCCTGATGAAATTAACCCAGAGAGGAACTCAGACATTTCCTTCAATTTACTGAAAAGCTACCTGCACAAGGTATTTAAATATGAAACACACTTTACAGAAAGAAGCTTGGAAATGTTAGAGTATGCAACTGGCCAGCAACGGACAAACATGAAAGCTTCCAGTTGAACTTAAGACATCCTTTTAAAAGTCCACCCTCCCTCTTATCTCCTCACCTCCAGATTCCTGCTTTTTTTTTTTTTTTTTTTTTTTTTTTTACAACGCAGAGAAATTTAGCCATCCTACCCTTGACTCTGACTCTTTATCCCTCAGGTCTCCTTTCCTAACTCAAGTCATTTATCAATAACAGTATCCTCCTTAAGAAGATTTCTGGTGCCAGCTCTTTTTTTTTTTTTTTTTTTTGAGACAGAGTCTTACTCTGTCGCCCAGTCTGGAGTGCAGTGGTGCGATCTCAGCTCACTGCAACCTCTGCCTCCCGGGTTCAAGCGATTCTCCTGCCTCAGCCTCCAGGTTAGCTGGGACTACAGGCGCCCGCCACTGCGCCCGGCTAAATTTTTTTGTATTTTTAGTAGAGGTGGGGTTTTGCCATATTGGCCAGGCTGGTTTTGAACTCCTGATCTTGTGATCCACCCGCCTCAGCCTTCCAAAGTGCTGGGATTACAGGTGTGAGCCACCACACCCCATCAAGAAGATTTCTGTTGTCGGCTCTTGAATAATCATTTAATTACCATTACAGACATCATCATTTTATTGTATTTTATTTTATTTATTTATTTATTTTTGAGACAGAGTTTCACTCTTGTTGCCCAGGCTAGAGTGCAATGGCACAATCTCGGCTCACTGCAACCTCCACTTACTGGGTTCAAGCGATTCTCCTGCCTCAGCCTCCAGAGTAGCTGGGATTACAGGCATGCATCACACCTGGCTCACTTTGTATTTTTTAGTAGAGATGGAGTTTCTCCATGTTGGTCAGGCTGGTCTCGAACTCCTTACCTCAGGAGATCTGCCCGCCTCAGCCTCCCAGAGTGCTGGGATTACAGGAGTGAGCCACTGCGCCTGGCCATCATTTTATTATAAACAAGAAACAGAAGAGAAATGGAGAGAGAATGAATAGAAAGAAGAGAGATGAAGGAGAAGCTTGGAGCATCCAGAATTAACTTACAGCAGAACCTGTCTTTGGGTGAGGGGCTGGGTGATGAGGGCTAATTTCATCTCAGTGCAAGGGGAGATTCCTGAGTTTTGATGACATGATGTGGTCCTTGGGAATCTAGCTCTTCTCTAGACTCCCATGATGATTTTTTCTGTACACCCCCCACGAAGCTCTGCAAGCCTTACTCATCAGCATCCAATGCATTTATTTAACCTATGCCACTGACCCCAGAGCTTCTGGAGGGCATCGTGTCATCCTTGCCTTTTCCCTGCATACAAAAGGCTTCAATGAATGATGGTTTAACTAAACCTTTTGCTTCTGTACCTCTTTTATAATTACGCAGGATACTTGTAAATCCTGGAACCCCTTTGGTCACCAACTCCATTAAGTCAGAGAGTTCTTCCTATGCTGACACATGGAGAAATTGAGGCCCAGAAGGAGAGTGTAGTAAAATAGGACCCTGCTACAAAGTTAGAGGGCAGACCCTTCATACAAGACCACCCTCGCTTCTGCCAATTTGCAGAATCTCCAGAACACCCTCCGGCTGGATCATTTGCTAGAAAGAGTCACAGAGAGAGAACTGAGCAGAGGATTTGAACAGAGAAGAAGTGAGAGATGATGAAGCCCCAGATTGCAAGGGGTAGGGAGAAGCTACCAGATAATGTTCCAGTTCCTCTAAGGTCTAGACGCACTGTCTGCAGTTGGCTTCCTTTAAATTCCCTTGTGTTCTTCCAGCAGGTTTAACTTAAGCCAGCTTGACCGAGTTTCTGCAACTCACAACTCAACCATCCGTTCCTAAGCTACCTATAATAATTGTCAGAATGAATCAACCACAGGGTGGTTCCCGTGACTGAGGCTGAGCAAGAGAATGGGGAGAGACTTGGCTTGCGGGGGGTGGGTATTACCCTTCCGGCCACTTACTGGGGGAGCTCCTGGTCTTGCATGAACCAGCAAACAGAGAAGAGGCAATGGCCTATGATGTGGTCAAAGAACGAGAATAAATGATAGCCCCTGTCGGCTCCCAAATCCTAACAATATCCAGCTCACCCTGAATGGTGCCTCTATGGGGAAAAAATCCCTCTTGTAGAATTTAGACGTTAAGAATACAGACCCTCCTAACAAGTTGACTGGATTGGAATCTGGACCTCATCTCTTATAAGCTCTGTGATCTGGGGAAAATCAATTACTTTTTCTCTCTCTTTTTTTTTTTTTTTTTTTTTTTTTGAGATAGAGTTTCACTCTTGTTGCCCAGGCTGGAGTGCAATGGCATAATCTTGGCTCACTGTAACCTCCACCTCCCAGGTTCAAATGATTCTCCTGCCTCAGCCTCCCGAGTAGCTGGGATTACAGGTGCGCATCAACACGCCCGGCTAATTTTTGTATTTTTAATAGAGACAGGGTTTCTCCATGTTGATCAGGCTGGTCTCGAACTCCTGACCTCTGGTGATCTGCCTGCCTTGGCCTCCCAAAGTGCTGGGATTATAGGCGTGAGCCACTGTGCCTGGCCTCAATTACTTTTTCTGTATCAGTAATGGTCCCCTCAAGAAAAAGGCAGTACACTAAAATGATTTCGTTGAAGAGAGCTGGAGACCCAGGAATGCTGGTGGTGCAGTCCCAGTCCTAGTCTGAAGGGCTGAGAAGGAGAGACAATGATGTAGTTCCAGTCCAAAGGCTGGCAGGCTTGAGACCCAGAAAGAGCTAATGTTTTTATTTTATGTCCAAAAGCAAGAAAAAAACTCATGTCTCAGCTTAAAGGTTGACAGGAAAGGAGTTCCTTTTATTCGTAGAAGGGCCAGCCTTTTTGTTTTATTCAGGCCTTCAAAAGATTGGACGTGGCCCGCCCACAATAGAGAGGGTAAGCTGTGTTACTAAGTCTACCTTTTAAATGTTAATCTTGGGTCTGGCGTGGTGGCTCACACCTGTAACCCCAGCACTTTGGGAGGCTGAGGTGAGCAGATAACCTGAGGTCAGGAGTTCGAGAATAGCCTGGCGAACATGGCAAAACTCTGTCTCTACTGGAAATACAAAAAGTAGCCGGGTGTGGTGGTAGGCACCTGTAGTCCCAGCTACTTGGGAGGCTGAGGCAGGAGAATCACTTGAACCAGGGAGGTGGAGGTTGCAGTGAGCTGAGATTGGGCGACACAGAGACTTTGTCTCAAAAATAATAATAATAATAAAATTAAATAAATAAATAAATGTTAATCTTATTAAGTTTAGCCCAAAGCTGTATTCTCACTTTTTTTTTTTTTTTTTTGAGACAAGGTCTTGCTCTGTCACCTAGGCTGGAGTGCAGTGGTATGATCATAGCTCACTGCAGCTTCAAACTCCCACCTCAGCCTCCCAGGTAGTTAGGACTACAGGTGCATGCCACCATGCCCAACTAATTTATTTATTTATTTATTTATTTATTTATTTGCAGAGATGGGATCTCACGATGTTGCCCAGCCTGGGTGACAGAGTGAGACCCTGCCTCAAAACAAACAAACAAAAACAAAAAACAAAAAACAAAATTATTGCAATGGTTTGGATACAGAAGAAAAGAGAGTTCATCTGTCCTTTATTAAACCAGACATTTAAAAAATCTGCAAACAGGCTGGGCATGGTGGCTCATGCTTGTAATCCCAGCACTTTGGGAGGCTGAGGCAGGTAGGTTACCTGAGGTCAGGAGTTTAAGACCAGCCCGGCCAACATGGTGAAACCCCATCTCTACTAAAAATACAAAAATTAGCTGGGCGTGGTGACGCATGCCTGTAATCCCAGCTACTCAGGAGGCTGAGGCAGGAGAATCACTTAAACTTGGGAGGCAGAGGTTGCAGTGAGCCAAGATTGCACCATTGCATTCCAGCCTGGGTGACAGAGCGAGACTACAGCTCAAAAAAATAAAAACAAAAAATAAAATAAAAACTAGTACTGGATTTTGCAAGAAATAGCAAGTCACCCTGAAGTTATAATTGTATGGCATTTACAATAAAGAGAATTTTAGATTATATTATTATTCTTTGTAAAGTGTGTGGTACATATCCTTTATAATCAGTAAAATTACAAAATGTATTATAAACATATGTGTTTATACACAGACATACATTTTTCCCCTTGGAGAGCCAGTTGTTAAACATCTACCAGCACCTCACAGTGTAGAAAGCACATGTATTTTGGATCCTGTAACAGTCATGTTCAGATCCCGGCTGTCACTGCTTGTGTGACCTCAGACAAGTCACTTCCCTCTTCGAATGTCAATTTTCTCTTCTTTAACATGCGAGCAGTAATAGCTGCCTGAGGGAATCTTTTGGTTGGAGCTCATGAACATGAGATGGGAAGCATAGAGCTGAGCATCTGTATCACGGCTGGCCAGGCACAGTGGCTCACACCTGTAACCCCAACATTTGAGGCCAAAGCAGGCGGATCACTTGAGCCCAGGAGTTCCAGACCAGCCTGGGCAACATGGCAAAGCCGAGTCTCTACAAAAATAAAAAAATACAAAATAAAAAAAATCAGCCAGGATTGGTGGCGCACACCTGTAGTCCCAGCTACTCAGGAGGCTGAGGCAGGAGAATCGAGGCTGGGCCTGGGAGGTCGAGGCTGCAGTGAGTCATGATCATGCCAATGAACTCTATTCTGGGGAGTAAGAGCAAGACCCTGTCTCAAAATATAATAAGATAAAAACATACATATCATGGCCACCATCAACATTATGACCATTTCCACCTGCTGGAGACAGGGTTGTTTTCTCTGTCCTCTGCAACCAGAGTGACGTGACACTTCCTGTATTACCCGCCCTCTCCCATTCTCATAGTCTTTTTTCCCCCTCGCACCTCCCTTTGTCAAGCAACAGTGGTAGGGGTCATTTAGTAGGAATTACTCTGAAGTCCCTGCACCTGGGGTTAGGGGAGCGGAAACGCTCCCTCAGTGATCTGCTCTGATCACGTGCACCTTAGAAGAGCATGCATGGTCCCTGTGAGCCTCCCCAGGGCACAGAGAGGAGCTTGTTCATCTTACGCTCCACATGTACCCCGCACTGGGCTGGCATGTTAGTTTGCTAGGGTGCTGTAACTCATTACCACAAACCAAGTGGCTTCAAACCACAGAAATGGATTATCTCACAGTACTGGAGGCCAGAAGTCTGAAATTAAAGTGGCGGCAGGGTTGGCTCCTTTTGGAGGCTCTGGAGGAAAATCCCTTCCACGCCTCTCTCCTAGCTCCCAGTGGCGGCTGCCATCCTTAGCATTCCTTGGTGTTAGGGATGTAATTTTGTCCTCTCCCCACCCTCCATTCCTATGTTGAAGTCCTAACCCCCAGCCCCTCAGAACGTGTCCTTATTTGGATACTGGATCATGGCAGATGTAATTGTTTAAGTTAAGGTGAGGTCATACTGGACTAGGGTGGACCCATAATCCAACATGACTGGTGTCCTTATGAAAAAAGGGAAATTCGGATGCAGGTGCGCACACGGGAAGAACGCCATGTGATGAGGAAGGCAGAGGTTGCAGTGATGCTTCCACAAGCCAAGGAACACCACAGACTGTCAGCAAATCACCAAAGATTGTCAGTGTCAGGCACCAGAAGCAGCCAAGTGCAGTGGCTCATGCCTGTAATCTCCGCACTTTGGGACGCTGAAGTAGGAGGATTGCTTGAGCCCAGGAGTTTGAGGCCAACCTGGGCAACATAGCAAGACCCTGTCCTTACAAAACATTAAAAAGTGAGCAGGGTGTGGTGGTGCACACCTATGGTCCTAGCTACTTGGGAGGCTGAGGCGGGAGGATCACTTGAGCCCAGGAGTTCTGAGTTGTGGTAAGCTACAATCACACCACTGTACTCCAGCCCAGGTGACAGACCAAGACCCTGTCTAAAAAATAAAAATAGGCAGGGCGCTGCGGCTTATGCCTGTAATCCTAGCACTTTGGGACACTGAGACAGGCAGATCAACAGAGGTCAGGAGTTCGAGAACAGCCTGGTCAACATGGAGAAATCCCGTCTCTACTAAAAATACAAAAATTAGCCGGGTGTGGCCGCGCGTGCCTGTAATCTCAGCTACTCAGGAGGCTGAGGCAGGAGAACTGCTTGAATCCAGGAGGCGGAGGTTGCAGTGAGCTGAGATTGCGCCACTGTACTCCAGCCTGGGCTACAGAGGGAGACTTCCTCTCAAAAATAAATAAATTAATAAAAATAAAAAACAAGCTAACCAGGTGAGGTGTCTCCCACCTATAGTCCCAGCTACTTGGGAGGCTGATGGGGGAGGATTGCTTGAGCCCAGAAGTTCAAGGCTAGCCTGGCAATGTAATGAGACCTCATCTCTACAAAAAAAATTTTTTTAAATAGCTGAGCATGGTGGCCTGTGCCTGTAGTCCCAGCTATTTGGGAGGCTGAGATGGGAGGTTGGCTAAAGCCTGAGAGGCAGAAGTTGCAAAGAGCTGATTGGGGCTGGGTCAGCTCACTGGCTCAGAGGTTAGTGGGCAGTGAGCTGACTGTACTCCATCTTGGGCAGCAGAGAAAGAGCCTGTCTCAAAGAAAGAAAAAAAAAATCACCAGAATCTAGGCAAGAGGCATAGAATAGATTCTGCCTCACAGCCCTCAGAAGAAACCAAGTCTGCTGGAACATCCTGATTCTGGACTTCTAGCTGGCAAAACTTTGAGACAGTAAATTTCTGTTGTTTAATCCCCTGAGTTTGTGTCACAGCCGGCCCTTCATATTTGTGGTTTCTACATGTAAGGATTCAACCAATCACGAATAGAAAATATTTGAAAAAAGTAATAAAAAATACAAATTTTAAAAATACAGTAGAAGAACTGTCTATCATTTATATTGTATTAGGTATCATCAGTAAGCTAGAGATGGTTTAAAGTATATGGGAGCACTTTGGGAGGCCGAGGCAGGCAGATCACTTGAGGTCAGGAGTTCGAGACCAGCCTGGCCAACATGGCAAAACCCCGTCTCTACTAAAAATACAAAAAATAGCCAGGCATAGTGGAGGGTGCCTGTAATCCCAGCCTCTCAGGAGACTGAGGCAGGAGAATCGCTTGAACCCAGGGGGCAGAGCTGAGATTGCACCACTGCACTCCAGCCTGGGTGACAGAGCAAGACTCCAACTCAAACAAATAATAATAAATAAATAAATAAAAATAAAGTATATGGGAGGATGTGCATAGGTTATGCGCAAATACCACACAATCTTATGTAAGTGTCTTGAACTCATCTGTGCATTTTAGTATCCGCAGGGTCTTGGAAGCAACCTTCAGAGAATACTGAGGGACAGCTGTACTTTTTTATTACAGAAGTCTTAGAAAACTAGTACACTTAGCTTGTGATACATCACTCCAATCTCCACCTATGTCTCTGCATCACTTTCTTTTTCTTTTTGATACAGGGTCTCCCTCTGTCACCCAGGCTGGAGTGCAGTGGTACAATCATAGCTCACTGCAGCCTCGATCTCCTGGGCTCAAGTGATCCTCCCACTTCAGCCCCTCATGTAACTGGAACTATAAGCGTATGCCACCACATCCAGCTAATTTTTAAATTTTTTGTAGTGACAAGTTCTCACTGTGTTGCCAGGCTGCTCTCGAACCCCCTGGGGCTCCCACCTCGGCCTCCCAAAGTGCTGGGATTACAGGCATTCAGTCTTCTTATTTCACTTTGGGAGGCATTTTTTTTTTCCTAATCAGATGGTTCTCAAACTGTACGTAAGAATTACCTGGGACATTTGTTTAAATCATTTCCATAGCCCTGAGCTCACAAAATCTGAATAAATGACAGTGAAGACCAGTAGTCGTCATGTTTAGCAAATGCACACAGATGATGTGGATGCTTTGGGCTCCACGGACCAGTTTTGCAGAACACTTGAACATACGATGACAAGAGCTGATGGCGGAGGCCGTGTCTCATGTGCTTTGGGGCAGCTTCCTTCATCTCTGTGTTATCTCTCAACATTTGGAAAATGGAAATTATCACAAGGACCAGAAGGGTGTTGGCCAGGATGGTATCAGTGTTGAAAAGCCAGATCTCATATCAAAATCCTTAACTTCATGACACCTGCAAAAGCTCTTAAAACCCTTTATCCAAATAAGGTCACATCCATAGGTTCTGCAGGTTAGGACTTAGATGTATCTTTTGGGGGCCACCCGTCAACCCCACTACATGTGGAACCAAGGACACTGAGGGACAGATGTATTTTGTTACTACAGAACCCTTAGAAAACTAATACACTTGGCTTGTGGGTGCATCACTGCAATCTCTGCCGCCGTCTTTACATCACCTTCTTCTCTGTGTTTAGTGTCTACCTCCCTCTGCCTCACTCTTATAAGGACACCTGCCGTGGCGTTTGGGGCCGACCTTAAATCTAGGATATGCTCATCTTGAAATTCTTAGTTTTATGACATTTGCAAAACCCCTCTTTCCAAATAAGGTTGCAGTCAGAGCTTCTGGGGGTTAGGACATCCTCTTAAGTAATCCCCTCATGGGAAACCACGGCAGCGTTATTTCCTCTTCATCTTACAGCATTCACTGGGAATGACGGCATTGTGGTTTTGAGCCTCTGGACTGTGGGTGCCTGCAGCCCAGGTCACAGAAAGGGGCCGCCGGACTTCTGCAGCTCTGTGTCCTCTATCTGGAGCCCACAGGCGTGCCCCTTTGATGACACACTCTCTGTGCTGCACAGTCTGGCTGTTCACCAAACTGTTTGGAGCTTTCTGCTATGTCCCGGGTAAGAGGGTCTATTCACCCCATGCTTGAAAGACTAGGAACCAAACAGAGTTCCACTCACCTGCATCAACATGGGGAAGGGTCCTCCTTGTCTGCAGGTGGCTAAGGAGGCTCAGAGCCAGGAGTTGGCTTGCGCAAGCCTGCCTGCCTTGGAACCCAGGGGTGTCTGATGACAGAGTGTGGGCTCCTCCCAGCTCCAACCTGGCTTACTCCTCAGAGGAGAGGTGGGGTATCCAGGGAGGGTGAAGGGGTGGGGTATCCAGGGAAGCATCCCCCTGTTGCCACCTGAGTTAGTCTTGGAGACCTTCAAACTCTGCTGTTTCAGGAACGGCTAAACTCACCTCATATTCTAATGTGCCAGACAGACTCTCTCTCTTAATCTTCAGGGCTATCCTATGAAGGACAAATTGAGACAGTCCCATTTTACAGATGAAAAAAGAGAGGCTCAGAGGAATGAAATGGCTCCACGCCAAGAACAGGCAACTAACGGTGAGGGAATAAGTGTTCGGGTCCCCTAAACTTCATTGTTGAAATCCTAATCCCTAAGGAGATGTTATTAGAAGGGAGCATGTTTAGGAGGTGATGAGGTTATGAGGGTGGAGCCCTCATGCATGCAATTGGTGCTTTTGCAAAAGAAGCCCGAGAGAGAGGACCCTGCCCCCACCACCATGTGAGGACACAGCAAGAAGACCCCATTTATGAATCAGAAAATCCACTCTCACCGGACACCAAATCTGTCAGTACCCAGGTCCTGGACTTGCCAGCCTCAGAACTGTGAGAAATAAAATTTTTGTTGTTTATAAGCCACCCAGCTTAGGGTATTTTGATAGAGCAGCCAGAAGGGACTAAGACAATAAGAAACATATATCTGGGGCCGGGCGCAGTAGCTCATGCCTTTAATCCCAGCACTTTGGGAGGCTAAGGCAGGCGGATCACTTGAGGCCAGGAGTTCGAGACCAGCCTGGCCAACACGGTGAAACCCCGTCTCTACTAAAAGTACAAAAATTAGCTGGGTGTGGTGACACACGCCTGTAATCCCGGCTACTCGGGAGGCTGAGGCAGGAGAATCGCTTGAACCTGGGAGGTGGAGGTTGCAGTGAGCCGAGATTGCGCCACTGCACTCCAGCCGGGATGACACAGCAAGACTCTGTCTCAAAAAATAAAAAATAAAAAGAAAGAAATATGTATTTGGGCCAGGTGAGGTGGTTTACAACTGTAATTCCAGTGCTTTGGGAGGTCGAGGTGGGAGAATTGCTTGAGACTAGGAGTTTGAGACAATATAGGCAATATATAGTGAGCCTGGGCAATATAGTGAGCTCCTGTCTCTACAAAAAATAATAAAATTAGCTGGGCACAGTGGCACAGCCTTTATTTCCAGCTACTCAGGAGGCTAAGGCGGGAGGATCGCTTGAGCCTGGGAGGTTGAGGCTGCAGTGAACAGTGACTGCACCACTGCATTCCAGCCTGGGCCACAGAGTGAAGACTTGTCTAAAAATAAATAAATATATATTTGTTTTCTGCCCCTAATTTCTAGCACAGAGCTCCTAAAATTCTTGTAACTTCCTGAGTGAGGAGGTGAGAAGAACATATTTTGTTATTCATAATTAGCCCCTACCAGCCATACCTGAGTTTATGCTAATGAGGAGGATCTGGGCGGATCGGGGATGGTTGCCAGAGAGACGAACCCTGTGATCCCAGTGGAATTTTTAGCCTCATGCTCTAAATTCCAAGAAGGGAGAGGGGCTGGAGATTGACTAATCACCAGTGGCCAATGATTTAATCAATCATGCTATAAAATAAAAATAAAATCCTAAGGCCCTCCCTCCACCCCACTCACCATCACCACCACTGACTCAGCAAGACCCTTTCTTAGCCAAAGGGATCCCAGAGAAACCTAAAAACTGAGTTCCTGGCCATGACTTCAAGGGAGGTGGGACACGCCTTCTTATGCCCCTTCTCTTTTGGAGTTTAGGAACACAGAAGACCAGCATTATAGTTAAAATAGACGTCGTAAGATTGACAAAACAGACTCTTTGTGATGATAAGATACCAAATTACATACAAGACCTAAGGCAAGTGTTAAGTCACTTCTAAGGGCCATCAATCTTGCTACATCCCTCATCCTTATCTTAAAACATTCTTTTTTGCAGACTCCAGGTTTTGCAGACTCCAGGTTTTAAGCAGACCTTACTCCTTTAACCAACTGCAAATTAAAGAAGCCCTGAATCCATCTGTAACCTGTCAGCCCGCCCCTCTTCAAGATATTCTGCCTTTTCAGGCCAAACCAATGTATGTCTTCCATGTACTGATTTATGACTTTGCCTGTAACTCCTTCCTCCCTAAAATGCATCAAATCAATTTTTACTTTAAGTTCTGGGATACATGGGCAGAATGTGCAGGTTTGTTACATAGGTATATGTGTGCCATGGTGGTTTGCTGCACCATCGTCTAGGTTTTAAGCCCTGCATGCATTAGGTATTTGTCCTAATACTCTCCCTCCCTTATCTCCCACACCCCCTCCCTTGACAGGCTCCGGTGTGTGATGTTCCCCTCCCTGTGTCCATGTGTTCTCATTGTTCAACTCATGATCGCATGAGTGAGAACATGCGGTGTTTCGTTTTCTGTTCCTGTGTTACTTTGCTGAAAATGATAGCTTCCAGCTTCATCCATGTCCCTGCAAAAGACATGAACTCATTCTTTTTTATGGCTGCAACATCAAACCAAACTTAATCTGGCCAACCTTGGGCACACCACGGTCACTGAAATTGTCCCAGAATAAACTTCTTTAAAATATTTTACAGAGTCCAGGTGTGGTGGCTCACGCCAAAAATCCCAGCACTTTGGGAAGCTGAGGCAGGAGGATCACTTGAGCCCAGAAGTTTGAGACCAGCCTGGGTAACCTAGGGAGACCCCATCTCTACAAAAAATTAAAAAAGTAGCTAGGTGTGGTGGCACACGCCTATAGCCCCAACTACTCAAGAAACTGAGGTGGGAGGATCACCTGAGCCCAGAAGGTTGAGGCTGCAGTGAGCCATGATTGTGCCACTGCACTCCAGAGTGAGATCTTGACTCCAAAAATTAATAAATAAATAAAAATAAATACAATAAAATACTTTATAGAGTTTGGTTTTTCTGTTAACAATGCCCAGGTAAAGGAACATCCACAAAAACCCTAAACAATAGGGTTCCGAGAAGTTCCAGGTTGATGAAGACGTCCACATGACGCCATCGCAGACAGAAGCTCTCACACTTGGAACCCTTCTGGACCTCACCTTATGTTCCCCCTCATCTGGCCACTCACCTGTAACCTTTATAATACTCTTTATAATGAACTGGTACATGGAAGTAAAGCACCCCCCTGAGTTCTGTGAGCTGTGATAGCAAATTATGGAATGTCAGGAAGGGGTTGTGGGACCCCTGATTTGTAGCCAAGTCAGATAGAAGTGTGGGTACCCTGTGGTCCCAGTGCCTGTGACTGGCATGTGAAGTCGGGGGCACTCCCGTGGGACTGAGCCCTCAACCTGTGGGGGCTGTGCTAACTCCAGGGAGTTAGTGTCAGAACTGAAGTGAGTTGTTACACATGCAGTTGCTGTCCAGAGAGTTGGAGAATTGATTGTTGGTGGGAATGCAGCCCGGCCTCTTTGGTGTCAGAAGTGTGGAGTGGAGAAACAGGGTCTTCTTGCATTTATTCATGTTTTTCGAGACACAGTTTCACTCTGTCCCCCAGGCTGGAGTGCAGTGGTGCAATCTTGGCTCACTCCAACCTCCACCTCCCGGGTTCAAGCGATTCTCCTGCCTCAGCCTCCCGAGTAGCTGGGATTACAGGCGCCCAGCACCACACCCAGCTAATTTTTGTATTTTTGGTAGAGGCGGGATTTCATCATGTTGGCCAGGCTGGCCTCCAACTCCTGACCTCACATGATCCGCCTGCTTCGGCTTCTCAAAGTGCTGGGATTACAGGCGTGAGCCACCACGCCTGGCCCAGGGTTTTCTTTCAAACCTACTCCTCCCTGGCAGCCCCAGAGGTCCAGGCCACCAGCCCTGGGCCCTGGATCCCCACCTTTGGATCTATTTTCTGAATCTGATTGCTGTGTTTGTCCTACAGAGACTCCTCTGCCCTGACTGTGGTGGAGGCCGATGCAGGAGGCAAGGTGGACAATGGGAACTTACAGAGAGGAGGGGGTAACCCACAGAGCTAAACCACATGTGCAAGAGGAACCTGGGCTTGGGAAGTTTTCTGTCAGGGCTCGGTGTTGCGGGAAGCCAGGGACCCCAAATGGAGGGACCGGCTGAAGCCATGGCAGAAGAACGTAGATTGCGAAGATTTCATAGACATTTATTAGTTCCCCAAATTAATACTTTTGTAATTTCTTATGCCTGCCTTTACTGCAATCTCTAAACATAAATTGTAAAGATTTCATGGACACTTATCACTTCCCCAATCAATACCCTTGTGATTTCCTATGCCTGTCTTTACTTTAATCTCTTAATCCTGTCAACTGAGGAGGATGTATATCGCCTCAGGACCCTGTAATAATTGCATTAACTGCACAAATTGTAGATCATGTGTGTTTGAGCAATATGAAATGTGGGCACCTTGAAAAAAGAACGGGATAACAGCAGTTGTTCAGGGAATAAGAGAGATAATCTTAAACTCTGACCGCTGGTGAGCCAGGCAGAACAGAGCCATATTTCTCTTCTTTCAAAAGCAAATGGGAGAAATATCGCTGAATTCTTTTTCTCAGCATGGAACATCCCTGGGAAAGAGAATACGCGCCTGGAGGTATAGGCTTATAAATATCCCCCCCAGGTGCTCCTGTCTCTTATGGTCGAGACTGCAGGGGTGAAATAGACTCCAGTCTCCCATAGCGCTCGCTCCCAGGCTTATTTGGAAGAGCAAATTCCCTCCTAATAAATTTTGATCAGACCAGTTGATCTCAAAACCCTGTCTCCTGATAAGATGTTATCAATGACAATGGTGCCTGAAACTTCATTAGCAATTTTAATTTTGCCTCGGTCCTGCGGTCCTGTGATCTCGCCCTGCCTCCACTTGCCTTGTGATATTCTATTACCTTGTAAAGTACGTGACCTCTGTGACCCACACCTATTCGCACGCTCCCTCCCCTTTTGAAAATCCCTAATAAAAACTTGCTGGTTTTTGTGGCTTGTGGGGCATCACGGAACCTACCGACATGTGATGTCTCCCCCGGACACCCAGCTTTAAAATTTCCCTCTTTTGTACTCTGTCCCTTTATTTCTCAAGCTGGCCAACGCTTAAGGAAAATAGAAAAGAACCTACATGAATATCGGGGCAGATTCCCTGATAGCTCGGAACGCAGTAGAGCTGAGAATCTAGGGGTCCAGGCCTCATCTTGAGCCCACTGGATGCCAGCCCCCCCACCCCCTCCTCCCTCAGACCCAGGAGTCCAGGTCCAGCCCCTTCTCCCTCAGACCCCAGAGTCTAGGCCCCCAGCCCCTCCTCCCTCAGACCCAGAAGTCCAGGTCCCAGGCCCTCCTCCCTCAGATCCAGGAGTTCAGGTCCAGCCCCTCCTCCCTTAGTCCCGGGAGTCCAGGTCCAGCCCCTCCTTCCTCAGACCAGGGAATTCAGATCCCAGCCGCTCCTCCCTCAGACTCAGGAATCCAGGCTCTCAGATCTTAGTCTAAGCCCCCAGCTCCTCCTTCCTCTGTGACTGGCAGGGCATAGCCTAGTGACCTAATGCCTACCACCTGATTTCTGTTACCCAGCCATGCTGCCTGTGTGCTGTATCACTTGTCCCAGGAAATGACTCTTCTTGTGCCTCAGTTTCCCTATCTGGAAAATGGGTCTCCTCCTCTCTTGCTTCCCTGGAGAGGATAAACAGCTTTTGCAAAAGGAAGCCCCTCCCTCCCTCTCCCTCTGTCTGGCTCTTACTGTCTCTGTTTCTCTCCAGGGAAAGTGGCAGGAGAGATGGTGCATGCTGGGGTAGAAAGTGCCTTCAACTTGTTACAGGCAGGGCTCTCCCCCTCCAGGCCTTTCTCTCCCTCCTCCCAGCTCTGGAAGTCCTACAGTTTCTCCCAGAGGCACTAGCTGGAGGCAGAAGGTGGATGTACAGTCATCATTGCTGGCTAGGCTCCCTCCCTCCCTCCCTGGATTTCGGCAGAATCATGGAAGCCTAGGGGTTTCCCAGAATAGGCATGTGGGGGAGAAAAGGTCCCGTCTAACTCCAGCCCATCCAAGGTTCTGAGTTCCTGGAAGTCCAGAGGCAGTCTCTTTACAGACTTGGGGTCTTTGCTGATCCTGGAGTCTTTTTCCTCTAAGGTCCCACCTCCCCGGAGCTCCTCAACCCATCCTCCCAGGACTGGCCACTCTGAGTGGTGTCCATAGAACTATTACGCAGGAGTCGGTTGGGGGTCCCAGCTGCTAGGCCCTCTCTCCCCAACTTCTCTCCTCCCCCTCTTGCCTATCCTTCCCTCTCTCTCTCCCTCCTCCATTCTCCTCCTCCTCTTCTGATCTTCCTCCCCCTCCTTCTCTCTTTCCCTCCCTCCTCCTCTCCTTCCTCCTTCTTCCCTTATCTTTCCTTCCCCTCCTTCCTTCCTCTCCATTTTTTTTTCCCCCAGACAGAGTCGCTTTGTCGCCTAGGCTGGAGTGCAGTGGCGTGATCTCGGCTCATTGCAAACTCCACCTCCCGGGTTCAAGCGATTCTCCTGCCTCAGCCTCCTGAGTAGCTGGGACTACAGGCATGCACCACCACGCCCACCTAATTTTTGTGTTTTTAGTAGAGACGGGGTTTCACCATGTCAGCTAGGCTAGTCTTGAACTCCTGACCTCAAGTGCTCCACCTGCCTTGGCCTCCCAAAGTGCTGGGATTACAGGCGTGAGCCACCGTGCCCGGTCGCTCTCCTTTTTCTTTCCCCTCTCCATCTACCAATCTGACTTTCTATCCTGACCTCACACATTGTTCAACACATATTTGTTGAGCACCTACCTAGACACAGGTCCAGGCTCTGAGGAATGAGCCATGAACAAACCAGATAAAGACAGCTGCCTGTCTAGAGCTTGCATTCGAACCAGGAAGACACACATTACACAAAAAAGATACTAAACGTACCTTATGCAGGTTATACGTTATATAGGAAGGGGACCAATGCTATGGGGAAAAAGAAAAAGCAGAAGAGAGTAAAGGGGGTCAGGAATCCAGGGGTAGGGCAGTTTTTCGCTGTTGAATAGATGGTCGTGGAAGCCAGCTTCTGTCTTTCATTCCTCTCCCTCCCTCCTTTTCTCCTCTGTCTCTCGGTATCTAGATCCCCGCAGTGTGCATTTCCCTTCCCAATCCAGGACACCTGGCAAAGAAACCATCTACCGGGATTCAAGCATTTAATAAAACAAGGATCTCTTCAGGTTACTGCCCAGGGGCCCCTTGCCCTCACTGGTTCCCCAGTAGGTACCTGCCTGAGATGGAGCAAAGCGAGGAGCAACTGTAGCCAGAACTAGCTGAGGTTAGGGGCTTGGCAAGTTAGCCCGCCATGTCTGTGTCCATCCCCCAGTCTTCTTGGTCCTGGCTCCTCGGGGTCCTGCACCTCTGCCCAACCTCACTCACACTTCCTCTCTAGCCTGGAAAAGCCCCAGGGATCTCTGATGCAACCCCACCCCCCAGCAACTCATCCTGGCCCAGAGCCCCCTGTCTCTCCCTCCAGTTTGTCCCTTACTCAGACAAAGAGCTGATCCTGCCCCTCCCTTGCTCACAGCCCTTCCATGGCTCCCCATTGCCACCAGAGCAAAGTCCTAGCCTCTGATTCCTGCATTCAAAACCCGACACGTTGCATGTGTTAAATAGCTTGATTTAGCCATTTCACAACGAATATATATATATGTATATAGCAAATGTCATGTTGTATACCATAAATATGTATAATTGTTACTTAGTTTAAAAAAAATTTTTTTTTGAGACGGGAGGCTGGAGTGCAGTGGCGCAATCTTCGTTCACTGCAACCTCCGCCTCCCATTCAAGTGACTCTCCCACCTCAGTCTCCTGAGTAGCTGGGATTACAGGTGCACGCCACCACACCCGGCTAACTTTTGCATTTTTAGTATAGACGGGGTTTCACCATTTTGGACAGGCTGGTCTCAAACTCCTGACCTCAAGTGATCTGCCCGCCTTGGCCTCCCAAAGTGCTGGGATTACAGGCATAAGCCACTGTGCCTGGCCAAAAAAAATTTTTTTAAACCTAAATGAGCGGACCTCACTAGGGACCCTACAATCCCCCAGCCCCTTGTTTCACCCTTTGTGCTTCACAGCATCAATCCGCCCTTACTTTTTTGACTGGCCACACCATTTCTTGCCTTGGATGCCCCTTTCTTGCCCCACCGTCCACCACCACCCTGACCACGGCTAACGCCTCATCAGCCAGCATCACCTCCTCCAGGAAGCCCTCCCTGACTCTTGGGCTGGGTTGGTGCATCCTTGTACTGTTTTGTGGCCCTCTGTTTACACAGCTGTCTTCTCCACCAGATTGGCATCTCCCCAAGGGCAGGGCCCAGGGCTGAGTCATCTCTGTGTGCCCGGCATCGCCCAGCCCAGCCCTGTCCACCAGGGCTCAGGAGATGTCCCCACAATGAATGAATGTTCTCTCCTCTGCCTTTGCTCCATTTTTGCCTTACCTCTCCCACCCTGTGCTCCTTCTGTCCAGGTATTCTGTAAGCTGTACCCTGAGGTTTCCTGATGATGGCTGAAATGCTGGGAAGGCCACTGTGGACCCAGGGCAGGAACTGGAGAGCAGCCACCAGAGGAATGGGGGTTTCTAGGAGCCATGGGTGTTAGCGAGGGGTGCGGTGTCCCTACCTGTCCCTCCAACAACAGCCCCGGCCTGCTGTGGGAGTGTTCAGCTTCACTGCTCCCTGTCTTTCAGCACTTGTCTGGGCTGCTTCCAGCCTTGGTCATCTCTTCCTGCAAGAAATTCTGGGGGCTGGACATGTAGGTCTAAGGGAGAAGGAAGCTGGGAGTTGAGACTCCTGGGTCTGAGGGAGGAGGGGATGGGGGCCTGGGCCTGGGCTCCAGGGTCTGAGGGAGGAGGGGATGGGGGCCTGGACTCCTGGGTCTGAGGGAGGAGGAGATGGAGTCTGGACTCCTGGGTCTGAGGGAGGAGGGGATGGGGCCTGGACTCCTGGGTCTGAGGGAGGAGGGGATGGGGCCTGGACTCCTGGGTCTGAGGGAGGAGGGGATGGGGCCTGGACTCCTGGGTCTGAGGGAGGCGGGGCTGGCAGCCTGGACTCCTGGGTCTGAGGGAGGGGTGCTGGGGACCTGGACTTCTGGGTCTGAGGGAGGTGGGGCTGGGGGCCTGGACTCCTGGGTCTCAGGGAGGAGGGACTGGGGGTCTGGACCCTGGGTCTGAGGGATGAGGAACTCTGAACCTGTACTCCTGGGTCTGAAGGAGGAGGGGCTGGGTGTCTGGGATCCTGGGTCTGAGGGAGGAGGGACATGGGAACCTGGACTCCTGGGCCTGAGAGAGGAAGGGCTGGGGTCTGGACTCTCGGGTCTGAAGGAGGAGGGTGCTGGGAACCTGGACTCCTGGGTCTTAGAGGAGGGAACTGTTGAGGATTAAAGCCCTGGTTATCCTTCCTCAACCGCACTCTGGTTTTAGAAACATCTGGTTTTATACAGCTGCTCCACCCGAGCAGGGCGGGGTGGGGGCTGGGCAGCCAAATGCCCCACTTCTGGGGAGGAGCCTGCGCTGCCCCCTCCCACTGGGCGGAGGACTCACCCTCCCCTTCTGCTCTGGGCTGGCCTCAGATCATCTGAGGACCCATCATCCTGACACAGCCAGACACCAGGCAGCCCGGCTCCCGGCAACAGCGTCAGACACAGCCCGGCCCGCCCTGGTGGGTGGGAAGGGCGTTCGAGCTCCTTGGGAATGCACCTTCTCCCTGACAGGCCCAGGCAGAGGCTTGGCCTGGCGCAGCCTCCTCGGGGAAAACCCCAGGGTGTGAGGACTTGGTGTGAGGACTTGGTGTCTGGCAGGGGAGAGCTCCGGGACAGGCTGGAAGAGATGGAACTGCAGGGAGAGACGAAGATGTAGAAACAGAGAAATGGAGAGAAACTGAATGAGAGAGACAGAGACAGAGAAACACATACAGAGATAGAGCCTTACAAAGAGATAGGTGCGGTGGCTCACGCCTGTAATCCCAACACTTTGGAAGGCCAAGGCAGATGGATCACTTGAGGTCAGGAGTTGGAGACCAGCCTGGCCTACATAGTGAAACCCCATCTCTACTAAAAATACAAAAAATTAGCCAGGTGTGGTGGTGGGCGCTTGTAGTTCCAGCTACTCGGGAGGCTAAGGCAGGAGAATCGCTTGAACCCGGGAGGCGGAGGTTGCAGTGAGCCGAGCTCACGCCACTGCACTCCAGCCTAGGTGAGAGAGTGAGACTCCGTCTCAAAAAAAAAAAAAAAAAAAGAGAGAGATGGGGATGCAGAGAGACGGAAGGAGGATAGAGACAGAGCTAGAGAGGGAGGGAGATAGAGGGAAAAAGAGACAGAGAGAAAGAGACACACACACATGGACACACAGTGAGAAAGTCAGGGAGAGGCACTCAGAAAGAAAGAGAGCCACACAAGAAGAAAGTCAGGGAGACTTCAGAAATGCAAAGGGACAGACACTCCCAGGTAAAAGCAGAGAGAGAATGGCTGTGAGGGGGGATGAGGAGGAGAAACAGACAGGAATACACAGAGGCAGAGACCCAAATAGAGGGACCGAGAAACAGAGATGGGGTGACAGATACAAAATGACAGAGATTTGGGGAGGGACAGACGAGGAGAGAGAAGCACGGGGGAATTTCTCTCTGCTGCTCCATGTCTTTCAGCCTGTCCTGGAGCTGGCCCGTGCCAGACACCAAAGGTCGTTGGAGTCACAGGCAGGGAGAAAAGAACGAGGCAGCTACCGAGGCAGCTACCAAGGCCGAAAGTGAGACATCAATAGTTCACAGTAAGAGGAGCAGAGAGAAGAACAGAATTAGATACAGATAGTTTTTTTAAAAAATTCATGGAAAGAAGGGCATGTAAACAGACATTTATCACAGATCTGGTCCTGAGGGGCTGGGGTTCGGGCACCCCAGGTCCCGCATCTCTTTTCACCCTTCCTCTGACTCAGTTTCCCTGATGGGTGACAGCACTGACAGACCCCGGCTGGCTCCCCAGGGTCAGCTGACCGACAACTCTCTGTGTTCATCCCTGAGTCCCTGGGGATACAAATCCCAGCGCCCCAGCTCTCCACCCCAGACCCTGGTGCACACACGCAGACCCACGTCAGTTAGGCGCTGAATGGACAGATGTTCACTCACAGCTCCGGTTCCAGGCAGCCGTGCCTCGGGCCAGCGTACACACAGGCACACCCACAGCACGCACGTGTGTGAGTTTCGTTCCATCTGCCAGTTGCTGAGACATGTCCCTGGGGGGCCCAACCCAGAGATGGATTCTGGGGACAGGAGAGGCGGCTGTGGGGAGAAGCAGGGCGGGGGTGACTGGGGAAGGTGAGAAGGGGGAGGTGGGGAGAGCTTTAAAGCAAGAAGAGAAAGAAATGAGGGTGAGAGGAGGCAAGAGAAGTGGAGAGGAAGAAAGGGATGGAGAGAAAGACAGAAACTTGGAGAAATGTGGTAATGGGGAGAGAGATGAGGGTACCAACAAAGAGATGAGGAGAAATAGTGGGTTAGGGAGAAAGAAAGGGATGGAGGGAAATACAGGGATAGGGGATGGGGGGATGAGGGGAACCCCCAAAATGCAAGTGAGGTGGAAGAGAAAAATCAGGGGAGACAAGGGACGAGAGGGGGGAGGAAGAGAGAAGAAGACATAGAGGAGGGAGGGAGAGGAGGGGGAGTGATGGCAGAGAGGACTAGAGGAGGGGCGCGGGTAGACATGGGGGCCTGGGAAGGGAGGCCCGTCTGGCTGAGGGGGGTGGGAGTAATAGCGGGAAGCGGGTGGAGCTGCCCGGCTGGGCCGTGACCTCAGAGCCCCTGGCCCAGCTTAGCCTGACTGACGTCAGCGCTCGCTCCCGCCCCCGCCTGCGCTGGTCTTCAAATGACCCCCCTCCAGCTCTCTGGCCACAGAGAGGCTGGGAGAGCAAGCCGGAGAGAAGAGAGAGCCCGGCCAGACCCACTGCGATGAGACAGGTGTGTGTGTGTGTGTGTGTGTGTGTGTGTGTGTGTGTGTATACAGCCATGTGGGGAAAACTACTGCCATATGTGTGACCACGTGTGTTGGGGAACTGTGTGTGCATGATTTCATGTGTGTATCCATGTGCCTGACAGTGACCATATGTGTGTAGGGGACAGTGAGCATGTGAGGCTGAGTGTGCAGGTCTGTGTATACATTGCCCTGTGTGAGCGGCCATCCCAAGTACATGTAGGTGAGACGTGCCATGTCCGTATTTCTGTATCTGCGTATCTTGCTACAAACTTGTGTATGTCTATGTTCCCTGGGAGGCAGAGAGAAAGAGGGAGTGCGACAGTGAGCGAATGAAAGAGACTGAGTGAGAAAGAGAGTTGGATTTGCCTGTGGCACATGGGAATGGATTTCTGTTTCATGCGTTCAATAGCTATTAAGTTGAACCAAATGAAATCGCCGATACTGAGCCACTCTAAACTTGGAAGAATAGCAATTTCATCTGGTTCAGTATCAGCTTGACAGTCACCTACTATTTCTCTTGAAATCTTCCCTGTGCATCCCATTGCCCCAGACTCTCAGTTGGGGCTCTGTGTGTTTGTGGCCACGTGGACATCCTTTGCTGGTGTTGCTTTTTCCTGCTGAGGGGTGTGTGTCTGCAGGTTCACCTGTGTGGCCGTCGGTGGGGGTCACGGGATCGCTGTGTTTGGCCTGAGTGGGTGTCTCGGGTCATCCTGTAGAACACGAGTAATTTCATTCTGTGTGTCACTCATCATGTGTGAGTTCACGTGTGGGGGAGTGTGTCTACACGTGTGTTCATCTGTGTTTCTGGAATCAACTCTCTGGATCCCCAGCATGAATTGAGCCATCCCTAGGAACTCAGGCAAGGCCAGGTTTGAAGCAAAGGAAGAGAGAAGGGGGATTCGAGAAGAAAGAATAATGTTTAATGTTGAGAGTTTAAAAGCTGTACCTCAGTTTTGTCCTCTAGAAATGTAACGAAAACCACAATATCTAATTTAAAATTTTCTTGTGGCCACATTTGAAAAAGTAAAAACAAACAGGTGAAATTAATTTTAATAATATATTTTTATTTAACCCAGTGTGTCAGGGGCCAGCACATTTTTTTAAATAAAGGGCCCAATATTAAATATTTGAGGCTTTTGGGGGCCATCTGGTCTCTTTTGAAAGTACTCAACTTCGATGTGGTAAATGTAGAATCAGCCACAGATGATGTATAAACAAATGAATGTGGTTGTATGCAAATAAAACTTCCTTTAAGGACACTGAAATTTGAATTTCATATTTTTCATGCTCCACAAACTATTATTCTTCTTTTGGCTTTCAAAAACCATCTAAAAACACACACACAAATTCTTAGCCTGCAGGCTGCAGCAGGTCTTAGCATGCCGACCCCTGCTACATATAAGATATGATCATTTCAATATGTAATCAATACATAAATGTTAATGAGCTATTTTACTTTCTTTTCCCCAGACTTGGCCTTCAAAATCCAGTGTGTTCATAGCACTTCTCACTTAGATGCTACCTTTTCACTGGAAATACCTAATCTGTGTTTAGATTTTATAAGATTTACAATTATAAAAGGGGCATCGTAGATGCAACTTGTTCCAGACATATTTAAAATCTTTCCAATAACCGAATCAAGTAAGAGTTTTTAAATTTAAATGAATTAAAATTAAATAAAATTTAAAACTCAGTTCCTCGGTGATACTGGCTGCATTTCAAGTACTCGGTAGACACATGTGGCTGCTGACACCTGTGTTGGACACAAAGATCTACATCTTAACGACGCATTTAAATAACCCACAGTAAGCCTTGAGGCAGGAACTGGTGGCATAGGAGGCAGTTTAGCGTAGAGGGGACGCCAGAGCCAGACTGCCTGAGTTTTACTTCTGACTCTGCTTATTACCTGAGTGACCTTGGGTAAAAGTATTTGCCTCTCAGTGTCTCAGTTTCCTCATCTGTAACAGAAGACAGTGAAGGTACCTGCCTTATAAGATTGTTGTAGAGACCGGGTGCAGTAGCTCACGCCTATAATCCCAGCACTTTAGGGGGCCAAGGCAGGAGGATCGCTAGAGCCTGGGAGTTCGAGACCAACTTGAGAAACACAGCAAGACCCTGTCTCTATTATTATTATTATTATTTCGAGATGGAGTCTCGCACTGTCACCCAGGCTGAAGTGTAGTGGTGCCATCTTGGCTCACTGCAACCTCCACCTCAGGGGTTCAAGCAGTTCTCCTGCCTTAGCCTTCTGAGGAGCTGAGACTACAGTCGTGCGCCACCAAGCCTGGCTAATTTTTGTATTTTGCTTTCGCCATGTTAGCCAGGCTAATCTCGAACTCCTGACCTCAGGTGATCCACCCGCCTCCGCCTCCCAAAGTGCTGGGATTACAGGCGTGAGCCACAGTTTCTGGCTCCCTGTCTCAATTTAAAAAAAAATTTATATATATATATTAAGGTTGTTGTACAGTAGTGTCTGGCACACAGAAAGTACTTTTTCCTCTGATTCTGGGCTCTTCCAGCAACATTTACTGGGGCACCTGGCTCTGCTGGGGAGTTGGGCAGTGGAAAAGGAGAACCAGGCTATGCCTCTGGAAAGTCAGAGAGAAGAGTCCTCTACCATGGGCTGCTGATCTTGTGCAAGCCACTCCTTCTGGCCAATCAGTCCTCAGTTTGGCCACCTGTATGGTGGCAGAGCACTATCTGTCCCCCAGGGCTCTCCCGAGGGCTAGAGGTTTAGAGATTCAGTTCCTAGGGTTCAAATCCAGGTTCCTCTGCTTTCCAGGGACAACCTTGGGCAAATTGCTGAACCTCTGTGTGACTCAGTTGCCTCATCTGTACAACGGGGATAATAATAACAGTACCTACCTTACAGCGCTGTTGTAAAGATTAAAATAAATTCATTCATCTTAAAGGCTTAGAGCAGGGACTGGTACACAGCATTTTGGTTTTTTAGTATGTGTTATTATTATTACTGTCTCAACCCTAAGAAACCTTTGATTGGGAGATAAATCCTCATTGTATGTGCCACTAAGAAAGAGGAGGGAAACGCCCTAGTAATTAAATTGTGACACTCCATCGCATGCAATCATCCTCACGGATTTAAGAGATTTCAAAACGTGGAAAAAAGTTGTATTGGAAGAAACAAAATCAGGCTGGGCTTGGTGGCTCATGCCTGTATTCATAGCACTTTGGGAGACTGGAGCCTAGGAGACATAGTGAGACCCCTCCTCTAATTGTTTTTTTTTTAATTAGCAAGGCATAGTGACTCCAGCCTTGTGGTCCTAGCTTCTTGGGAGACTGAGGTGAGAGAATCGCCAGAGCCTAGGAGTTAGAAGCTGCAGTGAGCTATGATGGTGCCACTGCACCCCAGCCTGGGCGACAGAGCAAGACCCTGTCTATAAAAATAAATAATAATGAAAAGAAGGAATCTAATCAGCATGAAGCCTAGATAGCTATTTGCTCCAATTATTTTCGTTAATGAAAATAATTTTGGGGCCCGGCGAGGTAGCTCATGCCTGTAATCCCAGCACTTAGGAAGGCCGGGGCAGGCAAGTCACTTGAGCCCAGGGGTTCCAGACCAGCCTAGGTAATGTAGGGAGACCCCCGGCTCTACCAAAAATTTAAAAATTAGCCAGGAGTTGTGGCACACTCTTTGTAGTCCCAGCTACTCGGGAGGCTGAGGTGGGAGGCTGAGCCTGAGCTCGGGAAGCTGAGGCTGCAGTGAGCCTAGATGGCGACACTAGGCTGGAGTGAGACCCTGTCTCAAAAGAAAAAAAAAACAAAAAACGAAAGGAGAGAGAAAGGGAGAGCGAGAGCGAGAGAGAGAGAGAGACAGCGAGACAGACACAGAGAGAGAGAAAGATAAAGAGAAGGAAGGACGGAGGGAGGGAGAGAGAGAGGGAGGGGAGGGAAAGGGAAGGAGGGAAGGAAGGAAAGGATTTTTAATCTTCTCTCGGAGGAGGCTCATGCGCCCGGGACTCATGCCCCTTCCTTTCCCCTCTCGCTCCCAGCAGGACGCGCCCAAGCCCACTCCTGCAGCCTGCCGCTGCTCCGGCCTGGCCCGGAGGGTGCTGACCATCGCCTTCGCCCTGCTCATCCTGGGCCTCATGACCTGGGCCTACGCCGCCGGGGTGCCGCTGGCCTCCGATCGCTACGGCCTCCTGGCCTTCGGCCTCTACGGGGCCTTCCTTTCAGCGCACCTGGTGGCGCAGAGCCTCTTCGCGTACCTGGAGCACCGGCGGGTGGCGGCGGCGGCGCGGGGGCCGCTGGATGCAGCCACCGCGCGCAGTGTGGCGCTGACCATCTCCGCCTACCAGGAGGACCCCGCGTACCTGCGCCAGTGCCTGGCGTCCGCCCGCGCCCTGCTGTACCCGCGCGCGCGGCTGCGCGTCCTCATGGTGGTGGATGGCAACCGCGCCGAGGACCTCTACATGGTCGACATGTTCCGCGAGGTCTTCGCTGACGAGGACCCCGCCACGTACGTGTGGGACGGCAACTACCACCAGCCCTGGGAACCCGCGGCGGCGGGCGCGGTGGGCGCCGGAGCCTATCGGGAGGTGGAGGCGGAGGATCCTGGGCGGCTGGCAGTGGAGGCGCTGGTGAGGACTCGCAGGTGCGTGTGCGTGGCGCAGCGCTGGGGCGGCAAGCGCGAGGTCATGTACACAGCCTTCAAGGCGCTCGGAGATTCGGTGGACTACGTGCAGGTGAGTAGAGGCGCCTTCAGCCCACTCGTGACCCGAACACCCAAATCCCACTTTCCTGGGGTCTTTCCTTCAATGTACAGATTTGAATGACTCTCTCCCTTTCTTTATTCTTTCATCCATGCAGTGGAGAGATTCTTTCCTTCACTCATTCTTTCATCCATCCATCTATCCCTTTATCCAATATGGAGATCATTCGTTCATTTATTCATTCATTTACCCATTCAATGTAGAGGCATTCTTTCCTTTTTTCATTCACCTACGCATTCCAGGAAGAGACAATTTCACTCATTCTTGACTCATCCATTCATCTATCCATCCATTCAATATAGAGATTCATTTGTTCATTCATCCACTGATTCAGTTATCCATCCATTCAATGTAAAATTAAACCCTTCCAGCCGGCCACTTTGAGAGGCTGAGGTGGGCGGATCACCTGAGGTCAGGAGTTCTAGACTAGCCTGGCCAACATGGTGAAACCCTGTCTCTACTAAAAATACAAAAATTAGCCGAGCATGGTGGCGAATGCCTATAATCCCAGCTACTCGGGAGGCTGAGGGAGGAGAATCTTTTGAACCCGGGAGGCGGAGGGTGCGGTGAGCCGAGATTGCACCATTGCACTCCAGCCTGGGCAACAAGAGCAAAACTCCGTCTCAAATAAATAAATAAATAAAAGTTCTTCCTTACTTCATTCAGTGTAGAAATTCTTTTTCTTTACTCACTCATGGATATACCATCTATCCATCCAATATGGAGATCATTTACTCATTTATTCATTCATTTATCTATTAAATGTGGAGATTTGTTCCCTTTCTTCTTTCCTTCTTCCCTCCTTCCTTTCCCCTCCTTCAGTGTTGAGATTCTTTCATTCAACCACTCAGCCATCTATCTATGTATTCAATATACAGATTAATTTCATTTATTTATCTCATTCATCCATCCCATTTGGTGTAGCAATCTTTTTTTTTTTTTGAGATGGAATCTCACTCCGTTGCCCAGGCTGGAGTGCAATGGTTGAATCTCGGCTCACTGCAACCTCTGTCTCCTGGGTTCAAGTGATTCTCCCACCTCAGCCTCCCCAGTAGCTGGTATTACAGGCACCTGTCATCATGCCTGGCTAATTTTTGTATTTTTGCAGGGACAGGGTTTCACCATGTTGGCTAGGCTGGTCTCAAACTCCTGACCTCAGGTGATCTGCCCACTTCAGCCTCCCAAAGTGCTGGGATTACAGGTGTGAGCCACCACACCTGGCCTGGTGTAGCAATTCTAATGCATTATATTAGTTTTCCATTGCTGCATAACAAGTTACCATATGTTTGGCAGCTTGAACGAAACACATTTATTATCTCATAGTTTCTATGAGCCCAGAGTCAGCACAGCTCAACTGGATCCTTTTTTCAGGATATCACCAGGTTGCAATCAAGGTGTCAGCTGGAGCTGGGTCTTTTTTAAGGCTTGGGGTTATCTTTCAAGCGTATGTATTTGTTGGTTGGCAGAATTCACTTTCTTGCAGCCATAGAACTCATGGTAGCAGTAGCTTGCCTCTTCAAGGCCAGCAAGGAGACTCTCTGACTTCTAGGTCTGCTTTTAAAGGTTCTCCTGACTAGGTCAGGCCCACCCAGGATAATCTCCTTTTGATTAACTTATAGTCAAGAGATTTGGGGACTTAATTACATTGCAAAACCTATTCACCATTTCCATATTAGGTAATATAATCATGGCAGTTATATCCCATAACTTCTGCCATATTCTATTGCTTAGTAGCAAGTTAGGGGTCTCACTCACACACCAGAGGAGATGGTATATGTCTTATTGTTCATGTTCATACAAGGATGTGCATCTTGGAGTACATGTTAAACTGTGACTACACATTGAAAATGACTTTAAAAAATCTCAAAATTATGTTCAGATCGGTTGCAGAGTGCCCCAGCTGCATTGCACCCCTTGATGCCTTCCTCTCAAGCATCAGCCTGATGCAGGGGTCTGTGCTGATCCTGGCCCCTTCCACCTTACAGGTCTGTGACTCGGACACAAGGTTGGACCCCATGGCACTGCTGGAGCTCGTGCGGGTACTGGACGAGGACCCCCGGGTAGGGGCTGTTGGTGGGGACGTGCGGATCCTTAACCCTCTGGACTCCTGGGTCAGCTTCCTAAGCAGCCTGCGATACTGGGTAGCCTTCAATGTGGAGCGGGCTTGTCAGAGCTACTTCCACTGTGTATCCTGCATCAGCGGTCCTCTAGGTAAGCAGGGGCAGAGATTGGGAGGGCTGTGGATGGGGTGGAAAGGGAGAAGGGAAGCCGGATGGGGCTGAGGATGTGACTGGGGTTGGGAACAAAGATGCAGCAGGGCAGGAATTGGGGATGGGATAAAACTGGAAGCTGGCGGTGAGGATGCTGCTTGGGCTCAAGCTGAGTTTGGTGTGGGGAGTGAGGTTGGAAAAAGGATATGGATGACGATTGGGGCTGGGGCTGGGGAAGAAGATGGGATAGGCTTGGAGTCAAAGACAGAGTTGGAGCCAGGTTTGAGGTTGCAGTGGGTTTTGGATGGGGCTGAGAATGGATATGGGATTGGTGATGAGACTGGGGTGGGCAGGTTTGCAGTCACAGTGGGTATAGTTCAATGACAGGCAAGTTGGAGTGCGTATGAGGTTGAGGACAGGATTCGGGCTGGAGATGGGATTGGAGATAGTGCTGAGATTGAGATTATGATGACTGAGGATGGGGTTGGAACTGGAGATGGGGTTGGGGCTGGAAACAGCATTGGAGTTGGTGTTGGTGACAGCAGAGGCTGACACTCTTTCACACCTCCCCTCCACCCAGGCCTATATAGGAATAACCTCTTGCAGCAGTTTCTTGAGGCCTGGTACAACCAGAAGTTCCTGGGTACCCACTGTACTTTTGGGGATGACCGGCACCTCACCAACCGCATGCTCAGCATGGGTTATGCTACCAAGTAAGCTGAGGGGACCAGGTGGTCGGGTATGTGTGGAGGCCAATGAATATCCTAGCGTGTGTGCATGCTGAGAGTTCTCCAAATCCAAAGTAACTCACCAGACAATGGGCTCTATCAAGTGAGACTTTAGAGGAGAGAGGAGGATACCATAATGGGCAGAGGGGCCATTTGCATTGAGCCAATGGACTCTACCAAGTGAGATATTAGGGAAGAGGGGAAGATACTATAAGGGACAAGGCTGGCATTTGCATTGAACCATGGAATGCGGTGAACTCTACCAAGAGAGGCAAGGTGAGGGTAGAGAATTCCACCTAGAATTGAGATAGGGTGAGTTGGTTCTGTCATGGAGACCAAGGTAGCACAGTGGGGAGTGAAGTAGGAAGGGCAAGAGACAAATGGATAGAGTGGGATCTAACTAGTGAGAGAGCCACGGAGAAAGAAACAAGTGAGAGAAGAGGAGCACCTGAACTCTAGTAAGTTCTTCAAGAGAAGACAAGTAATTCCATGAGACTCAGGGGAGGATGATCTAGACCAAGTGAAGTTCAGGGGAGAGTGATTTCTGCAAAGCCAGGTCCACTGAAATACCCAGAGGAAACTTGGGATAATCCAGGGGAATCCATGCATTAATTCACTCAACAAATATTCACTAGGTGCCTAGAATGTTTAAGCTGCGGGGATACAGCAATAGGCAGACAGGACACCAATTGATTACATCAGTTGGGGAGACACACAAGAAATAAATAAGTAGAACATACAGTATGTTCATGATATGTGTTATGGAGATAAATAATGCCGGGCAAGGGTGGTGGATAGGAAGTTTTGGGGTTGGGGGTGAAGTGTTAAGTGGAGTGCCTGAGGTAGGATGGGGCTCAAGGCTGAGAATAGTGTGGCTGGAGCACTGAACTGGGGGAGTATTAGGAGAGCAGGATGGAGAGTTAAGGAGTGGTCCACTCATGAAAGGCTTATAGGTCTAAGGACTCTGACTAAGATGAGGGAGCCATGGGAGGGTTTTAAGCAGAGAAGTGACACGTTGTAATGGGATCCCTCTGGCAGCCGTTTTGGGTACAGACTACAAAAGGCAAGGTCGGAAGCAGGGAGGCCACTGAGGATGCCAAGTGACACAGGGGAAGGAGTCTGGACACTGTCAAGTAATGCCCAGGATTCTCCTCTTGTGTGGGCTTGGCTGGAAACCATGCAGGGATTGATTAATGATGTCTGCCACAAAACAGGAAGGAGGCCTGATGGTTCCCTTGAGAAGTTCTAATACATAGACTACCCTGGGTAGCAACCACACCCATCTTGCTCCTCCCTATAGGGCCTGCCAGTAATAGTAAGCATGGTAGTATTAGTAATATGTTAGTGATAGTATTAGTAATAGTGTCAGTAACCAACATGATATTAGTAACAGCAATAGTAATGGTAACAGCAATAGTCATAGTAAAAACGGTAGTAGCTAACATTTATTGAGCAAATACTATCTACTGGTCCTAAGCACTTGGCGTTTAATTTCATTCAATCCTTACAGTATCCTTGTCTTATGAGAGCCTTTTTTTTTTTCTTAGATAGAGTCTTGCTGTGTTGCTCAGGCTCAGGCTGGAGTGCAGGGGCACGATCATGGCTCACTGCAGCCTCAAACTCCTGAGCTCAAGTGATTCCCCCATCTCAGCCTCCCAAATAGCTGGGACTACAGGCCACCACGCCCGGCTAATTTTTTTTTTTTTTTTTTTTTTTTAGAGATGGGGTCTCACTATGTTGCCTAGGCTGATCTCAAACTCTTAGCCTCAAGTGATCCCCCTACCTCAGCCTCCTAAAGTGCTGGGATTACAGGCATGAGCCATTGCATCCCACCCATTGGTGCTTATTTATTTATTTATTTATTTATTTAGTAGAGATGGGGTCTTGCTATGTTGCCCAGGCTGGTCTTGAACTCCTTATCCCTCAGCCTCCCAAAGTGCTGGGATTACAGGAGTGAGCCACCGCGTCCAGGCCTAGGAACCATTATCCACCCTATTCTACACATGAGAACACTGAGGCCTAGAGAGGTTAAGAAACTCGCCCCCAGTGGCCGTCCACAGTGGTCATTTCTGCCTCCAGAATCCTGCCCAGGCCCCAGGGAGCACGCGATGATGCCCTCATTCCTCGCCCCCGTGCAGGTACACCTCCAGGTCCCGCTGCTACTCAGAGACGCCCTCGTCCTTCCTGCGGTGGCTGAGCCAGCAGACACGCTGGTCCAAGTCGTACTTCCGTGAGTGGCTGTACAACGCGCTCTGGTGGCACCGGCACCATGCGTGGATGACCTACGAGGCGGTGGTCTCCGGCCTGTTCCCCTTCTTCGTGGCGGCCACTGTGCTGCGTCTGTTCTACGCGGGCCGCCCTTGGGCGCTGCTGTGGGTGCTGCTGTGCGTGCAGGGCGTGGCACTGGCCAAGGCGGCCTTCGCGGCCTGGCTGCGGGGCTGCCTGCGCATGGTGCTTCTGTCGCTCTACGCGCCCCTCTACATGTGTGGCCTCCTGCCTGCCAAGTTCCTGGCGCTAGTCACCATGAACCAGAGTGGCTGGGGCACCTCGGGCCGGCGGAAGCTGGCCGCTAACTACGTCCCTCTGCTGCCCCTGGCGCTCTGGGCGCTGCTGCTGCTTGGGGGCCTGGTCCGCAGCGTAGCACACGAGGCCAGGGCCGACTGGAGCGGCCCTTCCCGCGCAGCCGAGGCCTACCACTTGGCCGCGGGGGCCGGCGCCTACGTGGGCTACTGGGTGGCCATGTTGACGCTGTACTGGGTGGGCGTGCGGAGGCTTTGCCGGCGGCGGACCGGGGGCTACCGCGTCCAGGTGTGAGTCCAGCCACGCGGATGCCGCCTCAAGGGTCTTCAGGGGAGGCCAGAGGAGAGCTGCTGGGCCCCGAGCCACGAACTTGCTGGGTGGTTCTCTGGGCCTCAGTTTCCCTCCTCTGCAAAACGAGGGGGTCAGCCCAAGATTCTTCAGTCTGGACTATATTGGGACTGGGACTTCTGGGTCTCCAGGGAGGGTATTTATTGGTCAGGGTGTGGGATCTGAGGAGTGGAGGGAAAGGGTCCTGCTTTCTCCTCGTTCTTATTTAATCTCCATTTCTACTGTGTGATCAGGATGTAATAAAGAATTTTATTTATTTTCCCCCAGCCTCCACCTTTTTGAGAACTAAGGGGAATGGATGATTGAGAATTGGGGACGCTGGGCTCAGTGCTGGGTGCTAGCCGTTTGAACCTGGACAAGACACTCTCCTTCCTTGGAACCTGGGGTTCCCTCTTTTGAAAACAGGGATTATTAATCCCCTGGGGCAGGGTTGGTGTGAGGGTTAAATTACTCAACTCATTCACGGGTACTTACCAAGCACCTGCCACCTGCCGCACACTGGCAGGTACTGCAGATGGTGCTTTTGTCTCTGGTCCGTCTACTTAGAAGGGTAACACATCCCTTTTCTCCTCAAACCTCCAGCACCTCCTCCCCTCCCTCTTAGCTGGCTTCCTATCTCACTGAGAAAATAGGGGTTAAAAAAGAAAACTTCTGCTGGAGTCCCCATCTCCACGTCTTCCCACTCACTTGCCCCTGTGTCCATACACTCCACCTTCTTCCTGTTGCTGAGGGTGACCTGTCTGTGCTCCAAGCCAGTGCCAACCTCTTCCATCAGGGCACCAGACCCTATGTCCTCTTTGTCTGCTCAAAGACTTCACTCCAGCAGTTCTTCCCACCTGATCCTCCGTCAGTTCTCCTTTCGCTTCGGAGCCTTTCCCATCAGCATCTGAACATATTGTTACTCTCCCACTTTTAAGACCCCCACTCTTGACCTCAGTTTCCCTGTAAACAACTGTTCCATTTCTATTTCGGTTAATAGCAAATTTCCTTGGGAGAGTTGTCCATATTTGTCTCCAATTTATCTCGCACAGAGTTCACTCACTCAAAGTGTACAATTTGGCTGAGCGCGGTGGCTCACACCTGTAATCCCAGCACTTTGGGAGGCCGAGGCAGGGAGACCACTTGAGGTCACGAGTTCGAGACCAGCGTGGCCAACATGGTGAAACCCCATCTCTACTAAAAATACAAAAAAAATTAGCCAGGCATGGTGGCATGTGCCTGTAATCCCAGCTACTCAGGAGGCTGAGGCAGGACAATCGCTTGAACCTGGGAGGCAGAGGTTTCAGTGAGCTGAGATCGTGCCACTGCACTCCAGCCTGGGTGACAGAATGAGACTCCATCTAAAAAAAAGAAGTGTACAAGTCAATGGTTTTTAGTTAAGTTTACAGGTTTGCACAGCCACCACCATAATCTAATTTTAGAACATTTTCATCACCCCACAAAAGGAACCCCATATCCATTGGCAGCTCACTTCTCCTTTCTCACCCCTTTATCCCCCTAAGACCTGGGCAGCTGCTCATCTGCTTTCTCTTTATAGATTTACCTATTCTGGCTATTTCATATCAATGCAATCCTGCAGTATGTGCTTTTTTTTGTGACTTCCTTCATTTAGCATATCAAGGTTCATCCATGTTGTTGCATGTATCACTGATTCATTCCTTTTTATGGCCAAATAATAGTCCACAGTATGGCTATATTGCATTGTGTTTATGTATTTATCAGTTGATGGACATTTGGGATATCTCCACCTCTTGGCTGTATGAATGATGCTACTATGAACATTCGTGTGCAAGTTTTGGTGTGGGCACAGCTTTTTAATTTTCTTGGGTATATACTTAGAAATTGAATTGCTGGGTTTATGTTAATTCTATGTTTAATTTTTTTGAGGAACTGCTAGCCTGTTTTGCACAGGGACTGTACCGTTTTACATTCCCACCAGCAATGTATGAGGGTTCTAATTTCTCTACACCCTTGCTACATTTTGTATTACCCGACTTTTTGATTACAGCCTTCCTGGCAGGTGTGAAGTGGCTTTCATTGTGGTTTTGATTTGCCCTTCTCTAATGACTAATGATGTTGACTTCCATTAACTCTTAAACCCAAGCCAATCAGATGGTCATGCTTTCCCCTAGCTCTCCATAGAAACTGCTCTTGTCAAGTTCATCAATGATATCCACGTTGCTAAAACCAATAGCCAATTCTCAGCCCTATTTCATGATTTGGCTGTGTCTGACACAGTTGATCACTCTTCCTTGAAACGCTTTCTTTACTTGACTTCCTTTTTTTCTTTTTTGAGATAGGGTCTTGCTCTGTCGCCCAGGCTGGAGTTCAGTGGTGTGAACTCAGCTCACTGCAACCTCTGCGTCCCAGGTTCAAGCAATTCTCCTGCCTCAGCCTCCCAAGTAGCTGGGATTACAGGCATGTGCCACCACACCCAGCTGATTTTTGTATTTTTAGTAGAGACAGGGTTTCACCATGTTGGCCAGGCTGGTCTCAAACTCGTGACCTCAAGTGATCCACCAGCCTCGGCTTCCCAAAGTGCTGGGATTACAGGTGTGAGCCACCAAGCATAGCTACTTGGCTTTCAGGAAGCCACAGCTACCTTGCTTTCCTCCACCTTGTTTTCTTTCCTGGATCCTCTCATCCTCGTCTCTTACCCATCTATACCCATTTCCCTTGTGCCTCCAGTGTTATGGCTCTGAATACTTCATTCATGCTCCATGTATGGAGACGGGACTCCCAAACAGATCTTCAGACCAGACTTCGCCCTTAAATTCCAGGCTTGTATATCCAACTGCCTCCAAGACATTTCTACTTGGATGCCTAATAGGCATCTCAAACCAGACTCCTAATATCTTCTCGCCTTCCTCCCTGCTAATCCCCGTGAAACCTGCTCCTCCATCAGTCTATCTCAGTAAACAGAACTTCATCCTCCCAGCTGCTCAGGCCAAAAAATGCTAGAGCTGTAACTGTCCATCACTAGCCACTACCACATGGAAGTCTAAAACATTTTTTTCCCATTCATGCATTCTTTGATTCATCAGTCACCAAAACATTCACCAAGCACCTACTGAATGCCACACACTCTGCCAAGTCTGCAAGTATAGAAACAATTAAGAAGCTTGCCTTCAAGGAGCTCTTAGTCAAGTAAACAAAGAGTTAAGAGTGAGCCACAGGTAAGAATACTCACATAGGCCTCTATGATGCTGTTGTCATAGAGCAGGAACTATGTAATGTTAAAGTTATTACAGCTACCTGAGTTGATTTTTTTCTTATTTTTATTTTTTTTGACACCCTTTCTTGCCTGAAGAGCTACCTAAGATTATGGATTCAGTTCCTCAGTCGCACAGGTCACCTTTCACATGCTTCACGGCCACACGTGGCTGGTGCTGCGCTACTGGACGGTGCAGATCTAGAATATTTCCAACATGGCAGAGGGTTTGACTGCACAGTGCCACTGTGGTTACTCTTGGCCTCTCTCCTTCTCTCATCCAACATTCTGAACCATCAGCAAATCCCACTGATTCTACCTTCAAGACATATCTAGAGCCACTGCTCCTCACGACCTTGTTCCCCAGGGCTGCATCTCGTCCCTGGATTACTGCAGCACCTCACAGCGATGCCTGCTTCCACTTTGCCCCAGTCTGTTAGCCACACAGTAGCCATGGAAATCAAGTCATGACCTGCCTGCCCTTGCTTGGCTCAAAAGCCACCCGTGACGCTCATCTTTTATTTCTTTTCTTTTTTTTTTTTTTTTTGTGACAGAGTCTTGCTCTGTAGCCCAGGCTGGACTGCAGTGGTGCAGTCATGGCTCATGTCATCTTTTTTTTTTTTTTTTTTTGCCTTTTTTTTCCTGAGATGCAGTTTCGCTCTTTTTGCCCAGGCTGGAGTGCAATGGCGCAATCTCAGCTCACTGCAACCTCCGCCTCACGGGTTCAAGCAGTTCTCCTGCCTCAACCTCCAAAGTAGCTGGGATTATAGGCACCTGTTACCACACCTGGCTAATTTTTTATTTTTAGGAGAGATGGGGTTTCACCATGTTGGCCAGGCTGGTCTTGAACTCCTGACCTCAGGTGATCTGCCTGCCTCGGCTTCCCAAAGTGCTGGGATTGCAGGCATGAGCCACTGCACCTTGCTCTTTTTTTTTTTTTTTCTGATTCAGGTTCTCACTCTGTAGCCCAGGTTGGACTGCAGTGATGTAATCATGGCTCACTGCAGCCTTGACCTCTCAAGCTCAAGCCTCGGTCCCCCAAAGTGCTGGGATTACAGGTGTGAGCCACCACACCCAGCCGACCCTCATCTCTTACAGAGGTAAGTCTAGACTTTATAGCAGCCAGCAGCACCATCTGGTCCCCATGGTCTCTGACTTCACTGTGTATCCACTTCCTAAGGCCCTGTTCCAGCTACACTGGCCTCCTGGATGTCCTCCCGGCTGTCCTCCCATGTGCCTGGCACTCCTGCCTCAGGGCTTTTCCCTTTTTAAATTTTTGCCTGGAACAGTTTTTTTTTTTTTTAGACAGAGTCTCACTCTGTTGCCCAGGCCGGAGTGCCATTGTCTCACTCTGTTGCCCAGGCTGGAGTGCAATGGCACAATCTCAGCTCACTGCAACTTCTGCCTCCCAGGTTCAAGCAATTCTCGTGCTTCAGCCTCCTGAGTAGCTGGGATTACAGGCATGTGCTACCATGCCAGGCTAATTTTTGTATTTTTAGTAGAGACAGGGTTTCACCATGTTGGCCAGGCTGGTCTTGAACTCCTGACCTCAGGTAATCCACCCGTCTCGGCCTCCCAAAGTGTTGGGATTACAGGCATGAGTCACCTCGCCTGGCCACCTGGAACACTCTTCACACAAATATCCATAATGGCTCATACCGTCATCCCCTTCAAGTTTTTATTCAAACGTCACTTTCTCAGTGAGGGCTTCTCCACAGATCCTACTGCTACTTCCCTCGGCCCCATATTCCATTTCTCTGCTTATCTTCTCCATCACACATATTACCATATTTCGTATTTTACTGTTTTCTTATTGTCTGTGACATAGTAAGAAATACATATTTGGTGTTTGTCCCTGGTTTCTGACAGTCTTATACCCTTGTACTTTCTGGAGTGATGTGGGCAACAGAAGCGTCTTACATAGAGCTCCTAATCTCTTGAATTTCCTGGGTGATAACAGCATCGTTTGTTCTATTCAAGTGACTCTTGGTGGTCTCCTGGAAGAGCGCTGGTCACCAGCAAGACTAGGCTATGATTAGGAGCTTGGAGCTTTCGGCCTCACCCGCTGCCCCCTCCAGTCCTTGGGGAGGGAAAAAGGGGTGGAGACTAAGTTCATAAGCAATCATGCCTACATGGTGCAGCCTCCAGAACAATCCCTAAACTATGGGGTTTGCAGAGCTTCCAGGCTGGTGAGTGCATCCACGCACTGACAGGCCGCTGCATCCCAGCTCCCATGGAGACAGAAACTTCTGCACTTGGGACCCTTCTGGACCTCACCCTATCTACCTCTTCATCTGGCTATTAAGCTATTTCCTTCATACTCTCCTTTATAATAAACCAGTAAATATGTTTCCCTGAGTTATTCAAGCTATTCTAGCAAATTACTGAGCTGGGGGGCTGCAGGTTGCAGGAGCCCCTGGCTTGCGACTGGTGTCTGAAGTGGGGGCAGTCTTGTGGGCCTGAGCTCTTAAAACCTGTGTAGTGCGACGCTAACCCTGGGTTGTTGATTTTAGAATTAAATGAATTATAGGACACTCAACTGGTGTCCGGGAGAGTTGGAGAACTGGTTGGTATGGGGGCAGGAGGTAGAATCCCATACATGTAGTGTCAGAAATGTTGAGAGTAGAGAAACAGTTTTCTGGCCAGGCGCGGTGGCTCACGCCTATAATCTCAGCACTCTGGGAGGCTGAGGCAGGCAATCACTTGAGGTCAGGAGTTTGAGACCAGCCTGGCCAACATATTGAAACCCCGTCTCTACTAAAAATACAAAAATTAGCTGGGCATGGTGGCACACGCCTTTGTAGTCCCAGCTACTCGGGACACTGAGGCACGAGAATTGCTTGAACCCAGGAGGCAAAGGCTGCAGTGAGCCAAGATTGTGCCACTGCACTCCAGGACTCCATCTCAAACAAAACAAAAAAAAAAAAAAAAGGGAGAGAGAGAAACAGTTTTGTTTTACTGTCCACTAGAATGTAAGTTCCATGTGAGTACTGTACAAACTTTTTGTCTCTTCTGATTTCTTCATTGGGATCTCTACAGTGCCTTGAAAATACATGACAAAATAGTAAGCACTCAATAAATATTTGCTGAATGAGCAAATCAATAAAGGGAAATAGACCAGTGAACAAGAATGAGTACATGCTCAAAAGGAGCTTCCCTTTCAGGTAGGAAAGGCAAAACCAAATTAAAAAATGAGTTAACGGCTGGGAGCGGTGGCTCACGCCTGTAATCCCCTAGCACTTTGGGAGGCTGAGACAGGTGGATCACCTGAGGTGAGGAGTTTGAGATCAGCCTGGCCAAAATGGCGAAACCCTGTCTCTTCCAAAAATACAAAATTAGCCAGGTGTGGTGGCGCATGCCTGTGTTCCCAGCTACTCGGGAGGCTGAGGCAGCAGAATCGCTTGAACCCGGGAGGTGGAGGTTGCAGTGAGCCGACATCGCACCATTGCACTCCAGCCTGGGCAACAAGAGCGAAACTCAAAAAAAAAAAAGAGTTAACATTAGGTCCAGATGAGCTCAGTGAACAAGGTGAAATTGGGCAATGTCAAACAGGGAGAGAGAGGTAGTTAGAGAAGGAGACATTTGATCTGGGATCTGTGCAATGAGAGAGGTGGGTTTGTGATACTCAGAGGAAAGTCATTTCAAGTATGAAGCACAGCAAAGGCCTGGAAATGGGACTGAGACTTGCATGTTCCAGGGACCTAATAAGGAGGCCACTGGGGCTGGAAAGTAGCAAGGGGCCTGAGGGAGAGGTAGAGTCAGTTAAGTCAATACAGTGCCAGCCGCGCAGACTTGTCAAGGGGATTAGCGGGGTTAATAGATGTAATGGCTACTCAGGGGAAATCATAAGAGTTAACTAGACAAAAAAAAGGAGAAAATATTATTCTAGGCAGGAAACAGTGTGAACCAAGACCCTAGAGAGGGCAAGAAGTATCATGATGAATGCGAGGAAGGAGGAAAGGCCAGAGAAAAACCGCAGGGTGGCAAGATCAAGGAGGAAAGGGGTATGGGACAAGGCTGCTGGTGAGGTCAGCAAAGGCCAGACCTGTGGAACCTCTGAGGCTTTGACAAGGAATTGGATTTTGTCTCAATGGCAACAGGGAGTCACTAAAGGATTCTGGGTAGAGGAGTAACCCAATCTGACACACTTTAAAACCTAAGTCCTTGGCCGGGCTTGGTGGCTCACGCCTGTAATCCCAGCACTTTGGGAGGCCAAGGCAGGTGGATCACTTGAGGTTAGGAGTTCAAGAACAGCCTGGCCACATGGTGAAACCCTGTCTCTACTAAAAATACAAAAATTAGCCGGGTGTGGTGGTGGGCACCTGTAATCCCAGCTACTTGGGAGGCTGAGGCAGAAGAATCGCTTGAACCCGGGAGGTGGAGGTTGCAGTGAGCTGACATCACATCACTGCACTCCAGCCTGGGCCTTGGAGTGAGATGGTGCCTCCAAAAAAATAAAATAAAATAAAACAAGTCCTGCTGGTATGTAGAGAATGGGCTACAGTGGAGAGAGGCCAAGGAGGTGGTGGGGGGCTGCTCCAGTGATCCAGACATGAGGTGGGGGTGACTGGGACCACAGAGAAGGCAGCTTCATGAGATATTTAGGAGTTAAAAAGTCTGAGGGTTGGAAATGAAAATGAATTGGAAGTGGAGGAGAAGTTAGATTCCAAGGTTTCTGGTTTGAACTGCTAGGTGGATGGTGTTGCTCTTTCTGGTAGGAGGAAAGCCTTGGGGAGGAACAGCCTCTGAGGGCAACATGGAGGACTCTATTTGAGGGTGCCTTCTGCAGATGGAAATGTCAAGGAGACAGCCAGTAACCTGAGGGGGTATCTGGGTTCCCACCTAACTTGCACTGGGATAGCTATGCCTATCACTGTCATTATGCGGGCCATATTCATCTGGGCATGTGTGGGCTTGCTGCACCTCCTCCTACCTGAGTTAGTAGTGACCACCTTCGGAGATGAAACAATCTAGAGTTGAAATATATTCTTTATTTTCAGGATGGAAATAGGATAGGGAAGGAGGAAAGATACCTTTGTTAGTTGCCACTGCAGTACCATCGAAAGAACATCCTGGGGAAACAAAGAGGTATGTGTGTTACAGGAGGGGTTGGTGACTAGAAACTTAGGTCCCGGAGCCTGGACACCAGGGTCAAAAAGGTGTACAGGGCCCGGACTCCTGGTTCTGAGGGAGGAGGGGGCAGGGGGCCTGGGCTTTTGGGTCTGAAGGAAGAGAAACTTGGGGGTCTGGACTCTTGGATCTGAGGGAGGAGGGGCTGGGGGCCTGGACTCCTGGGTCTGAGGGAGGAGGGGGTCCGGGGGCTTGGACTCTTGGATCTGCGGGAGGAGGGGACTGGGGACTTGGACTCCTGGGTCTGAAGGAGTAGGGGTTTGGGGCCTGGAATCCTGGGTCTGAGGGAGGAGGGGCTGCGGACCTGGACTCCTGGGTCTGAGGGAGGAGGGGCTGGGGGCCTGGACTCTTAGATCTAAGGGAGGAGGGGGCTGGGGACTTGGATTCCTGGGCTAGTAAAGAGGGGCTGGGACCTGGACTCGTGGGTCTGAGAGAGGAGGAACTGAAAGCCTGACCTCCTGGGTTGGAGGTTGCTGGGAACCCAGACTTCTCGGTGGGATCTGAGACAGCGGGGAGCTAGATGCTGGGGCTCCGGAGTCCCCAGAACTCACCACGCCAACACTGTCGCACTCGCTGATGCGAGGGCCCCGAGGACTGCAAGCAGGAACAGATTGCTGGGCGTCAGAGCCTCGGGCCTGGCCAGCAGCTCGCCCAGGCTGGGCCTCCAGGGCTCGATCAGCTCGGCATCCCGCGGCGCCCAGCGCAGCACTTCCCGGAACGAGGCCTGCAACTCTGTCTCCGCCCGCGGGGGCGGGCCCGTCACTGCGGGGGCGCGCACGTCAGCCAGGCACGAGCCCCACCCCTCTCCCGACCCCGCTCACTCACGCGGCCGCGCCCCGCCCCACCGTTAAGAAAGAAGTAGAGCCGGGCCAGGGGGCGCTGGTCTTGCTTGATCACGCAGGAGAACGTCCCGCGGTGCGTGAGCTGAGCCGGCCGGATCCGCGCCAGGTATCCTTCGGCCCGCGGCATATCTCGGAAATAGGACAAGTCCTGAGTCCGGAGCTGCGGGACACGCGGGTTTAAACGCCTCAACTCCGGCTTGCCACTGAGTAACCTACAAGCCCCGCCCCCCGAGCCAGACCACGCCCCCTGGAGTCCTGGCCCTGAGCCTTGAGCCCGCCCCCGAGCCTTCTCGCTCCCCTGCCCTAAACGCACCCCTTCCCCTCACTCCTTAAACCCTTACGCATAACCTACCCCTAGAAACTGCTTTTATTTATGTATTTTTTTTTTCTTCCAGACAGGGTCTCGTTCTGGCGCCCAGGCTGCAGTGCAGTGGCGCGATCATAGCTCACTGCAGCCTCAAACTCCTGGACTTAAGCAGTCTTCCCGCTCAGCCTCCCCAGTGGCTGGGACTATAGGCGTGCACCACCACGCCCCGGCTGTTTTTAAAATTTTTTGGCAGAGGAGGGGTCTTAATTTGTTGCCGAGGCCGGTCTCAAACTCCTGGGCTCAAGCCATCCTCCCGCCTTGGTCTCCAAAAGCGCTGGGATTACAGGCGTGAGCCATCGCCCCAGGTCCTTGGTCCTGCATTCTGATCTTCGAGCTCTCCCCTAAATCCCGCGACCCTCCTCTTGCTGATGCTTGTGTCTAGACGGAGATTCCCGGAGTCCCGTCCCCGCAAGCTGACTCCCCAACCTCTAGTGAAGGCTAACTCGCCCGTCTAAACTCTTCGCGCCGGCCCCGCCCCGACTCACACCTCCTCCTGCGAACTTCCAGGAATAGGTGATCTCCTCCTTTGGCAGCTGGAAGTTTACGATGCAAGAAAACATAGCCTGGTCGCCCCGAGTCACTGTCACATCCTGAACTGAAGACGGAGCAGGGTTCACTCGCTGGGCCCCGACCACGTCTGGCCTCGCCACCAGCTTATGCCCCTCGGTGCTCTGGTCCCTTTTCTCAGGTTGGCCTCCTGCACCCCGAGGCCCCGCCCCCTCACCTGGGCAGTCCAGCGGGAGGTCGCAGACCCTAGAGTAGCACCCGCTGCAGAGGAAACGCCGGGCGAACTCCTGGAGACCTGTGGAGCGGGAACGCTGGGTCTAGGCGCCACCTGCCCTTCCAAGCCCGGGGCCCTTGGCCCATTTGAGATCCATGCAGCTTCCCGGGGTCCATCGGCCAGGTGGCATCTTGACCCCGCCCTCCCTGCTGTCTTTGGCCGACTCTCACTCCTCTCCGCCCTCTAGGATTCCTATTGGTTTGCTTCGGCTCTCACACACACCTTCTGAGGATTTAGAGCAATACTTGGTTTTCTTCCTTTTCTCCAGGGATCTTATTGGCTTCCTAAGGATGTGAAGCCCACCCGCTTTCCCACACTTGATGTCGTACGTTTCGTCCCCGACCGCCTCCCTTACCCCGCAATTTCCAAGTTTTAGATGAAGTCCTTACCGCAGGGAGGGATGCAAGCCTGGGCTGTGGAGGAAGAGGAAACATCACTACCTTACAGTCATGGGAAGAACCCTTGCCCGATGCTCCCCTAGCTAATGTTACAAGGCCCGAAGCATTGCTCCGAGGGGGCGGGGCCAAGCTTTCGTCATAACCTGGGGGCGGGGTCAAGCCGGCTGGGTTCCACCTGGGGCCGGGGCCAAGCCTGAGCATTCCACTAGGAGGTCAGGCCCAGGACTGCTGCCAGCCTTCTACTTGGGGTTTAGAGGGAAACACACTGGTTTTCTGTAGGCCCTGATGGGGATGGGCAATCCAGGTGTATTCCACCGAGGAGGCGGGGCTAGATCCTGGGCGATCCTTGCAGGAGACCAAGGCTAAGGTGGTGGCCCAGTTAGAGAAGAGGCGTGGCCAGGTTAGTAGTAGTCCCGGAAAGGGGCTCAGTTGGAGACGAAACCTTTCATCGAAGGGGCGGGGCCAGATCAAAAATGGTCCACGCGGGGAAATAGTCGTCCCTCAAGGTCTGAGGCTCAGAGATGGGGCCAGGGGATTGTACGGGGAGTGGATGGGGGGTCTCAGGAGTGGGTTTCGTTTTGAGATGGAGTCTTGCTCTGTCACCCAGGCTGGAGTGCCGATCTCGGGTCACTGCAACCCCGCCTCCAGGGTTCAAGCAATTTTCCTGCCTCAGCCTCCTGAGTAGATGAGATTACAAGCATGCGTTACCACGCCCAGCTAATTTTAGTATCTTTAGTAGATATGGGTATCACCATGTTGGTCAGACTGCTTTTGAACTCCTGATCTCAAGTGATCTGCCCGCCTCAGCCTTCCAAAGTGCTGGGATTACAGGCGTGAGCCACCATCCCCGGCCAAAAGTGGGGTTTTCTAATTGTGTGTGTGTGTGTCTGGGGAAGGAGAGATGGAGTGTATTTTACCTTCTTTAAGCTGTGTAATGACCTTCTTCATTTTCTCCGCAGCATCAGGGAAGGCAACCTCAAAGGATCCTGGAGAGTGGAGGGGAGGACGGCCTGTGTAGTAAAGCCCTTCCCCCAGGGCTTGGTCCTTGGTCCTGCATTCTGATCTAGCCTGGCTAGGGCTAGGCTGGCCCTAGCTCACAGGACGTACTGTCATGGTATCTGCCCTTCCCTGGCCCCTCTTCACCCCTCTCATTACCATATTCTCTGCTCCTCTTCTCATCACCCGCCCTCTGTAGTTGAAGGCTAACAAGTCCCTAAGTCTCCTTTCTTCTGCCTCCTGAATCTCTCCAGGATGGAAGTCCTCCTGGACATCACCTGCATGTAGCTTGTTGGGGGGAGAAGGGGAGGATAAAGATCAAATTCCTCACCAAGGCCTATTAGGTCTTACATGGTTTGGCCTAGTTCCCCCTCCCTCCCTGTCCCATCCCTACTGCCCACCTTTCATTTCCTTTATTTTATTTTATTCAGACAGTGTCTCACTGTCACCCAGGCTGGAGTGCAGTGGTGCGATCTCGGCTCACCGCAACCTCCGCCTCCTGGGTTCAAGTGATTCTCCTGCCCTAGCCTCCCGAGTAGCAGGGACTGCAGGTGTGCACCACCACGCCTGGCTAATTTTTGTGTTTTTAGTAGAGATGGGGTTTCACCATGTTGGCCAGGCTGGTCTCGAACTCCTGACCTCAAGTGATCCACCCACCTCAGCCTCCCAAAGTGCTGGGGTTACAGGCATGAGCCACCGTGCCTGGCCTCATTTCCTTTAATATGAAAACCACCACATTCCCTAGCACCTCAGGGCCTTTGCACATGCTGGCTTGTTTTTAGCACATTTTTCCTTCTCCTAATCATCCTTCCATCACCACAAATCTAACCAAGTTCCCTGTTTTTGTCTCTCATCGCAATCATTTCATTCCTAGCTCTCATCTGTCTGCAATTACATATATTTATATATAGATGATGATCACTTATGTCTGTCTCGTAAGTAAATAAACATGTTCTTCTGTAGCACTGTGTCCTCTGGATCCTGGAGAGGGCCCTCAGTCTTAGAAGTGCTCAGTAAGTATTTGTACAATGAATTCCAGGATCCAACTTGAACTGGAGACCCCAGCTGGTGGCCTATGACCCAAATCCATCCCTGGGATGTGTTATATTTGGCCTGGAAAGTGTTTAAAAGAAAATGAACCAGTTGCCAACATATAAAATTTGGAATGTCAAATAAAACGTTTGGCATCTCTTTTTTACAAAGTTGGAAGAGCTGTAACACAGAGATCGCATTTCCATAAGGCAGCAATTAGCTGGAGATGGGTAGCAGTCACTCCCTTGAAATGGGGCACACACCGGCCACTTCTCCATAGTCCCCAGCCTCTATTCACTTCTATATTTACCCATCTTTTACTCTTTTATGTTCCTTGTCTTTGTAGGTGTTTGTTTTGTTTTGAGATAGAGTCTCGCTCTGTTGCCCAGGCTGGCGTACAGTGGTGTGATCTTGGCTCACTGCAACTTCCACCTCCCAGGTTCAAGTGATTCTCCTGCCTCAGCCTCCCCAGTAGCTAGGATTACAGGCACCCACCACCATGCTCGGCGAATTTTTATATTTTTAGTAGAGATGGGGTTTCACCATGTTGGCCAGGCTGGTCTCAAACTCCTAACCTCAGGTGATCCGCCTGCCTCGGCCTCCCAAAGTGCTGGGATTACAGGTGTGGGCCACCATGCCTGGCCTTGTGTTTTGACCACTGCAATGGCCTCCAAATTGTATGGGTTTGTGGCTTGTTCCAGTGGAATAAGAATAGACAGCTGACTTGATCTCGTGGTGATTTGTGGAAATCAGTAATGTGGCAGGGTTTTATCGGCTAAATCGTGCCGCCCACCCCCCATCCCCCGCAACCAAACTTGTATGTTGAAGTCCTAACTCCCAGTACCTCAGAATGTGACTGTACTTGGTTCTTAAAGAGGTGATTAAGTTAAAATGAGGTCATTAGGGTGGGCTGTAATGCAGTATGATTGGTGTCCTTATGAGAAGAGGAAATTAGGACACAGAGATGCACACAGGGACATATGAAGGAAGGCATCTACAAGCCAAAGAGAGAGGCGTGAGAAGAAACTAACCCTGCTGACACCAAAACCTTGGTCTCAGACTTCTAGAAGGCAGAAACTTCTGTTGTTCGAGTCACCCAGTCTACGGTACTTTGTTACAGTGGTCCTAGCAAACCAACACACAGGAATTGTTCACTGCCTCCAAATACCTATATATCTATAACCTATATCCACAGAACACAGATAAAAAGCTTCATCTCCCAGCCTTCCTTGCAGTTGTGGTCATGTGACCAAGTTGTAGCCATAGGATGCAAATGGATGTGTTATGTGAGTCACAGGAGGTGGCCTTAAAAGGGAGGTGGTACCGCACCTGGAATCACAGCTACTCGGGAGGCTGAGGTGACAGGATCACTTGAGGCCAGGAGTTCGAGACAAGCCTGGGCAACATATCCAGACACCATCTCTAAACAAATTTTTATAAATTAGCCAGGTGTGATGGTGTGCTTGTAGTCTTAGCTACTCAGGAAGCTGAAGTGGGAGGATGGTTGAGCCCAGGAGTTCAAGGCTGTAGTGAGCTATGATTGCACCACTGCCCTCCACCCAGCCTGGGCAATAGAGCAAGACCCTGTCTCTAAAAAACAAAGACAGAGAAGGTGGTGCCATCTTATTGTTCCCCTCATCCATCCTGCTGCCTGAAAATTTGTTTTGATGGTTGGAGCTCTAGCAGCCACACGGGACCATGAGGACAAGGGCTACTCCCTGGGATATTAAGTCTTGAAGGAGCTTGGATCCCCAAGAAATGGAGGTGCCATATTAGCCTTAAGTGCCTACCACAAGACTTACTTTATATAGGAGAGCTAAACTTCCTACGGGCTTAAAGCCATTGCAGGGACAGGGGAAAGCGTCCTCTGTGATTAAAGCCATACAAAAAGGGAGGGAACTGAGGATATTGGCAAGAAAGTGCCTAAAACAATGATCACTGGATATACACTTGGAGAGAGGAAGCACTGATGCCCAGAAGTGGGTTCCAAATGAGGACCCAGTGGTCTCTCCTTGGCCACAGAGCAGGAGTGTGGTCTCAAGATGGCAGGATGATCAGGAGCATGTGGTCAGACTGGGGTGCACAAATGAGAGGCCAGGATGTTGGAGGAGTCATCCAAAGAATTTCTATGTGCCAAATCAAATGACTCATGGGCAGGGTGAGCGTGGGATATACCAAGTAAGCCATGGTGGCCGGGTGGGCTTATACTCCACCAGGGGAGTATAAGTGGAGTGAAATGTTCCGAACAGGCCAAGTGGCCTGGGTTATAGCAAGCGGGCCATAAGGCGGCATGGGTGGGTGTTGTAAAGTCTCCCCCAGAGGAGTTGCATATCGTCAGGAGCTCTGACCCTGGTTCAGATCATCTGGGTCTGAGTCCTGGTGCTTCCGTCTTGAGCACACCTGTCTCAGATCTGAGTATCAATCACAAGCCCTCCTCCCCATGCGACCTTGGCCAAGTGACTTCACCTTCCTGATCCTCAGTTTCCTCATTCATCAAATGAGGATGACAGCAGTGTCTGTATCACAGAATTAGCGGGAGGATGAGACGCCATACAACCATGAAAGCATCCTCATCCCCACTCTTCCATGGCATCGTTTAATGATTGTATGAGATGGTGTCACTAAGTGTGTAGAATGGCTCCTAGCACGTAGTGAGTGTTAGAGAAGGCTGGCAAACTTAGGATTGCCATCTCCAAGTTTGAGGTGGGGAAACGGAGGCATGGGGAGATTAGAGAAGTGGTCCAAAATCACATGGCTACATTTGACCCTGGTGGTCAGGCTCCAGAGCCTCCACACCTAATCGCTGCATACATAATCTCCACACCTAATACTGCATCCAGTCTGTACCACGTCATCTACTCCATGGTTTATATATACATATATACAAATAAGATCACCTGGGATCACCAAGAGGCAGTCAGCCTACATCAGCTCCTCCATCTCCCTGCTGCTCCCTCTGGAGGAGACGCAAAAGTCATCCTTGATTCTTCCCATTGCCCTCACCCACCTACATCTGGTCCAGTCTATCTCCAAATATATCCTGGGCCTACTGTTCTTGTCCAGAAGAGCCCAGCGTTCCCTTCTGATAAGCGGGGCTATAAAACCCAGCCTCACAGGGCCGGTAGAGGATATCCTTTAGGAAGATACTTAATATGAATGACTCTGTGTATGGCAAACACAGCCTTTTGCACGCATGGGCAAGCCTGGCACACGGTCAAATCCTTATGCCCACCCCACTCTGCTCAGACCTCATCTGGGCCCCCGGACCACTGTGACTGGTCCAAGCCACCATGGGCCGGCTTCTCACTGGAAGTCTTCCTGCCTTTGTCCAGGCCCCATACAGCTGCCAGAGAGATCTTGTTAAATCCCAGGTCAGATCCTGTCTCTCTGTGTAAAGTCCTCCAACAGCTCCCCCATTTCAAGAGCAAAAAACAAAAGTCATTCCAAGGGCCTACAACAGTGATTCTCAAAGAGTGTTCCCGGAGCAGCAGCATCAGCATTCCCTGGGATCTTGACAGAAACGTCCATGTCTGGGCCCTACCTTGGACCTCCTGGTCAGAGGTGGTGAAGCCCAGAAATCTGCATTTTAAATAAGCTCCCAGGGGATTCTGATGTATGCTGGGGCTTGAGAACCCCCTGTCTATGAGGATCTACAGGAGGTGGCCCCTTGCTATCTCTCTGATTTCACCTTTACTCCAGCCCCACGGGCCCCAGGGTCTTGCACTGGCTATTCCCTGTGGCCTGAAAATCTCTTTCCACAGATTATCTGCATGGCTGTCGCTGTCACTGTCACCTTGCTCAGGTCTTTGCTCAACTGGACCCTGTCATTTCCACCTGCCCTGACCAACCTATTTAAAATTATCACCCAGCCAGGTACGGTAGTTCATGCCTGTAATCCCAGCACTTTGGGAGGCTGAGGTGGGAAGATCACTTGAGCCCAGGAGTTCAAGACCAACCCATGCAACATAACAAGACACCATCATTACAAACTATTTAAAAAATTAGCCAAAGATGGTGGCGCACACCTATAGTCCCAGCTACTTGGGAGGCTGAGGCAGGAAGATCGCTTGAGCCCAGGAGTTTGAAGCTGTAGTGAGGTATAATCACATCACTGCAATCCAGCCTGGGTGACAAAGTGAGACCCTATCTCAAAAAAACAAAAAAACTATCACCCCTTTCTCTTCCCCTTCTCTGTTTTCCTCCATGGCAGGGATCACCAACTGACATACTAAGATACTAAGATATTTTATCGATTATGTTTATTGTCTATCTCCCCAGACTCCACCCCAATATAAGCAACCCGAGGACAGGTGGTTTGCAGTTTTGGTCACAGCGGTTGTTCCTGGCACATTCAGTAAGTATAATTGAACGTATTGCACCAGCTTCTCCCGGCCTCCAGACTCTCCCTCTGGTCCATCTTTGACACGACCCCAGAGGGTTCTTTCTACACCCAGAGCTGCCCCTACTTCTTCACTGCTCACACTCCTGCTGCAGCTCCCCAGCGCCCTGAGGAAAGAGACTCAACACTCTCTGACTTTTCTGCTGAACTCTGCACCTAGGTATCTAGCTGCCTCCTAAACGTCCCTGGGACCCCTCAAAGTCACTGCCTTCTAACCCAGCTTATCATCTGCCCCCGGCTCTTTCTCTCAGGCTCCTTATTTCGGTGATGACCCACCGCCCAACAGGCACAGAGCAGGACCTGTCTCAGATGCTGTTCTCTATGCTTCCCAAAACAGCCCAGCAGACCTAACTCTCTGGCCCTGGCCCTTCTCCACCTTCACGGCCCCAGCCCCCACTCGGGCCTCCGCTCTGGCCTGGACCCTCACCCAGCCTCTTCTCTCTCCCCTCCAAGTTTGTCCCCCATGCGGCCCCACAGAAGGCTTCCATTCCCAGATCCAAAGGTTCCTCATCTTTTCAAAAGCTTCTGTAACAAGGCAGCCTATGTGGGGAGAAAGGGCATTTCTTGGAATCCTGCACACCCCCACATGGAGAGGTTTAGGGCCTCAGGTCTCCCTTTAGGGTGGAGATGGGGAGAGCCACAGCTGAGGCCTTCTCCAGGCTGGCCCTGGATGCCCCCTGGGTGGATGGGAACCTTCCCTCTTCCGGGATTGTTGACAGGACGCTTGGAGGGCAAAGCAGGAAGCAAAAGGAGCGACTGTGGGTGTGGGAATAAGCCCTGAGCTCCTGGACCTAAGAGGAAGCCAGTTTATTCTATAGCGCAGGGCTCTGTAACTCCTGCAACTCCGAGCCTCCACAGTTCCAGGGTCTGGCACCTCGTGGGGATCATGGCCATGGTGATCAGGCATGATTACCGCCCATGCTGCCCATCGGCATTGCGTGGCCCCCAGCCCTGAGGTCTCTTCGCACAGCCACACACCTCAAGGCTGTCACATGTGCCTGTCTCACCAGGACAGTCACACCTTGTCTCTTTTCACTGCTGTCACCTGAGTGATCCACTCTGCTGTTCCTGTTTTCCCGCCCTCTAATTGCCTCACACCTCAAAAATGTGGAATCACTTTATAAGAAATCTGTGTGTGTGTGTGAGTGTGAGTGTATGTCTCTGAGCGTGTCTGTGTGCGAGTGTGTGTGTGTTCTATCCTAGAGGAAGATGCCTTCCCTAAGATCAGGCTCATCAGGCAGCCCCAACCCCTGCACTGAGCTCCATGGCCATCCTAGGAGGCAAGAAGATTGTCCCACTTTACAGATGGGTAAGTTGAGGCCAGGAGAGGGGCAGTGACACACCCAGAACTTCATAGCCAGTAAGAGTGTGAGCCATGCAGCCATGGCAGAACCTATGCCTACCCGACCCCATCTGGACTTCCAGCTCTAGGCAATTTCTGCAGCGTCCCTTCCCCCTCACCACCTTCAGCCCCTGGCTCTTAGAGCTGCCTTCAGCCTTCGTTTGGACAAGTAGCTGAGCTCAATGTCTTCCCAGCTTTCCCCTCCCGGATCACTGCCCAACTCTGGGGGCCTCCTTCCTCTGCCCTGGGCCCTCCCACATACCCATTTCTTAGGGGCTCCAAGTCCACATCTCCCATCTCCCCATCCCCACACACTCACCCTGGGCAGCAGCCAGCTCCTGCAGGGCATGGGTCATCTGGGTGAAGGTGTCATGCAGGTGGCTTCTCTCATCATAGTCTGGCGGTGAGGGAGGGAGCAGGGGCTGGGGGAGGCAGCTCCCCGCAACACCATGTCCCTAATGCGAACATTCTGTTTCTGAGTCTCTGCCCTCCCAAGTCTGTATCCTCCCCTCTCTGACTCTTTGCCCCACAGTCGCTATGCTTCCTGAGTCCCTCCCAAGTCTCTATCCTCCCTGAGTCTCTGCCCCCGACCAGTCGCTATCCTGCTTCCCCTAGTCTCTGCCTCATCTCTGTCCTCCTCTCTCTGGGTTTCCATCCTCTTTGAGTCTCCATCTTCCACCCTCTGAGTCTCCATCCTCCCCTCTCTGGGTCTCTATTCCCTCTCCAGTCTCCAACCTCTCCTGACTCTCCATCCTCCCCTTTCTATGAGTCTCCATCCTCCTGACTCTCCATCCTCCCGAGTGTCCATCCTCCCCTCTCTGACTCTCCATACTCCTGAGTCTCCATCTTTCCGAGTCTCCATCTTCCTCTCTCTCTGAGTCTCCATCCTCCCCCTCTCTGAGTCTCCATCTTCCCCTCTCTGACTCTCCATCCTCCCCTCTCTGAGTCTTTGCCCTGCTGTCTTCCCCTGTCTGTGTCTCTCTGTCCCTAAGTCTCTGTTGTTCTCATGGTCTTTGAGCCTTTCTCCTCTGACTGTTTCTCTCTGTCTGTCCCTCAGCCTGACCCTCTGGGCCTCTCCTGCCCTCCCTCTGCACCTTCCCCAGGACACTGATGAAGTGTGGATGGTCTCCTCACTGATTTCGGTGTCAGAGAGGCCCTGGAAGGCGGCCGTGAAGGCCTCCTCACACTCTTCAAGCTTGGGGCTCCGCATCCCAACAAACATCTGGCAGATGCGGAGGCGCTCAGAGTAGGTTGTGAAGCAGAGGAGACAGGCCCAGGCGGGCACCCTGAAGACAGCCAGGGCCAGCAGGGCAGACGGGACGGCACTGGCCAGAGCCAGCAGGGCCATCGTGTGGGTCTCAAGGCCAGGGGAGAAGCTAGTAACCTTTATGAAGTCACCACAGGGCGGGGGAAGGGCCAGTGGTCTGGGGTCAGAGGTCAGGTTTCAGTTGGTGGTCAAATGTCATGCTCTGGAGGAAGGGTATGAGGAGTCAGGGGTCAGAAGTCAGGCCAGCAATTCCCCAGGTGTGTGGTTGGGCCAGACGCCAGGCTCCCAAGAACCTCACCTGTGACCCTGGATGTCCTCACAGGTTAAAGGGTCTCAGGGACCTAGAGACTGGCAACATGGTGTGCGGTGGCCCGGTAGACCCTGGGGTGGGGGTCAGAGATGGAGATAGGCACAGAGACATTCTGAGAGCCAGAGACAGAAAGACCAAAAACGACAGAAATAGAGACACAGAGAGATATCGGGAGGGGCAGAGACCTAGAAAGCCAGAATAAGAGGGAGTCAGAGGATCCACTGTGAAAGAGACACAGAAGCCACAGAGACACAGCAGAGATGGAGACAGACAGGGAAGGAAAACAGATTTCAGGGGAAGGAGGGGATGCAGGGACAAGGACAGAAAAGAGCCCGGCTCTTCCTCCCAGGGTCCCTGGGGCAGCCCAGTGGGGCTAAGGGTCCCTGAGTGGGGCTGGGGGTCCCCGCCGGGCCCCGTCCCGTGCAGGGCGCAGCCTGGGGAAAGCTAGGAGGCCGTATAGTGATCTCCTTGGGTGTCCTCCTCAACTATACAACCTCCTACCTCAGCCCGGGGGGCGCGGCAGGTGGACAGACCCGACAGACAGACAGACAGGGACCAGGAGGACCAGGGATGAGGGGGAGGGCCGGGGAGGCCCCAGCCGCGATGGTGAGCCCCCGACACGGACCCACAGACACGAGCTTGTGTGCGGCGAAGGCCCCGCAAGGTCGGTTCTACGGGTGGGTGCCAGGACCCAGGAGTCCGGGCCCCCGGCCCCTCCTCCCCAAGGAACCCAGGAGTCCAGGCCCTCAGCCCCTTCCTCATCAGGGACCCTGGAGTCAAGGCTCTCATCCCCCTCCTCCCTAAAGAACCCAGAAGTCTAGGCCCTTCCTCACCACAGACCCAGGAATCCAGGCCTCTGGCCCTTTTCTCCCCAAATGTTCCTGGAATCCAAGGACTCAGCCCCTTCCTCCCTCAGACTCATGAGTCCAGATCCAAAGCCTCCTTCTCCCCAGAGACCCAGGAGTCCCTGCCCCCAGCCCCTCCTCCCTCCGGCCAGGCAGGCCTCCTGGGGAAGGCATGGCCTGATAGAAAACCTGGCTTCCTGGGTGCCGGCTGGGAGGGAACCTCATTTGTCTCGTAATTTGGCCCTTTGGGCACACCTGCTTCCTACCTACCCTCCTGTCAGTCTGCAGAGACTCCAGGCCCAGGGCTAAGGAGGCCAGGGGCTAGCCAACCATCAGAGCCTCCCTAGGTGCTTTCTTTCCTCTCTCCTCCCTTCTTTGGGTCATTTACAACTATGACAGCCACAATCTCCCAGCGCTGACCCCATACCAGGCCCTGAGCACCAGTCCTCTCCCTGACACCTCCCACTCCAGAGAGCGAGGTGCCCTCAGCATCCCCATTTGGCAGGTGAGGGGGCTGAGCCTCAGAGAGGGGAAGAGGCTCCCAAAGTCTGCCCAGCCCCATCTCTGTCCTCCCTCTTGAATCCAGGAGGTGTCCCCAGCCTTCTCCAGCTTCTGGACCCCGGGACCCAGCACCCACCCTCCCCACCCCTGGGCTCTGAGCCCCTCCAGCTGGGGTCTCTCCCGTGCCCAGCCCCTCCTCCTGGACTGTCTGGTTCTCGCTGCCCCTGCTCCAGGCGCACCTTCCGGTTCCTTTCTCGCAGTCCAGGTCTCTCTGGCCCTGCCTTTTTCTCTCTCCCTCTTTCTTTCCACCTTCCCTGGTTCCCAGCCTCCTCCTGCATCAGGACATCCCTCCCTGGCTCTGCGCTGGCTTCTCTCTCTGCCCATCGCCTCTCTCCTCTCCCCGCTTCTGTTTTCTTCCTTCTCTCCCCCTCTTTCTCCTGCTTTTCCTCTACCTTCTGTCTTTCATCCTCCCCTTCTCCCCCTTCCCCCTCTTTGTCTCTCTCATTCTCTCTCTGGCCCTCTCTCAGTCTCTCTCCTCTTTCTCACCCTTCTCCACCCCCTTTTTTCGGATGTCTTTCCTCACTTCCTCTCCCTCCGCCCCTTCCCTCTCTCCATCCCTCACCTCCGTCTCCTGCTCTCTCTCAGTCTCTGTCTCTCTCCCTCTCTCTCTCCTTCCCTCCCTCTTAGGTCTCTCTCTTTCCTCCCCTCCCCCTTCTCTCTTTGGGTCTCCCTCCCTTCTCTCTCTCTCTTTTCTCCTTCCCTCTCTCCCTCCCCCTCGCAGCTCGAGCCAGGTCTGGAGCTGGGGGTGGGGTGGGGGTGGTTTGAGAAGGGGCCCAGGGCTGGGGTAGCGACCTGAGGAGGGGGAGGAGAGGCGGGAAAGGGGCGGAGGAGGAAAGGGGGAGGCGGGGGCCGGAGACGGGTCTACGGCCAGCTCTCTTCCCCCTTCCCTCCTTCCCAACCTCCCAGACCCTCAGGCGGGGGCGAGAGTCAGGCCAAGGTGGGGAGGAAGGGGAAGGGAGGAGGCTGCCCCCGCCCCCACCCCCCCACACCAACCTGGCCCGGAGCCCAGGCCTGGGTTCCCAGCATGCCCCGGGGCTGCCTGGGGCCTGAGGAGGAGGGTGAGGGGAGAGGGGAAGCCGAGAATCTCAGAGATTCCCCGGACCTAAGCATCTCCCCCACCCGCCAACCAGTGTCTCCTTGGGGAAACTGAGGCGGAGAGAGAAGGGTCAGGACTTGTTCAAGGTCACTGGACAAGGCGTTGGTGGAAACGCGAACTCCCTGGGCCCATAGCCCCGCTTTGGGGAAGGGGTAGGCTCTGGACTTCCCCCAGGCCTAGGTCCCCCTCCCCCTCTCTGCGGACCCTGGGGAGCCCCCAAGGGTCAGAGAGCAGACCCAAACAGTCTGGCACCATGGCAACTAGCTGGTCCCGCCCCCTTAACCCCTGGAGGGCTGGACTCCAGCTGGGGCTAAAGAGGAGGTGGGGACTCCTGGGTTCCGGAGGAGGAGGGGCCTGGGGATCCCCAGAACTGCAGGCTTCAAAGGGAGAAAGATGCCGGAGCCTGAACGCTTGGGTTCTAGAGGAACAGAGGGTTGGGGGCCGCGCTCCTTGGGAAGAGGGGCTGAGGTTCTGAACTCTGGGGTTTTGAAGGAGTTAGGGGCTGGAGTGTGGATTCCCTGGTCTGAGAGAACAGACTGGGGGCTCAGACTCCTGGATCCTGGAAAAAAGGGGGCTGGGGGCTCGGATTCTGGAATGGGTGGGGGACTGGGTGGTGTACTCCCAGATCTGAGGGAGGAGGGGTCTGGGACCTGGAATCCCGGGTCCCCGAGGGAGCATGGATGCTGGGCCTCTCCTCCTCCAGACATCTCCTGCCCCCGCCGCTGACCCTGGCCTGTCTGGCAGCCCAGACAACCTCCCCCTCCTCCTCGGCCCCCTCCCACTGGCACGGCTCACCCTTGACCCCTCAAAGCCCCGCAGCCCCATCCCTGCGCCTCCCCCTCCCCTCCAGCCAGACGTTAACCCTTCCGCTGCCGCAGGCACTCCAAAGCCAGTCTTCCTCCACCTCCCCCGAGGGCTCGGGCAGCTCGCCCCTAGTCTCTTCCAGCCACGATCCTACCAGCCCCAGCCCCCATCTCTGTCCTCCCTCTTGAATCCAGGAAGTGTCCCCAGCCTTCTCCAGATTCTGGACCCCGGGATCCAGGTCCCAGCCCCCTCCTTCAAGGATTCAGGAGTCTGGGCTCCCAGCCACCCCACCCTCCCCACCCCCAACTCCTCCTCCAAGAACCCTGAAATCCAGGCCCCCGGGTGCTCCTCCCTCAGGGACCCAGGAGTGCGGGCCCCAGCCCCCCACCCTCCCTTTCCGCAGACTCACGGCTCCCGCGGCTCCCGCGTCGCAGGGAAGGGGTCTTCTCCGCCGCCCCGGGCCCGCAGGCCGGGCCCCACCGCCGCCGAGCGCTCTCCATCCTCTCCCCGCCTTCGCCGCACGGCGGCCTCTCCCCTTCCTCCCGCCGTCCCCGCCATCCTCCTTCCCTTCTCCCCGACTCCCTCCGGCCGTCACCTCCTCCCCGGCTCTGCGGTCCGGGGCTCCCCCTCCCTGGACCCCGCCGGCTGCGCGGCCGTCGGACCAGCCCCCTCCCCAGGGGGCCCCCCGCCCCGGCCCCTCCCCACCGCCCAGCCCAGTCCGGCCTGGCTTCCCCCCTGCCCCGGAGCTGGCCCAGGTCCAGGGGAAAAAATTCCATCCAGCCCCGGGGAGGAGGAGGGAGCGGGAGGGGGAGGCCGGGCCAGAGAAGCCTGACGCAGAGGAGGGAAGGGACAAAAGAGGCCGGGAGGCGGCGGGGCCGGCGCTCCCGCTCGCCCGCCCTCCTCCTCGGCCAGTCTCGCTCCTCCCCGGCTTTCCCTAGCTCCCCTCCGCCTCTCCGCCCCGTCCTGTCCCTCGCTGGCCTCCCTCCCTCTTCTCTCCTGCGCCTCCTCCTCGCTCTGTGCGTGCTCTCTCGCTCTCTCTCTCCCTCTCTCCCTCCCTCCCTTCTCTCTCGTTCTCTCTCTCTCTCTCTCCCTCTTTCCCTCCTCCTCTCTGCTCCTGTCATTCTTGGTTGCTTTTGCTGCCTCTCTGTGTCTCTTTCCGTCTGTCCTCCCTTCTGTCTCTGCACATCTGTCCTTCCTTTCGCCCTCTCCCTATCTCCATCCTCTTTCTCTGCCTGTGGGGCATTATCTGTGTCTCCCATTTATTCTTCCCTTTTCTCTGTTTCTCTCCCTCCCTTCCTGTCTCTGTGTCTCTGTTCTTCCTCTCTCTCGCTTTCTCCTCCCCTCTCTCCCCGAACCAGTCAGGGTCTGCCCGTCTCTCTCTCCCCCTTCCTGCTCTCCCAGCTTCGCCCCCACCAGCTTTAGTATCTCCACCCCCCACCCCCACCCACTGGGGGCTCAAAGGTGAATCAGACCCGAATCTGCCCTTGCAGATGGAGCTCACAGTCTGATGGAAGAGACAGAGCCAGCCGCAGACAGTCCCAATCCCGGGTGATCTGGGTATGACACAGGGAGAGGCCAGAGGCTGTGAGAGCCCAGGGCGGGAGGAATCCTGGCAGCTGGAGACGGCAGAGAGGACCTCCAGAGAAGGCGTGGTTGTGGCATGACCTCCACTAAGGCCCTTCCAGGCAGAGGGCACAGCTGAAGCGAAGGCCCAAGGCAGGAAACCAAGGAGGTGCTGGGAGGACAACAAAGCCCTTAAGTCTGACTAGAGCCTCCGAAGCCAGGAGCCAAGGAGCACAGGAGATGAGGCTGGTGGGGCGAGCGGGCGGGGTCAGATTCTTAGGGAGTTTCAGGCCAGGCTGGGAACTTAGCCTTCTGAGGGTGACAGGGAGCCCTGGAAGGTTGTGAGCAAGGGGCGGGGACACGGTTATAGCTGAATGTCAGACCCCGCTGAGGCTGTGTGGAGTGGAGGGGGAGAGACGGGTGGAGGCTGGGGAGGAGGCCCCCTCCCTGCAGTTTGCGGGCTAGGACCTGGGGAGAGAGGAAGGGGTGGGGCAGGAATGTGAGGAGCTGGAGATGGCTGGAGACTGCTGGGCACTGGGGGCAGAGAACAGGAACCTGTGGGCGGGAAACAGGTAGGAAAACTACAACTCCCTGAGTCTGGCCCAGGAACGGATGGGGCAGGAGTTGCTTTCAATGGGGAACTAGGAGGAAGAAGAGGGTAGAGGAGAGAGATGCTGTGGGCATCTGAGAACTTAGTGGACATTAAGAGCCAGGGAAAACGTTCAGGATGCATGGTGCTGGGCTTTCAACAGTGCATCTCCCTCCCTCCCTATCCTCCAGCCACCCAGTTCTCCTCTCTGGGGACAGCATATATTCACTAATTTCTTATGTATCTTTCCAGAGGAATTTTATACATCTATGCACATATATACCACCCTCCTCTTTTCTGTCCCCTGATAGGATCACATTATTCTGCACCTTGGTTTTTTTTTTTTTTTTTACATGATATCCAAAGATCCTCCCATATCTAGGCTTATAGAACCTCCTCATTCATTTTAATAGTGATATAATATTCCATTGTATTCATCTATTTATTCCTAGTGTATTCAGTTAATTGGGAGATTGGGAGGTTTTTTATGTCAAGAAACTAATGGTTATGCATATTGATATTTACAGATTTGCTTATGTATGTATGTATGTATGTATGTATGTATGTATGTATGTATGTATTTATTTTTGAGACGGATTGCCCAGGCTGGAGTGCAGTGGCATTATCTCAGATCACTGCAACCTCTGCCTTCCAGGTTCAAGCCATTCTCCCACCTCAGCCTCCCACGTGGTTGGAACTACAGGCCTGCGCCACCAGGCCCGGCTAATTTTTGTGTATTCTGTAGAGATGGGGTTTTGCCACGTTTGCTGGACTGGTCTTGAACTTCTGACCTCAAGTGATCCTCCCACCTTGGCTGAGCCACCACACCTGGCCCAAATTTGCTGATTTTTAAAGTGATTTTGTCCAATGCTTTTAAGCCTCTAAACCCAGATATTCGATAAATGCTTACTTCTAGATCCTTTAAAATTTGTTGATAATTACTAACAATGGGATAATAATAATGACAACAGATACCCTTTATTGAATGACTACTTGGAGCCAGTTCCTGGGATGAGTATTTGTTATACATTATATCATTGATTACACAGAAACCTTATTATTAGAAACTATTATTATCCCAATTGTAAGGATGGAATACTGAATAGGATGCAGTTCTGAATAGCGAGTTGCCCAAGCTCACAAAGTATGTGATGGAGCTAGAGATTCAAACCCAGGCCTCTCTGGCTCCTTCTTTGGGGTGGGCTTGCTCTGGGAAAATATGCTATTTCTAAGGATTGACACTGGGTACATTTAAACTTGTCATGCACACAAATTCATGTATGATTAAGAAGGACCCTTTGTCAGACCCCTCACTTTCACTTACGATCTAGAGTTACTGTCATTCTACATTCACCCTGGATGCCCTGTAGACAGATCAGGACAGGCACCACATCACAGTCCTTGTCCTGGCCCTGATCCTGTTGTGTTGTGATTTTCTACGTCTGGGTCTGTCTTTGGGAATTTACTGAGGGCACAGTCTGGGTCTGAGTCATTTCTGTGTCCTCAATATCACTCCACCCAGGCATGGCTCAGAGCAGGGGCTCAGGAAAATGTTTGCTAAGTGAATGAATGAGGAGATGAGTGAATAATAAATGACTTGTGGATTAGGCTGGGACTTGCTTAAGCCCCCCAGGAACAGTGACCATAATTCCCATTAGTTTCTGAAACATAAGGCCTCTGTTCTGTTCTCATCAGTTAGCAAGTCACAGGGACCACTGGTTCCTTCATTCTCTGAAATACAGGGCTCCAAATCTCTCAGCACATAAGACTCATCTACTGCAATTCCTACAAATATCCAGAACTCAGGATCCATCATTGCCTTCACTCCCTGAAACAGGGGGCCACCATTCCCATCAGACATTGGCACACAAGTACAGGTTGAGCATCCTTAATGCAAAAATCTCGAATCTGAAATGCTCCAAAATCAAAAACTTTTTGAGCACCGACGTAACGTCAGAAGTGAAAAATTTCATTCCATCACTTGATCTCATGTGATAGATTGCAGTCAAAACTTTGTTTCATGGGGCTGGGCACAGTGGCTTATGCCTGTAATCCAGCTGTTTGGGAGGCTAAGGCAGGAGGATCACTTGAGCCCAGGAATTTGAGACCAGCCTGGGCAACATAGTGGGATTCCCATCTCTACAATAAAAAAATTTAAAACTTAGCAGGGCATGGTGATGCATGCTTCTTCTCCCAGCTACTAGGGAGGCTGAGGTGGGAGGATTGCTTAAGCCCAGGAAGTTGAGGCTGCACTCCAGCCTGGTTGATAGAGTGAGACCCTGTCTTAAAACAAACAAAAAACCTTGTTTCATGCACAAAAATATTGTATAAAATTATCTTCAGGCTATGTGTAGAAGGCATATATAAATGAAATGAAAACAAATGAATTTTGTGTTTGGACTTGGGTCTCATCCCCAAATATCTGATTTTATATATATGAAAATAGTCCAAAATACAAAATAAAAAAATCAAACCTGAAACACTTTCTGTCTCAAGTATTTTGGATAAGGGATGCTCAACCTATATCACCATCTTTATCAGTCTCTGCTACCCAATATTGTAATTCTCATACTTCTTAGACACAGGGGCCACCATTCTCATCAACTGCTGAAACTCAAGTTCCACTATTATTACCTCTTGGAACAGCACTTCAAAGGAAAATAGAAACTTCCTACCCTTCACAAGGTCATCCCAAGTTCCTGAAACAGGAACTGGTAGACAGGAGGACACCTTAACCTACCTTGAATTAGGTCTGAGTCAAGGACTTACACGTTGATACTATAGAACAGGCGGCACCGGGTCATGAGGAACATCAAAGTAGCAGAGAATCCTTCCATGTGAGGGATCAACCCTAAAACCAAGATAATCCGATAGCACCACCAGACAATCCTTCCATGTGGGGGGATCAACCCCAAACCCAAGATAATCCTAGAGCACCACATAATCCCTGCAGGTGGGATAATCCCCACACTGGCAGAGCCTAAAATCACGAGATGATCTAAATCAAGCTTGTCCAACCCACAGCCCATGGGCCTCATGTGGCCCAGGATGGCTTTGAATGTGGCCCAACACACATTCATAAACTTTCTTAAAACATTGAGGTTTTGGGTTTTTTTTGCAAATTTTTTTAAGCTCATCAGCTATCATTAGTGTTAATGTATTTTATGTGCAGCCCAAGACAATTCTTCCAGTTTGGCCCAGGGAAGCTGAAAGATTGGACACCCCTGAACTAAAAGCAGCAGATTCTCCTATTACACCATTAAATAACCCCAAATGGTAATTTGCCCCTGGTGGACTTGTAGGAAGTAGAGACAGGGTCCCCATTGTTGTCGGGTCTGGGCTGGGGGAAGTGGGGAGGCAACAGATCTCATTTCCACAATTAATTATTTTCTGAACAAAGGGCATGGGAAAATGGGTGTGATGTTTTGGGGAGGGTTTCCCTATAGCCTTTCTCTTCACCTTGGGCCATACCTTCTTTTTGTTTGATGAGTGAAGGACCTTCAGCTGCTCTGCTGTTTACATCTAAGAAAAAGGTAGGGAAGGTTACACTGAGGTTCAAGGAGACAGACTAGTTATAGTTTTTGCAAGTCCGTCAGCTGCCATCTCCTCCTACCTCTGATAATAGATCATCTCTTTCCTTTAAGTAACCCACTCCACATGACTCTGACAAGAATGTCCAAGCACTGATGCCCCTCCTTCTCCCCCCAAAAAAACCTAGTCTGGGCATCTGGGTATATGACACAAAATAGGCCAACCAGAATATTTATCATTCATTGTCTGTGAGCCCTGACAGAGCTGGTTAGAATCCAAGATTTTATTTTTGATCTTGATACTTTAATTTTATGTCTTCTAAAATATAAATGTATACATATGCATTTGTACACATATATATTGTTTTAGTTTCTGAAGAACAGAGTCATACTACATATGCCAAGGTGATTAAGAGCACAGATTCTGAAGCCCGATGGCTCAGGTTTGAATCCTGGCTCAGCCATTTTACTAGCTATGTCTCTCTATGTCTCAGTTTCATCATCAGTAAAATGGGTGTAATAATAATAGTACCTATATCATGGGTTGAGACATAAGGATTAAAGGAGTTAATGTATGGAAAGTGCTTAAAACAGTGCCTGGCACACAATAAACCATATAAAAGAATTATCGAATGTTATGCCTACAAATTAATACAGAGCTAGCTCTTTATTCTAATTTATTCATACACATGCACAGAATTTTATATTAACAGGGCAATTTATTCTTATGAAGGTATTTTTACTGTATTCTTTCCCATCCTCATTTATTTTTTTCTTTGGTTACCTTGATTGACCCCTCCCTTCCTACCCATTCACCAGGTGCTTCTCCTCCCAAAGTTATCTGTCATACCTGTTGTGAGTTAAATTGTGTCCCCACCCCACCAAATATATATGTTAAAGTTTGAATCCCCTGTACCTGTGAATGTGACCTTCTTTGAGAGCCTTTACAGATGTAATCAAGTTAAAATGAAGGCATACTGGATTAGAGTGGGCCCTAAATCCAATGACTGGTAATCTGATAAGGAGAGAGATATTTGAAGATGCAGATAAAATACTTGGGAAGAAGGCCATGTGATGATGGAGGCAGAGAGATTCAAGTGATGCATCTACAAGCCAAGAAACACCAAGGATGACTGGCAACCACCAGAAGCTAGAACAAGAAACCAAGGGGCCTACAGAGGAAGCTGGTCCTGCTGATACCTTCATTTCTAACTTCTAGCCTCCACATCTGCGAGAGAATACATTTCTGTTTTTGCTTGTTTGTTTTGAGGTGGAGTCTCCCTCTGCCACCCAGGCTGGAGTGCAGTGGCATGATCTTGGCTCACTGCAGTCTCCACCTCCTGGGCTCAAGTGAGTCTCCTGCCTCAGCCTCCCAAGTAGCTGGGACTACAGTCACCTGCCACCATGCCTGGCTAATTTTCGTATTTTTAGTAGAGACAGGATCTTACCATGTTGGCTAGGCTGGTCTCAAACGCCTGACCTCAAGTGATCTGCCCGCCCTCAGTCTCCCAAAGTACTGGGATTACAGGCATGATACACTGTGCCCGGATAATTTCTGTTGTTTTAAGCTGCTCAGTTTATAATACTTTATTACAACAGCCCTAGAAAACCAATATAGTATCCATGTTTATCTGTGTGTCTTGTCATTCTTTACTTCATGTTTAAGTAAACATACATACACACACAAACATGCACATAGTTGGGTTGCATTAAAATTCAGCTTCAGCCTCAATATTTGTTCATTTTTTTCTATTTGACTTTGATCTCACCTCAGTCTTTTGGAGGTGGAACCACTGAGTGCCAATTTGAAGTTCATTTCTGGCATCCCTGAACTTGTGTGGTCACGATGAATACATGACAGATTGGGTTACCAGCCTATCTAACTAGCACAATAACATTAGAAATATGAACAAATCATGTTCCTAACTTTAAAATCTTAATAGTCACCTTCAAATTTAAGCATTCTAATGTAGCTTGGAGTGAACATCGTGTGTGTGTTCAAAGTTAAATTTTTATCAAAGTATAAATGTGTGTGTAATTATACAATTACAGGAGTAAGAGGCTGAAATAAATAATGGTGATTGTGAAAACCTATAAGTTACAGATGATTCTTCAGGAAACTGACTCTGAAGCAGAGGTTAGAACTCCCCTACAAGTGTGAATCCTGAGAACACCCCTATTAATTTCCTGCTCTCAGGATTCACACTCGTAGGGGAGCGAAGGAAGTAGGATTAGGCAGTGGGAGAAGGTGAACTACTATGCAGTCATAACAGAAGCCCCAGCCAATCCTACAGGAAACTCTACAGCTAGATGGCTCCACAGAGATGTCCTGAATCGGGGAAAGGGGACTGGGCCTTTATACCATTCACTGACCTATTAAAAGAAGAACTTCAGACAAATTAAATTGAACACAGTTTATTTGAGTAGAGAACAATTCATGAGTAGGGCAACACTCAGAATCAGAAGAGCAGTGAGCTTGTATAAGCTGAACACAGAAGCAAAGTAGAGAAATCATCTGGTTGGCTACAGCAAGACATTTGCCTTATTTGGGCACGGATATGATCAGTTAGCTGCCTGTGATTGGTTGAAGCTTGGCTGTTTGTGATTGGCTGGAACCTTGCTATTTGTTACAAAAAGTATACTACTAAGTTACATTTCGGTTTGTTTACCTACTGACTTAGGTTGCTATTTATTAGGTAGGAACTCAAAGTATGGAGAAAACCTCAGGCTCATGGCCTCCAGCATAAACAGGCTCATGGCCTCCAGCATAAACAATGCTGATTTAATAGAGCAGTCATTGGATGTGAGCTGACCCAGGAAGGGGTTGTGACTTTGGGTGAGGCAGCTCCTTGCTCTGAAGGCAATCCTTACAAGGGAGTGCTGCCAGCTGTCAGCAATCAACACTCACAGCAGCTGGGATGAACCAGTGCTTCAGTCCTGGGGGCACTCTATCATTACACCATGCCTTTCAGGTCCAAAAACAATTACTGAGAACTTCCGCATAATTATACAACTCAGGAAATAGACTGAGTGTTGGTATGAAGATTAAGAGTGCTTTAGTTAAATGCCATTAGAAAGAATATTGTCTCCTCTTGGAACTGGAAAGTGATTGTAAAAATATCAATAATAACATGAGTCAGAACAGCAAAGATTAGATTCCATGGAAATCCAGAGATCATTTTTGTGATAGGCAGCCTCCCTTGTAGAATTTTTTGGTATTCTATCATTCATATTATTAACGAAAATAATCTTTGATGACCGTATTTGATGTTTTTTAGTTATTTACATTTAGGCTGTGTATCTTTTTAGAAAAAGTGTTATCTGAAAATTGTTCACATTTGTGAGGATGAATTTCAAAAAGATTGGCAATTTTGCTTACTTAAATTTCTTGAAGTAGAAATGAAACTCTCTAAAATCATGTGTAACAACTTCTGTGCTAAATCGTCTTTGATCCAGACATCATAATGGGTGCAAAGAGCATGAAAAAAAAAAAACAGAAAAGTGTTGGAAATCAGATTCCCCAAATACATTTTGTTCTCACTAATCAAACTTCAAAACAACAGATTTTATAAGCACACTTTAAAAAAATTCTTTATAGTTTTGAGTTAGTGAAGCTAAAATCTTAAAGCTGTAAAATTGATTGCACAACACTGTCAACCATTTTTTGAAGTAGAAGACAAAGGATTTTCAAAATTTGCTAAAATTATGATTCTTAAAAGTTCTTTCTAGAAAACATGTTTTGAAAAGTTATTCCAAATTACATTAAGCTGTGCACAAAATTATTTTATGTACTAATTCTGTATCTTATAGATTGAACATTTGGACATAGAGAAACAATCAGGTGTTTTCTTCCTGATTTATGATGAATTTCACTATATTTCTACTTGGTGGTGGAGATATTTCTTGGTCTTACACGTAGTTAACAACATAGTGCATATACTTTATGGAATGTATGTCATATGAAAAAAGTCAATTGTTGATAATGGAACAAAAATGGCAAAGGCTATGAGTGAATTAGAAATTAGAAGTATATTATTATTTCTTCACACCTTTAATTGTGTGTCCAGGAATAATCAGAGCTCAGTATCAGGTAATAGAATTAATGTCCATAAGCAGAAAGATGGTTGGGCCACACTTTCATCATTCTTCAGTCAAAATCAAACTCATGACATACAAGAGACCTTGGAATTGCATGCCTATGAGGTTTTTAAACAGGATGACAAAGCAGCTCTTCCATGTTCAAAGCAATACTTAAACAAAAAGCCGATACTGTACTCTGCAGATGACAATACCCACCCAGCAGGACGTACTGATAACTGAGAGTTGCTTGAAAAAAAGTGGTTTATTTGATGAACCTACTGAAGAAATAGCCAAACGAAGGTGCTTTGAGAGTGGATGTATTTCACACGATACATGCTGTAAACACTTTGCTATTGTTTTGCTCCTGCCAATGTGCTGAAACAGGTGCATAGCTATTGAATGCTGAGATACAGATGGAAATTCAGAAATTATTTTTGCGGGGTTGTCAGCCTTCTAAAATATCTCCCAATGATCTCCACTTCCTGATATTCATGTGTTTGTGTAACCTCCTCCCCAAAGGATGAACTTAGTGACTTACTTATAACTAATGGTATATGGCAAAAGTGATGGAATGTCATTTCCAATATTAGATTACAAAAAACTGTGTGACTTCTGTCTTGCTAGCAAACTCTACTGCCTTTCTGATTTTCATGTATTAATCAAGTAAGTGGCTATATTCTGAGCTGCCATTTTTGAAAGACTCATGAGGTAAGGAACTGAGGGAAGCCCCTGCCAACAGCTAGAAAGGAACTGAGGCTCTCATTCCAATACCCTGTGAGGAACTGCATGTTGCCAAAAGCCAATGAATAAACTTGGAAGTGGGTCATTCCCCAGTAGAGCCTTCAGATGAGGATGAAGACCCTGAGTCAACATCTTGATTTCAACCTAGTGAGAAACCGTAAGCCAAGGACCAAGCTAAGCTGTGCTCAGATTCCTGACCACAGAAACTGTAAGATAAGTGTGTATCAAGATGCTCAGTTTTGGAATAATTCCCTAGGTAACAATAGATGGCTAATATTAATACTTTTTTGTTTTTCTGTTATATGAATAGTATTTTGATATCTTGAAAGTGAATTGTCTTTCTCTATTGTCATATTTCTCATCCAAGATTTCAGGAGACATTCTTCCCAACAGCCTACGTGAAATAGCAAGCAAATGCAAAAATCTTATGGGAAAACAAAAAAACCTAAGAGAGGGGAGAACTTTCTCATTTTTGAGAATGGCAGTCCAGGCTATATGGATCAACTCCTCTGCTGAAAGTCATTAAAAGTGGCGGATAAAATACTCAAAACAATCTTTATAAAATAATGGAAAGACAATCTAGTGAGGAATTTCCTAGCTAAAATTTAGAAAGTGAGAACTCCAAGAACTAAGCAGAGCATTCAAACCTGCTTTTGACTGATGAGCATAGGCTTATTCTGATTATAAAAATGAGCTGTAGTTTTCAACAGTCTCCTGAGAGGAAAGGAACAAAAGTAAAAGTGGCACCAAACTGGTACTATGGCATATGGTAAAAGCAAACTGAAACCCTCCTTCATGGATGTACTTTGATCATAGAATGAAAATGATCCCAGGTAGAAGGTCTGAGGTACGAGGAGGAAACAGGTGGTAAATATATGGATGTATCCATCAGGATTCGAATAGGAAGCTGATGGCTCATTCAAGAGCTTAATTAAACATAGACTTGGCCGGACACGGTGGCTCACGTCTGTAATCCTAGCACTTTGGGAGGCCAAGGCAGGCGGATCACTTGAGATCAGGAGTTCCAGACCAGCCTGGCCAACATGGTGAAACTCTGTCTCTACTAAAAATACAAAAAGTGGCCAGGAGCGGTGGCTTACGCCTGTAGTCCCAGCTACTCAGGAGGCTGAGGCAGGAGAATTGCTTGAACCCGGGAGATGGAGGTTGCAGTGAGTCGAGATCGCGTCACTGCACTCCAGCCTGGGTGACAGAGCAAGACTCCGTCTCAAAATAAATAAATAAATGAATAAATAAATAATAAACATAGGCCAATGAAGGGACTAAATAGAGATGTAGGCAGGATTAAGAGGTCCAAAAAGAGATGGTGCAGCATCCAAGGACAAGCAGCAGTGGGAAACGGGTACCAGCCTAGACCTGATGGGGCAAGGGCAGTAGCCTTGGAGGATGGGCTGCCTTATAGGACTTGTAGCACAGAGGAATGCAGCCACGGCCAGAACTGTAGGGAGAGAACAGGAGGAATAAAAACCCTGACTTCTTTCCTCCCACCCTTCAATCTCCGGACAGTGCCTCCCACTGGCAAGGGGAAGCTGATGATGCGGTCCTGAGAGGTCAGCCTGTCAGTGCACAGAAATGAGCAGAGACAAGTGAATGATGGATCTGAAGAGGCACAGGTCATCCCTGTTGTCACTGAGCACCCATTACGTTCTTTTGTTTGGATGAACAAGCTCACATCCTTAACACAGAGATGCCCAGTATTAGTTCTACTATTACTGCAGAGGGAAGTCATTCCTGCTATACTTCTGAAACTGAAATTGTAACAACAGCCATGAAAAGTGCTCTTCATGTAAGATATCAGAGTGAAATTGAAGTGGGAAAGAAACAATTAGTTACCATAAAACATAATAGCTGCAGTTCCTGCTTCTATAGCTGGTCATAAAGCCTAAATTGATAACCATTTTGTGTCTCTCTTACCTTCCTCTAGCACTTCGTTTCCTTGGAATTTTTTATCTGGTAGAGTGACCCAAAGGATCCAAGTCATTAATGCTTCGTCTTTATTGCACTGCTGCAGTTATCCATTGACCATTATTCTGGACAGAGTATAAAAAGCCTCCCGACGGAATAGTCTCGGTTCCACTCCTAATTCTCCTTGATTGCACTGTATAGCAACAACATATTTTTCTCCTAATAATTGGATCAATTGGTACCTTTACTAGCTTAGTAAAGGTACCTCCTTCTCTGCCTGATGGTTTAGCATCATGACTTGCCCAAAATGGCCAAGAGGCAGCCTCTCCTTCCACTTGAAACCATAACTGGGTCCTTTAGTGGAAGTGTTTCTCCTTGAAACACTAGGACTCGCAAAGCCACCCACTCCAAAGTTGCAAATTTAGGAAGCAAAAAATTGCATAGGTGTGTGATTAGGTGGAATAAGGAAGAGGAACCAGTTCTACTGTGTCCAGAATTGGTTCCTTCCGGTGGGTTCTTGGGCTTGCTGACTTCAAGAATGAAGCCGCAAACTCTTGCAGTGAGTGTTACAGTTCTTAAAAATGGCGTGTCTAGAGTTTCTTCCTTCAGATGTTCAGATGTGTCCAGAGTTTCTCGCTTCCGGTGGGTTTGTGGTCTCACTTGACTTCAGGAGTGAAGCCACAGACCTTCGCAGTGAGTGTTACAACTCTTAAAAGTGGCAAGTCTGGAGTTGTTTTGTTCCTCCCGGTGGGTTCGTGGTCTCACCGACTTAAGGAATGAAGCCACAGACCTTCACAGAGTGTTACAGCTCATAAAGGTAGTACAGACCAAAGAGAAAGCAGCAGCAAGATTTACTGTGAAAGGCAAAAGAACAAACCCACCACAGCCTGGAATGGTACCTGAGCTGGTTGCCGGGTTGCCACGGGTGGCCAGCTTTTATTCCCTTCTTTGGCTCCACCCTCATCCTGCTGATTGGTCCATTTTACAGAGCACTGATTGGTCCATTTTACAGAGTGCTGATTGGTGCATTTTTACAGAGTGCTGATTGGCACATTTACAAACCTTTAGCTAGACACAGAGCGCTGATTGGTGTGTTTTTTACAGAGTGCTGACTGGTGCATTTACAAACCTTTAGCTAGACACAGAATGCTGATTGGTGCGTTTTTAGAGAGTGCTGATTGGTGCATTTACAAACCTTTAGCTAGACACAGAATGCTGATTAGTGCGTTTTTACAGAGTGGTGATTGGTGTGTTTACAATCCTCTAGCTAGACAGAAAAGTTCTCCAAGTCCGCACCCGACCCAGAAGCCCAGCTGGCTTCACCTCTCACTACCTCCACTGCTTGGTTTTCACATTGTGTATTCTGGCTCTGGGAGAAATGGCACTGTATATTGGTGCTGGTTTAAGGCAAATACTGTTCGATAGCACCTCACCCAACCTCACCAAATATTCACCGCCAGATGGCACTATAACTTGCCTTCAGTAGGTCATTTCATCAATACATCAAGTCACCTGCTTCTGGGTAATGAGGCCCACAGTTGTATTTTATTGGCCTTAAAATTATTTTCTTGTTTAGTGTGTGGGAACTGGAGGGGTTGTGCATTTAGCTGGCATGGTAAAAAAGATAAGGGATTCTTTTAAGGTAGCCATAGATGCTTTCTGATGTTTCTAACATATCTCTTAAGTTGGGCATGCAAGGACTCATTTATCTGTTTTTTTTTTTTTTTTTTTTTTTTTGAGAAGGAGTCTCACTCTGTTGCCCAGGCTGGAGTGCAGTGGTGCGATCTTGGCTCACTGCAACCTCCGCCTCCTGGTTCACAAGCAATTCTCCTGCCTCAGCCTCCTGAGTAGCTGGGATTACAGGTGTGTGCCACCACACCTGGCTAAATTTTGTATTTTTAGTAGAGACGGGGTTTCACCATGTAGGTCAGGCTGGTCTTGAACTCCTGACCTCGTGATCCACCCGCCTCGGCCTCCCAAAGTGCTGTGATTGCAGGCGTGAGCCACCGTGCCCAGCTATCTTTTCCTTTTTGTTTGGTCTTCAAGTTGGTCAGAGGCAGCCTGTCTGCCACACAGTCTTCATAATAACCTTTATCACCAAGGTGACTGAGTGCCACTTAATTTCCCAATGCTTTGCCCTCCACCTTCACTCTCTGTTATTTCACCATTAGTAATAATTTGAGTAATCATAACAATAAAAATGAGTAAGAGGCTTAAGTATAAGACACATGTAAAATAAGAAAATAGTAATATATTGGAATGTGCAAACTGAGTAAAGGGTTCTAATGTCCTATCTTATATTGGAGAAGCTTTAAAAGGTCACTAACTTTAGACTTTATTAACTGTGTATTATATGTTTTTTAAAGAATAACTAATAAACTTAGCAATAGAGTGCAAAACTTTTAAACTTGTGGGAAAGAAATGAACTAAGAAGAATAGAAATTACTCCAGCAGTCCAAATGTAGGCCAGAAAGAGGAAAAAAGGAATCATTGAAAAGGCAAAAAAAAAAAAAACCAAAAAAACAAAAAAAAAAAAACGCAGAACACAAAGCAGGTACAAAAATAATAGATTTAAATTCAAATATATTAGTAATTGCATTAAGTGTAATGTAAGGCTTCAGTTAAAATCAGTTTGCTAGACTGCGCCAAAAGAAATCCAACTGTATGCCATTTACAAGAGACACATCTAAAACATAGTGATACAGGAATGTCAAAGAAAAAAGATGAAAATTTATATATAATGCAGCAAATACTAACCAAAATAAACCTGGGTAGATATATTGACATCAGCTAAAGTAAAATTTATTTAGGCAAAGTGTTTAGGCAAAATACTTACCAGTAATGATGATCATATCACAATGATAATAATTTCATCAGAACATTTAAAAACCTAATTAGTATGCACTAAATAATGCAGCCTCAAAATATATAAATCCAAAGTTGTCAGAACTACAGAAAATGTCCAAATTCATAATCATAGTGGGAAATTTTTTAACATATCTCTTTCATTAATGAGTAAATTAAACATGAAAAAAGTCAGTGAAGATGAAGAAAATCTACACAACATCATCAACAAATTGACTTAAACAAAAGACAAAACAGTACACTCACAACAGCAACAATACATGCATTATTAAAGCACACACAGAATATTTGTACAACTTGATCAGAGACTGAGCCATTGAGAAAATCTCAACACAGTTTAAGGGATTTATATCACAAAAAGTATATTTTCTGATCACTTTGTTGTTAAGATGGAGATCTGAAACAAAAATATTATTGAACTCTTGAAAGGTTGAAAATTATGCCTAGGTTTTCTTCTAGGGTTTTTATGGTTTTAGGTTTAACGTTTAAATCTTTAATCCATCTTGAATTGATTTTTGTATAAGGTGTAAGGAAGGGATCCAGTTTCAGCTTTCTACATATGGCTAGCCAGTTTTCCCAGCACCATTTATTAAATAGGGAATCCTTTCCCCATTGCTTGTTTTTCTCAGGTTTGTCAAAGATCAGATAGTTGTAGATATGCGGCATTATTTCTGAGGGCTCTGTTCTGTTCCATTGATCTATATCTCTGTTTTGGTACCAGTACCATGCTGTTTTGGTTACTGTAGCCTTGTAGTATAGTTTGAAGTCAGGTAGTGTGATGCCTCCAGCTTTGTTCTTTTGGCTTAGGATTGACTTGGCAATGCGGGCTCTTTTTTGGTTCCATATGAACTTTAAAGTAGTTTTTTCCAATTCTGTGAAGAAAGTCATTGGTAGCTTGATGGGGATGGCATTGAATCTCAGGACATAGGCGTGGGCAAGGACTTCATGTCCAAAACACCAAAAGCAATGGCAACAAAAGACAAAATTGACAAATGGGATCTAATTAAACTAAAGAGCTTCTGCACAGCAAAAGAAACTACCATCAGAGTGAACAGGCAACCTACAACATGGGAGAAAATTTTCGCAACCTACTCATCTGACAAAGGGCTAATATCCAGAATCTACAATGAACTCAAACAAATTTACAAGAAAAAAACAAACAACCCCATCAAAAAGTGGGCGAAGGACATGAACAGACACTTCTCAAAAGAAGACATTTATGCAGCCAAAAAACACATGAAGAAATGCTCATCATCACTGGCCATCAGAGAAATGCAAATCAAAACCACTATGAGATATCATCTCACACCAGTTAGAATGGCAATCATTAAAAAGTCAGGAAACAACAGGTGCTGGAGAGGATGCGGAGAAATAGGAACACTTTTACACTGTTGGTGGGACTGTAAACTAGTTCAACCATTGTGGAAGTCAGTGTGGTGATTCCTCAGGGATCTAGAACTAGAAATACCATTTGACCCAGCCATCCCATTACTGGGTATATACCCAAATGAGTATAAATCATGCTGCTATAAAGACACATGCACACGTATGTTTATTGCGGCACTATTCACAATAGCAAAGACTTGGAACCAACCCAAATGTCCAACAATGATAGACTGGATTAAGAAAATGTGGCACATATACACCATGGAATACTGTGCAGCCATAAAAAATGATGAGTTCATATCCTTTGTAGGGACATGGATGAAATTGGAAACCATCATTCTCAGTAAACTATCGCAAGAACAAAAAACCAAACACCGCATATTCTCACTCATAGGTGGGAATTGAACAATGAGATCACATGGACACAGGAAGGGGAATATCACACTCTGGGGACTGTGGTGGGGTCGGGGGAGGGGGGAGGGATAGCATTGGGAGATATACCTAATGCTAGATGACACATTAGTGGGTGCAGCGCACCAGCATGGCACATGTATACATATGTAACTAACCTGCACAATGTGCACATGTTCCCTAAAACTTAGAGTATAATAAAAAAAAAAAAAAAAAAAAGAAAATTAAGAAATTTTATCCAGTATTAGAGATGGAACCTAATGGGAGATGTTTGGGTTATGGGAGTGGGTGCCTCATGAATGGCTTGGTACTGTCCTCTTGGTAATGGGTGAGTTCTTGCTCTATTAATTCTTACAAGAGCGGTTGTTAAAAAGAACCTGCCACCTGCACTGTCCCTATCTCTTGCTTTCTCTCTCCTCATGTGATCTTTGCACGTGGTGGCTCCCCTTTACCTTCTGCCATGAGTAGAAGCGGCCTGAGGCCTCACCAGAAGCAGATGCTGGTTCCATGCTTTCTATACAGCCTGCAGAACTGTGAGCCAAATACACCTCTTTTCTGTATAAATTACCCAGCATCAGGTATTGCTTTTTTAGCAAGACTAAATGGACTAAGACAGATATGAATAGCTTAAAATCATATTACTGGAATTGAAATAAGATAAACTGAATTCGATCTTTCTTCTCAAGAGATAAAAAAACTCAAGAAAGTAGACATAAGAAAATAATAAAATAAGTACTAAATAATACATGTTTTAAAATGCATACAACAGAATCAACAAAGCCCTAACTTGTTTGGTGAAAAAGTAATAAAATTGATAAACCTCTGGGGAGTCTAAATACAATGAAAAGAGAGAAGGCACATGTAACTAATGTCAGAAATAAAGGACATAACCACTGATGTTGCAGACATTGAGAATATACGATAATATTTTGAACAATTTCACATACTTTGACATTTAGATTAATGGATAAATTAATAAAAATATGTAATTTAGTATAATAGCCTCAGAAAACAAGTAGAAAACCTGAATAGTTCTAAAACTATTCGGAAGAATCAGTAGTAAAAATCATCTCACCAAGCAAACTTTAGGTCAAGATGGCTAAACTTTAAGTATACCAGCAAATTGTACCAAAACTTAAGGAAGAAATTACTCTATTCCTATTCAAACTCTTGCTCATTTTCTGTGGCTAATTATAAAATTAATACCCAAACTCAACAATATAAAAAAATAAAAGTATAGGCAAATCTTAATTAGGCATATAGTGGCACAAATATTAAGCCAGAGTTTGCAAATTAAATAGAGCTAGATATAAATATGATAATGCATCATAGCCAAGATGTGTTTATGTCAGGAATGCAAGGGTGGTTTAACATTAGAAACTCATTTAGTGTATTTATCACAAGCTCAAATACAAGAAAAAAACATAATATGACCATCCCATGGAAGGTGGAAATGAGTCTGATGAAATTCTACCTTTATCCATAACAATTCTCATCAACTGAGGAATATACAAATCCAATTAGAAAAAAAAATCAGGCAATCCAATAGCAAAATTGGCCAATCACTTCAAAAGTGACTTTACAAGAAGAAAATCCAATGAACTCCAATTGTATAAGAAAAGGTCCTCGACCTCTTTAGAGGTAGAAACCAATCAGTGTCATAGTGGATACCATTACATACTCATCAGATTGCTAAAAATGGAAAGTACCAAGGGTTGGCAAGGATGTGGGGCAATGGTAACTCTCATATTGTACACTTTTGGGAGTGTAAATTCATGCAATTGTTTGGGAAAATTTTTTAGCATTATCTACTGAAGTAGGAGATATATACACACACTTACATACAGACCATCCCTGACTTATGATGATTCAAGTTATAATTTTTCATCTTTACGATAGTGCAAAAGCCATACACATTCAGTACTCAGTATACTGAGTACACATTCAGTATAATCCCATCATACATGGAAAATATTAAGTAGAAAATTACTTCTGACTTACTATATTTTCAATTTATGACAGATTTATCAGGATGAAACTCCACCATAAGTTAAGGAGCATCTGTACACAGGCATACTGACATATATACAGAAGTTCCTCTAAGATGCATCCTCTAGAGACAGGGTTCTACTAGGAGATACCAAGATTCTTTCAGGGGGCATCTTCAAGGTCAAAACTATTTTAGTAATAATACACAGATGTTATTTGCGTTTTTCTCTGTGTTGACATTACATTGCTGGTGCAAAAGCAATGGTACATAAAAGGGCTGTAACCTTAGCCGGAAGCAAGGTAATAGCACTAAATTGTGCTAGAAAGTTGTATTCTTTATCACTTCACACTCACTGTTAAGGAAAATTCCAGCTTCATTTAAGATTGCACTTGATGAAACAGTAAAAGCTATTAATTGTGCTAAATCTCAACTCTTGAATACACTTTTTTAAAACTTTTATTTTAAGTTTGGGGTATATGTGCAGGTTTGTTGCATAGGCAAACTTGTGTCCTGGTGGTTTGTTATACAGATTACTTCATCACCCAAGTATTAAACCTAGTATTCGTTAGTTATGTTTCCTGATCCTCTCCCTCCTCCCACCCTCCACCCTCCAGTAGGCCCCAGTGTGTGTTGTTCCCCTCTATGTGTTCTCATCATTTAGCTCCCACTTACAAGGCAAGTGGATCGATGAAGTGTGGTATATCCACATAATGGAATACTATTCAGCAATGAAAAAATGAAATACAGCTATATGAATACATAGAATATTGTCATCAATGTGATATTATAAAAATTTGCAAAATCAAATGAACACATGGAATCTTGTTCCATACATGTAAATATGTAATCTTAAAAATAGCTAAAAGAAAACTATTATGCTGGGCACAGTGGCTCATGCCTGTAATCCCAGAACTTTGGGAGGCACAAGGCAGGCAGATCACCTGAGGTCAGGAGTTGGAGACCAGCCTGACCAACATGGAGAAACCCCTTCTCTACTAAAAATACAAAATTAGCTGGTCATGGTGGTGCATGCCTGTAATCCCAGCTACTCAGGAGGCTGAGGCAGGAGAATCATTTGAACCCAAGAGGCGGAGATTGCGGTGAGCCAAGATCGCACTATTGCACTCCAGCCTGGGCAACAAAAGTGAAACTCCATCTCAAAAAAAAAAAAAGAAAAGAAAAAGAAAACTACATAACTAATAGCAATAAAAAGAAAAGTGAGCGCAAAATTATCAAAAAGTTAGAATGTTACTGACTTCTGGAGGGAGGCATGGATTATTACTGGGGAAGCCACATGCAGGGGATTCTGAAATATTGTGTATGTTTCATTTCTTGACCTATATGACTACTTTAAGATGAATCTTAACATCTACTTCTGAAACTATTCAGAAGCTTTTTTTTTTCCATTCAGATGAGTAATATGCCGATGTTGTAACAAGGAGTGAGGGAGGCACATCTTATACACGAGCCTGAAAACCCAGTCCTCACACTTATGAACTACAAAAGGATCTAGAAAGTAGCTTTTCAAGCAGTAAACAAAGATTCAATTTGTGGTATTGTTTTAATTAAATTGGATCATCAGCTTGACCAGATTTCCCAAAGAGGAAGTAATCCTTTCCTTGTATTAGTTTCGATTAGTGAGGAAGGAACCTTAATAACTTGGCAACATCACTAAAACTAGGACCTTTTTTTTTTTTTTGAGTCAGAGTCTTGCTCTGTCGCCCAGGCTGGAGTATAGTGTGGCATGATCTCAGCTCACTGCAACCTCCGCCTCCTGGGTTCAAGCGATTCTTCTGCCTCAGCCTCCTGTGTAGCTGGGACTACAGGCACACGCCACCACGCCTGGCTAATTTTTGTATTTTTAGTAGAGACAGGGTTTCACCATATTGGCCAGGCTGGTCTCAAACTCCTGACCTCGTGATCTGCCTGCCTCAGCCTCCCAAAGTGCTGGGATCACAGGTGTGAGCCACCGCACCCAGCCAACACTAGGACCTTTTGCTGGCAAAGTGAGCATCTATTTAGTACCAGAACTGCGCAGTAAGGTGAACAGAGAAAAAGGTAACAGCTAAAAGTACTGAGAAATCATTGTTCCCATACTCTAATGTAAAATGTTAAAATTTGACTCCTCCACATTTTTAACTGTTTATGCCGAGCTAATTTTAGTGTTTTGAAAAGTTGTAAAAATGGTACAGCAAATTCCTGCAAACCCTTCACTGAACTTCCCTAAAGTTACTCTCTTATATAACCACAGCATAATGTTCAAAACCGGGAGATGAATATTGGTGCAATACTGCTAATTTCACCATATGTTTTAAAAATAATAAATTATTCAGAATCCTTTTATATAATTCGTGGTCATTCGGATTTTCTTTTTGTGAAGTTTGCTGCTATTAATGTGTGTGTCCCTCTCTACTCATATGTTGAAATTGAATCACAATGTGATAATATTAGGAGATGAGGCATTTCAGAGGTGATGAAGCAATGAGAGTAAAGCCCTCATGAATGGGACTGGGACCTTTAAGAAAAAGGCCCCAGAGTTCCCCTTCAACATGTGAGGACACAGCCAGAAGTCCTCATTTCTACAAACCAGGAAGTGGGCCCTTACCAGACACCTAATCTGCCAGTGACTTGATCTTGGACTTCCCAGCCTCCAGAATAGTGAGAAATAAATTTCTCTTGTTTCGAAGTGGTATTTTGTTTATTTGTGCTACTTTCTTAACAGCAGCCTGAATGGACTAAGGTATAAACTCAGATCATTAGTGAATTTTTCTATTGAATTGTCTAATATTTTTCTAGTTACATTTATAGTTCCCTTATAATCTTCATTCAATGAGAATTATTTTCAAAATATTTATATATTTATTTTAAATAACAATGATAAACCCCTCCCCGACCTTTTCTTTTGAGACAGAGTCTCACCCTGTCGCCTAGGCTGGAGTACAGTGGCGAGATCTCGGCTCATTGCAGCCTCCACATCCTGGGCTCAAGCGATTCTCCTACCTCAGACTCCCTAGTAGCTGGGACTACAGGTGTGTGCCACCACACCTGGCTAGTTTTTAAATTTTTCGTGGAGATGGAGTTTCACCATGTGCCCAGGCCAGTCTCCAACTCCTGAGCTCAAGCGATCTGCTCATCTCAGTCTCCCAAAGTGCTGGGATTATAGGCGTGAGCCACCACATCCGGCCCCAATGCATGTTATATGTTAATTGTTAACACAATTAATATATTTAAAGAAAAATGCCTACATTTTCAAAAATGAAAATCAATGTAAAGACTGACATTGCTTTACATTTTTTGCAAATCTCTTTCATATCTGGCTTAAGGGAAATTGATTTTACCTAGCTGCTTCTTTGTTCAATTTGTTGTGATTTTTAAACATTTGTCCTGTACTCAGTGGTGTTGGCAAACCAAAGTTACTCAGCCATTATCAGATTGATGGGCATTAACGTTATTTCCAGTTTTGCTGCCACGAATAATGCAACAATTAACCTACTTGTATATTTACCTTCTGTAGTGCTGCTTTTGTTTCAATAGGGTAGATTCTTAGGAGGTGGATTTTGAGATAAAGTGAATGTGTGGGAGTATTGCTAATGGATGATCCAAAATTGCTTCTACATGTAAGGGTACTCTTTTCGTCACCCCCATGCCAACTTAAAGGTGCTCACATTTCCTCAGATCCATGCCAGCTTAAGGGTGTTATAATTTTTCCAGTTCATAGGTGTAAGATGACATTTTATTTTGACTCAAATAAGCACTTTTCAAACCGCTGGTTAATTTGAGCAGTTGTTTCATGTTTAGCCTTTTGGATTTGCTTTTCTGTGAATTCTCTAATCACATTCTTTGCTTGTTTTCTATTGGAATGTTTGTCTTTTTTAAAACAAATTCAATTTGTAAGAGTTCTTGCTGGAATATAGATCTTGGCTTTTATCTGCCATATATATTGAAAAATTTACCATCCCTGACCCCTTAGTGCACTGATTTTGTTTTTGGTACATTTTACCATACAAAATTTTTTTATATTCACATAGTCATTTATGACCACTCTTTTTCTCCACAGCTTCTGGGTTTCTTCTCTTGGCTAAGAAAGTTACCATCACAGCCACATCGTCTCCCTCCCTCCCTCCCTTCCTTCCTTCCCTCCCTCCTTTCCTCCTTTTCTTCCTTCCTTCCTTTCCTTTCTCTTTCTTTTTCTTTCCCTTCCCTTCCCCTTCCTTCCTTCCATCCTTCCTCCCTCCCTTCCTACCTTCCCTCCTTCCTTCCTTCCTCTCTTTCTCCCTCCCTCCCTCTCTCTCTTTCTCTTTCTTTCTTTCTTTCTCTCTCTCTCTCTTCTTTTCTGTGTAGAGACAGGGTCTCCCTATCTGCCCAGGCTGCTTTTGAAATTCTGGGATCAGGTAGTCCTCCCACCTTAGGCTCCCAAATTGCTAGGATTACAGACATAAGCCCCCACATCTGGCCTCTTTCCTACATTTTCTTCAAATTCTTTCATGTCTTTTCTTTTTGTATGTTTAAGCCTGGCATGTATTTTTGTATATAGTCTGAGATGAGATAGAAGTTCAATTTTATTTATTTTTAGATGGGCCAGGTTTGCCAAGCCCATTTAAGTTTAAATTAATTACAGTGAAACAACACTGAAAATTAAGTTACTTGGTCACACTAGCCATACTCAGGCACTCATTGGTCATAATGATGAAACTCTAAAGCTAGAAATGAGGCAGAGTCCCACTATTACCACAATTATCATTGCATTTGTGGTGTTAGGAAAGATAGCCAGAGAGAAAGTTGAAATAAGGTATAAATGTGAGAAATGAAAAGATAAGATTGTCATTTTTGTAGACAACATGAACATCTACCTAAAAAAACACATGAGAATTTACAGAAAAACCTTAGAACTAATAATCAAGTTCTCAGAAATACCATTTGACCCAGCAATCCCATTACTGGGTATATACCAAAAAATATAAATCATTCTATTATAAAGATACATGCATGTGTATGTTCATTGCAGCACTAATCACAATAGCAAAGACATGGAGTCAACCAAAATTCCCATCAATGATAGACTGGATAAAGAAAATGTGGTAAATATACACCGTGGAATACTATGCAGCCATACAAAGGAATGAGATTGTGTCCTTTGCAGACACATGGATGGTGCTGGAAGCTATTATCCTCAGCAAATTAACACAGGAACAGAAAACCAAACACCACATGTTCTCACTTAGAAGTGGAAACTGAACAATGAGAACATATGGACAGAGGCAGAGGAACAACACACACTGGGGCCTGTCGGAGGCGCCAGGCGAGGGAGAGCATCAGGATAAATCGCTAATGTATGCAGGGCTTAATACCTAGGTGATGGGTTGATAGGTGCAGCAAACCACCCTGGCACATGTTTAGCTATGTAACAAACCTGCATGTCCTGCACATGTATCCTGGAACTTAAAATTAAATTTAGAAAAATAATCAAGTTATTTGATTTGGCAAGATATAAGATAAATACACTAATCAGGATCTTGTAAAGAATCAACAAGTAAAGTTAGATCCCTACCTCATACCATACACAAAGCCATTTCAGATGGATTTAATCTGATTTTGAGGTGCTTTAAATATGAACGAGAATGATTTTTTCATTATAATTTTTTTTTTGAGGCAGAGTCTTGCTCTGTCGCCCCTGCTGGAGTGCAGTGGCATAATCTTGGCTTACTGCAACCTCTGCCTCCCAGGCTCAAACACTCCTCCTGCCTCCCAAAGTGCTGGGACTACATGCATGAGTCACCTTGCCTGGCCTCATTATAACTTTTAATTGGTTAGTTTTTTAACGTAAGAAAGTTATTGATTCTTATAAATTAATTGCACAACCCAATTTAAATGGGGGTGATTTTGCCTTCCCCCCAGGGGACATTTGGCAAGGTCTGAAGACATTTTTATTTGTCACAACTTGGTAGGGGAGGGAGTGCTACTGGTATCTAGTGAATAGAGGCCAAGGATGCTGCTAAACATCCTACAATGCACTGAACATCTCTTCTGTCCTCCCACAACCAAGGCTTATCCAGTTCAGAATGTCAATAGTGATAAATTGTAAAACCCTTTTGTAACTGATACTTTAATGAGTTACTGTGTTGCCTGTAATCCTTTTCCCAGTTAATTTTGAATTTCCCAGACATATAATCATGCTAATTGCAAATAATAAAGATATATCCTTTCCAGGGTTGATACCATTTATATGGTTCTGTTTTGTAATTGCATTGGGCTAGCACTCTCGGAGCATTGTTTGCAGTGCACAGCTGAACTACATTTCTCTATTAGGGGGTTCCATCATGATAGGAAGTCCTCCTTCCCACCTCTAAGGACCTAAAATCTAGATACATACTTTCCTGGAAACCTAGTGGCTAGCATGCAGGTATCTGACTAAACTTACACTGAGACTTTATAAAGACATAAAGAAGGGCTCAGTACTCATTTTGATGGCACTGAACTGGGCTGTCCCTAGGGAAACTTGGAGATAGTTCTTCTTTCATTGTTTCCTTGGGTTCTGACCCACTTTCTAAACTTGGTACTTTAGCCTTTTCATTGAATCTGTCAGCTGCCCAAGGTCTTATGACTGAATTCTTTTTTGTTGCTTAAGTTAACCCAAATTGGTTTCCTTTGCAACCAAGAACCCCACTGTTAGAATGTTAAATAATCATTGTGATAGTTGGGTGCCATTGTCTTGATCCTGACTTTGTTGGAATTGGTCTCTCATTTGCATTCACGTGTTATTTCATTCATGAAACAGATTGAAATCTATGAATTCACTCCTTTACCTCTAGTTGCAATCCAGTACTACATGGGTCTTTGTAGTTTTCTGCCTTCCCATATGTGTAAATCCCTTCTCTGAGAATGAGAAACTCGTTTCCCATTAATCATGATATATTTACTCATTTGTTCAGTCAGTCTCCTGAGTGTAACTAGTCCCTCATCTCAGCCACTGCTCCTCTCCAGCATGACTGGCTCCTCATCCTGCTTGGTCCCACTTCCCACTACTGGGGTGCCCTCTGGCAAAGGACTCCACTCACCCTGTTCAAGCTCTGACACCCATAAGGGGCCATCCCTGTGTGCAAACACATGTAAGTGCCCTCCCTCCGCAGGTTCTGACACTCCCCTCTGACATCCCTGGGTAGATACCCTCCTCAATCTGCTTGGAGCTCCCCATTCCAGATGACCTCTGCGCAGCTATCTGTCTTGCTCTGCCCCACCTGTTGGCTTCAGGGTTCTATTGATCAGAAAAGGAAAAGAAGTGGTGAGGAGGAAAAAGAAAGGAAGAGGTGAGGAAAGAAGAAGAGGAGGATGGAAATGATGAAAGAGGAGAAGAAGAAGGACAAGAAGAAGGAGGAGGAGGAGGAGAAAAGAAGAATGAGGCCGGGCGCGGTGGCTCATGCTTGCAATCCCAGCACTTTGGGAGTTCAAGGCAGGCGGATCACAAGGTCAGGAGTTCAAGACTAGCTTGGCCAACATGGTGAAACCCTGTCTCTACTAAAAATACAAAATTAGCTGGGCGTGGTGGCACATGCCTGTAATCCCAGCTACTTGGGAGGCTGAAGCAGGAGAATCGCTGAACCTGAGAGGCGGAGTTTGCAGTGAGCCAAGATCATGCTACTGCATTCCAGCTTGGGTGACAGAGTGAGACTCCATCTCAAAAAAAAAAGAAGAAGAATGAGGAGGAGGAGAAGAAGAGGAAGAAGAAGAACGAGCAGGAGGAGGAAGAGAAGAAGTAGTTTTGAATATATATATATATATTTGGATTATAGATATAGATGTATATAATTTTTTTTGAGATGATGTCTCACCATGTTGTCTAGGCTGGTCTCGAACTTCTGGCCTCAAGTGATCCGCCCACTTTGGCTCCCCAAAATGCTGGGATTACAGGCGTGAGCCACTATGCCCAGCCTCTGGGTATATTTTGAATGTAGAACTGAGAGGATTTCTGACTGGATGCAGGGTGTAAGAGAAGGAAGAGTGATAAAAAAGACTCCAAGATCCTTGGTCTGAGCAGCTGGAAAATGGAGTTAACATTTACTGAGATGAGGAAGAATGTAGGAGGAGCAGGCTTGGAGTGGGTGTCCAGAGTAAGGTTTGGACACGATGAATTTGAGACGCAGAGTACATATCCAAACAGGCAATTAAATGTATGGATCTAAAGCTGCAAACTGAAGACTAGAATGAAGATGTATATTTGGGACTTATCAATGTTTGATAGTATTTAAAACCTTTGGACTGGATGAGATTGCTTTGGGAATGAGTGAAGATGCCAAAGAGTAGTGATCGTAGGACTACGTCCTGGGGTGGCGGGCAACATAATGTTTTACATAGAAGCATTTAACTGCTTTTGGCTTTGTAGATTAGGTAGACAGGTAGGTAAATATAATATATATATAAATCTAAGATTAAATATAATATATGTAAATCTAAGATTATAAATATGTAATTTTAGATTAAGCAAATAATCTTATATAAGGGAATTTTGGGGGAAAAGTTACTATATTTTATGACATGCCCTTTCGACATCTAACAAAATGATATCATAGTCTCTTTTAATCTATACACAATTTATTTTAATAGATTTTCTAATATCCAATCATCTCATTATTCTTAGGTAATATCCATTTTAACATGGCTTATTTATTTGTTTGTTTATTTATTTTTAAAGAGATATGAGTTTTTGTGTGTGTGTGCGTTTTAGCCTCCAAGACCTCAGAAAGACATGTGGTCTCGCTGTGTCACCCAGGCTGGAGTGCAGTGGCCCCAGCATAGCTCACTGCAGCCTTGAACTCCTGGGCTCAAGCAATCCTCTGACCTTAGCCTTCCGAGTAGCTGGGACTGTAGGCTGTGCCTCCACATTCAGCTGGTATTTTAAAAAAAATTACTGGAGGTTTTTATCGCTAAATTCCAAATATTTGGAATTTCCATGTCAATATTCATAGGGAGATTTGTCTATATACTTTTCCTTTTCTGTATTACCTTGTTAGGTTTTCATGTTATGTGATGCTCGCTCTGTACAAACAATTGTGAAGCTCTTTATTTTTCTCTTTCGTTTACATTATATCAGAATTGTCTGTTGATAGCTTGAAATAATTTAATATGATCCTGTCTGTGTATATTAAAATTGTCAATTGATTTAATACGTCTCTCCTTGAGAATATTTTTTTGTAATTTACATGTTCCTGAAAAATCATCAATTTATCCCGAGTTTTCTAGTTATTAGCAAGAAGTTAAATGAAGAATTCTCCTGATAATCTGACTCCTTCGGAGAACCTTCCCTTTCATTACTTCATTCTTTGATTCTTTCCCTTTCATCCTGTGCGATTTTCCTGAACTTGGACTCTGAACCACTGGCTTTTGTTTTCTGTGTGCCAAGTATTATATTTCACGCCTCTAATTCAATTTTATTTTTTCATCGTCATCATCTCCTTAATTATTTCTGCTAGATTTTCTCATTTTATTTTTATTCTGTTCTCTTACCATTGCTTATTATAATTTTACCAGAAAATTTAATTTCCTTATTAGCAGCAAGCTGCTAATCTACCATCTCTTTTGTTTCATACTATTAATTAAAATAATTTTTCAATTATTTTTATGCTATATTGTTTTTCTACTTTATTACTTGTTATTAAACTGTGTTGGCAGAGGGAGCTGGAGCATCTCAACTGGAGCTCTCCATCTCTCCGCAAGTTTCCTCTGAACAAGTGGACCTTGTCCAGCAGGGGGCACAATTGGACGTGGATTGGCTCCCGGACTCTGCTTGAGAGGGATCCACCGTGAGAAATGAAGTTAGAGAGTAAACCCTTGGCTAGAGGAATTGTTTTTTTCTTGAGAGGGGTGGGGGGGCGGGGGGGGTCTCACTATATTGTCAAGGCTGGTCTCGAACTCCTAGGCTCAAGCGATCCTGCTGCCTCAGCCTCCCAAAGCGCTGGGATTACAGGCTTGAGCCACTGCACCCAGCCTGGCTAGAGGAATATATACATATACATATACATATACATATACATATACATATACATATACATATACATATACATATACATATACACACACACACACACACACACACACACACACACACACACACACATATATATATTGAGACAGGGTCTCGCTCTGTGGCCCAGACTGGAGTGCAGTGGCGCGATCTCGGCTCACTGCAACCTCTGCCTCCCAGGTTCAAGCAATTTCAGCTAGACGAATTTTTATTTAATGGCTCAGTGCATCTGTTTTCCCAGGAATTACACAGTCGAGTCCCTACAAGAGAAAAGCAGGTATAGAAAATAAGTAGGACTGGGGTAAGATAAATAATGGGAGTGGGACATGGTGGCTTCTACCTGTAATCCCAGGGCTTTGGGAGACCGAGGCGGGAGGATCACTTGAGCCCAGGAGTTTGAGACCTGCCTGGGCAATACAGTGAGACCCCACTTCTACAAAAAATAAAAAAATTAGCCAGGCATGGTGGCACACACCAGTGGTCCCAACTACTCAAGAGGCTGAGGCGGACGGATCACTTGAGCCCAGGAGTTGGAGACTATAGTGAGCTATGATCGTGCCACCACACTCCAGCCTGGGAGACAAGAGCAAGACCTTGTCTCAAATGACAACAACAACAACAAAAAGATAAACAATGGGGCAAGATATTGACAAAGCTTTGTCAGTCTACTTGTTTTGGCCTCAGCTCAGGGGAGACCATAGCCCTTGGTGGGGAATGCAGCATAGTAAAGAGGGGCAGCTCCTGCTTCCCTGGGCTAATTGCTGTTACGTGGGCATGCAAGATAGTCAGTTATTTCAAGAGAAGTTAGGCATTCAGATTACTGGGAGAGAGCTCCAAATTTTAAACTGTGATCCATGAATTAAAAATATTTTTTAAATGGCTGGGCGCTGTGGTGGCTCACACCTGTAATTCCAGCTCTTTGGGAGGCTAAGGCAGGAAGATCGCTTGAGTCCAGGAGTTAGCTGCAATGAGCTGTGCTCGTGCCACTGCACTACAGCCTGGGCAACAGAGCGAGACTGTTTCTTAAAATAAAAAAATTAAAACACTATGTATACATTGAATACAACTATGAACTAGAATTTTATTGGTGAATGGTACTGAAGTTACTGTATTTATGTGGCATGGACTTCCAGTTATACTGAATAGTGAAAATTGAACACTTTTTCCCTAAGATCAAGAAAAACAAGGATATCTGTTATTACCACTTTATGCAACATTGTAATAAAACTACTAGCGGGTTCAATGAAGCAGGAAGAATAAGAGGCACAGTGATTGGGAAGGAAGAAGCAAAATATAATTGTTTTCAATGACAAGATAACGTACATAGAAAATCCAAAATATCCTCTAATTGGATATAACTATGAGAATTTAGCGGAGCAGCTGCATCCAAAGTCAACATACAGAAATCACTTCTATATCTCTGGTAGCAACTATCAGAAAATTAAACTTAAGATACAGTATCTTTTAAAATAGCACCTCAAATCACAGTATTCTTAAAAGTGAAACTAACAAAATGGTTCCAAGACCACTACACTGAAAGCTGGAGCACATTGTTGAGAGGAATTAACATCCTGAATAATGGCAAGCTACACCATGCTGATGAGTTAGAACATTTGATAATTTTTTTTAATTTTTATTTAATTTTTTATTTTTTGAGACGGAGCCTTGCTCCGTCGCCAGGCTGGAGTGCAGTGGCATGATCTCGGCTGACTGCAACCTCCACCTTCCAGGTTCAAGCAATCCTCCTGCCTCAGCCTCCCGAGTAGCTGGGACTACAGGCATGTGCCACCACGCTTAGCTAATTTTTGTATTTTTAGTAGAAACAGGGTTTCACCATGTTGGCCAGGCTGGTCTCGAACTCTTGACCTCAAGTGATCCACCCGCCTTGGCCTCCCAAAGTGCTGGGATTACAGGTGTGAGCCCCCGTGCCTGATCAGAACATCTGATAATTTAAAGAAGTCAATTCTTCCCCAAATCAGGAGCCCAGGTGCTGGGGCCTGGGAGTGCACAGTGCTTTTCCTTCCTAGACCCATCTTGTTACTGGGGGTCCTGGTCACCCTAGAAAGGGGACTGTTTCCTGTTCCAAGTCATGAAGCTAATATGTGAAACCAACAGTGAGTATTGAGCAGTGCAGGCTTCATTCAACAGCTACAGGATTGGGGAAGTGGGAGCTGGGCTTACAAATCAACTTCTCAGCTCCTGAGAACTGGGAAGTTACAGATATAGGGTATCATTCTTGAAGGGGCTGAACGTTAAGAGCAAGGGGAGGAATATTCGTGCTTTGTCTTGGGAAGGGATGAAGATTTTCTTTTTCTTTTTTTTTTTTTTTTTGAGACGGAGTCTCACTCTGTCGCCAGGCTGGAGTGCAGTGGCACAGTCTAGGCTCACTGCAACCTCTGCCTCCCAGGTTCAAACGATTCCTCAGCCTCAGCCTCCTGAGTAGCTGGGACTACAGGTGCGTGCCACCACGCCCAGCTAATTTTTGTATTTTTAGTAGAGACAGGATTTCACCATGTTGGCCAGGATGGTCTCGATCTCTAGACCTCGTGATCCTCCCGCCTCAGCCTCTCAAAGTGCTGGGATTACAGGTATGAGCCACTGCGCCCAGCCCTGCTGCCTGTCTTTTAAGGACCCTTGCAATTACATTGAAGGTCCACTTAGGTAATTCAAAATGATCTCCCCATCTTGAGAATCTTAATCACACCATCAAAGTCTCTCTTGCCACAGGTCACATTCACAGGTTCTAGGAATTAGGGTCTGTATAGCTTTGCAAGTCATTATTAAACACGCTGCGATTAAATATCCGTCTTTTAGGGGACCTGTGCCTCTGGGTTATGGCATTCACAAGTGATTCTCAGCTTCTCTCCATTCATTTCAGGTGAGACAGGAAGTCTAGAATGTGCCGTGCTGGATTCAGGAGAAAATCTCCTCCTCCTCGTTCCTCCTTCTCCTTCTTTTTTTTGAGATGGGGTTTCTTGCCATGCTGACCGGGCTGGTCTTGAACTCCTGGCCTCCAGTGTTCCTCTCAACTCAGCCTCCCAAAGTGCTAGGATTACAGGCACGAGCCACCATGCCCGGCCAGGAGAAATCCCTTCTTCCAGGTGGGAGAAGGTACCAATAAATTCTTTATCCCTGGAGAATAGGCCTGTGTTGGGGAGAATGCTCTGGGTATACTTAACAACAGTTACTCTTCCTTCTCCCTACCAGGGCTATGGGCTAGGGGGCCTTTCTGGGCTCTTCACTGGTAGAGTTACTGGAGGTAAAATCCACGAAAGTGTGGGGACTCCTAAGACTGACACCTGTAGAAATTTATCATTCTTGAGCTAATTGTTACCCAGCCTGCAGCAACTTGTCAGAATTACCATGCAAATGTCTTCACCAGTTAGTGACTCCAGCAGCTTCTGCCCTGTGTAAATGGATCTCATTAGTAACTCTCTGGATTTGCCAGTGTCTCCAGACTTGGGGATGGTAATTCACTGTGTTACTGCAGTTCTTTAGACGTGTCTAAGAAAAGCTGTTGATTCTCAGTTTGTTCAGCCTTTTCTTGTTGTAAGAACAAAAGTGACAACTTCGAAGTTCTTCTCATGTCCGAGCAGAGACAAGAAGTCTTATTCTATTTTATTTTCCTTCTTCTTCTTCTTTTTTTTTTTTTGTTGTACATTTCCGTTGGAGGCTTGGCCTTGCGCATTAATACTTTGGGAATGTGTCTCTTCAAGTTTAACGTCTGTAATGTGCCAAAAATGCTGAGCTCACTGGGTCCAGCAGGGGGAGCCCTTGGGCTTTGGTTTCCTTTTCTTTCTCAAGGGAGCTTGACCTCTGCTGATGAGCCAAAAAGAGAGACATCCGATATCTTTTGTTTGGTAGGTCCAGTGCCCCTGAATCAAACCTCTGCATGGTCAAGGCAGTTACGGCAAATGAGGGAAGTGGATTTGTGTAAGGAAAACAACTGGGCAAGTATTCCGACAAATCGCACCTGGACTTTGGCTTTAGTAGAGGGAGATGATAGCACATGGTGGGGAGTGCGTCAAAGTAAAGGTGATTGGTTCTTGCTCAGCCTCGGCTGATCGCTACATGTGAGGATACCACATCTTCCTATTTTCCAAGAAAGTCGGGGCTTTCATGTCAGTGTGAGATTGTCTTCCAATTTTTTCTTTTTCTTTTTCTTTTCTTTCTTTCTTTTCTTTCTTTCCTTTCTTTCTTTCTTTTTCTTTCTTTCTTTCTTTCTTTTCTTTCCTTCTTTCTTTTCTTTCTTTCTTTCTTTTTCTTTTCTTTCCTTCTTTCTTTTCTTTCTTTCTTTCTTTCTTTCTTTCTTTCTTTCTTTCTTTCTTTCTTTCCTTTCCTTCTTTCTTTTCTTTCTTTCTTTTTTTTTTTTTTTTGAGACAAAGTGTCGCTCTGTCTCCCAGGCTGGAATGCAGTGGCATGCTCACTGCCTACCAAATAGCTGGATTTACAGGCGTGTGCCACCACACATGGCTATTTTTGTATTTTTAGTAGAGACGGGGTTTCGCCATGTGGGCCAGACTGGTCTTGAACTGCTGACCTCAGATGATCCGCCCACCTCGGCTCCCAAAGTGCTGGGATTACAGGCATGAGCCACTGTGCCCGGCCCAATATTTTAGTGGTGTAAATTAGTTAAATATTTCCAAACCATCCCAGTCAAACAAAATGCGAAGAGGAGCCAGACCCTGCCTGCTCACTGGAAGCCAAGTCAAGGGGAGAGGGACTTTTCTTTTCTTTTTTTTTTTTTGAGATGGAATTTCACTCTTGTTGCCCAGGCTGGACTGCAGTGGTGCGATCTTGGCTCACTGCAACCTCTGTCTCCCAGGTTCAAGCGATTCTTCTGCCTCAGCCTCCCAAATAGCTGGGATTATAGGCATGCACCACCACGCTTGGCTAATTTTTTTTTTTTTTTGAGATGGAGTCTTGCTCTGTCACCCGGGCTAGAGTGCAGTGGCGCGGTCTCGGCTCACTGTAAGCTCTGCCTCCCGGGTTCATGCCATTCTCCTGCCTCAGCCTCCCGCGTAGCTGGGACTACAGGCACCCGCCACCACACCTGGCTAATTTTTTGTATTTTTAGTAGAGACGGAGTTTCACCATGTTAGCCAGGATGGTCTCGATCTCCTGACCTCATGATCCGCCCGCCTTGGCCTCCCAAAGTGTAATTTTGTATTTTTAGTGGAGACGGGGTTTCACCATGTTGGTCAGGCTGGTCTCGAACTCTTGTCCTCAAGTGATCCACCTGCCTCAGGAGAGAGACTCTTTACAGGTGCCTGGTGTCTTCTTCAGCCTTGATGCCACCACTGTTCAAACATGTATCCCATCCTTCCTGTGGTCTATACCTATGCTAGTTGGAGTCCTTCATCATTTCCTGTCCATACTTCAGCTTCACAACATTGTTTCACATTCTCAGACGCGGGCCGGGGGAGGGGGGTGGGGAGGTTCTGCCTTTGTTCTCAGTTCCCCTTCCCTACCTTCAATGATGTCCACATGATGGTGATACCAAACTGATATCCTCAAGGATTTTTGCATTGTGCAGGGTGCAAACCAGAGATCCCCCAATGCTGCACCCTTCCAGGATTTTAAAGTCTAAAGGAAATAAATGGAACCCAAGCCACAGAAGTACAGTGAATCCCAAACTTCCCACCCTGTACATTATTTGGGAAGATTACGGTAGATAACGGTATTCTCCTAATTGTCATTTGCACAGTGCTGTTCTTTCCTCCTGACATGGGAACAAACACTTCCTTCTTGCATTCCTCGGTCCTCTTAATCCAGTGATATTGTGTAAAACATACAGAAAGTTTGGGGAAAGCAGTAGTGAATGGTCCCAAAAGACGTGTCAAAAATGCTGAGCTCACCAGGTCCAGTAGGCAGAGCCCTAACAGAGCAACCTACATGGGACATTAATCTCCACCATCCATCTCCACGCCACAGAACCTGGTACCGGCTGTATGTCTGCTGTCACCAGGCTGCTGGGGTCCCATCTATCAAAAGAGAACACCAGCTCATGTCCCCACCACTTCCATTGCCATCAAGACCAGGACATTTGCTGTCTTTTCTCTCTCAGCCACAATCTTAGGATTCACATTATTCTATTATGCAGAGAAAATTTAGCCTGTTCTTCAGCTCACCCTCCAGGCTAGTCCTGGGCTTACTGTTTAGACACCCAAAAAGGTGATCGATTTGTTTTGAAAAACAAGTATATAGGTCTTCTCCCTGAAATAAATTTTGTATCTCTTTTTGAATGTGGAAAATTGCTCTCCTACCCTGTGAGAGCCTGAATATACATGCAGAAATGGCCAGATCATATATAAAACTAGAACTCTGACTCCTAATTTGCAGCAACCAGCTGTGAAAAGCCAGCCCATCATCCACAGTCACCAGCTCAGGAAGCCAGGCTACTCTCTATAAACCAGACTTGTCTCTGGTAACCTGTCCAGGAAGCTAAACAATAATCCCTGTAACGATTGGCCCTAAATTGGCCTGGGACTTGATTAATAACTGACAGCTTCCCTAATTTCTGTCCCCACTTTCTACTTAGGACCAAATCAGAGAAAGTGGATATGGTTTCTTAACCCAATCATGTAGGATTACCTGCTTCTAGCTGGCTCACCTACAGCTTCCCCAGGCCAATAGCCTCCAATCAGGACACACCTGAAGTTTTCTCTTTTCCCCACTATGAAGCTCTCCCACTCCACTGCCTGCCTGTGAGTCTCTGCCAGAACACAAATAATGGTGGCTGACTCTCTTGTCATAGCAAGAACTGAATACATAGCCTTTCCTTGTTCTCATTTAGTTGTTCTTTATTTTTACAACTGGTTTTGATTATTTTAATTATTAATTAATAAATTAATTAATTTTGGAGACAGGGTTGCATCTCTCTCTGTCGTCCAGGCTGGAATGTAGTGGCATGATCATAGCTCACTGCAGCCTTGACCTCTGGCCTCAAGCAATCCTCCTGCCTCAGCCTCCTGAGTAGCTGCAACTACATGCATGCACCACTACACCTGGCTAATTTTGTATTTTTTAATTTTAATTTTTAGTTTAATTTTTAAGTTTTTAAATTTTTGTGGATACATAGTAGGTGTATATATTTCTGGGTTACACAAGATATTTTGATACAGGCATGCAACATGTAACAATCACATCAAGGTAAATGAAGTATCCATCACCTCATGCATTTATCCTTTGTGTTATAAACAATCCAATTATACTTTTTAAGTTATTTTAAAATATACAATTAAATTATTTTTGACTATAATCACCCTGTGGTGCTATCAAATATGAGGTCTCATTTCATCTTTCCAATTTTTTTGTACCCATTAACCATCCCCACCTTCTCCCCTCCCCCATGCCCTCTATCCTCCCCAGTCTCTGGTAACCCATCCTTCCACTCTCTATCTCCATGAGTTCAATTGTTTTAATTCTTAGTTTCCTCCAATAAGTGAGACCATGCAAAGTTTGTCTTTCAGTGCTTGGTTTATTTCACTCAACATAGTGACCTCCAGTTCCATCCATGGTTATTGCAAATGACAGGATCTCATTCTTTTTCATGGCTGAATAGTACTCCCTTGTGTATAAGCACCACATTTTCTTTATCCATTCATCTGTTGGCGGATATTTAGGTTGCTTTCAAGTCTTGGCTTTTGTGAACAGTGCTACAATAAACTTGGGAGTGCAGATATCTCTTCCGTATACTGATTTCCTTCCTTTTGGGTATATGCCCAGCAGTGGGATTGCTAGATCATATGGTAGCTCTATTTTTAATTTTTTGAGGAATTTCAAAATTGTTCTTCACAGTGGCTATATTAACTTACCTTCCCGCCAACAGTGTACAAGGATTCCCTTTTCTCTACACCCTTGCCAGAATTTGTTATTGCCTGTCTTTTGGATATAAGCCATTTTAACTGGGATGAGATGACATCTCATTGTAATTTTGATTTGTATTTCTCTGATTATCAATGATGCCAAGTACCTTTTCATATACCTGTTTGCCATTTGTATGTCTTCTATTGAGAAATATCTGTTGAGATCTTTTGCCCAGTTTTTGGTTGGATTATTAGATTTTGTCCTAGAGTTGTTTGAGCTCCTTACGTATTCTGGTTATTAATCCTCATTTGTAAATTTTTTGTAGAGACAGGGTCTCATTACATTGCCCAGGCTGATCTTGAACTCCTAGGCTCAAGCAATCCTCCCACCTTAGCCTTCAGAACAGTTAGGACTATAGGCACATGCCACCAGGCCTGGTAATTGACTTTATGTTGATGGCTGTCACAGAGGGTCTTGTTATAAGGGAGGGGCACATGTCAGGATCTTTCCCAAAAGTCATGGAAGGGTTGTGAACTCTGAAATTGAGATCAAGTCTCACAGGGAGGCTTTTGGCAGCTTCAGGGTCTGACGCAGAGTAGCTGAGGGGAAGTGGAACACAGTGGCTAGGGGAGAGGTTATATCAGGCAGAACTCTTTGGGGTGCAAGCAAGATCAATCTAGCTCAAATGGGCCTATTGGGAAATAAAAGCCAAGCATTGGCCCACTTAGCCGAAAAGTTCTGAAGTACACCGGCTTCAGGCACAGCAGGTTCCAGAATTGGTTGATGTCTCTAAAATCCTTTTTTGTCGTTTGTTAACCCTAGAGTTCTTCCTTCCTCTGTTGACTTTGTTCTCAGGCAGCTGCAGGCTTACATTTCTTCCACCCAGGGATGCCGGGAGAAACTGAACAGCTATTTTTCCTGAAGGTGTGGCAAAAATCCTGGAACTTGGATCTTTAGAGGCAATTGGACACGGGCTTGTTCTTAAAATTGGCCGCAGCATTGTTGGTGATGAGCTATGTCAATTGGACAGTGCTCCCTGCACAATTCACAGACTCCCCGCTGAAGTGAGGGATGGGGCTGATAGTGGTAGTTCTCCAAAGGAAAATAAAATAGGGCTATGGGTGAAGAACTGGGTTGTGGGCAGTCAACAAATAAGCAAGCAAACAAATAATAACACCACTGCATAGGAGATCAGAGCCATTGGAGACCTCTGCCTTTCCCTCAAACTTGGAAAACCCAAAAGTGTAGAGGAGGAAGTGAAGATGAGGGCAAGTCTGCCAAGGGTTACAAGATTTGTACATTGGACTCAGCATTGGAGCTGGAGATCTGACACCAAGAGCGTGGTGTTGTGTTCATATTTCCACATCAACTCAGATACTCTCAGAAGGGTGGCTGGGGACCCAGGCTGGAGACATCATGGGGAAACTTCCTCTTCTATTGAATCAGAGTGCTTATGTCTATGTGTTGTATCTTCTGAATGCAACTTCCTTCCCGCTCACTTATCTCTTCTGCGTTCCCGCTCCTAGTAGATGAATCAGAGTATGGGGTTAGAGAATGAGGTGATTCCAGGGCAGGGACTTGGGTCTCCTCCAGCCTAGAGATGCTTCTGGCCTCCCTGCCATTGAATGGGGCAGCAGTCAGAGGGTGGATGGGGGCGGAGAGTGGGGTTGGCTGCACTTGAGTTTCATTTCCCTAGACAGAGCCTGGGGGTGTGCAGAAAGAGAGAGTGACCAGGAACCCTGCACTTCCCCTACACCTGGTGCATAGTCTGACTCTCATCCTCAGGTCTAGGAAACCCCAAATTCAAGTTCCCCACATTTAAAATTCCCGGAGGGCACGTGTGACTTTGGTGCTCTGCTTCCCTCTCTTGGTTCCCGCCATCTCCTACAGTTTTGACTGTAAATTCTTTTCTCTCTTGTCAGCCATTCCATGGTTTAAAGAAGACTTGCATTAATTATCTTCCCTGTATTTTTAGTTATTTTCAGTGGGAAAGTGGGTGTGATATCCAGATCATGGAAGCCCTGGAGATGGTCTCTGTCCCTTTTTCATTTGAACTCATGCCTTGGCCAGGCATTGTGGCTCACACCTATAATCCCAGCACTTTGGGAGGCCAAGGCCGGAGGACCACTGGAGCCCAGGAGTTCAAGACCAGCGTGGGGCACATAGTGGAACCTTCATCTCTACTTAAAAAAAAAAATTAGTTAGGCGTGGTGATGTGCACATGTAGTCCCAGCTACTCAAGGTGAGAGGATTGCTTGAGCCTGGGAAGTTGAGGCTGCAGTGAGCTATGACTGCACCACTGCACTCCAGCCTGGGTGACAGCTAGACCATGTCTTAAATAAATAAATAAATAAATAAATAAACTCATGCTCTTTGTGATGTCACTCAGGCTCATGACTACAGACACTCTTTGAACATGAATGACCCCACTTTTGTCTCCAGCCAGAACTTTTTCCTATTTTTCCTAAATTCCAGACCCACAGATCTAACCCCTTTCCTTTTCCTTCCACTTGTATGTCTAATAAGCACATCTAACCCAACGTGTCCCAAGCTGAGCTCCCGATTCTTCTCTTGAAGTCTTTTCCTCTTCTCTCAATGGCAGCTTCAAGCCTGCAACATCTCAGGTCAAAAACAAGCATTATCTGTGGCCCTTTCCTTTCTCTTCCCATGTGTGTCCAATCTGTTGACAAATACTGTTAACTCCCCCTCTTCTCACCACTTCCACTGTGTCCTTGGAGACCTGAGCACCCTCCTCTCACCTCCCAAGCATTGCAATGGCTCAGCAGAGTCTAGTCTCAGGAAAGCAAGCAGAGTGATCAGGTAAAAACAAATAAAATCCTGCCCCTTCTCTGTTCAACCCCTGTCTTCACAATTTGCTCAGTGTGATGGTTAATTTTAGGTCTCCACTTGACAGGGCCATAGAGTGCCCTGGTATTTGCTCAAATACTATTCTGGGTGTTCCTGTGAGGGTGTTTTGGGATGAGATTAACATTTAAATCAGTAGACTTTGAGTAAAGTGGATTGCCCTCCCCAGGGTGGGTGAGCCTTGACCAGTTGGTTGAAGGCCTGGATAGAGCAAAAAGCCTGGCGCTCCTGTGAGTAAGGGGAACTCCTTTTGCCTGACTACCTGCAAGCTGGGACCTGAGTTTCCTCCTGCCTTTGGACTAGAGCTGAAACTTTGGCTCTTCCTGGATCTCCAGCCTGGAAGCTTGTGGACTGGAGCTACACCGTCAGTTCTCCCAGGTCTCCAGCTTGCCGACTGAGGATCTTGGGACTTTTCTGCTTCAATAATTGTGTGAGTCAATTCCTTATAATAAACACACACACACACACACACACACAGACACATCCCGTTGATTCTGTTTCTCTGGAGAACCCTGGCTAATACACTCAGCAAAAGTCAGGTTTTTGTTTTCAGTTTGAAAGTGGGTACTGTTAATTAACTGACCAGATTAGAAAAATAAATAATGGTAGACACCTTAGTTCATTCTTCTAAGAAGCCTGTTGATCTGGTGCTCCTTGTTGCCAGCATCTCCACCTTCTACAAAATGGGTTGTCTCTTTCCTCATTCTACCTTGTGGAGAGGATAATTTGAAGGGCTACGAGAAGTTATTTCTTCAAATCATTTTCCAGCAGTACAGGTCCCATGAATTGGATCCTTATATAGCAGATGATGCTATATTTACATATTTATCAAGCAATCAAAGTGTTATCTGTCAAAGCAATTTGCTTCTTATTGATTTTGTCATAACCACGCTTGTAGGTTAGTTCATTTACTGACTTCAGGTTTGGGTGCCCCCATGCGATATGTGGTTCTGAATCCTCAGCCTGTTAATTGATGCTTTATTGAGCTTCACAAAGCTTCCATTGGAGAGTTGACAATGGCGAAGAAGCTGCAACACCTTTCGGACCTTTGGGCTCCCACCATTGACCCCTCAGATCCTGATGACAAAGGCCAATTTGGGTTCTGCAGTTGCATAGAAGTTGCTAGCTTTTCTTGCCTTCCTTGCATTCAAATTTCAGTTCTGTCCATCTGCCTATATTCCTTGTGATAGTGCTTCGCTTTTTCCTAGAAAAGCTTCTTCCTTGTCTTTCGAAGCATCTTTTGGGCAAAATTCCTTCTCAGGGGCTTGATCTTCAGCTCTGTGAAATTGCTTCCCTTTTTCTTAAGGGTTTCTGGCACAGCAGGAACCTTCTTTTTCTTCTTCCTCTCTTTGACACCTTCCATAGTTCCAGCTGGACAAGAAAAAAGTGAACTTCTTATGAGAGCTCCCAAATCTCTTCATGATCAGACCCAGGACACCTCCCAGACCTACCCTCCTACCATCTTCCCCACTGATCACCCCTCAATGCTGGCATATGGCTATTTTCCAAGCACACCACGTGTGTTCCTACCTTGGGACTTTTAAATGTGCGGTTCCCTTGGAATGGATACCAGTGGACTCATTCCCACACGCCCTTCGCATCTTTACTCAAATGTCATCTCCTCCAAGTGGCCCCCCAAGCCATGCTGTAAAAAATTTTATCATCATGCCTGTCATACCAACACTGTGGGAGGCTGAGACGGGCGGATCACCTGAGGTCGGGAGTTCGAGCCCAGCCTGACCAACATGGAGAAACCCCATCTCTACTAAAAATACAAAATTAGCCAGGTGTGGTGGCACATGCCTGTAATCCCAGCTACTTGAGAGGCTGAGGCAGGAGAATCGCTTGAACCTGGGAGGCAGAGGTTGCAGTGAGCTGAGATCACACCATTGCACTCCAGCCTGGGCAACAAGAGCGAAACTCCGTCTCAAAAAAAAAAAAAAAAAAAAAAAAATTATCAGTCCTCACTGATTCCTCTTCTGTGTTCCTGTTTTTATTTTTTCTTAGAATATATTATTCTTTAGCAGACTGTGTATTTTAATTTCATATTAAATGTTTGTCTTCCCTCTAGGATTTTTATTTTATTTTCTCTTTTTCTTTTCTTTTCTTTTTTTTTTTTTTGAGATGGAATCTCGCTCTGTCGCCCAGGCTGGAGTGCAGTGGTGCGATCTCGGCTCACTGCAAGCTCCACCTCCCGGGTTACGCCGTCCTCCTGCCTCAGCCCCCCCAGTAGCTGGGACTACAGGCGCCCGCCACCACGCCCGGCTAATTTTTTGTATTTTTAGTAGAGACGGGGTTTCACCATGTTAGCCAGGACGGTCTTGATCTCCTGACCTCGTGATCCACCCGCCTCGGTCTCCCAAAGTGCTGGGATTACAGGCGTGAGCCACTGCGCCCGGCCTTCTTTTTTTACTGTTCTTCGTGGAGCAGGGGTATGCATAAGCAGTGTGCCCAGAGGAGCCCCCACTAGGATTTTTGACTTACCTTCTCATCCTAAGAGTTTATCCTTTGCTGTATCTCCAGCTCCTAAAACAGGGGGCCTGGTGCACCATAGGCGCCCATGAAGCATCAGTTGAATGAGTGAATTCTCGGGGCCAGACACTGTCCTAAGCACTTTACACATGAGACCTCACTGAATCCCCACACAGCAATTCTATTATTGTCTGCATTTTTCAGCTGAGCAAACTGAGGCACAGAGAGGGTAGGTAACTTTTGTAAAGTTCAACAGCCGGTAGGTGAGGGGTCTGGGTTCACACTTGGTATTCCATATCCTCAACGTTCACATTTCAAATGCCCGGCTCTCAAGCCTCATCTGGCTGTCAACATCAGGGATGGGGTCTGACGCTGCCTGGGACAAGGACAAGGATGAGATGAGGTTCCCAAATCCAACTGGTGGTGGGGACCACATCTCTCTTGACTGCTAAGGACCCGGTCATGTCCACCTGATGTGTTTGTCCCTGACAACTTGCCTTCCCTCTGGAAAGAGGAAAGTCTTCCCCACCTGAAACCCCCAGCGTGTGCTTCCCTCACCACAGCTCCTATCATGTCATAAAGGATTTATTCTCCCATCTCGCTGAGGGTCCCGAGGCCCTGACTCCCAGGGAGCTGGCCAAGTGGTGTTCTCCTTCCTATGTAGACAAAGGTGCATAAGGAAAGTGCTGCAGCTATGGGACCTGGTGACCTCAGGAGTCTAGACTTACAAGTCTGGACAAGCCCCTCTGGGGGCCTCAGTATCTTCACCATCGGCGTCCAGTGGGGGTGGGAGCAGAATGGCTTCCCAGCCCCAGCCTCACCCCAACAGCACGTGATGCCCAAGTTCCCCTTCTGTGCGCGTCCACAGCTCTCACTCACCCTCCGGCTTCCTGTCGGGGCTTTCTCAGCCCCACCCCACGTTTGGACATTTGGAGCATTTCCTTCCCTGACAGCCGGACCTGGGACTGGGCTGGGGCCCTGGCGGATGGAGACATGCTGCCCCTGCTGCTGCTGCCCCTGCTGTGGGGGGGTGAGTGAGCTGAGGGAGGAGGGACAGGCACAGGGGTGAGAAGGGGGGCTGGAGCTGCAGCTGAGCTTCTGTGTCCCCCCAGGGTCCCTGCAGGAGAAGCCAGTGTACGAGCTGCAAGTGCAGAAGTCGGTGACGGTGCAGGAGGGCCTGTGCGTCCTTGTGCCCTGCTCCTTCTCTTACCCCTGGAGATCCTGGTATTCCTCTCCCCCACTCTACGTCTACTGGTTCCGGGACGGGGAGATCCCATACTACGCTGAGGTTGTGGCCACAAACAACCCAGACAGAAGAGTGAAGCCAGAGACCCAGGGCCGATTCCGCCTCCTTGGGGATGTCCAGAAGAAGAACTGCTCCCTGAGCATCGGAGATGCCAGAATGGAGGACACGGGAAGCTATTTCTTCCGCGTGGAGAGAGGAAGGGATGTAAAATATAGCTACCAACAGAATAAGCTGAACTTGGAGGTGACAGGTATGGCAGGAACCCTAGGAGAGGACCCTGGGACGTGGAGACCCCCGTATGAGAACAGGGACAGGAGTTGGGCAGGGGCGGCTGGAGGAGGTGTAGGACTTGGGGCAGGTCGGGGCCTGAGGCCTGGCCACTCTCGGGGTCACACCTTACGTCCTCAAGCCCCTGGGGCCCAGGTATCTCCCTGTCTCCTCCTCAGCCCTGATAGAGAAACCCGACATCCACTTTCTGGAGCCTCTGGAGTCCGGCCGCCCCACAAGGCTGAGCTGCAGCCTTCCAGGATCCTGTGAAGCGGGACCACCTCTCACATTCTCCTGGACGGGGAATGCCCTCAGCCCCCTGGACCCCGAGACCACCCGCTCCTCGGAGCTCACCCTCACCCCCAGGCCCGAGGACCATGGCACCAACCTCACCTGTCAGGTGAAACGCCAAGGAGCTCAGGTGACCACGGAGAGAACTGTCCAGCTCAATGTCTCCTGTGAGTGGTGCTGGGGACACAGCTGAGTCCCCAAGGGCAGTGGGAGTGAGGGGGGTGTGTGTGTGTGTGTGTGTGTGTGTGTAGAAGAGAGAGAGAGAAAGAGAATGATAACCAGGGAAAACTCGTGTGTGGGCAGGAAGGACAGCGGTCCCCACCTGGTGGGTTTCTGTGGCCCCTCCTTGGGTCCCTCCCGGGACCACGCCCATCCCTCTTGTCACCTCTGAAGCTGGTGCTGTATCTTTCTATCCCAGATGCTCCACAGAACCTCGCCATCAGCATCTTCTTCAGAAATGGCACAGGCACAGGTAGGAAAGACCCTCTTCCCTCTGGGGCTGTGATGGGAGCCTTCTATTAGCTCAGGGTTCAGCATTGGGAGAGGAGACCCTCCCTCACCCCTCAGCCCCTGGGTCTGGGTCCTTCCTGCTCCCAACCCCCCAATCCCAGTCACTAAGATCTTGCACGAACAGACCTAGTATTTCTTTTGGCTTCTCCCTTTTCTCTGCTCTCTTTTTCAGATTTATTTTTTCATTGTGAGAAAATACACATAGCACAAAATTTGTCATCTTAGCCATTTTAAAGAGTACAGTTCAGCAGTGTTAAATGTGTTCACATTGTTGCAAAACCAAACTGCAGAGCTCCTTTTATCTGGCAAAACTGAAACTTTGTACCCACTGAACAGCGACTTTCCACTTCCCCCTCCTGCCACCGAGCAGTCACCATTCTACTTTTCTGTCTCTGTGAGTTTGAGTACTCAGGACACGCTGTTCCCTTTTCTTGAATTTCTGCCTGCTCCGATGTCCTCTGATGCATGCCCTGCTTCATCTCTAACTGATCGTCCTTTTTGGGAGCCTTCGACTTTCCCACCTCCCACAGCTCTGTCCCAGAACCCAGTTCTTCCCCTCCACATTCCTGAGTAATCCGATCTCTCCTTGACCCTGTCCTGATGCCTCCCACAACTTTATATCCAGCCCTTTCTCTGAGGCACAGATCTGCACATTTAGCCACCTCCCTCGGATGCTTCTCGGCTCCTCCTTCCCTGTTGATCCCAGGGCTGTTCTGGACATCGCTGTAGACAGCACCCTTTCTCATCAGCTGTTTCATGAGTCCGCAAGTCTTAACACCTTTACTTCACCAATCATCACTTCCCTCCTCATCCCCTTGGTTCCAGGCCCAGCTCAAGTCTCGTGCTCAACCCTGGCCCATTGCCCCAGCCTCCTCCCAGCCTCCCTGCCTCCTATCCCACTTCTCTCCAGTCCGGGACCTACTTGGCTCCAGCAGGATCTTTCTAGATCCAGTGCTAACTCTGTTTCCCTTGCTTATAGCCCCCTCTTGCTTTCCAGGATAAAGCCCAAGGCCCTCAATCTGGCACCCAATGCTCCAAAAGATCTGAGCCTGCTTCTACCTCCATTATCGTGTCTTGGGAGCTCTGGGTCCTCCCTGACAGGTTGCGGATCTAGGAGCCTCTTTCCTCGTCTGCCTGTCTCAGTTCTTGGCACGTCTGCACCTGAGCTGCCCATCCACTTCTCCTTAATGTGAGAACTCCTCCTCATCTGTCTTTTCTCAGCTCAGCCACCTTCTTTCTGGTAGCCTGACCTGATCACCAAGTCCTCATCCTTTCACCCATGACTAGCCCATTCTCAGCACTCACCACACAGTCTTGTCTTTCTTCTTGCAGCTCAGTGGGAGGAATGAGGGAGAATTGGGCCTCCCAGCTCCACTCACCTGGCTGTGCTTCTCTTTCCCAGCCCTGCGGATCCTGAGCAATGGCATGTCGGTGCCCATCCAGGAGGGCCAGTCCCTGTTCCTCGCCTGCACAGTTGACAGCAACCCCCCTGCCTCACTGAGCTGGTTCCGGGAGGGAAAAGCCCTCAATCCTTCCCAGACCTCAATGTCTGGGACCCTGGAGCTGCCTAACATAGGAGCTAGAGAGGGAGGGGAATTCACCTGCCGGGTTCAGCATCCGCTGGGCTCCCAGCACCTGTCCTTCATCCTTTCTGTGCAGAGTGAGTTGCAGGACAGGTGCTGAGGGTAGACAGCCCGGTGAGGTATTCAGGTTGGTGGGAGGGACTGAGGCCTGGTAACAGCACCTTACCTTCTCCTTTCTCCCAGGAAGCTCCTCTTCCTGCATATGTGTAACTGAGAAACAGCAGGGCTCCTGGCCCCTCGTCCTCACCCTGATCAGGGGGGCTCTCATGGGGGCTGGCTTCCTCCTCACCTATGGCCTCACCTGGATCTACTATACCAGGTGAGCCGGACTGCCTGTCTCCAGGAAGCTCCTGAGTTCCAGGTGGGGCTGAGCTGTCCTGCCCCAGGACAGCTCAGCCCCACCTGGAATTAGAACTGAAGTGGCTGGTGCTGATCTGAGGCCCATGTTGGCTCTGCAGGTGTGGAGGCCCCCAGCAGAGCAGGGCTGAGAGGCCTGGCTGAGCCCCTCCCGCTCAAGACAGAACTGAGGTGTGGACACTTAGCCCTGTGGGACACATGCAGGACATCACTGTCAGCTTCTTTCTGGAAGCTCACATCCCACTGACTACCCCTCTTTTCCTTCCTGCCCCATACCCCTTCTACTTATTCCCCTCTGCTTGTGAGTCTTGCCCCACCACACCTGCATCCCCATCTGCACCCCATCCCCTCTCCACCTGCCCTTCTCTTCCCTCTCCATCCACCATCTCCAGCCCTGTGAAGGGAATGTACTTTCGGTCTTATACCCCCATTACCCATTACCCAAAAGTTACCTTTTTTTTTTTTTTTTTTTTTTGAGACAGAGTCTCACTCTGTTGCACAGGCTGGAGTTCAGTGGCACAATCTCCGTTCACTGCAACCTCCACCTCTGGGGTTCAAGCAATTCTCCTGCCTCAGCCTCCCTAGTAGCTGGGATTACAGGTGCCTGCCACCACATCCAGTTAATTTTTTTTTTTTGTATGTTAGTAGAGATGGGGTTTTACCATGTTGGCCAGGTCTCGAACTCCTGACCTCAAGCAATCCACTGCATTGGCCTCCCAAAGTGCTGGCATTACAGGTATGAGCCACCGTGCCTGGCTGCCAAAAGTTACCTTCTTAACACTTGAATTTCTGGTCTCCTCAGCTTCCCTATCCATATAGGCACAGAGAGGCAGCATTTGTTTTCCAGTTAAAACTCTACCTCATTGTGATTATTATCCAATACAATTGTTACAAAATAAGTAAAACTTTTATGAAACAATACAACATAACTGATTTTACTCTTTAATGCCTCTGTGAGAGTTTGTAGACAAAAATTATGTCTTTTTTTTTTTTCTTTGAGACAGAGTTTCTATCTTGTTGCCCAGGCTGGAGTGCAATGGCAAAATCTCAGCTCACTGCAACTTCTGCCTCCCAGGTTCAAGTGATTCTCCTTCTGTCCATATACAAGAAGGCAATACCTGTATTGTCAGGTTCTGTGCATCGTATAACTGGAACCAAACATATTTGCTTTAGGGTCTGCTTTCATTTCTTCAGTGTGGTTTTCCCAGTTTATCCACGTTGTTACACGTATCAATAGCTCATTCTCAGTTTTGGTGGGGTTTTTTTTGCTTTTAATATCGTACAGTCAGCCTTCTGTATCCACTGGTTCTGCATTTTCCCTTTAATCACTTTTGCTGCACCACAAAAGTTTTGTTATGTTGTATTTTTATATTAGTTCAAAATATTTCCTTCTTTCCCCTGAGATTTCCTTTGAATTCACGGATTGCTTAGAAGTGTGTTGTTTAATTTCTAAGTGATTGCAGATTTTACTGGTTTTTTATTTTTAAACAAATTGTTACTACTTTCTTTTTAAGTTCCATTTTAATAAATACACATGCTTGATATGATTTTTTTTAACTTTTAAGTTCAGGGGGCACAAGTGCAGGTTTGTTACATAGGTAAAGTGTCATGGGAGTTTGTTGTACAGATTATTGCATCACCCAGATATTAAGCCTAGTACCCATTAGTTATTTTCCTCATCCTCTCCCTCCTCCCACCTTCCACCCTTTGAAAGGCCCCAGTGTGTGTTGCTCACCTCTATGTATCCATGTGTTCTCATCATTTAGCTCCCACTTACAAGTGAGAACATGTGGTATTTGGTTTTCTCTTCTTGTGATAGTTTGCTGAGGATAATGGTCTCCAGCTCCACTCATGTCCCTGCAAAGGACATAATCTCATTCTTTTTTATGGCTGCTTAGTATTCCATGGTGTATATGTACCACATTTTCTCTATCCAGTCTACCACTGATAGGCAGTTAGGTTGATTCCATGTCATTGCTATTGTGAATAGTGCTGCAGTGAATGTATGCATGCATGTGTCTTTGTAATAGAATGATTTATATTCCTTTGGGTATATGCCTAGGAATGGGATTGCTGAGTCGAATGGTATTTCTATGTTTAGGTCTTTGAGGAATCGCCACACTGTCTTCCACAATGGCTGAACTAACTTTCACTTTCACCAACCGTGAGAGTCTTTTATATTGGTTAAGTTTGCTTGATGACACTGGTCTATCTTGGTGAATGCTCCATGTGTGCTTAGAAAGAATGTGTATTGCCCTGTTATGGGACGAATATTAAATGGCAATTAGACATAGTTGTCCAATGGTGTTCAGTTTTATAGCTGGTAACTTTTTTGTCTACCAGCTCAGTCTATTACTGAGAGAGGAATGTTGAAGTCTCTGATCCTAATGTTGGATTTGTCAGTTTCTCCTCTCAGTTTCATCAGTTTTTGCTGCATGTATTTTTAAACTCTGTCGTTAGGTGCATACATATTAAGAATTCTCATGTCTTCTTAAAGAATCAACTTAAAAAAAATTTTTTTTTGAGACAGAGTTTCGCTCTTTTTGCCCAGGCTGGAGTGCAATGGCGCGATCTTGGCTCACTGCAACCTCCGCCTCCCAGGTACAAGTGATTCTCCTGCCTCAGCCTCCCAAATAGCTTGGATTACAGGCACGCACCATCACGCCTGGCTAGTTTTTTTTGTATTTAGTAGAGACAAGGTTTCACCATGTAAGTCAGGCTGGTCCTGAACTCCTGACTTCAGGTGATCCACCCGCCTCAGCCTCCAAAGTGCTGGGATTATAGGCGTGAGCCACCGCAGTTGGCTGAATCAACTGTTTTACATTATGTAACATCACTTTTTGTTCCTGTGATTTTCTTTGCTCTTAAGTGTACTTTGTCTGCTATTAACATAGCCATTCCAGTTTTCTTTTGACTAGTATTTGCATAGTATGCATTTTCACATCCTTTAAGTCCTAGCCTCACCTCATTATATTTGAAATGGAAAGCATTTATACTCAGAAGCTGGAGTTCCTTTTCCCTAGCTCTTCCCTTTCCAGAATTGTTACCTGTTGTTTCAGTGTTCCTAGTTGCCCTGGGCTTCATCCCTTGTTTCTCAGTCCAGAAAGATGGAAGGAGTTGTATTAGAATTTTAGCAGCCACTTTCTGCACTGTAGCTCTGACCTACCATTGGAATAAAGCTATTTATTCCTTGTTGGTGCCTTTCCCCAAATATTGACTCCCGTTCCAGAATCTATTTTCTTTTATCCCATTTCCCAAGTAGTTTTTTTTCCCCATTCAAAGCTTATAACTTGTAAGGATTTTTTGTTTGTTTGTTTTGTTGTGTTGTGGTGAGTTCACTCTGCTAGGAGCTTACTCCTTCATAATAAAAGCACGACTCCTTCTCTTTCGTTTTGAAGGATAATTTTCCAAAATGTAGAATTCTAGCTTTGCATTTTTCTTTTAACCTTTTGGAGATGTCATTCCACTTTGGAGGGCGGGTGAGTTTCTCATGACAATTCAGTCATCATTTTCTTATTGTGGTTCCATTTAAGGCAATATCTGTTTATGTCTTGCTGCTTTTATAATTTCTTCATTCTTTTTCATGAATTTAACTTTTATAAACTTCAGGTGTTTTTCTTTTAATTTCCCTAAGTGCATGTAGCAAAGAGAGTGCAATATTTGCTTTTTTTCTATATGCTTTAACTCTTGATATACTTTATTTATGCTATAATAGAAATGTGTGTCTTCCCAAAATTTATATGTTGAAATCTTAAACCTCAAGGTGATGGTATTAAAAGGTTGGGGCTTTTTGGAAAGTGATTAACCCATAATGGTGCCATCCTTCATGAATGGGATTAGTGTTCTCATAAAAGAAACAGAAGGAAGTGTGTTTTCCTCTTCTGCCATGTGAGGATACCACGAAAAGATACTATCTGGGAAGCAAATAATTCTCTCCAGACACTGAATCCGCTGGCACCTTGATCTTGGACTTCCCGACCTCCAGAATTATGAGAAATAAATTTCTGTTGTTTATAAATCACCCAGCCTAAGGTATTTTGTTATAGCAGCCCAAATGGACTGAGACAATTTATCTTTTCCATCCTATGTTTTTCCCCTCTTTATTGTTTGGGTAATTTTCATTGGAAGAGATAGCTTGAACCACCAAAGTACAGAATAGAAAGTGTGGCAAAGTAAAAGAGGCAGTTCTTGTTCATCCCCAGTTAATCACTGTCATAAGGGGAGTGCTAGATCTTCCAATTTTGAAAGGTAAGTTGAGTAAGTTCATATTATTTTAACACTTCTCAATATTGAAATATTGAAAACTAATTTATAATTTCCAACACATAAATACTTATACAATTTTATAAACAGTAATAATTACAGGAATGCAAATCAAAACCATTATGAGATACCACTTCGTACACGTTAGAATGACCACTATTAAAAAACAAAACAAAACCAGATAATAACAAATATTGGTGAAGATTTGGAGAAATTGAAACCCTTGTGCATTGCTGGTGGGATGTAAAATGGTGCAGTCACTATGGAAGATGGTATGAAAATTCCTCGAAAAACAAAGCATGTAATTACTATGTAATTCAGCAATTCCACAATTCCACTTCTGAGTAGATACCCCAAAGAATTGAAAGCAGGGAGTCTGATATTTGTACCCCAATGTTCACAGCAGCATTATTTACAATAGCCAAAACATGGAAGCAACATAAATGTCTATCAGTGGATAAATGGAGAAACAAAATGTAGTATGCATCAAATAAAATCTTATTCAGCTTTAAAACGGAATGAAGTTCTAACAAATGCTTTAATGTGTATGACTTTGAAGACATTATGCTAGGTGAAATAAACCAGACAGAAAAGCACAAATGTCATAAGAGTCTACTTATATGAGATACTGAGATAGTCAAATGCATAGATACAGAAAGTAGAATGACGCTTGCTAAGGGCTGGGATGAGAAGGAAATGGAGAGTCAGTGTTTAATGAGTACACAGATTCAGTATGGAAAGATGAAAAAGTTCTGGAAATGGATGGTTGTGACAGTTGTAAAACAAGATGAATATATTCAGTGCCACTGAACCATACATTTAAAAGTGGTTAAAATGTTAAAATTTGTGTTATGCATTATTTTACCAAAATAAAACTTTTTTTTGTCAACACTTTCAATCAAATATAATAGAAATGTAAGCTGAATATATCTATCCAATGGATGCCCAATCAAAAGTAAAGACTTCATAGCTACCAGGGTGTTCTCTCAGTCCACACCTCTCCTAGTTGGAGTCCTTCATAATTGCCTCCACATAATTCCTGCCTCAATTTATCATACCATCAACTCAGTCACAGGTTGTAACTTTGTTCTCAGCTCCTCCTCTCCTGCTTTGAATTTGTTAAAATTGTACTGCACCAGGCTGATATATTCCAAGAGTTTAAGAGCAGATTTAAGTTTTGATGGTACAAACCAGTAATTCCCAAATCTTGCATCCTGTTCAGATTTTAAGATCCCCAGAAAGTAACTGGATCTCTCATGCTTAATAATCACAGAGAACCCAAAGCTGCCAACTTACCACAATATGTGGGAGAGTTCCTGAGGGTGATGGGTGATTGACATATGCAAGCTGGTATCCCTTCCCCAAACGTGAGAACAAAGACTTCTTTCCTGCCTTTCCCAGCACTTTGTACAAGTATATTTTGGGTAGCACTCTTCATTCAAGGTTTGGGAGCAGCAGAAAGGAATGGCTCTTCAGGATAAGAAGTAGGTTAAATTGGATGCTAGACATCGTGTTGCAAAAATTCACCATTCATCCCCACCACAGAAAGTCTTTCACTGGATTTTGTGTCCTAGTACCACGTTGTTGAGTCCAAGAGGTCATCCCCCAAATCCTCATCTCATTGCCACTGAATCCAGAACTTTTAAAAATGCTTTCTCTATCCTCCACAAGGGGGAGCCTTAACGTTCATCTTCCTTTTTTTATCCAGCATCATTTTAGCTTCCTCTTCACCTCATCCTTCAAAAGTTTATACATCCAAAATTACCACTAGTAATTTTTTCGTCTGAATTTCACCTCAATAAAAAATATTATCACCAGTTTAATTTGAAAACAAAGTAGTGATAAACTATATACACACTTTTCTCTTGAGGCAAACTCTGTAGCCCTTCTTGAATGTGAAAATGGTAATTTCTTTACCTCAATTCTTTTTTTCCTTCTTACATCCAATTCTGTATTTTGTGTTACTTTACTTTTATTAGAATGGGCATTGTGCCCCTGAGGTGGGCCAGCCTGGCCTCTTCCTTGCCCTTGGGGCCCAGATTTCCTGGTAGAGGCTGTGGGGAAATTTCCTTTTCTGCCCTTCTGTCTATATCTTGTGGCTTCTGGTTGCAATTTCCTCTTCTCTCACCCCATTTGTTTCTTGCACTTAATAGACAGCACAGAGGATGGGGGTTGGGGGAATGAAGCTGTCCCAGGGCAAGATCTGGGATCTCCAGCTTGAGAGATGCCTCTAGTGTTGAGTGGGACAAATGCTTGAGAGGACCAGGTGGGGTTTGGGGCTGGCCCTACAGGTATCTCTGTCTCTCACCCAAGGAAACAAGTGACCTAATGTTTTGTACATTCTCCTACACCTGGGATCCTGGAATCCTAAAACTCACTGCAGCCAGGCACGTGGTAACTGTTCTCTAGTGATCGATCACAAAGAGAGGGTGAAAATAAAAAATAGAATTCCCAAGATCAATGTCACCTCCTCAGTTGCTCCCAGGACAATAACTCTTCTCTGAGCACTGGGGGATTCCAGATGGGAGTTAGTGGGAGATATATCTTAAGAGGATGTGGTAGAACATAAACCTTTTACCTAAGGAGTCACTGTGAGAGTGACAGGGGCACAAGTTCTCCAAGAGTGAGCAACAAGAGGTGGAGATGAGGGTGGGACCACACATGGAGTTACTCATCACTCCGAAGGGACCCTGGAGCCAAATGGAGAGGAAACACCCATTACCTTCTCTCAAAAAGGTGCTGCCTTCTCCTTTCAGGGACCTGAGACCCATGACTGCTACCTCACTCCTTGTCTCAGTGGTCACCTTTACTTCTGGGCTTCAGGTGCTCTGCAGGTGCCCTTCAGTTTTCCCCTTTGGAAGCCAGAGAAACATGGAGAGAATCAGCCTCCTTAGCATGGCTTATGGGAGCTGGAGTAGGATGTCAGGGTCCTGGGGAGAAAAGACCTTTGGATGTGCAGGTCCTGTGGAGGCAAGACCTCAGAGAGGTAGAGCTCAGTGTCTGGGCCAGGGGTCAAGTTTTCAATCTTTCTCTTTATAAATAGTGTTATTGGCTGGGCGTGGTGGCTCACACCTGTAATCCCAGCACTTTGGGAGGCCAAGGTGGGTGGATCATGAGGTCAGGAGATCGAGACCATCCTGACCAACATGGTAAAACCCCGTCTCTACTAAAAATTCGAAAATTAGCTGGGCGTGGTGGGGTGTGCTTGTAGTCCCAGCTACTCCGGAGGCTGAGGCAGGAGAATCGCTTGAACCTGGGAGGCGGAGGTTGCAGTGAGCCAAAATCACGCCACTGCACTCCAGCCTGGGTGACAGAGCACGACTCTGTCTCAAAAAAAATAATAATAAATAATAAAAATAAACAAATAAATAAATAGTGTTATTTATGTTTTGCTCAGAAATCCTACCTACCTCAAATTCATGGCGATTTCCTGCTATATTATTTTCTAACAGCTCTATTGTTTTCTTTGTCATATTTAGACCTTCAAGCTACCTGTACTTGACTTTTATGCATGAGCTGGGAGTCAAATTTCATTGCAAACTTACTGCAAACTTGATTGCATTAAGTTTTGCCCACAGATATTTTTTGAAAAGTTGGCCGGGCCCAGTGGCTCATGCCTGTAATCCCAACACTTTGGGAGGTTGAGGTGGGAGGACCGCTTGAGCCCAGAAGTTTGAGACCAGCCTGGGCAACATAGTGAGAACCTGTCTCTACAAAAAATTAAAAAATTAGCCAAGCATAATGGTGCATTCCTGTAGTCCCAGCTATTTGGGAGGCTGAGATGAGAGGAGTGCCTGAGCCCAGAGAAATAGAGACTGTGGTGAGCCCTGATCACACCATTGTACTCCATCCTAGGTGACAGAGACACTGTCTCAAAAAAAATTAAATAAATAAAAACCCAAAATAAATAAAAAGAAAAATTTATTATTTGCCACTTCCTCTATCACACTTGATGTTTCCTGTGGTTGAGGTCTATTTCCAGGCACTCAATTTTGTTCCACTTGGTCAATACATAATTGTCACTTTTTTTTTTCAGACAAGGTCTCACTGTGTCACTTTGTCACCTTGGATGGAGTGCAGTGCTGCAATCTTGGCTCACTGCAACCTCCACCTCCTGGGCTCAAGTGATCCTCCCACCTCAGCCTCTCAAGTAGCTGAGACTACAGGCATGAGCCACCCATGCCCAGCTAATTTTTGTGTTTTTTGTACAGATGGGGTGTCACCATGTTGCCCAGGCTGGTCTTGAATTCCTGGGCTCAAGTAATCCTTCTGCCTCGGTCTCCCATAGCGCTGGTATTACAGGTGTGAACCATTGAAATGGGCCTATTTTCTCACATTTTTAAAAATTTGAGACAGTCTCACTCTGTCACCCTGGGTGGAATGCAGTGGCACAATCTTAGCTCACTGCAACCTCCACCTCCTGGGTTCAAGCAATTCTTGTGCCTCAGCCTCCTGAGCAGCTGAGATTACAGGCACATGCCACGATGCCCAGCTAATTTTTGTTATTTTTTAGTAGAGACAGGGTTTCACCATGTTGGTCAGGCTGCTTTCAAACTCCTGACCTTAAGTGATCCATCTGCCTCGGCCTCCTAAAGTGCGGGGATTACAGATGTGAGCCACTGTGCCCCGTCTGAAATGGTCATATTTTCTGTAATGTTATGATACATCTTTTTATCTTGCAAAGCCATTCATTGTTCTTCATGGTTGCCTTGACCATACTTGAACATTTCTACTTCAGTATAAATTTTACAATAGAGTTACCAAATTGCACAAAAATCACCCGGGAGATTGTATGACATATTCCTTTGATGCTGTAGATTGTTGGGTAAAATTGGCATTCATACAATATTGTTCTCAAACTCATCAACATGGCCTCTTTTTCAGTTTATTTACATCTTGATTTATTTATTTTTTATTTATTTATTTTCTTGAGACGGAGTCTTGGTCTGTCGCCCAGGCTGGAGTGCAATAGTGCAATCTCGACTCACTGCAACCTCCATCTCTCAGGTTCAAGTGATTCTCCTGCCTTGGCCTACTGAGTAGCTGGGACTACAGGTGCCTGCCACCACACCCAGCTAATTTTTGTATTTTTAGTAGAGATGGGGTTTCACCAGGTTGGCCAGGGTGGTCTCGAACTCCTGACCTCAGGTGATCCACACGCCTCGGCCTCCCAAAGTGTTGGCATTACAGGCGTGAGCCACTGCGCCCAGCCTATTTACATCTTTAATGTCCTTGAATACAGATTTATAATTTCCTCCATAGAGGTGACATATACATATTTTTGTTAGATACATCTCTAATAGTTAGATATATTCCATATATTCAAAAATTATATCATATTTTTTGATATTGATAAATTATATCATAATTTTTGAAGCTTTTGTCAATGGCATTTTTATAAAATTCCATTTTTATTACTGTGATGTGGAAAGACAACTGATTTTGTAATTTGATTAATCTCTGGCTGTCTTGCAAATATTTTATTAAGGCTTCAAATGTATCCGTATATACTTTTGGATTTTTCTTTTTTTTTTTTTGAGATGGAGTGTCGCTCTGTCGCCCAGGCTGGAGTGCAGTGGTGTGATCTCCACTCACTGCAAGCTCCACCTCCCAGGTTCACACCATTCTCCTGCCTCAGCCTCCCGAGTAGCTGGGACTACAGGCGCCCACCACCACGCCCGGCTAATTTTTTGTATTTTTAGTAGAGATGGGGTTTCACCATGTTAGCCAGGATGGTCTTGATCTCCTGACCTCGTGATCCGCCTGCCTCAGCCTCCCAAAGTGCTGGGATTACAGGCGTGAGCTACCACGCTTAGCCTGGATTTTTCTATATGTGCAGTCATGTCATTGATAAAGACCTCTGTTAAAATTTCATTGTAATTGCTGTACCTTTTGCTTATTTTTATTGCCTTATTATGCTAGGACCTGAAGCTACTTCATTAGGTATATGATGTTTGCTGAAGACACCCTTTATCTTGTTTGGGAAATTCTCTAAAGAGAATTTCTAGTTGGCTATGAATTATATCATAAAGGGATTTGAAATCACCCAATGCTCACTTATTCATCTCTTGAGATTTAATTAGTTAAGGCTGATGTGAAAACAGAAGCCATACTATGTATTTTAGGAGAGGGAATTTAATATTAAGATTTTAATATAAAGATAAAAATACCATTTTCCTACATAATCAAGTCTTTATCTTTAGATCCTACTAGCCGGTATGATGAATTACTTTCACAGTTCAAATGAGGAATAAAGTTCAGAATTTGCAATAAGAAAAAGAAAAAAGAAAAAATTATTCTGACACCTGTTAACATTGACTATTCAGGATGACTGAGACAGGTATCAAGACTAGTGCAGGCCAGGCACAGTGGCTCATGCCTGTAATCCCAACACTTTGGGAGGCAAGGCAGGGAAATGACCTGAGGTCAGGCATTCGAGACCAGCCTGGCCAACATGGTGAAACCCCCATCTTTACTAAAAATACAAAAATAAGCTGGGCATGGTGGCATGCACCTGTACTCCCAGCTACTCAGGAAGCTGAGATAGGAGAATCGCTTGTACCTGGGAGGGGGAGGTTGCAGTGAGCTAAGGTTGCACCACTGTACTCCAGCTGGGACAACACAGTGAGACCCCGTCTCAGAAGAAAAAAACAGAAGTCAATTAAAAAAAAAAAAAGACTAGTGCAATAATGGAGATAGGTCAGGCTCAACTCGGAATACAGCAAAGACCAGGGGGGTTTATGGGCAAGAAGCATAGTGCAGCAGGTGAGGGAGGCTGGCCGTGTGTGTTAGTGGACGGAAAACTACTAAGAGGAGACACTGAAGATACCGGGATTCTTTCTAAACTGACTTAACAGGATTCTTGCTGAAAGCAGGCCAGCATGATCAGATACCAAGGGTGAGGGCTAGGGAATTTGATCAGATAGTGAAGGCGATCAGATATCAAGAGTCTTGCAAAACCAACTTAGCAGGATTCTTGCTACAGCTGGACAAGGCAGTCCCAAGGACAAAGCCTAGTTGAAAAAAGGGTTCAGAGGAGCTTTCATAAGTTTGGTTAAGAAGAGAGTCTTTGTGACTCTTTAGAAAAAAAAATACAAAAATACAAAATTTGGCACACATAGGATGATTTTTGGACTGAGAAAACACATCAAATCACAAAATCTAAAATGTCAAAATATGAGACAACTCAGAAAAATGGCATACTATGTTTGTTAATAGTATAGTCTACCTGTCTGCTACACCTGCATACTTTTTCCCTATATTTTTGACTGATTTTCTTTGATTGCCTTCATAATGGTGATAATTTTTTTCTTTTTGAGACAGAGTCTCACTTGGTCACCCAGGCTGGAGTGCAGTACCGTGATCTTGGCTCACTGCAACCTCTGCCTCCTGGGTTCAAGTGATTCTCCTGCCTCAGCCTCTGGAGTAGCTGGGACTATAGGTGTGCGCCACTATGCCTGGCTAAATTTTTGTACTTTTAGTAGAGAGGAGGTTTCTCCATGTTGGCCAGGCTGGTCTCGAACTCCTGATCTCAGGTGGTCCACCCGCCTCCTCCTCCCAAAGTGCTTGGGATTACAGATGTGAGCCACTGTACCCGGCCAATATTGGAGAATAATTTTATAATACAATTTTTATAGATAGAATAGAAAGAGAAGTCGGTATTTCTTCTGGCATGGGTGGTTGACGTTTGTTTTGATCATTGATAGTTTAAGAAACTGTCTTTATTCTCACAACACATTAATCGGAATGTGAAAAATTTTTAATATATTGTTAAATTTTGGGAAACTATTATGAAATTTCTTTCATAAAAGAGCAGTAACAAGGCAGGTTATTTCCACACATTGCGTGGGCCCCTCCTGGGCATCTGAAAAGTGGATCCTGCAAGGGAGGGCATTGAAGATTGAGCTTCATCAGCCTCACAGTGGCAAATTTGCTTCTGTAGCTCCTTAATAGGATGAGGCTTTAGCAGGGCTTGTGTTTCACTGCCGTCCCACAAGACCCTCAGGTCCATCAAGACCCAAAGTGGACTGTGCTGTGTCCCAAGAATCTTCTTAACATAAGAGTGCTTCAGCTCTCTCATGCTCTGACCCTCCACGAAATTTGGGTCAAAAAAATTTTTTTTCAGCCCTTTTGAACTTTTTTTTTTTTTTTTTTAAGGCAGGGTTTCACTCTGTTGCCCAGGCTGGAATGCCGTAGTGCGATCACGGCTCACAGCAACCTCAAACTCCTGGGCTCAAGGAATTCTCCTATTTCAGTGCCCCGGAGGAGCTGAGACTATAGGTGTGCCACCACACCAGCTAATAGTTTTTATTTTTTGTAGAGATGGTGACTTGCTATGTTGCCCAGGCTGGTCTCAGACTCCTGGGCTCAAACAACCCTCCCACCTCAGCCTCCCGAAGTGCTGGGATTACAGGCATGAGCTACCATGCCTGGTCACTTTGAACATTTAAAATCAAATTTAAAATTATGTATTTCCAGAATGTTTCATGGTTTTTAGGTGGAGGGTGGTTCTGACATCTCACCTCATCACCAGGACAAGCCCTTGTTTCTCTTTTCTTTCTGCATTCAGCCCCCTGAGGATCTCACTCATGACTGAAACATCATTTGAGGGGTGATCACCTCCAGATCCTCAGCTGGACAAGCCTCACATCGTCTGGGGGCCTCAGTATCTTCACCTGCGGCGTCCAGTCGGGGTGGGAGCAGAATGGCTTCCCAGCCCCCGCCTCACCCCAACAGCACGTGATGCCCAAGTTCCCCTTCTGTGCGCGTCCACAGCTCTCACTCACCCTCCGGCTTCCTGTCGGGGCTTTCTCAGCCCCACCCCACGTTTGGACATTTGGAGCATTTCCTTCCCTGACAGCCGGACCTGGGACTGGGCTGGGGCCCTGGCGGATGGAGACATGCTGCCCCTGCTGCTGCTGCCCCTGCTGTGGGGGGGTGAGTGAGCTGAGGGAGGAGGGACAGGCACAGGGGTGAGAAGGGGGGCTGGAGCTGCAGCTGAGCTTCTGTGTCCCCCCAGGGTCCCTGCAGGAGAAGCCAGTGTACGAGCTGCAAGTGCAGAAGTCGGTGACGGTGCAGGAGGGCCTGTGCGTCCTTGTGCCCTGCTCCTTCTCTTACCCCTGGAGATCCTGGTATTCCTCTCCCCCACTCTACGTCTACTGGTTCCGGGACGGGGAGATCCCATACTACGCTGAGGTTGTGGCCACAAACAACCCAGACAGAAGAGTGAAGCCAGAGACCCAGGGCCGATTCCGCCTCCTTGGGGATGTCCAGAAGAAGAACTGCTCCCTGAGCATCGGAGATGCCAGAATGGAGGACACGGGAAGCTATTTCTTCCGCGTGGAGAGAGGAAGGGATGTAAAATATAGCTACCAACAGAATAAGCTGAACTTGGAGGTGACAGGTATGGCAGGGACCCCAGGAGAGGACCCTGGGACGTGGAGACCCCCGTATGAGAACAGGGACAGGAGTTGGGCAGGGGCGGCTGGAGGAGGTGTAGGACTTGGGGCAGGTCGGGGCCTGAGGCCTGGCCACTCTCGGGGTCACACCTTACGTCCTCAAGCCCCTGGGGCCCAGGTATCTCCCTGTCTCCTCCTCAGCCCTGATAGAGAAACCCGACATCCACTTTCTGGAGCCTCTGGAGTCCGGCCGCCCCACAAGGCTGAGCTGCAGCCTTCCAGGATCCTGTGAAGCGGGACCACCTCTCACATTCTCCTGGACGGGGAATGCCCTCAGCCCCCTGGACCCCGAGACCACCCGCTCCTCGGAGCTCACCCTCACCCCCAGGCCCGAGGACCATGGCACCAACCTCACCTGTCAGATGAAACGCCAAGGAGCTCAGGTGACCACGGAGAGAACTGTCCAGCTCAATGTCTCCTGTGAGTGGTGCTGGGGACACAGCTGAGTCCTCAAGGGCAGTGGGAGTGAGGGGTGTGTGTGTGTGTGTGTGTGTGTGTGTGTGTGTAAGGAAGACAGAGAGAAACAAAACAATAACTTGAGAAACCTTGTGTGTGGATCTAAGCCTTGGGATCTGCGGGGAGTGAGACAGGACAGCCTTCCCCGCTTGGTGGGTTTCTGTGGCTCCTCTTTGGGTACCTCCTGGGCCCATGCCCATCTCACTCCTCACTGCTGAAGCCAAGTTTATATCTTTTTATCCCAGATGCTCCACAGACCATCACCATCTTCAGGAACGGCATAGGTAGGAAAGACCTCCTCTCTGAAGCTGGGACCTGCCTCTGGGTCTGTCTCTGAGCAGAGGTAGAGAATCAGAGCTTGAATGCAATCAGATTTGGGAAGAGCAAGAATGAGAATTACTGCCTTCTGGCTTCCACCTTCTGTGAGCCCCATGTGCAGGCACATATGCACACACGCACATACACACGCACACATGCACACACGCACACACACACGCACACACACACATGCATATACACCACACACATACACATGCAATACACCACACACACACGCACATACACACACACATGCACACAGGCACACATGCACACACACCACACACATATGCACACACACACATACACCACACAGGCACATGCACATACACACGCACACATGCACATACACCACACACACATATGCAGATACACCCACACACGCACACATGTACGTACACCCGCACACGCACACACACACGCACACAGGTGCACACTCATGCACTCTGCTCAAAGCAGTGAACAGACTTTAGACCCCACCCATCTCCCATCCCTCCTGTGGTCTGGTTCTTTCCACAGTCACTAAGGACCACTCCATGCCCCTCTCATCTCAGTCAGCCCAGCTCTGTGGTTCTTCTCTCACCCTTCCACTCCTGCATCCTCAGTCTTATTTCCTGTCACATTAGCGGACTGTATTTCCCAACGCCACCGGGGGCTCTCTGTCCTCTCTCCACCACAGTCCAGGCATGTACCAGTGAGATATTGAGCCTCCTCTGGAGACATGAGACTCAGACACTTTTGGTCAGTTTCCTGAGTGTGCAAAGGCCCAGCCTTTGAACCAGGATGCAATCAAGCCAGCATAGGCCAGGGGAGGAGAGGGAGATGTCATCTGGATCCTGGGAAGGAGGGAAGGATAGGGACTGTCAGCCTCCCTGGCCCCATCTCTCTTTCCCCACCCTTCTCTCCCCAAAGCCCTAGAGATCCTGCAAAACACCTCATACCTTCCGGTCCTGGAGGGCCAGGCTCTGCGGCTGCTCTGTGATGCTCCCAGCAACCCCCCTGCACACCTGAGCTGGTTCCAGGGCTCCCCTGCCCTGAACGCCACCCCCATCTCCAATACCGGGATCTTGGAGCTTCGTCGAGTAAGGTCTGCAGAAGAAGGAGGCTTCACCTGCCGCGCTCAGCACCCGCTGGGCTTCCTGCAAATTTTTCTGAATCTCTCAGTTTACTGTGAGTGTGGGGGCAGCTGGAGCAGGAACTGCATGGTATTAAAGAAGGAAGAGGCCCCCTGCTGAGTTCTGTCCTCCCTCCCCACAGCCCTCCCACAGTTGCTGGGCCCCTCCTGCTCCTGGGAGGCTGAGGGTCTGCACTGCAGATGCTCCTTTCGAGCCCGGCCGGCCCCCTCCCTGTGCTGGCGGCTTGAGGAGAAGCCGCTGGAGGGGAACAGCAGCCAGGGCTCATTCAAGGTCAACTCCAGCTCAGCTGGGCCCTGGGCCAACAGCTCCCTGATCCTCCACGGGGGGCTCAGCTCCGACCTCAAAGTCAGCTGCAAGGCCTGGAACATCTATGGGTCCCAGAGCGGCTCTGTCCTGCTGCTGCAAGGTCAGGGGGCGTATTGCAGAGGGCAGGGGCCTGAGGGGAGGGGCATGGATCCCAGAGTGATGGATGGTGGGAGAGAGAGGCTGGACTGGTGGTGGGGAGACAGGGTTCTTCATCTCCTGTCTGAGCAGGGCCCTGGAGCAAGTTGCCCAGCAGGTGGGAGGACAAGAGTCTGAGTCCTGGGAGTGAGTTATTGCACGCCCCTCTTTTCTGCAGGGAGATCGAACCTCGGGACAGGAGTGGTTCCTGCAGCCCTTGGTGGTGCTGGTGTCATGGCCCTGCTCTGTATCTGTCTGTGCCTCATCTTCTTTTTAATGTAAGTCTTGGTCCCAGGGAAGGTACAGGGTGGTGTTTGTAGGGAGTAGGAGAGACTGAATCTCAGAAACACAGAGCTAAGGCCAGAGGTGGTGATGTGTGCTTGTGGTTCCAGATGCTCAGGAGTCTGAGGCAGGAGGATCACTTGATCATGGAGGTTGAGGCTGCAGTGAGCCAGGATTGTGCCAATGCACTCCATCCTGGGCCTCAGAGTGAGAGACCCTGTCTTAAAAGAAAAACAAAACAAAACAAAAAGCAGAACTGAGTAGATCCAGAGAGGTCTTCTTTCTTTTTTTCTTTTCTAATAGCTTTATTGAGATACATGTTTTGTACAATTCATCCACTGAAAGTGTACGAGTCAATGGCTTTAAGTATATTGACAGAGTTATGCATCTGTCACCAAAATCAATTTTAGAACATTTTCATCAGCCTAAAGTGAAAAACGAAGACATAAAGAAACCTTGCACCCCTTAGCTATCACTCCTGCTTCTTTCCCCCAGCCCTAACCTATTCCATGTCTCTGTGGATTTGTCTGTCCTGAAGTTGCAGTTGTACTTTGTGTGAATGGAATCACGCGATATGTGGTCCTTTGTGGCTGGCTTCTTTCACTCGGCCTAATGTTTTCAAGATTCATCTATGTTGTAGCATGCATCGATACTTCATTCCTTTTTGTTTTCAAATAATATTCCATTATATAAATGGAACGCATTTGATTTGTGGGTTCAGCTGTTGACGGGTACTTGGGTTGCCTCTGCTTCTTGGCTATGATGCATAACACTGCTATGACCATTCCTGCCATGGTTTTGTGTGTAAGAGGGGGTCTATATGATGGAAATTCAGTCCATGGCCACCCTGACCAAATCCCTGGTTATCCAGGAGGATGGAGCCCTCACTCCGAAGTCAGGAAGGTCTCCGAGTTTAGTTCCGGGGCCTGGATGGCTTCATTGTCATTTTCACCATCTTAGCATGGGATGGGACAACCCGCTAACCCGTGCCTGGGTGGTCCCAGCTGCACTGTGCTGGTTTCTTTCCTTAGAGTGAAAGCCCGCAGGAAGCAAGCAGCTGGGAGACCAGAGAAAATGGATGATGAAGACCCCATTATGGGTACCATCACCTCGGTGAGTGGTTTGGGGATCTTCTCATGTGCATGTCCACTCGGAAAGTCCAGGCTGAGCTCTTCAGCATTCCACCAAACCCACTCCTCCCTCATCACCTGGGAGTTCTCTTCTCTCCTGTTCTCCCCCTTCATATCCCAGAGCCAGGAAATCATTATGTCCCATTCAACCTTCTTTGTTTTGTTTGTTTGTTTGTTTGTTTTTGAGATGGAGTTTCACTCTTGTTACCCAGGCTGGAGTGCAATGGTGCGATCTTGGCTCACTGCAAACTCCACCTCCCAGGTTCAAGCGATTCTCCTGCCTCAGCCTCCCAAGTAGCTGGGATTACAGGCGCACACCACCATGCCCGGCTAATTTTTGTATTTTTAGTAGAGACGGGATTTTGCCATGTTAGGCAGGCAGTTCTTGAACTCCTGACCTCAGGTGATCCGCCCGCCTCGGCCTCCCAAAGTGCTGGGATTACAGGCGTAAGCCACCGCGCCCGGCCACCAACCTTCTTTCTAAAAGTAAAACTAACTTGTCCTTTGCTCATCTTCCCTCCCCACCTCTACTGACCACAGAGCCTGCCTCACTTCCTCCCTGCCTCCATCTCTCATTCCAAACTTCAGGCTGCCAGAATCATCGCCCCAAAACTATTACTTCCCAGGCAGCCTGGAGTTTCAATGTTGTTGTTGTTTGTTCCTGTTGCTTAGAGAATCAGGCCCATGTTCCTTGCCCCACACCAGGTGGCCACTTCAGCCTGTTTCTGTCCTCTGATCCTGCCCCGTGGCCTGGCCACGCTGGCCTTCTGTCTCCATACGGACCTGCTGTCCTACAACTTTGAGCCCTTGCAAGTATAGTTTCTTCCACCTTTCCTTCCCTGTTTCCACCAGACTACCTCATCTAATCCTTCCAGCTCTAATCTCAGTATCTGCTACTCTAGTCATTTCCCCTCCTGTTGATATCTGCCCCTTCTCTTCTGTGTTTACAGCCCTACATGCATCCCCGTCCCCATCACACATCACCACTGCCTTTACCTGTCTCCACCCACTCATCATATCTGTAGAATTCTTTTTTATTTTTATTTTTTTGGAGACGGAGTCCTGCTCTGTCACCCAGGCTGGAGTGCACTGGCGCAACCTCGGCTCACTGCAACCTCTGCCTCCCAGGCTCAAGCAATTCTCCTGCCTCAGCCTCCCAAGTAGCTGGGATTACAGGCATGCACCACCTGGCTAATTTTTGTATTTTTAGTAGAGACGGGGTTTCACCATGTTGGCCAGGGTGGTCTCGAACTCCTGACCTCAGGTGATCTGCCTGCCTCAGCCTCCCAAAGTGCTGGGATTACAGGTGTGAGCCACCGCGTGCGGCCAATATCTGTGGAATTCTTGAAGGACAGGGGCTGGGGCTTCTTTAGCCCCTGCAGTTTTCTCTCCTGCTGTTTCTGTCCAGCGTGTCTCCTCTCCTCTTTTATAAAATTGATCTAGTGTTGCCCCGAACGAATTGTCCAAAATGCTTAGTTCATGACCAAGCTGTCATGACTGGAACAAGCATCATTTACTTTTACTTTTTCACTTTGGTTCATAATATGATAAATAACTGCAAACCCACCATCCAACCTAAGACCTAACACATTGGTGATAACTTGTATCCACCTGTGTTGCTCCCTGATCCATTCCCAGTAACCACTGTTGTGAATCTTGTCTTCCTAGTGTTGTCACATATATGTAGGCTTATGCCACTATTTAGTTTTAATTGTTTATGAATCTACAGAGGGTATCATGTTCCACGCACACTTCTTGGACTTGCTTTGTAGACTCAACATTGTATTATGATTCATTCATGTTGTATAAAGTTGCAGTTGTATTCATTTTTCCTGCTTATAATATATATATTTTTTGAGACAGGGTCTGACTCCATTGCCCAGGTTGGAGTGCAGTGGTGCGATCTCGGCTCATTGCAACCTCCACCTCCCGGGTTCAAGCAACTCTCCTGCCTCAGCTTCCTGAGTAGCTGGGATTACAGGCATGTACCACCACGCAAGGCTCATTTTTGCATTTTTAGTAGCGATGGGGTTTCACCATGTTGGCCAGTCTGGTCTTGATCCACCCACCTTGACCTCCCAAAGTGCTGGGATTATAGGTGTGACGGCTTATAATATTATATTTTATGATTGTGTCTATCACCTAAGCTCATATTGATGCACACTTGAGTTGTTTCCATTTGAGCCGTTCTGAACATTCTTATCCTTGTCTCACCGTACTAACACACACGAGCTTTCCTTTAGCATCACCTAAAGATTGAGTTGCCGCATCGCTGGGCATGTGAATGGGCATCTTTACAAGGTCATGAAAAATGGCTTTCCAAAGCAATTATATCCATTTATACTCTCATCTATGCCTAGGAAATCTTGTTGTTCTGTAATCTCTCCAACTTGCTTTTCTCAGTTTTGGAGGCTATTTTACTATCTCACTATGGTATTGATTTGCATTTCCTCGGTTACCAGTGAAGATGAAAAATCTCTCTCTGCTTTCATCTTCTATAAAACACCTGGTCACATCTGGATCCCATTTTCCTATTGGGTGTTTGACTTTTTCTTAATGAATTTGTTGGAGGGCTTTATACATTTTTACACTATTTTTCTCATTGTATGTGTTGTAAATATAAATATCTTCTCCCAATGCGTAGCTTGTCTTCACTTCTTAAAGTGATCTTCAATGAACATAAGTTCCTAGTTGTAATATAATCATATTCACAAATCCTCTCTTTTCTATTGAGTACCTTTTGGATCTCATTAAAAAAAATTTCACCCATCCTAAGATTAGAAAGATATTCAAATATAGTTTCTACTAAAAGTTTTATGCTTTTATTTTTAATTTTGTGGGTACATATTAGATGTATATATTTATGGGGTACATGAACTGTTTCAATAGAGGCATGCAGTGTGAAATAAACACTTCATGAAGAATTGGGTACCCAGCCCCTCAAGCATTGATCCGTTGAGTTGCAAACAATCCAGAAGCAACCTAAGTGTCCATCAATAGATGAATGGATAAAGAAAATGTTGTGCATATACACAATGGAGTACTATTCAGCCATAAAAAAGAATGAGATCCAGTCATTTGCAACAACATGGATGGAACTGGAGATCATTATGTTAAGTGAAATAAGGCAGGCACAGAAAGACAAACATTGCATGTTCTCACATATTTGTGGGATCTAAGAATAAAAAAAAATTGAACTGATGGACATAGAGAGTATGCTTTTCTTTTGACATTTAAGTACTCACTCTGTCTGGGGTTGACTTTTGTGTATGGTGTATAGTGTTGATCCATATATGTTTCTCCTTCATTTCTGAATAGTCCTTCTCCCTTCTCCATTGAGCAACATGCCAATTCTGCCATGTATTAAAATTCTATATATTTGTCGGTCTCTTTCTGTGGTCTCTATTCTACTCCAATAGTCAATTTTACTGTCCCTGAGTCATCACTGTCTATAAATTCAAAAATAAGTCCTGATATAGAGTACAGCAAAACCTCTTCCTTAATCTCCTTCAATAGTATCTTGACCATTCTTGGTCCTTTTTTTTTTTCACTTTAATGTTAGAATCAGGTTGTCAAGGCCGGGCGCGGTGGCTCACGCCTGTAATCCCAGCACTTTGGGAGGCCGAGGTGGGTGGATCACGAGGTCAGGAGATCGAGACCATCCTGGCTCACACGGTGAAACCCCGTCTTTACTAAAAATACAAAAAAAAAAAAAATTAGCCAGGCGTGGTGGTGGGCACCTGTAGTCCCAGCTACTCGGGAGGCTGAGGCAGGAGAATGGCGTGAACCTGGGAGGCAGAGCTTGCAGTGAGCGGAGATCGCGCCAGTGCACTCCAGCCTGGGTGACAGAACACGACTCCGTCTCAAAACAAAACAAAACAAAAAACAAAAAAGCAAAACAAAACAAAACAAAAAAGAATCAGGTTGTCAAATTCCAAAAAATACATTGAATCTATAGCTCAATGTGGAAAAAATTTACTTGTTTAGAAATTCATGCCTTCTTATCCATGACAGTAGGTCTTTCTCTCTCTATTCCTTTAAATATTTTTAAGTGTTTTAAAGAGATAATGTAGAGTTTCTTCACACAGGTCTTACACATCTTTTGTTATTTTTCTTCCTAAATACCAGTTTTTGTTGCTATTGTAAATGCTATCTTTTTAAAAGTGCATTTTCTGATTCCTTATCAGAATGCAGAATGAAAGTATTTAAAAAATATAAGAGGGTTTTTTTTTGTAATTAAAAAAAATCACAAGTTGGTCTTGCATGTGTCCTTTAGCATCTTCTTGCTTTGGTAGCTGGAGAATTCTTAGATCTTATTTATAAGCCTGCTGATCTCTTCTTTTTCAGAAATATAGATACCATCTGAAAAATTAGTGATATTCCTATTTTTAACTGTCATGGCTTGCTGAATCAAAGCAGCTGGGTTTGATGCAAGTGTAATGCTATTTTCTTAAAGAATCAACTCATCCTTTTGGGCTTCAGGTACTGAGCAAGAAATGCCTGTCCTCATGTATACTCTGCAGATGTATTTCTCTTCTAACAGATGTCAGATTTCAACAAATGACCCACTGTCCTGAATAATCACTTTTTTTGAGGAAGTGAGGACACGCAAACCTAACCTCATCTGGCAACGGAAGTCTGTGTAACACCTCAGACTGTGGGCAGTTTGTGACTATGGATGGTTTGAAGAATAGCCAGTTACCTTTCATTTCCCCACCATTTGGCAACACAGAACTTCTCCTTTTTCTTTCCTATATTGATGGGGTTGAATTTCTCAGCTGGGTTCCTTGAGGGGATTCACTATAACTGTGCATCTCTTCATAGTGACACCCATCTCCTCTGGGATGTCAGCTCTCTGGATTTAGAGAATTGTCATAATTCTCTCAGTAAATGCAGCAAGTAAAACTCATTTTTAATTGATTTCATTTCCTTCCAACTTGCCAAGCTCCCTTATTAGTTCAAATAACTAGTATATAGAAATTGAAGTATTTTAAATAAATTTTTTTCAATTAAAACAAAATCACAAATTAGGCCAGGTTTGGTGGCTCATGCCTGTAATCCCAGAACTTTGGGAGGCTGAGGCAGGAGGATCTCTTGAGGCCAGGAGTTCAAGGCCAGGGGATAACACAGTGAGCCCTCCATCTCTACAAAAAGAAAAAAAATCACACATTGATCTTGGGTATTATTTAGAATGTTTTGGGATTTCAAATTAGATGATTATATCATCTGCAAAATAATAACAGTTTATTTCTTCCCTTTGTCCTAAGCACTTCTTTCCTTTTTCTTGTTTCAATATGCTGGGTGAGATTATGGTCAAAGTTGAGTAGACATAGTGACCATGGGCATCTTTTGCTACTGCTGATTTTGAAGGAAATGCACCCAATATCCTGCCACTTGGTTCTGTGAACTTTCATCAGGTTAAGGAAGTTCCTTTCTATCACTAAATAAGTTTTTATCCTAAACTTCTGTTGTATTTTTTGAATGCATCTACTGATAGGATTTTTTCCTACTTAATCTGTTACCATGGGGAATGACAATTAAAGATTTTTCTGGTATGAAACTACTCCTGCATTCCTGGGAGAAAACCATATTATTCATAGCATTTTTTTAATACTCCAGTAGGTTGTTTGATCATCTTTTGCTCAGCACTTTTGCGTCTATATGCATGGTCAAATACACTTGTCATTTTCCTTTTTCCTCCTGTTTCTTCTGTTTGGGTATCAAGATAAGATTGAGAAATTGGGGACTAGTCTCTCTTTTTCTACTGTCTGGAAGAGTGTGTATAAAACTGAAATGACTTGTTTCCTGAATGATTGATAGATGTCACTTATCAAACTACCTGGGCCTGGTGGCGTCACTATGTGCAATTTTCCTAATTTAATCATTTTATGTATTCTTCAGCGAGCTTTATTCTAGGGACGTGTTCCTTTCACCTAAGTTATATATATATATATATTTTGACAAAAGGATATGGGTGGCATTCTTTTGTCTTTATATTATTTGTTTTTGTCGAGATTACTTCCCCTTTTAGAAATATTCCTGACATTGGTTATTTGTGACTTCTTTCTTTTTTTCTAGCTAAATCTTGTTAATTGCTTTCCCTATTTTATTATCAGTTTCAAGGAACCAACTTTTGGGATTGTAGAATTTTCTCACTGTATCTTTGTTTTCTGTTTTATTGATTTTTACTCTCATTTTCTCAGCACCTTCCTTCTACTTGTTTTGGTTTATTCTGATGATCTTTGATAAATTTTTAAGCTGGATACTTAGCTTCTTAGTGTCTATATTTTCATTCTCTATAAAACGTAGTTAGGGATAAATTTCTCTCAGAATTTCATTTTCATCCCATTGCACAAATTTTGATATGTATTATTTGAATAACATTCAGTTGTGGATATTGTTAAAACAACATTGTGATTTCTTCTTTGAATCTTAAATTATTTGGGATTAAAAATTCCAAAGGTATGAAGATTTTAAACATCTTTCATAATTAAATTCTAAGTAGATGCTTTTTGGTCAGAATACATGGTTTTATGATATCTACTTTTAAAATTTGTTGAGACTTGATCTGTGGCCTGTATACAATGAATTTTTGTAAATGTTTCCCTGTGTGCTTAAGAATAATGTATGTTTTTAGCCGGGTGCGGTGGCTCATACCTGTAATCCCAGCACTTTGGGAGGCCGAGGTGGGCAGATCACAAGGTCAGGAGTTCAAGACCAGCCTGGCCAATATGGTGAAACCCCGTCTCTACTAAAAATATAAAAATTACCTGGGCATGCTGGATGGTGGCAGGCACCTGTAGTCCCAGCTACTCAGGAGGCTGAGGCAGGAGAATCGTATGAACCCAGGAGGTGGAGGTTGCAGTGAGCCAAGATCGTGCCACTGCACTCCAGCCTGGGCAACAATGTATATTTTTTATTTCTTAAATTAACAGTCCAGTGTGTTAATTGTAATGTTCAAATCCAAATCTTCAGATGTCAACAGATCTTCCCAACATGTCAATACTTGAGAGAGGTGTGTTGAAATCTTACATTATGATAATGTATTTGTCAATTTCTTACTGTAATTCTAACAATTGTGTTTCTTATATTTGATGTACTTTTAAATTAAAACCATATATTTTAGAAAAGCATTATATCTTCTCAGTGAACTGAACATTTTATCAAACATAGTAATTCTTTCTCTTCATAGTGGTGCTTTTTTTTTTTTTTTTTTTTTTTTGGAGACAGAGTCTCACTCTGTCACCCAGGCGGCAGTGCAGTGGCACGATCTCGGCTCACTGCAACTTCCACCTCCTGGGTTCAAGCAATTCTCCTGCTTCAGCCTCCTGAGTAGCTGGGATTACAGGTGCCCGCCACCATGCCCAGGTAATTTTTGTATTTTTAGTGGAGACAGGGTTTTATCATGTTGACCGGGCTGGTCTTGAACTCCTGGGCTCAAGTGATCTGCCCACCTCGTCCTCCCAAAGTGCTGGGATTACAGGTGTGAGCCACTGTGCCCGGCTCATAATGATGCTTTTTGCTTTAAAGTCTGTTCGACTGGATGTTTTTTTTTTTTTTTTTTTTTTTTTAGGCAGGGTCTCACTCACTCATGCGGGCTGGAATGAAGCGGCATGTGGATCTTAATATAGCTACTCTAGTTTCTTATTGATTAGTTAGATGCCTGATACTTTTTCATTTTCTCCCATCCTCCCAACATTTTATGTATTTATGCTCTACCAGTGATTTTTGTAAACAGTATATAACCAGGTTTTAAAAAATCCAATTTGACATCCCTTGTTGAGTTTACTCTGCTGGTATTTATTATGGTTACTGACATATGTGGATTTCTTTCTACTATTTTACCTTTTACTTTCACTTAGTCCCACTTTTTCAATATTTCATTTTTCTCCTTTCTTACTTAGAAGCTTAATATCTTGCCGGGCACAGTGATGCATACCTGTAATTCCAGCTACTTGGGAGGGTGAGGTAGGAGCATCGCTTGAGCCCAGGACTTTGAATCTAGTATGAGCAACATAGCAAGACTCTCGCCTCAAAAAAAAATTAATATCTCTGTCTTACATCTAACAAAAAGAATTTTGGTGCGCTTTTATATCTCTTGGCCTCTCTTCCTTCAACTCTTTACAATGTTGATATTTTCTACAAATGTGCAGTTTTTGTTCTGTGTTATTATGAACATACTTAGCATTTTTCTATTATTTGATTTTTTAAAAAATATACAGCTACACATTTTGTTGAGGTATTTTGTCACCTTTCTATTCCATACTTATCACAGATTTTCTGTTCTTCTTTCTCTTTCTCTCTTTTTATTTGAATTCTTCCCCCCAGTGGGTTTTCAGTTTGGGTTCCTCAAGGCTTCTGAAGACTTATATGCCTGGAAATATATTTTATCCCCTTACATTTTAATTTTATTTGGCAGGATATACATTCTAAAATTAAAGTGATTTTCCTTTGGTGCTTTAAACTCCACCCCACTGTTTCTTGCATTTAGTATTGCTGTTAAGACATCTTACGTCATTCTTAATCTCACATATTTGTAGGTAATCCACTCATTTTCCCTGGAAACTTTTATAATTTTCTCTTTGGTTCTGATATTCTTAAGATCCACTGTCCTGTGTCTAGGCATGGGATTCCCTGCATCTTTTTTCTTGCACTCGTGGGGCCCTTTCAGCTGAGGTGTTTCATCTTCTTTAACTCTGGAAATTTTGTTTCCACTATTTTTTTCAAATATTTTTCCTTTTCTACTTTTTTTTTTTTTTTAAGGTGGAGTCTTGCTCTGTCGCCCAGGCTGGAGTGCAGTGGCGCGATCTCCTCTCACTGCAAGCTCCGCCTCCCGGGTTCACGCCATTCTCCTGCCTCAGCCCTCCGAGTAGTTGGGACTACAGGCGCCCGCCACCATGCCCGGCTAATTTTTTGTATTTTTAGTAGAGACGGGGTTTCACCGTCTTAGCCAGGATGGTCTTGATCTCCTGACCTTGTGATCCGCCAGCCTCGGCCTCCCAAAGTACTGGCATGAGCCACCACACCCGGCCTATTTCTTTTTTATCTTATTTGAAAACTATTATTATCTAAATGTTCAAGTGTTTTTTTTTTTTGTTTTTTTTTTTTGACAGTCTCACTCTGTTGCCCAGGCTGGAGTGCAGTGGCACAATCTCGGCTCACTGCAATCTCTGCCTCCTGGGTTCAAGTGAATCTTGTGCCTCAGCCTCCCGAGTAGCTGGGATTACAGGTGCACATCATCACGCCTGGCTAATTTTTGTATTTTTTTAGAGACAGGATTTTGCCATGTCGGCCAAGCTGATCTTGAACTCCTGACCTCAAGTGATCTGCCTGCCTTGGCCTTCCAAAGTGCTAGGATTACAGGCATGAGCCACCACGCCTGGCCAGTTTTCTATTTCTATCTTCCATCTATCTTAACCTTTTTCTCATATGTTCTAGTCTTCATCCTTCCCTACTTCCTTTTAGGGGATACTTCTGACGGCCCTTCTAGCTCACTAATTTGCCCTCAATTATAGTCATTCTATTCTCCATCCCATCCATTGGGCTCTTCCTATGATATTTTTCAGATATTTCCACATGGCCCTTTTTGCATCAAGTACACAATTACATAATTCCTTATTATGTTTCACATTCATTTTGCATGCACACTTTGTTATTGACAAAGTTTCTTATGCTTGTTTTCATGCTGCTAATATTGCCACATCTTTTTAGTGCATGTAATATGCTCAGTTTAGCTTCTTGACCAAAGCGTCCTAGTACTTGTGCTTCTAGTGGTCTATCAGGTTCTGTTGGTTTGCTTTTCTTCAAAGGTGCCCAGCCTTCTGAGCTGTGAGCTCACATTCCCCTGGGGTTATTGGCTACTCTGGCAGTGTTTCTTGAATGAGGGAAGGGCAGATGCTGGCCTGTGTCAGGCTTACTGAGCCAAAGAAATGACAGGGACGCCGGGCACGGTGGCTCACGCCTATAATCCCAGCACTTTGGGAGGCCGAGGTGGGCAGATCACCTGAGGTCGGGAGTTTGAGGCCAGCCCAACCAACATGGAGAAACTCCGTCTCTACTAAAAATACAAAATTAGCCAGGTGTGGTGGCACATGCCTGTAATCCCAGCTACTCGGGAGGCTGAGGCAGGGGAATCTCTTG